>NC_000023.11:60550208-61173171 GCF_000001405.40 Homo sapiens | reverse complement strand
TCCGTTCAGTTATGGGAAGTTGATCCCGTTTCCAATGAAATCCTCAGAGAGGTCCAAATATCCCCTTGCAGATTCTACAAAACGTGTGTTTGGAAACTGCTCCATCATAACGAATGTTCAGCTCTCTGAGTTAAACTCCATCGTCACAAAGAATTTTCTGAGAGTGCTACCGTCTGGTTTTTATATGAAGTTCTTTCCTTTACTACCGCAGGCCTCAAAGCGGTCCAAATCTCCACTTGCAGATTCTACAAAAAGAGTGTTTGCAAACTGCTCTATCAAAAGGAATGTTCAACTCTGGGAGTTGAATGCAATCATCACAGCGCAGTTTCTGAGAATGCTTCTATGTCGTTTTTAGGAGAAGATATTTCCTTTTCCAACACAGTCCTCCAAGCCCGCTAAATATCCACTTGCACATTGTAGAAAAAGGGTGTCGAAGCTGCGCTATCAAAGGGAAAGTTCAACTCTGTGAGGTGAATGCAAACATCCCAAAGAAGTTTCTGAGAATGCTTCCGTTTAGCTTTTAGGTGAAGATTATCCCGTTTCCAACGAAATCTTCAAAGAGGTCCAAATATCCCCTTGCGGATCCCACAGAAAGAGTGTTTCGAAACTGCTGTTTCAAAAGGAATCTTCAACTCTGTGAGTTGAATGCAATCATCACAAAGAAGTTTCTGACAATGCTTCTCTCTCGTCTTTCTGTGAAGATAAAGGAAAAGGCTTTCAGGCCTTTTCCACCACAGGCCTGAAAGCGCTCCAAATGTCCACTTGCAGATTCTACCAAAAGAATATTTCAAAACTGCTCTATGAAAAGCAATGTTAAACTCTGTGGCTCGAACACAAACATCACAAAGCAGTTTCTGAGAATGCTTCAGTTTAGTTTTTCTGTGGAAATATTCCCGTTTCGAAAGAAATCTTCAAAGAGGTCCACGCATCCACTTACAGATTCTACAAAAAGACAGTTTCAAAACTGCTCAATCAAAAGGAGGGTTCAACCGTGTGACTTGAATGCAATCATCACTCAGAAGTTTCTGAGAATGCTTCTCTTTAGTTTTTACGTGAACATATACCCGTTTCGAACGAAGGCCAGCCAGTGGTCCAAATATCCACTTGCAGATTCTACAGAAAGAGTGTTTCGAACCTGAACTCTCAAAGGCAGGTTCATCTCTGCGAGTTCAATGCATTCATCATGAAGAACTTTCTCAGCGTGTTTGTGTTTAGTTATGGGAAATTATTCCCGTTTCCAACGAAATCCTCAGAGAGCTCCAAATATCCACCTGCAGATTCTACCAAAAGTGTATTTGGAAACTGCTCCATCAAAAGGCATGTTCAGCTCTGTGAGTGAAACTCCATCATCACAAAGAATATTCTGAGAATGCTTCCGTTTGCCTTTTATATGAAGTTCCTTCCTGTACTACCGTAGGCCTCAAAGCAGTCCAAATCTCCATTTGCAGATTCTACAAAAAGAGTGATTCCAATCTGCTCTATCAATAGGATTGTTCAACTCCATGAGTTGAATGCCATCCTCACAAAGTAGTTTCTGAGAATGCTTCTATCTGGTTTTTGTGTGAAGATATTTCCTTTTCCACCACAGGCCTCAAAGCCCTCCAAACGTCCACTTGCAGATTCTCGAAAAAGAGTGTTTCATAGCTGCTCTTTCAAAAGGAAAGTTCAACTCTGGGAGTTGAATACAAACATCACAAAGTAGTTTCCGAGAATGCTTCTGTTTAGTTTTTATGTGAAGATGATCCCGTTTCCAGTGAAATCTTCAAAGAGGTCCACATATCCCCTTGCAGATTCCAAAGAAAGAGGGTTTCAAAACTGCTCCATCAGAAGGATTGTTCAACTCTGTGAGTTGAATGCAGTCATCGCAGAAAACTTTCTGAGAATGCTTCTGGCTAGGTTTGATGTGAAGATATAGACGTTTCAAACGAAGGCTACAAAGTGGTCAAAATATACACTTGCAGATTCTACTACAAGGGTGTTGCAAACCTGAACTATCAAAGGAAGGTTCAACTCTGTGAGTTGAATACAAACATCACAAAGAATGTTCTGAGTTTGCTTCCGTTCAGTTATGGGAAGTTGATCCCGTTTCCAACGAAATCCTCAGAGAGGTCCAAATATCCCCTCGCAGATTCTACAAAACGTGTGTTTGGAAACTGCTCCATCATAACGAATGTTCAGCTCCCTGAGTTAAACTCCATCGTCACAAAGAATTTTCTGAGAGTGCTACCGTCTGGTTTTTATATGAAGTTCTTTCCTTCACTACCACAGGCCTCAAAGCGGTCCAAATCTCCACTTGCAGATTCTACAAAAAGAGTGTTTGCAAACTGCTCTATCAAAAGGAATGTTCAACTCTGGGAGTTGAATGCAATCATCACAGAGCAGTTTCTGAGAATGCTTCTATGTCGTTTTTAGGAGAAGATATTTCCTTTTCCAACACAGTCCTCCAAGCCCGCTAAATAGCCACTTGCACATTGTAGAAAAAGTGTGTCAAAGCTGCGCTATCAAAGGGAAAGTTCAACTCTGTCAGGTGAATGCAAACATCCCAAAGAAGTTTCTGAGAATGCTTCCGTTTAGCTTTTAGGTGAAGATTATCCCGTTTCCAACGAAACCTTCAAAGAGGTCCAAATATCCCCTTGCGGATCCCACAGAAAGAGTGTTTCGAAACTGCTGTTTCAAAAGGAATCTTCAACTCTGTGAGTTGAATGCAATCATCACAAAGAAGTTTCTGACAATGCTTCTCTCTCGTCTTTCTGTGAAGATAAAGGAAAAGGCTTTCAGGCCTTTTCCACCACAGGCCTGAAAGCGCTCCAAATGTCCACTTGCAGATTCTGTGAAAAGAATATTTCAAAACTGCTCTATGAAAAGCAATGTTAAACTCTGTGGCTCGAACACAAACATCACAAAGCAGTTTCTGAGAATGCTTCAGTTTAGTTTTTCTGTGGAAATATTCCCGTTTCCAAAGAAATCTTCAAAGAGGTCCACGTATCCACTTACAGATTCTACAAAAAGACAGTTTCAAAACTGCTCCATCAAAAGGAGGGTTCAACTGTGTGACTTGAATGCAATCATCACTCAGAAGTTTCTGAGAATGCTTCTCTTTAGTTTTTACGTGAACATATACCCGTTTCGAACGAAGGCCACCCAGTGGTCCAAATATCCACTTGCAGATTCTACAGAAAGAGTGTTTCGAACCTGAACTCTCAAAGGCAGGTTCATCTCTGCGAGTTAAATGCATTCATCATGAAGAACTTTCTCAGAGTGTTTGTGTTTAGGTATGGGAAATTATTCCCGTTTCCAACGAAATCCTCAGAGAGCTCCAAATATCCACCTGCAGATTCTACCAAAAGTGTATTTGGAAACTGCTCCATCAAAAGGCATGTTCAGCTCTGTGAGTGAAACTCCATCATCACAAAGAATATTCTGAGAATGCTTCCGTTTGCCTTTTATATGAAGTTCCTTCCTGTACTACCGTAGGCCTCAAAGCAGTCCAAATCTCCATTTGCAGATTCTACAAAAAGAGTGATTCCAATCTGCTCTATCAATAGGATTGTTCAACTCCATGAGTTGAATGCCATCCTCACAAAGTCGTTTCTGAGAATGCTTCTATCTGGTTTTTGTGTGAAGATATTTCCTTTTCCACCACAGGCCTCAAAGCCCTCCAAACGTCCACTTGCAGATTCTCGAAAAAGAGTGTTTCATAGCTGCTCTTTCAAAAGGAAAGTTCAACTCTGGGAGTTGAATACAAACATCACAAAATAGTTTCCGAGAATGCTTCTGTTTAGTTCTTATGTGAAGATGATCCCGTTTCCAGTGAAATCTTCAACGAGGTCCACATATCCCCTTGCAGATTCCAAAGAAAGAGGGTTTCAAAACTGCTCCATCAAAATGATTGTTCAACTCTGTGAGTTGAATGCAGTCATCGCAGAAAACTTTCTGAGAATGCTTCTGTCTAGGTTTGATGTGAAGATATAGACGTTTCAAACGAAGGCTACAAAGTGGTCAAAATATACACTTGCAGATTCTACTACAAGGGTGTTGCAAACCTGAACTATCAAAGGAAGGTTCAACTCTGTGAGTTGAATACAAACATCACAAAGAATGCTCTGAGTTTGCTTCCGTTCAGTTATGGGAAGTTGATCCCTTTTCCAACGAAATCCTCAGAGAGGTCCAAATATCCCCTTGCAGATTCTACAAAACGTGTGTTTGGAAACTTCTCCATCATAACGAATGTTCAGCTCTCTGAGTTAAACTGCATCGTCACAAAGAATTTTCTGAGACTGCTACCATCTAGTTTTTATATGAAGTTCTTTCCTTTACGACCACAGGCCTCAAAGCGGTCTAAATCTCCACTTGCAGATTCTACAAAAAGAGCGTTTGAAAACTGCTCTATCAAAAGGAATGTTCAAATCTGGGAGTTGAATGCAATCATCACAGAGCAGTTTCTGAGAATGCTTCTATGTCGTTTTTAGGAGAAGATATTTCCTTTTCCAACACAGTCCTCCAAGCCCGCTAAATATCCACTTGCACATTGTAGAAAAAGTGTGTCGAAGCTGCGCTATCAAAGGGAAAGTTCAACTCTGTGAGGTGAATGCAAACATCCCAAAGAAGTTTCTGAGAATGCTTCCGTTTAGCTTTAAGTGAAGATTATCCCGTTTCCAACGAAATCTTCAAAGAGGTCCAAATATCCCCTTGCGGATCCCACAGAAAGAGTGTTTCGAAACTGCTGTTTCAAAAGGAATCTTCAACTCTGTGAGTTGAATGCAATCATCACAAAGAAGTTTCTGACAATGCTTCTCTCTCGTCTTTCTGTGAAGATAAAGGAAAAGGCTTTCAGGCCATTTCCACCACAGGCCTGAAAGCGCTCCAAATGTCCACTTGCAGATTCTGCCAAAAGAATATTTCAAAACTGCTCTATGAAAAGCAATGTTAAACTCTGCGGCTCGAACACAAACATCACAAAGCAGTTTCTGAGAATGCTTCAGTTTAGTTTTTCTGTGGAAATATTCCCGTTTCCAAAGAAATCTTCAAAGAGGTCCACGCATCCACTTACAGATTCTACAAAAAGACAGTTTCAAAACTGCTCAATCAAAAGGAGGGTTCAACTGTGTGACTGGAATGCAATCATCACTCAGAAGTTTCTGAGAACGCTTCTCTTTAGTTTTTACGTGAACATATACCCGTTTCGAACGAAGGCCAGCCAGTGGTCCAAATATCCACTTGCAGATTCTACAGAAAGAGTGTTTCGAACCTGAACTCTCAAAGGCAGGTTCATCTCTGCGCGTTAAATGCATTCATCATGAAGAACTTTCTCAGCGTGTTTGTGTTTAGTTATGGGAAATTATTCCCGTTTCCAACGAAATCCTCAGAGAGGTCCAAATATCCACCTGCAGATTCTACCAAAAGTGTATTTGGAAACTGCTCCATCAAAAGGCATGTTCAGCTCTGTGAGTGAAACTCCATCATCACAAAGAATATTCTGAGAATGCTTCCGTTTGCCTTTTATATGAAGTTCCTTCCTATACTACCGTAGGCCTCAAAGCAGTCCAAATCTCCATTTGCAGATTCTACAAAAAGAGTGATTCCAATCTGCTCTATCAATAGGATTGTTCAACTCCATGAGTCGAATGCCATCCTCATAAAGTAGTTTCTGAGAATGCTTCTATCTAGTTTTTATGTGAAGATATTTCCTTTTCCACCACAGGCCTCAAAGCCCTCCAAACGTCCACTTGCAGATTCTCGAAAAAGAGTGTTTCATAGCTGCTCTTTCAAAAGGAAAGTTCAACTCTGGGAGCTGAATACAAACATCACAAAGTAGTTTCCGAGAATGCTTCTGTTTAGTTCTTATGTGAAGATGATCCCGTTTCCAGTGAAATCTTCAAAGAGGTCCACATATCCCCTTGCAGATTCCAAAGAAAGAGGGTTTCAAAACTGCTCCATCAAAAGGATTGTTCAACTCTGTGAGTTGAATGCAGTCATCGCAGAAAACTTTCTGAGAATGCTTCTGTCTAGGTTTGATGTGAAGATATAGACGTTTCAAACGAAGGCTACAAAGTGGTCAAAATATACACTTGCAGATTCTACTACAAGGGTGTTGCAAACCTGAACTATCAAAGGAAGGTTCAACTCTGTGAGTTGAATACAAACATCACAAAGAATGTTCTGAGTTTGCTTCCGTTCAGTTATGGGAAGTTGATCCCGTTTCCAACGAAATCCTCAGAGAGGTCCAAATATCCCCTCGCAGATTCTACAAAACGTGTGTTTGGAAACTGCTCCATCATAACGAATGTTCAGCTCCCTGAGTTAAACTCCATCGTCACAAAGAATTTTCTGAGAGTGCTACCGTCTGGTTTTTATATGAAGTTCTTTCCTTCACTACCACAGGCCTCAAAGCGGTCCAAATCTCCACTTGCAGATTCTACAAAAAGAGTGTTTGCAAACTGCTCTATCAAAAGGAATGTTCAACTCTGGGAGTTGAATGCAATCATCACAGAGCAGTTTCTGAGAATGCTTCTATGTCGTTTTTAGGAGAAGATATTTCCTTTTCCAACACAGTCCTCCAAGCCCGCTAAATAGCCACTTGCACATTGTAGAAAAAGTGTGTCAAAGCTGCGCTATCAAAGGGAAAGTTCAACTCTGTCAGGTGAATGCAAACATCACAAAGCAGTTTCTGAGAATGCTTCCGTTTAGCTTTTAGGTGAAGATTATCCCGTTTCCAACGAAACCTTCAAAGAGGTCCAAATATCCCCTTGCGGATCCCACAGAAAGAGTGTTTCGAAACTGCTGTTTCAAAAGGAATCTTCAACTCTGTGAGTTGAATGCAATCATCACAAAGAAGTTTCTGACAATGCTTCTCTCTCGTCTTTCTGTGAAGATAAAGGAAAAGGCTTTCAGGCCTTTTCCACCACAGGCCTGAAAGCGCTCCAAATGTCCACTTGCAGATTCTGCGAAAAGAATATTTCAAAACTGCTTTGTGAAAAGCAATGTTAAACTCAGTGGCTCGAACACAAACATCACAACGCGGTTTCTGAGAATGCTTCAGTTTAGTTTTTCTGTGGAAATATTCCCGTTTCCAAAGAAATCTTCAAAGAGGTCCACGCATCCACTTACAGATTCTACAAAAAGACAGTTTCAAAACTGCTCCATCAAAAGGAGGGTTCAACTGTGTGACTTGAATGCAATCATCACTCAGAAGTTTCTGAGAATGCTTCTCTTTAGTTTTTACGTGAACATATACCCGTTTCGAACGAAGGCCACCCAGTGGTCCAAATATCCACTTGCAGATTCTACAGAAAGAGTGTTTCCAACCTGAACTCTCAAAGGCAGGTTCATCTCTGCGAGTTAAATGCATTCATCATGAAGAACTTTCTCAGAGTGTTTGTGTTTAGTTATGGGAAATTATTCCCGTTTCCAACGAAATCCTCAGAGAGCTCCAAATATCCACCTGCAGATTCTACCAAAAGTGTATTTGGAAACTGCTCCATCAAAAGGCATGTTCAGCTCTGTGAGTGAAACTCCATCATCACAAAGAATATTCTGAGAATGCTTCCGTTTGCCTTTTATCTGAAGTTCCTTCCTATACGACCGTAGGCCTCAAAGCAGTCCAAATCTCCATTTGCAGATTCTACAAAAAGAGTGATTCCAATCTGCTCTATCAATAGGATTGTTCAACTCCATGAGTTGAATGCCATCCTCACAAAGTCGTTTCTGAGAATGCTTCTATCTAGTTTTTATGTGAAGATATTTCCTTTTCCACCACAGGCCTCAAAGCCCTCCAAACGTCCACTTGCAGATTCTCGAAAAAGAGTGTTTCATAGCTGCTCTTTCAAAAGGAAAGTTCAACTCTGGGAGTTGAATACAAACATCACAAAGTAGTTTCCGAGAATGCTTCTGTTTAGTTTTTATGTGAAGATGATCCCGTTTCCAGTGAAATCTTCAAAGAGGTCCACATATCCCCTTGCAGATTCCAAAGAAAGAGGGTTTCAAAACTGCTCCATCAGAAGGATTGTTCAACTCTGTGAGTTGAATGCAGTCATCGTAGAAAACTTTCTGAGAATGCTTCTGTCTAGGTTTGATGTGAAGATATAGACGTTTCAAACGAAGGCTACAAAGTGGTCAAAATATACACTTGCAGATTCTACTACAAGGGTGTTGCAAACCTGAACTATCAAAGGAAGGTTCAACTCTGTGAATTGAATACAAACATCACAAAGAATGTTCTGAGTTTGCTTCCGTTCAGTTATGGGAAGTTGATCCCGTTTCCAGCGAAATCCTCAGAGAGGTCCAAATATCCCCTTGCAGATTCTACAAAACGTGTGTTTGGAAACTGCTCCATCATAACGAATGTTCAGCTCCCTGAGTTAAACTCCATCGTCACAAAGAATTTTCTGAGAGTGCTACCGTCTAGTTTTTATATGAAGTTCTTTCCTTTACTACCACAGGCCTCAAAGCGGTCCAAATCTCCACTTGCAGATTCTACAAAAAGAGTGTTTGCAAACTGCTCTATCAAAAGGAATGTTCAACTCTGGGAGTTGAATGCAATCATCACAGAGCAGTTTCTGAGAATGCTTCTATGTCGTTTTTAGGAGAAGATATTTCCTTTTCCAACACAGTCCTCCAAGCCCGCTAAATATCCACTTGCACATTGTAGAAAAAGTGTGTCGAAGCTGCGCTATCAAAGGGAAAGTTCAAGTCTGTGAGGTGAATGCAAACATCCCAAAGAAGTTTCTGAGAATGCTTCCGTTTAGCTTTTAGGTGAAGATTATCCCGTTTCCAACGAAATCTTCAAAGAGGTCCAAATATCCCCTTGCGGATCCCACAGAAAGAGTGTTTTGAAACTGCTGTTTCAAAAGGAATCTTCAACTCTGTGAGTTGAATGCAATCATCACAAAGAAGTTTCTGACAATGCTTCTCTCTCGTCTTTCTGTGAAGATAAAGGAAAAGGCTTTCAGGCCTTTCCCATCACAGGCCTGAAAGCGCTCCAAATGTCCACTTGCAGATTCTGCCAAAAGAATATTTCAAAACTGCTCTATGAAAAGCAATGTTAAACTCTGTGGCTCGAACACAAACATCACAAAGCAGTTTCTGAGAATGCTTCAGTTTAGTTTTTCTGTGGAAATATTCCCGTTTCCAAAGAAATCTTCAAAGAGGTCCACGTATCCACTTACAGATTCTACAAAAAGACAGTTTCAAAACTGCTCAATCAAAAGGAGGGTTCAACTGTGTGACTTGCATGCAATCATCACTCAGAAGTTTCTGAGAACGCTTCTCTTTAGTTTTTACGTGAACATATACCCGTTTCGAAAGAAGGCCAGCCAGTGGTCCAAATATCCACTTGCAGATTCTACAGAAAGAGTGTTTCGAACCTGAACTCTCAAAGGCAGGTTCATCTCTGCGAGTTCAATGCATTCATCATGAAGAACTTTCTCAGCGTGTTTGTGTTTAGTTATGGGAAATTATTCCCGTTTCCAACGAAATCCTCAGAGAGCTCCAAATATCCACCTGCAGATTCTACCAAAAGTGTATTTGGAAACTGCTCCATCAAAAGGCATGTTCAGCTCTGTGAGTGAAACTCCATCATCACAAAGAATATTCTGAGAATGCTTCCGTTTGCCTTTTATATGAAGTTCCTTCCTATACTACCGTAGGCCTCAAAGCAGTCCAAATCTCCATTTGCAGATCCTACAAAAAGAGTGATTCCAATCTGCTCTATCAATAGGATTGTTCAACTCCATGAGTTGAATGCCATCCTCACAAAGTAGTCTCTGAGAATGCTTCTATCTAGTTTTTATGTGAAGATATTTACTTTTCCACCACAGGCCTCAAAGCCCTCCAAACGTCCACTTGCAGATTCTCGAAAAAGAGTGTTTCATAGCTGCTCTTTCAAAAGGAAAGTTCAACTCTGGGAGGTGAATACAAACATCACAAAGTAGTTTCCGAGAATGCTTCTGTTTAGTTTTTATGTGAAGATGATCCCGTTTCCAGTGAAATCTTCAAAGAGGTCCACATATCCCCTTGCAGATTCCAAAGAAAGAGGGTTTCAAAAACTGCTCCATCAGAAGGATTGTTCAACTCTGTGAGTTGAATGCAGTCATCGCAGAAAACTTTCTGAGAATGCTTCTGTCTAGGTTTGATGTGAAGATATAGACGTTTCAAACGAAGGCTACAAAGTGGTCAAAATATACACTTGCAGATTCTACTACAAGGGTGTTGCAAACCTGAACTATCAAAGGAAGGTTCAACTCTGTGAGTTGAATACAAACATCGCAAAGAATGCTCTGAGTTTGCTTCCGTTCAGTTATGGGAAGTTGATCCCGTTTCCAACGAAATCCTCAGAGAGGTCCAAATATCCCCTTGCAGATTCTACAAAACGTGTGTTTGGAAACTGCTCCATCATAACGAATGTTCAGCTCCCTGAGTTAAACTCCATCGTCACAAAGAATTTTCTGAGAGTGCTACCGTCTGGTTTTTATATGAAGCTCTTTCCTTCACTACCACAGACCTCAAAGCGGTCCAAATCTCCACTTGCAGATTCTACAAAAAGAGTGTTTGCCAACTGCTCTATCAAAAGGAATGTTCAACTCTGGGAGTTGAATGCAATCATCACAGAGCAGTTTCTGAGAATGCTTCTATGTCGTTTTTAGGAGAAGATATTTCCTTTTCCAACACAGTCCTCCAAGCCCGCTAAATAGCCACTTGCACATTGTAGAAAAAGTGTGTCGAAGCTGCGCTATCAAAGGGAAAGTTCAACTCTGTGAGGTGAATGCAAACATCCCAAAGAAGTTTCTGAGAATGCTTCCGTTTAGCTTTTAGGTGAAGATTATCCCGTTTCCAACGAAACCTTCAAAGAGGTCCAAATATCCCCTTGCGGATCCCACAGAAAGAGTGTTTCGAAACTGCTGTTTCAAAAGGAATCTTCAACTCTGTGAGTTGAATGCAATCATCACAAAGAAGTTTCTGACAATGCTTCTCTCTCGTCTTTCTGTGAAGATAAAGGAAAAGGCTTTCAGGCCTTTTCCACCACAGGCCTGAAAGCGCTCCAAATGTCCACTTGCAGATTCTGCGAAAAGAATATTTCAAAACTGCTCTATGAAAAGCAATGTTAAACTCTGCGGCTCGAACACAAACATCACAAAGCGGTTTCTGAGAATGCTTCAGTTTAGTTTTTCTGTGGAAATATTCCCGTTTCCAAAGAAATCTTCAAAGAGGTCCACGTATCCACTTACAGATTCTACAAAAAGACAGTTTCAAAACTGCTCCATCAAAAGGAGGGTTCAACCGTGTGACTTGAATGCAATCATCACTCAGAAGTTTCTGAGAATGCTTCTCTTTAGTTTTTACGTGAACATATACCCGTTTCGAACGAAGGCCACCCAGTGGTCCAAATATCCACTTGCAGATTATACAGAAAGAGTGTTTCGAACCTGAACTCTCAAAGGCAGGTTCATCTCTGCGAGTTAAATGCATTCATCATGAAGAACTTTCTCAGAGTGTTTGTGCTTAGTTATGGGAAATTATTCCCGTTTCCAACGAAATCCTCAGAGTGGTCCAAATATCCACCTGCAGATTCTACCAAAAGTGTATTTGGAAACTGCTCCATCAAAAGGCATGTTCAGCTCTGTGAGTGAAACTCCATCATCACAAAGAATATTCTGAGAATGCTTCCGTTTGCCTTTTATCTGAAGTTCCTTCCTATACGACCGTAGGCCTCAAAGCAGTCCAAATCTCCATTTGCAGATTCTACAAAAAGAGTGATTCCAATCTGCTCTATCAATAGGATTGTTCAACTCCATGAGTTGAATGCCATCCTCACAAAGTAGTTTCTGAGAATGCTTCTATCTGGTTTTTGTGTGAAGATATTTCCTTTTCCACCACAGGCCTCAAAGCCCTCCAAACGTCCACTTGCAGATTCTCGAAAAAGAGTGTTTCATAGCTGCTCTTTCAAAAGGAAAGTTCAACTCTGGGAGTTGAATACAAACATCACAAAATAGTTTCCGAGAATGCTTCTGTTTAGTTTTTATGTGAAGATGATCCCGTTTCCAGTGAAATCTTCAAAGAGGTCCACATATCCCCTTGCAGATTCCAAAGAAAGAGGGTTTCAAAACTGCTCCATCAGAAGGATTGTTCAACTCTGTGAGTTGAATGCAGTCATCGCAGAAAACTTTCTGAGAATGCTTCTGTCTAGGTTTGATGTGAAGATATAGACGTTTCAAACGAAGGCTACACAGTGGTCAAAATATACACTTGCAGATTCTACTACAAGGGTGTTGCAAACCTGAACTATCAAAGGAAGGTTCAACTCTGTGAGTTGAATACAAACATCACAAAGAATGTTCTGAGTTTGCTTCCGTTCAGTTATGGGAAGTTGATCCCGTTTCCAGCGAAATCCTCAGAGAGGTCCATATATCCCCTTGCAGATTCTACAAAACGTGTGTTTGGAAACTGCTCCATCATAACGAATGTTCAGCTCCCTGAGTTAAACTCCATCGTCACAAAGAATTTTCTGAGAGTGCTACCGTCTGGTTTTTATATGAAGTTCTTTCCTTTACTACCATAGGCCTCAAAGCGGTCCAAATCTCCACTTGCAGATTCTACAAAAAGAGTGTTTGCAAACTGCTCTATCAAAAGGAATGTTCAACCCTGGGAGTTGAATGCAATCATCACAGAGCAGTTTCTGAGAATGCTTCTATGTCGTTTTTAGGAGAAGATATTTCCTTTTCCAACACAGTCCTCCAAGCCCGCTAAATAGCCACTTGCACATTGTAGAAAAAGTGTGTCAAAGCTGCGCTATCAAAGGGAAAGTTCAACTCTGTGAGGTGAATGCAAACATCCCAAAGAAGTTTCTGAGAATGCTTCCGTTTAGCTTTTAGGTGAAGATTATCCCGTTTCCAACGAAACCTTCAAAGAGGTCCAAATATCCCCTTGCGGATCCCACAGAAAGAGTGTTTCAAAACTGCTGTTTCAAAAGGAATCTTCAACTCTGTGAGTTGAATGCAATCATCACAAAGAAGTTTCTGACAATGCTTCTCTCTCGTCTTTCTGTGAAGATAAAGGAAAAGGCTTTCAGGCCTTTTCCACCACAGGCCTGAAAGCGCTCCAAATGTCCACTTGCAGATTCTGCCAAAAGAATATTTCAAAACTGCTCTATGAAAAGCAATGTTAAACTCTGTGGCTGGAACACAAACATCACAAAGCGGTTTCTGAGAATGTTTCAGTTTAGTTTTTCTGTGGAAATATTCCCGTTTTCAAAGAAATCTTCAAAGAGGTCCACGTATCCACTTACAGATTCTACAAAAAGACAGTTTCAAAACTGCTCCATCAAAAGGAGGGTTCAACTGTGTGACTTGAATGCAATCATCACTCAGAAGTTTCTGAGAATGCTTCTCTTTAGTTTTTACGTGAACATATACCCGTTTCGAACGAAGGCCACCCAGTGGTCCAAATATCCACTTGCAGATTCTACAGAAAGAGTGTTTCGAACCTGAACTCTCAAAGGCAGGTTCATCTCTGCAAGTTAAATGCATTCATCATGAAGAACTTTCTCAGAGTGTTTGTGTTTAGTTATGGGAAATTATTCCCGTTTCCAACGAAATCCTCAGAGAGCTCCAAATATCCACCTGCAGATTCTACCAAAAGTGTATTTGGAAACTGCTCCATCAAAAGGCATGTTCAGCTCTGTGAGTGAAACTCCATCATCACAAAGAATATTCTGAGAATGCTTCCGTTTGCCTTTTATATGAAGTTCCTTCCTGTACTACCGTAGGCCTCAAAGCAGTCCAAATCTCCATTTGCAGATTCTACAAAAAGAGTGATTCCAATCTGCTCTATCAATAGGATTGTTCAACTCCATGAGTTGAATGCCATCCTCACAAAGTAGTTTCTGAGAATGCTTCTATCTGGTTTTTGTGTGAAGATATTTCCTTTTCCACCACAGGCCTCAAAGCCCTCCAAACGTCCACTTGCAGATTCTCGAAAAAGAGTGTTTCATAGCTGCTCTTTCAAAAGGAAAGTTCAACTCTGGGAGTTGAATACAAACATCACAAAATAGTTTCCGAGAATGCTTCTGTTTAGTTTTTATGTGAAGATGATCCCGTTTCCAGTGAAATCTTCAAAGAGGTCCACATATCCCCTTGCAGATTCCAAAGAAAGAGGGTTTCAAAACTGCTCCATCAGAAGGATTGTTCAACTCTGTGAGTTGAATGCAGTCATCGCAGAAAACTTTCTGAGAATGCTTCTGTCTAGGTTTGATGTGAAGATATAGACGTTTCAAACGAAGGCTACAAAGTGTTCAAAATATACACTTGCAGATTCTACTACAAGGGTGATGCAAACCTGAACTATCAAAGGAAGGTTCAACTCTGTGAGTTGAATACAAACATCACAAAGAATGTTCTGAGTTTGCTTCCGTTCAGTTATGGGAAGTTGATCCCGTTTCCAACGAAATCCTCAGAGAGGTCCAAATATCCCCTTGCAGATTCTACAAAACGTGTGTTTGGAAACTGCTCCATCATAACGAATGTTCAGCTCTCTGAGTTAAACTCCATCGTCACAAAGAATTTTCTGAGGGTGCTACCGTCTAGTTTTTATATGAAGTTCTTTCCTTTCCTACCACAGGCCTCAAAGCGGTCCAAATCTCCACTTGCAGATTCTACAAAAAGAGTGTTTGCAAACTGCTCTATCAAAAGGAATGTTCAACTCTGGGAGTTGAATGCAATCATCACAGAGCAGTTTCTGAGAATGCTTCTATGTCGTTTTTAGGAGAAGATATTTCCTTTTCCAACACAGTCCTCCAAGCCCGCTAAATATCCACTTGCACATTGTAGAAAAAGTGTGTTGAAGCTGCGCTATCAAAGGGAAAGTTCAACTCTGTGAGGTGAATGCAAACATCCCAAAGAAGTTTCTGAGAATGCTTCCGTTTAGCTTTTAGGTGAAGATTATCCCGTTTCCAACGAAATCTTCAAAGAGGTCCAAATATCCCCTCGCGGATCCCACAGAAAGAGTGTTTCGAAACTGCTGTTTCAAAAGGAATCTTCAACTCTGTGAGTTGAATGCAATCATCACAAAGAAGTTTCTGACAATGCTTCTCTCTCGTCTTTCTGTGAAGATAAAGGAAAAGGCTTTCAGGCCTTTTCCACCACAGGCCTGAAAGCGCTCCAAATGTCCACTTGCAGATTCTGCCAAAAGAATATTTCAAAACTGCTCTATGAAAAGCAATGTTAAACTCTGCGGCTCGAACACAAACATCACAAAGCAGTTTCTGAGAATGCTTCAGTTTAGTTTTTCTGTGGAAATATTCCCGTTTCCAAAGAAATCTTCAAAGAGGTCCACGTATCCACTTACAGATTCTACAAAAAGACAGTTTCAAAACTGCTCAATCAAAAGGAGGGTTCAACTGTGTGACTTGAATGCAATCATCACTCAGAAGTTTCTGAGAACGCTTCTCTTTAGTTTTTACGTGAACATATACCCGTTTCGAACGAAGGCCAGCCAGTGGTCCAAATATCCACTTGCAGATTCTACAGAAAGAGTGTTTCGAATCTGAACTCTCAAAGGCAGGTTCATCTCTGCGAGTTCAATGCATTCATCATGAAGAACTTTCTCAGCGTGTTTGTGTTTATGTATGGGAAATTATTCCCGTTTCCAACGAAATCCTCAGAGAGGTCCAAATATCCACCTGCAGATTCTACCAAAAGTGTATTTGGAAACTGCTCCATGAAAAGGCATGTTCAGCTCTGTGAGTGAAACTCCATCATCACAAAGAATATTCTGAGAATGCTTCCGTTTGCCTTTTATATGAAGTTCCTTCCTATACGACCGTAGGCCTCAAAGCAGTCCAAATCTCCATTTGCAGATTCTACAAAAAGAGTGATTCCAATCTGCTCTATCAATAGGATTGTTCAACTCCATGAGTTGAATGCCATCCTCACAAAGTCGTTTGCTGAGAATGCTTCTATCTAGTTTTTATGTGAAGATATTTCCTTTTCCACCACAGGCCTCAAAGCCCTCCAAACGTCCACTTGCAGATTCTCGAAAAAGAGTGTTTCATAGCTGCTCTTTCAAAAGGAAAGTTCAACTCTGGGAGTTGAATACAAACATCACAAAGTAGTTTCCGAGAATGCTTCTGTTTAGTTTTTATGTGAAGATGATCCCGTTTCCAGTGAAATCTTCAAAGAGGTCCACATATCCCCTTGCAGATTCCAAAGAAAGAGGGTTTCAAAACTGCTCCATCAGAAGGATTGTTCAACTCTGTGAGTTGAATGCAGTCATCGCAGAAAACTTTCTGAGAATGCTTCTGTCTAGGTTTGATGTGAAGATATAGACGTTTCAAACGAAGGCTACAAAGTGGTCAAAATATACACTTGCAGATTCTACTACAAGGGTGTTGCAAACCTGAACTATCAAAGGAAGGTTCAACTCTGTGAGTTGAATACAAACATCACAAAGAATGTTCTGAGTTTGCTTCCGTTCAGTTATGGGAAGTTGATCCCGTTTCCAACGAAATCCTCAGAGAGGTCCAAATATCCCCTCACAGATTCTACAAAACGTGTGTTTGGAAATTGCTCCATCATAACGAATGTTCAGCTCCCTGAGTTAAACTCCATCGTCACAAAGAATTTTCTGAGAGTGCTACCGTCTGGTTTTTATATGAAGTTCTTTCCTTCACTACCACAGGCCTCAAAGCGGTCCAAATCTCCACTTGCAGATTCTACAAAAAGAGTGTTTGCAAACTGCTCTATCAAAAGGAATGTTCAACTCTGGGAGTTGAATGCAATCATCACAGAGCAGTTTCTGAGAATGCTTCTATGTCGTTTTTAGGAGAAGATATTTCCTTTTCCAACACAGTCCTCCAAGCCCGCTAAATAGCCACTTGCACATTGAAGAAAAAGTGTGTCAAAGCTGCGCTATCAAAGGGAAAGTTCAACTCTGTGAAGTGAATGCAAACATCCCAAAGAAGTTTCTGAGAATGCTTCCGTTTAGCTTTTAGGTGAAGATTATCCCGTTTCCAACGAAACCTTCAAAGAGGTCCAAATATCCCCTTGCGGATCCCACAGAAAGAGTGTTTCGAAACTGCTGTTTCAAAAGGAATCTTCAACTCTGTGAGTTGAATGCAATCATCACAAAGAAGTTTCTGACAATGCTTCTCTCTCGTCTTTCTGTGAAGATAAAGGAAAAGGCTTTCAGGCCTTTTCCACCACAGGCCTGAAAGCGCTCCAAATGTCCACTTGCAGATTCTGCGAAAAGAATATTTCAAAACTGCTCTATGAAAAGCAAAGTTAAACTCTGTGGCTCGAACACAAACATCACAAAGCGGTTTCTGAGAATGCTTCAGTTTAGTTTTTCTGTGGAAATATTCCCGTTTCCAAAGAAATCTTCAAAGAGGTCCACGTATCCACTTACAGATTCTACAAAAAGACAGTTTCAAAACTGCTCCATCAAAAGGAGGGTTCAACCGTGTGACTTGAATGCAATCATCACTCAGAAGTTTCTGAGAATGCTTCTCTTTAGTTTTTACGTGAACATATACCCGTTTCGAACGAAGGCCACCCAGTGGTCCAAATATCCACTTGCAGATTCTACAGAAAGAGTGTTTCGAACCTGAACTCTCAAAGGCAGGTTCATCTCTGCGAGTTCAATGCATTCAACATGAAGAAATTTCTCAGCGTGTTTTGTGTTTAGTTATGGGAAATTATTCCCGTTTCCAACGAAATCCTCAGGAGAGCTCCAAATATCCACCTGCAGATTCTACCAAAAGTGTATTTGGAAACTGCTCCATCAAAAGGCATGTTCAGCTCTGTGAGTGAAACTCCATCATCACAAAGAATATTCTGAGAATGCTTCCGTTTGCCTTTTATATGAAGTTCCTTCCTGTACTACCGTAGGCCTCAAAGCAGTCCAAATCTCCATTTGCAGATTCTACAAAAAGAGTGATTCCAATCTGCTCTATCAATAGGATTGTTCAACTCCATGAGTTGAATGCCATCCTCACAAAGCAGTTTCTGAGAATGCTTCTATCTGGTTTTTGTGTGAAGATATTTCCTTTTCCACCACAGGCCTCAAAGCCCTCCAAACGTCCACTTGCAGATTCTCGAAAAAGAGTGTTTCATAGCTGCTCTTTCAAAAGGAAAGTTCAACTCTGGGAGTTGAATACAAACATCACAAAATAGTTTCCGAGAATGCTTCTGTTTAGTTTTTATGTGAAGATGATCCCGTTTCCAGTGAAATCTTCAAAGAGGTCCACATATCCCCTTGCAGATTCCAAAGAAAGAGGGTTTCAAAACTGCTCCATCAAAAGGATTGTTCAACTCTGGTGAGTTGAATGCAGTCATCGCAGAAAACTTTCTGAGAATGCTTCTGTCTAGGTTTGATGTGAAGATATAGACGTTTCAAACGAAGGCTACAAAGTGGTCAAAATATACACTTGCAGATTCTACTACAAGGGTGTTGCAAACCTGAACTATGAAAGGAAGGTTCAACTCTGTGAGTTGAATACAAACATCACAAAGAATGTTCTGAGTTTGCTTCCGTTCAGTTATGGGAAGTTGATCCCGTTTCCAACGAAATCCTCAGAGAGGTCCAAATATCCACTTGCAGATTCTACAAAACGTGTGTTTGGAAACTGCTCCATCATAACGAATGTTCAGCTCCCTGAGTTAAACTCCATCGTCACAAAGAATTTTCTGAGAGTGCTACCGTCTGGTTTTTATATGAAGTTCTTTCCTTCACTACCACAGGCCTCAAAGCGGTCCAAATCTCCACTTGCAGATTCTACAAAAAGAGTGTTTGCAAACTGCTCTATCAAAAGGAATGTTCAACTCTGGGAGTTGAATGCAATCATCACAGAGCAGTTTCTGAGAATGCTTCTATGTCGTTTTTAGGAGAAGATATTTCCTTTTCCAACACAGTCCTCCAAGCCCGCTAAATAGCCACTTGCACATTGTAGAAAAAGTGTGTCAAAGCTGCGCTATCAAAGGGAAAGTTCAACTCTGTGAGGTGAATGCAAACATCCTAAAGAAGTTTCTGAGAATGCTTCCGTTTAGCTTTTAGGTGAAGATTATCCCGTTTCCAACGAAACCTTCAAAGAGGTGCAAATATCCCCTTGCGGATCCCACAGAAAGAGTGTTTCGAAACTGCTGTTTCAAAAGGAATCTTCAACTCTGTGAGTTGAATGCAATCATCACAAAGAAGTTTCTGACAATGCTTCTCTCTCGTCTTTCTGTGAAGATAAAGGAAAAGGCTTTCAGGCCTTTTCCACCACAGGCCTGAAAGCGCTCCAAATGTCCACTTGCAGATTCTGCGAAAAGAATATTTCAAAACTGCTCTATGAAAAGCAATGTTAAACTCTGTGGCTGGAACACAAACATCACAAAGCGGTTTCTGAGAATGTTTCAGTTTAGATTTCTGTGGAAATATTCCCGTTTCCAAAGAAATCTTCAAAGAGGTCCACGTATCCACTTACAGATTCTACAAAAAGACAGTTTCAAAACTGCTCCATCAAAAGGAGGGTTCAACTGTGTGACTTGAATGCAATCATCACTCAGAAGTTTCTGAGAATGCTTCTCTTTAGTTTTTACGTGAACATATACCCGTTTCGAACGAAGGCCACCCAGTGGTCCAAATATCCACTTGCAGATTATACAGAAAGAGTGTTTCGAACCTGAACTCTCAAAGGCAGGTTCATCTCTGCGAGTTAAATGCATTCATCATGAAGAACTTTCTCAGAGTGTTTGTGTTTAGTTATGGGAAATTATTCCCGTTTCCAACGAAATCCTCAGAGTGGTCCAAATATCCACCTGCAGATTCTACCAAAAGTGTATTTGGAAACTGCTCCATCAAAAGGCATGTTCAGCTCTGTGAGTGAAACTCCATCATCACAAAGAATATTCTGAGAATGCTTCCGTTTGCCTTTTATCTGAAGTTCCTTCCTATACGACCGTAGGCCTCAAAGCAGTCCAAATCTCCATTTGCAGATTCTACAAAAAGAGTGATTCCAATCTGCTCTATCAATAGGATTGTTCAACTCCATGAGTTGAATGCCATCCTCACAAAGTAGTTTCTGAGAATGCTTCTATCTAGTTTTTATGTGAAGGTATTTCCTTTTCCACCACAGGCCTCCAAGCCCTCCAAACGTCCACTTGCAGATTCTCGAGAAAGAGTGTTTCATAGCTGCTCTTTCAAAAGGAAAGTTCAACTCTGGGAGTTGAATACAAACATCACAAAGTAGTTTCCGAGAATGCTTCTGTTTAGTTTTTATGTGAAGATGATCCCGTTTCCAGTGAAATCTTCAAAGAGGTCCACATATCCCCTTGCAGATTCCAAAGAAAGAGGGTTTCAAAACTGCTCCATCAGAAGGATTGTTCAACTCTGTGAGTTGAATGCAGTCATCGCAGAAAACTTTCTGAGAATGCTTCTGTCTAGGTTTGATGTGAAGATATAGACGTTTCAAACGAAGGCTACAAAGTGGTCAAAATATACACTTGCAGATTCTACTACAAGGGTGTTGCAAACCTGAACTATCAAAGGAAGGTTCAACTCTGTGAATTGAATACAAACATCACAAAGAATGTTCTGAGTTTGCTTCCGTTCAGTTATGGGAAGTTGATCCCGTTTCCAACGAAATCCTCAGAGAGGTCCAAATATCCCCTCGCAGATTCTACAAAACGTGTGTTTGGAAACTGCTCCATCATAACGAATGTTCAGCTCCCCTGAGTTAAACTCCATCGTCACAAAGAATTTTCTGAGAGTGCTACCGTCTGGTTTTTATATGAAGTTCTTTCCTTCACTACCACAGGCCTCAAAGCGGTCCAAATCTCCACTTGCAGATTCTACAAAAAGAGTGTTTGCAAACTGCTCTATCAAAAGGAATGTTCAACTCTGGGAGTTGAATGCAATCATCACAGAGCAGTTTCTGAGAATGCTTCTATGTCGTTTTTAGGAGAAGATATTTCCTTTTCCAACACAGTCCTCCAAGCCCGCTAAATAGCCACTTGCACATTGTAGAAAAAGTGTGTCAAAGCTGCGCTATCAAAGGGAAAGTTCAACTCTGTGAGGTGAATGCAAACATCCCAAAGAAGTTTCTGAGAATGTTTCCGTTTAGCTTTTAGGTGAAGATTATCCCGTTTCCAACGAAACCTTCAAAGAGGTCCAAATATCCCCTTGCGGATCCCACAGAAAGAGTGTTTCGAAACTGCTGTTTCAAAAGGAATCTTCAACTCTGTGAGTTGAATGCAATCATCACAAAGAAGTTTCTGACAATGCTTCTCTCTCGTCTTTCTGTGAAGATAAAGGAAAAGGCTTTCAGGCCTTTTCCACCACAGGCCTGAAAGCGCTCCAAATGTCCACTTGCAGATTCTGCGAAAAGAATATTTCAAAACTGCTCTATGAAAAGCAATGTTAAACTCTGTGGCTCGAACACAAACATCACAAAGCGGTTTCTGAGAATGCTTCAGTTTAGTTTTTCTGTGGAAATATTCCCGTTTCCAAAGAAATCTTCAAAGAGGTCCACGTATCCACTTACAGATTCTACAAAAAGACAGTTTCAAAACTGCTCCATCAAAAGGAGGGTTCAACTGTGTGACTTGAATGCAATCATCACTCACCAGTTTCTGAGAATGCTTCTCTTTAGTTTTTACGTGAACATATACCCGTTTCGAACGAAGGCCAGCCAGTGGTCGAAATATCCACTTGCAGATTCTACAGAAAGAGTGTTTCGAACATGAACTCTCAAAGGCAGGTTCATCTCTGCGAGTTAAATGCATTCATCATGAAGAACTTTCTCAGAGTGTTTGTGTTTAGTTATGGGAAATTATTCCCGTTTCCAACGAAATCCTCAGAGAGCTCCAAATATCCACCTGCAGATTCTACCAAAAGTGTATTTGGAAACTGCTCCATCAAAAGGCATGTTCAGCTCTGTGAGTGAAACTCCATCATCACAAAGAATATTCTGAGAATGCTTCCGTTTGCCTTTTATATGAAGTTCCTTCCTATACTACCATAGGCCACAAAGCAGTCCAAATCTCCATTTGCAGATTCTACAAAAAGACTGATTCCAATCTGCTCTATCAATAGGATTGTTCAACTCCATGAGTTGAATGCCATCCTCACAAAGTCGTTTCTGAGAATGCTTCTATCTAGTTTTAATGTGAAGATATTTCCTTTTCCACCACAGGCCTCAAAGCCCTCCAAACGTCCGCTTGCAGATTCTCAAAAAAGAGTGTTTCATAGCTGCTCTTTCAAAAGGAAAGTTCAACTCTGGGAGTTGAATACAAACATCACAAAGTAGTTTCCGAGAATGCTTCTGTTTAGTTCTTATGTGAAGATGATCCCGTTTCCAGTGAAATCTTCAAAGAGGTCCACATATCCCCTTGCAGATTCCAAAGAAAGAGGGTTTCAAAACTGCTCCATCAAAAGGATTGTTCAACTCTGTGAGTTGAATGCAGTCATCGCAGAAAACTTTCTGAGAATGCTTCTGTCTAGGTTTGATGTGAAGATATAGACGTTTCAAACGAAGGCTACAAAGTGGTCAAAATATACACTTGCAGATTCTACTACAAGGGTGTTGCAAACCTGAACTATCAAAGGAAGGTTCAACTCTGTGAGTTGAATACAAACATCACAAAGAATGTTCTGAGTTTGCTTCCGTTCAGTTATGGGAAGTTGATCCCGTTTCCAAAGAAATCCTCAGAGAGGTCCAAATATCCCCTTGCAGATTCTACAAAACGTGTGTTTGGAAACTGCTCCATCATAACGAATGTTCAGCTCCCTGAGTTAAACTCCATCGTCACAAAGAATTTTCTGAGAGTGCTACCGTCTGGTTTTTATATGAAGTTCTTTCCTTCACTACCACAGGCCTCAAAGCGGTCCAAATCTCCACTTGCAGATTCTACAAAAAGAGTGTTTGCAAACTGCTCTATCAAAAGGAATGTTCAACTCTGGGAGTTGAATGCAATCATCACAGAGCAGTTTCTGAGAATGCTTCTATGTCGTTTTTAGGAGAAGATATTTCCTTTTCCAACACAGTCCTCCAAGCCCGCTAAATAGCCACTTGCACATTGTAGAAAAAGTGTGTCAAAGCTGCGCTATCAAAGGGAAAGTTCAACTCTGTGAGGTGAATGCAAACATCCCAAAGAAGTTTCTGAGAATGCTTCCGTTTAGCTTTTAGGTGAAGATTATCCCGTTTCCAACGAAACCTTCAAAGAGGTCCAAATATCCCCTTGCGGATCCCACAGAAAGAGTGTTTCGAAACTGCTGTTTCAAAAGGAATCTTCAACTCTGTGAGTTGAATGCAATCATCACAAAGAAGTTTCTGACAATGCTTCTCTCTCGTCTTTCTGTGAAGATAAAGGAAAAGGCTTTCAGGCCTTTTCCACCACAGGCCTGAAAGCGCTCCAAATGTCCACTTGCAGATTCTGCCAAAAGAATATTTCAAAACTGCTCTATGAAAAGCAATGTTAAACTCTGTGGCTGGAACACAAACATCACAAAGCGGTTTCTGAGAATGTTTCAGTTTAGTTTTTCTGTGGAAATATTCCCGTTTCCAAAGAAATCTTCAAAGAGGTCCACGTATCCACTTACAGATTCTACAAAAAGACAGTTTCAAAACTGCTCCATCAAAAGGAGGGTTCAACTGTGTGACTTGAATGCAATCATCACTCAGAAGTTTCTGAGAATGCTTCTCTTTAGTTTTTACGTGAACATATACCCGTTTCGAACGAAGGCCACCCAGTGGTCCAAATATCCACTTGCAGATTATACAGAAAGAGTGTTTCGAACCTGAACTCTCAAAGGCAGGTTCATCTCTGCGAGTTAAATGCATTCATCATGAAGAACTTTCTCAGAGTGTTTGTGTTTAGTTATGGGAAATTATTCCCGTTTCCAACGAAATCCTCAGAGAGCTCCAAATATCCACCTGCAGATTCTACCAAAAGTGTATTTGGAAACTGCTCCATCAAAAGGCATGTTCAGCTCTGTCAGTGAAGCTCCATCATCACAAAGAATATTCTGAGAATGCTTCCGTTTGCCTTTTATATGAAGTTCCTTCCTATACGACCGTAGGCCTCAAAGCAGTCCAAATCTCCATTTGCAGATTCTACAAAAGAGTGATTCCAATCTGCTCTATCAATAGGATTGTTCAACTCCATGAGTTGAATGCCATCCTCACAAAGTAGTTTCTGAGAATGCTTCTATCTGGTTTTTGTGTGAAGATATTTCCTTTTCCACCACAGGCCTCAAAGCCCTCCAAACGTCCACTTGCAGATTCTCGAAAAAGAGTGTTTCATAGCTGCTCTTTCAAAAGGAAAGTTCAACTCTGGGAGTTGAATACAAACATCACAAAATAGTTTCCGAGAATGCTTCTGTTTAGTTCTTATGTGAAGATGATCCCGTTTCCAGTGAAATCTTCAAAGAGGTCCACATATCCCCTTGCAGATTCCAAAGAAAGAGGGTTTCAAAACTGCTCCATCAAAAGGATTGTTCAACTCTGTGAGTTGAATGCAGTCATCGCAGAAAACTTTCTGAGAATGCTTCTGTCTAGGTTTGATGTGAAGATATAGACGTTTCAAACGAAGGCTACAAAGTGGTCAAAATATACACTTGCAGATTCTACTACAAGGGTGTTGCAAACCTGAACTATCAAAGGAAGGTTCAACTCTGTGAGTTGAATACAAACATCACAAAGAATGTTCTGAGTTTGCTTCCGTTCAGTTATGGGAAGTTGATCCCGTTTGCAACGAAATCCTCAGAGAGGTCCAAATATCCCCTTGCAGATTCTGCAAAACGTGTGTTTGGAAACTGCTCCATCATAACGAATGTTCAGCTCTCTGAGTTAAACTCCATCGTCACAAAGAATTTTCTGAGAGTGCTACCGTCTAGATTTTATATGAAGTTCTTTCCTTTACTACCACAGGCCTCAAAGCGGTCCAAATCTCCACTTGCAGATTCTACAAAAAGAGTGTCTGCAAACTGCTCTATCAAAAGGAATGTTCAACTCTGGGAGTTGAATGCAATCATCACAGAGCAGTTTCTGAGAATGCTTCTATGTCGTTTTTAGGAGAAGATATTTCCTTTTCCAACACAGTCCTCCAAGCCCGCTAAATATCCACTTGCACATTGTAGAAAAAGTGTGTCGAAGCTGCGCTATCAAAGGGAAAGTTCAACTCTGTGAGGTGAATGCAAACATCCCAAAGAAGTTTCTGAGAATGCTTCCGTTTAGCTTTTAGGTGAAGATTATCCCGTTTCCAACGAAATCTTCAAAGAGGTCCAAATATCCCCCTGCGGATCCCACAGAAAGAGTGTTTCGAAACTGCTGTTTCAAAAGGAATCTTCAACTCTGTGAGTTGAATGCAATCATCACAAAGAAGTTTCTGACAATGCTTCTCTCTCGTCTTTCTGTGAAGATAAAGGAAAAGGCTTTCAGGCCTTTTCCACCACAGGCCTGAAAGCGCTCCAAATGTCCACTTGCAGATTCTGCCAAAAGAATATTTCAAAACTGCTCTATGAAAAGCAATGTTAAACTCTG
This sequence comes from Homo sapiens, assembly GCF_000001405.40. NCBI lineage: Eukaryota > Metazoa > Chordata > Mammalia > Primates > Hominidae > Homo > Homo sapiens. The sequence goes on along the minus strand of NC_000023.11, from coordinate 61,147,661 downwards.
TGGCTCGAACACAAACATCACAAAGCGGTTTCTGAGAATGCTTCAGTTTAGTTTTTCTGTGGAAATATTCCCGTTTCCAAAGAAATCTTCAAAGAGGTCCACGCATCCACTTACAGATTCTACAAAAAGACAGTTTCAAAACTGCTCAATCAAAAGGAGGGTTCAACTGTGTGACTTGAATGCAATCATCACTCAGAAGTTTCTGAGAACGCTTCTCTTTAGTTTTTACGTGAACGTATACCCGTTTCGAACGAAGTCCAGCCAGTGGTACAAATATCCACTTACAGATTCTACAGAAAGAGTGTTTCGAACCTGAACTCTCAAAGGCAGGTTCATCTCTGCGAGTTAAATGCATTCATCATGAAGAACTTTCTCAGCGTGTTTGTGTTTAGTTATGGGAAATTATTCCCGTTTCCAACGAAATCCTCAGAGAGCTCCAAATATCCACCTGCAGATTCTACCAAAAGTGTATTTGGAAACTGCTCCATCAAAAGGCATGTTCAGCTCTGTGAGTGAAACTCCATCATCACAAAGAATATTCTGAGAATGCTTCCGTTTGCCTTTTATATGAAGTTCCTTCCTATACGACCGTAGGCCTCAAAGCAGTCCAAATCTCCATTTGCAGATTCTACAAAAAGAGTGATTCCAATCTGCTCTATCAATAGGATTGTTCAACTCCATGAGTTGAATGCCATCCTCACAAAGTCGTTTCTAAGAATGCTTCTATCTAGTTTTTATGTGAAGATATTTCCTTTTCCACCACAGGCCTCAAAGCCCTCCAAACGGCCACTTGCAGATTCTCGAAAAAGAGTGTTTCATAGCTGCTCTTTCAAAAGGAAAGTTCAACTCTGGGAGTTGAATACAAACATCACAAAGTAGTTTCCGAGAATGCTTCTGTTTAGTTTTTATGTGAAGATGATCCCGTTTCCAGTGAAATCTTCAAAGAGGTCCACATATCCCCTTGCAGATTCCAAAGAAAGAGGGTTTCAAAACTGCTCCATCAGAAGGATTGTTCAACTCTGTGAGTTGAATGCAGTCATCGCAGAAAACTTTCTGAGAATGCTTCTGTCTAGGTTTGATGTGAAGATATAGACGTTTCAAACGAAGGCTACAAAGTGGTCAAAATATACACTTGCAGATTCTACTACAAGGGTGTTGCAAACCTGAACTATCAAAGGAAGGTTCAACTCCGTCAGTTGAATACAAACATCACAAAGAATGTTCTGAGTTTGCTACCGTTCAGTTATGGGAAGTTGATCCCGTTTCCAACGAAATCCTCAGAGAGGTCCAAATATCCCCTTGCAGATTCTACAAAACGTGTGTTTGGAAACTGCTCCATCATAACGAATGTTCAGCTCTCTGAGTTAAACTCCATCGTCACAAAGAATTTTCTGAGAGTGCTACCGTCTCGTTTTTATATGAAGTTCTTTCCTTTACTACCACAGGCCTCAAAGCGGTCCAAATCTCCACTTGCAGATTCTACAAAAAGAGTGTTTGCAAACTGCTCTATCAAAAGGAATGTTCAACTCTGGGAGTTGAATGCAATCATCACAGAGCAGTTTCTGAGAATGCTTCCATGTCGTTTTTAGGAGAAGATATTTCCTTTTCCAACACAGTCCTCCAAGCCCGCTAAATATCCACTTGCACATTGTAGAAAAAGTGTGTCGAAGCTGCGCTATCAAAGGGAAAGTTCAACTCTGTGAGATGAATGCAAACATCCCAAAGAAGTTTCTGAGAATGCTTCCGTTTAGCTTTTAGGTGAAGATTATCCCGTTTCCAACGAAACCTTCAAAGAGGTCCAAATGTCCCCTTGCGGATCCCACAGAAAGAGTGTTTCGAAACTGCTGTTTCAAAAGGAATCTTCAACTCTGTGAGTTGAATGCAATCATCACAAAGAAGTTTCTGACAATGCTTCTCTCTCGTCTTTCTGTGAAGATAAAGGAAAAGGCTTTCAGGCCTTTTCCACCACAGGCCTGAAAGCGCTCCAAATGTCCACTTGCAGATTCTGCCAAAAGAATAGTTCAAAACTGCTCTATGAAAAGCAATGTTAAACTCTGTGGCTCGAACACAAACATCACAAAGCAGTTTCTGAGAATGCTTCAGTTTAGTTTTTCTGTGGAAATATTCCCGTTTCCAAAGAAATCTTCAAAGAGGTCCACGCATCCACTTACAGATTCTACAAAAAGACAGTTTCAAAACTGCTCAATCAAAAGGAGGGTTCAACTGTGTGACTTGAATGCAATCATCACTCAGAAGTTTCTGAGAACGCTTCTCTTTAGTTTTTACGTGAACATATACCCGTTTCGAACGAAGGCCAGCCAGTGGTCCAAATATCCACTTGCAGATTCTACAGAAAGAGTGTTTCGAACCTGAACTCTCAAAGGCAGGTTCATCTCTGCGAGTTCAATGCATTCATCATGAAGAACTTTCTCAGCGTGTTTGTGTTTAGTTATTGGAAATTATTCCCGTTTCCAACGAAATCCTCAGAGAGGTCCAAATATCCACCTGTAGATTCTACCAAAAGTGTATTTGGAAACTGCTCCATCAAAAGGAATGTTCAGCTCTGTGAGTGAAACTCCATCATCTCAAAGAATATTCTGAGAATGCTTCCATTTGCCTTTTATATGAAGTTCCTTCCTATACTACCCTAGGCCTCAAAGCAGTCCAAATCTCCATTTGCAGATTCTACAAAAAGAGTGATTCCAATCTGCTCTATCAATAGGACTGTTCAACTCCATGAGTTGAATGCCATCCTCACAAAGTAGTTTCTGAGAATGTTTCTATCTAGTTTTTATGTGAAGATATTTCCTTTTCCACCACAGGCCTCAAAGCCCTCCAAACGTCCACTTGCAGATTCTCGAAAAAGAGTGTTTCATAGCTGCTCTTTCAAAAGGAAAGTTCAACTCTGGGAGCTGAATACAAACATCACAAAGTAGTTTCCGAGAATGCTTCTGTTTAGTTCTTATGTGAAGATGATCCCGTTTCCAGTGAAATCTTCAAAGAGGTCCACATATCCCCTTGCAGATTCCAAAGAAAGAGGGTTTCAAAACTGCTCCATCAAAAGGATTGTTCAACTCTGTGAGTTGAATGCAGTCATCGCAGAAAACTTTCTGAGAATGCTTCTGTCTAGGTTTGAGGTGAAGATATAGACGTTTCAAACGAAGGCTACAAAGTGGTCAAAATATACACTTGCAGATTCTACTACAAGGGTGTTGCAAACCTCAACTATCAAAGGAAGGTTCAACTCTGTGAGTTGAATACAAACATCACAAAGAATGTTCTGAGTTTGCTTCCGTTCAGTTATGGGAAGTTGATCCCGTTTCCAACGAAATCCTCAGAGAGGTCCAAATATCCCCTTGCAGATTCTACAAAACGTGTGTTTGGAAACTGCTCCATCATAACGAATGTTCAGCTCCCTGAGTTAAACTCCATCGTCACAAAGAATTTTCTGAGAGTGCTACCGTCTAGTTTTATATGAAGTTCTTTCCTTTACTACCACAGGCCTCAAAGCGGTCCAAATCTCCACTTGCAGATTCTACAAAAAGAGTGTTTGCAAACTGCTCTATCAAAAGGAATGTTCAACTCTGGGAGTTGAATGCAATCATCACAGAGCAGTTTCTGAGAATGCTTCTATGTCGTTTTTAGGAGAAGATATTTCCTTTTCCAACACAGTCCTCCAAGCCCGCTAAATATCCACTTGCACATTGTAGAAAAAGTGTGTCGAAGCTGCGCTATCAAAGGGAAAGTTCAACTCTGTGAGGTGAATGCAAACATCCCAAAGAAGTTTCTGAGAATGCTTCCGTTTAGCTTTTAGGTGAAGATTATCCCGTTTCCAACGAAATCTTCAAAGAAGTCCAAATATCCCCTTGCGGATCCCACAGAAAGAGTGTTTCGAAACTGCTGTTTCAAAAGGAATCTTCAACTCTGTGAGTTGAATGCAATCATCACAAAGAAGTTTCTGACAATGCTTCTCTCTCGTCTTTCTGTGAAGATAAAGGAAAAGGCTTTCAGGCCTTTTCCACCACAGGCCTGAAAGCGCTCCAAATGTCCACTTGCAGATTCTGCCAAAAGAATATTTCAAAACTGCTCTATGAAAAGCAATGTTAAACTCTGTGGCTCGAACACAAACATCACAAAGCAGTTTCTGAGAATGCTTCAGTTTAGTTTTTCTGTGGAAATATTCCCGTTTCCAAAGAAATCTTCAAAGAGGTCCACGCATCCACTTACAGATTCTACAAAAAGACAGTTTCAAAACTGGTCAATCAAAAGGAGGGTTCAACTGTGTGACTTGAATGCAATCATCACTCAGAAGTTTGCTGAGAACGCTTCTCTTTAGTTTTTACGTGAACATATACCCGTTTCGAACGAAGGCCAGCCACTGGTCCAAATATCCACTTGCAGATTCTACAGAAAGAGTGTTTCGAACCTGAACTCTCAAAGGCAGGTTCATCTCTGCGAGTTAAATGCATTCATCATGAAGAACTTTCTCAGCGTATTTGTGTTTAGGTATGGGAAATTATTCCCGTTTCCAACGAAATCCTCAGAGAGGTCCAAATATCCACCTGCAGATTCTACCAAAAGTGTATTTGGAAACTGCTCCATGAAAAGGCATGTGCAGCTCTGTGAGTGAAACTCCATCATCACAAAGAATATTCTGAGAATGCTTCCGTTTGCCTTTTATATGAAGTTCCTTCCTATACTACCGTAGGCCTCAAAGCAGTCCAAATCTCCATTTGCAGATTCTACAAATAGAGTGATTCCAATCTGCTCTATCAATAGGATTGTTCAACTCCATGAGTTGAATGCCATCCTCACAAAGTCGTTTCTGAGAATGCTTCTATCTAGTTTTTATGTGAAGATATTTCCTTTTCCACCACAGGCCTCAAAGCCCTCCAAACGTCCACTTGCAGATTCTCGAAAAAGTGTGTTTCATAGCTGCTGTTTCAAAAGGAAAGTTCAACTCTGGGAGTTGAATACAAACATCACAAAGTAGTTTCCGAGAATGCTTCTGTTTAGTTCTTATGTGAAGATGATCCCGTTTCCAGTGAAATCTTCAAAGAGGTCCACATATCCCCTTGCAGATTCCAAAGAAAGAGGGTTTCAAAACTGCTCCATCAAAAGGATTGTTCAACTCTGTGAGTTGAATGCAGTCATCGCAGAAAACTTTCTGAGAATGCTTCTGTCTAGGTTTGATGTGAAGATATAGACGTTTCAAACGAAGGCTACAAAGTGGTCAAAATATACACTTGCAGATTCTACTACAAGGGTGATGCAAACCTGAACTATCAAAGGAAGGTTCAACTCTGTGAGTTGAATACAAACATCACAAAGAATGTTCTGAGTTTGCTTCCGTTCAGTTATGGGAAGTTGATCCCGTTTCCAACGAAATCCTCAGAGGGGTCCAAATATCCCCTTGCAGATTCTACAAAACGTGTGTTTGGAAACTGCTCCATCATAACGAATGTTCAGCTCTCTGAGTTAAACTCCATCGTCACAAAGAATTTTCTGAGAGTGCTACCGTCTAGTTTTATATGAAGTTCTTTCCTTTACTACCACCGGCCTCAAAGCGGTCCAAATCTCCACTTGCAGATTCTACAAAAAGAGTGTTTGCAAACTGCTCTATCAAAAGGAATGTTCAACTCTGGGAGTTGAATGCAATCATCACAGAGCAGTTTCTGAGAATGCTTCTATGTCGTTTTTAGGAGAAGATATTTCCTTTTCCAACACAGTCCTCCAAGCCCGCTAAATAGCCACTTGCACATTGTAGAAAAAGTGTGTCGAAGCTGCGCTATCAAAGGGAAAGTTCAACTCTGTGAGGTGAATGCAAACATCCCAAAGAAGTTTCTGAGAATGCTTCCGTTTAGCTTTTAGGTGAAGATTATCCCGTTTCCAACGAAACCTTCAAAGAGGTCCAAATATCCCCTTGCGGATCCCACAGAAAGAGTGTTTCGAAACTGCTGTTTCAAAAGGAATCTTCAACTCTGTGAGTTGAATGCAATCATCACAAAGAAGTTTCTGACAATGCTTCTCTCTCGTCTTTCTGTGAAGATAAAGGAAAAGGCTTTCAGGCCTTTGCCACTACAGGCCTGAAAGCGCTCCAAATGTCCACTTGCAGATTCTGCGAAAAGAATATTTCAAAACTGCTCTATGAAAAGCAATGTTAAACTCTGTGGCTCGAACACAAACATCACAAAGCAGTTTCTGAGAATGCTTCAGTTTAGTTTTTCTGTGGAAATATTCCCGTTTCCAAAGAAATCTTCAAAGAGGTCCACGTATCCACTAACAGATTCTACAAAAAGACAGTTTCAAAACTGCTCCATCAAAAGGAGGGTTCAACTGTGTGACTTGAATGCAATCATCACTCACAAGTTTCTGAGAATGCTTCTCTTTAGTTTTTACGTGAACATATACCCGTTTCGAACGAAGGCCAGCCAGTGGTCCAAATATCCACTTGCAGATTCTACAGAAAGAGTGTTTCGAACCTGAACTCTCAAAGGCAGGTTCATCTCTGCGAGTTAAATGCATTCATCATGAAGAACTTTCTCAGAGTGTTTGTGTTTAGTTATGGGAAATTATTCCCGTTTCCAACGAAATCCTCAGAGAGCTCCAAATATCCACCTGCAGATTCTACCAAAAGTGTATTTGGAAACTGCTCCATCAAAAGGCATGTTCAGCTCTGTGAGTGAAACTCCATCATCACAAAGAATATTCTGAGAATGCTTCCGTTTGCCTTTTATATGAAGTTCCTTCCTATACTACCGTAGGCCTCAAAGCAGTCCAAATCTCCATTTGCAGATTCTACAAAAAGAGTGATTCCAATCTGCTCTATCAATAGGATTGTTCAACTCCATGAGTTGAATGCCATCCTCACAAAGTAGTTTCTGAGAATGCTTCTATCTGGTTTTTGTGTGAAGATATTTCCTTTTCCACCACAGGACTCAAATCCCTCCAAACGTCCACTTGCAGATTCTCGAAAAAGAGTGTTTCATAGCTGCTCTTTCAAAAGGAAAGTTCAACTCTGGGAGTTGAATACAAACATCACAAAATAGTTTCCGAGAATGCTTCTGTTTAGTTTTTATGTGAAGATGATCCCGTTTCCAGTGAAATCTTCAAAGAGGTCCACATATCCCCTTGCAGATTCCAAAGAAAGAGGGTTTCAAAACTGCTCCATCAGAAGGATTGTTCAACTCTGTGAGTTGAATGCAGTCATCGCAGAAAACTTTCTGAGAATGCTTCTGTCTAGGTTTGATGTGAAGATATAGACGTTTCAAACGAAGGCTACAAAGTGGTCAAAATATACACTTGCAGATTCTACTACAAGGGTGTTGCAAACCTGAACTATCAAAGGAAGGTTCAACTCTGTGAGTTGAATACAAACATCACAAAGAATGTTCTGAGTTTGCTTCCGTTCAGTTATGGGAAGTTGATCCCGTTTCCAACGAAATCCTCAGAGAGGTCCAAATATCCCCTTGCAGATTCTACAAAACGTGTGTTTGGAAACTGCTCCATCATAACGAATGTTCAGCTCCCTGAGTTAAACTCCATCGTCACAAAGAATTTTCTCAGAGTGCTACCGTCTGGTTTTTATATGAAGTTCTTTCCTTCACTACCACAGACCTCAAAGCGGTCCAAATCTCCACTTGCAGATTCTACAAAAAGAGTGATTCCAATCTGCTCTATCAATAGGATTGTTCAACTCCATGAGTTGAATGCCATCCTCACAAAGTAGTTTCTGAGAATGCTTCTATCTGGTTTTTGTGTGAAGATATTTCCTTTTCCACCACAGGCCTCAAAGCCCTCCAAACGTCCACTTGCAGATTCTCGAAAAAGAGTGTTTCATAGCTGCTCTTTCAAAAGGAAAGTTCAACTCTGGGAGTTGAATACAAACATCACAAAATAGTTTCCGAGAATGCTTCTGTTTAGTTTTTATGTGAAGATGATCCCGTTTCCAGTGAAATCTTCAAAGAGGTCCACATATCCCCTTGCAGATTCCAAAGAAAGAGGGTTTCAAAACTGCTCCATCAGAAGGATTTTTCAACTCTGTGAGTTGAATGCAGTCATCGCAGAAAACTTTCTGAGAATGCTTCTGTCTAGGTTTGATGTGAAGATATAGACGTTTCAAACGAAGGCTACAAAGTGGTCAAAATATACACTTGCAGATTCTACTACAAGGGTGTTGCAAACCTGAACTATCAAAGGAAGGTTCAACTCTGTGAATTGAATACAAACATCACAAAGAATGTTCTGAGTTTGCTTCCGTTCACTTATGGGAAGTTGATCCCGTTTCCAACGAAATCCTCAGAGAGGTCCAAATATCCCCTTGCAGATTCTACAAAACGTGTGTTTGGAAACTGCTCCATCATAACGAATGTTCAGCTCTCTGAGTTAAACTCCATCGTCACAAAGAATTTTCTGAGAGTGCTACCGTCTAGTTTTTATATGAAGTTCTTTCCTTTACTACCACAGGCCTCAAAGCGGTCCAAATCTCCACTTGCAGATTCTACAAAAAGAGTGTTTGCAAACTGCTCTATCAAAAGGAATGTTCAACTCTGGGAGTTGAATGCAATCATCACAGAGCAGTTTCTGAGAATGCTTCTATGTCGTTTTTAGGAGAAGATATTTCCTTTTCCAACACAGTGCTCCAAGCCCGCTAAATATCCACTTGCACATTGTAGAAAAAGTGTGTCGAAGCTGCGCTATCAAAGGGAAAGTTCAACTCTGTGAGGTGAATGCAAACATCCCAAAGAAGTTTCTGAGAATGCTTCCGTTTAGCTTTTAGGTGAAGATTATCCCGTTTCCAACGAAACCTTCAAAGAGGTCCAAATATCCCCTTGCGGATCCCACAGAAAGAGTGTTTCGAAACTGCTGTTTCAAAAGGAATCTTCAACTCTGTGAGTTGAAAGCAATCATCACAAAGAAGTTTCTGTCAATGCTTCTCTCTCGTCTTTCTGCGAAGATAAAGGAAAAGGCTTTCAGGCCTTTTCCACCACAGGCCTGAAAGCGCTCCAAATGTCCACTTGCAGATTCTGCCAAAAGAATATTTCAAAACTGCTCTATGAAAAGCAATGTTAAACTCTGTGGCTCGAACACAAACATCACAAAGCAGTTTCTGAGAATGCTTCAGTTTAGTTTTTCTGTGGAAATATTCCCGTTTCCAAAGAAATCTTCAAAGAGGTCCACGCATCCACTTACAGATTCTACAAAAAGACAGTTTCAAAACTGCTCAATCAAAAGGAGGGTTCAACTGTGTGACTTGAATGCAATCATCACTCAGAAGTTTCTGAGAACGCTTCTCTTTAGTTTTTACGTGAACGTATACCCGTTTCGAACGAAGGTCAGCCAGTGGTCCAAATATCCACTTGCAGATTCTACAGAAAGAGTGTTTCGAACCTGAACTCTCAAAGGCAGGTTCATCTCTGCGAGTTCAATGCATTCATCATGAAGAACTTTCTCAGAGTGTTTGTGTTTAGTTATGGGAAATTATTCCCGTTTCCAACGAAATCCTCAGAGAGCTCCAAATATCCACCTGCAGATTCTACCAAAAGTGTATTTGGAAACTGCTCCATCAAAAGGCATGTTCAGCCCTGTGAGTGAAACTCCATCATCACAAAGAATATTCTGAGAATGCTTCCGTTTGCCTTTTATATGAAGTTCCTTCCTATACGACCGTAGGCCTCAAAGCAGTCCAAATCTCCATTTGCAGATTCTACAAAAAGAGTGATTCCAATCTGCTCTATCAATAGGATTGTTCAACTCCATGAGTTGAATGCCATCCTCACAAAGTAGTTTCTGAGAATGCTTCTATGTAGTTTTTATGTGAAGATATTTCCTTTTCCACCACAGGCCTCAAAGCCCTCCAAACGTCCACATGCAGATTCTCGAAAAAGAGTGTTTCATAGCTGCTCTTTCAAAAGGAAAGTTCAACTCTGGGAGTTGAATACAAACATCACAAAGTAGTTTCCGAGAATGCTTCTGTTTAGTTCTTATGTGAAGATGATCCCGTTTCCAGTGAAATCTTCAAAGAGGTCCATATATCCCCTTGCAGATTCCAAAGAAAGAGGGTTTCAAAACTGCTCCATCAAAAGGATTGTGCAACTCTGTGAGTTGAATGCAGTCATCGCAGAAAACTTTCTGAGAATGCTTCTGTCTACGTTTGAGGTGAAGATATAGACGTTTCAAACGAAGGCTACAAAGTGGTCAAAATATACACTTGCAGATTCTACTACAAGGGTGTTGCAAACCTGAACTATCAAAGGAAGGTTCAACTCTGTGAGTTGAATACAAACATCACAAAGAATGTTCTGAGTTTGCTTCCGTTCAGTTATGGGAAGTTGATCCCGTTTCCAACGAAATCCTCAGAGAGGTCCAAATATCCCCTTGCAGATTCTACAAAACGTGTGTTTGGAAACTGCTCCATCATAACGAATGTTCAGCTCCCTGAGTTAAACTCCATCGTCACAAAGAATTTTCTGAGAGTGCTACCGTCTGGTTTTTATATGAAGTTCTTTCCTTCACTACCACAGGCCTCAAAGCGGTCCAAATCTCCACTTGCAGATTCTACAAAAAGAGTGTTTGCAAACTGCTCTATCAAAAGGAATGTTCAACTCTGGGAGTTGAATGCAATCATCACAGAGCAGTTTCTGAGAATGCTTCTATGTCGTTTTTAGGAGAAGATATTTCCTTTTCCAACACAGTCCTCCAAGCCCGCTAAATAGCCACTTGCACATTGTAGAAAAAGTGTGTCAAAGCTGCGCTATCAAAGGGAAAGTTCAACTCTGTGAGGTGAATGCAAACATCCCAAAGAAGTTTCTGAGAATGCTTCCGTTTAGCTTTTAGGTGAAGATTATCCCGTTTCCAACGAAACCTTCAAAGAGGTCCAAATATCCCCTTGCGGATCCCACAGAAAGAGTGTTTCGAAACTGCTGTTTCAAAAGGAATCTTCAACTCTGTGAGTTGAATGCAATCATCACAAAGAAGTTTCTGACAATGCTTCTCTCTCGTCTTCCTGTGAAGATAAAGGAAAAGGCTTTCAGGCCTTTTCCACCACAGGCCTGAAAGCGCTCCAAATGTCCACTTGCAGATTCTGCCAAAAGAATATTTCAAAACTGCTCTATGAAAAGCAATGTTAAACTCTGTGGCTCGAACACAAACATCACAAAGCAGTTTCTGAGAATGCTTCAGTTTAGTTTTTCTGTGGAAATATTCCCGTTTCCAAAGAAATCTTCAAAGAGGTCCACGTATCCACTTACAGATTCTACAAAAAGACAGTTTCAAAACTGCTCCATCAAAAGGAGGGTTCAACTGTGTGACTTGAATGCAATCATCACTCAGAAGTTTCTGAGAATGCTTCTCTTTAGTTTTTACGTGAACATATACCCGTTTCGAACGAAGGCCACCCAGTGGTCCAAATATCCACTTGCAGATTCTACAGAAAGAGTGTTTCGAACCTGAACTCTCAAAGGCAGGTTCATCTCTGCGAGTTAAAAGCATTCATCATGAAGAACTTTCTCAGAGTGTTTGTGTTTAGTTATGGGAAATTATTCCCGTTTCCAACGAAATCCTCAGAGAGCTCCAAATATCCACCTGCAGATTCTACCAAAAGTGTATTTGGAAACTGCTCAATCAAAAGGCATGTTCAGCTCTGTGAGTGAAACTCCATCATCACAAAGAATATTCTGAGAATGCTTCCGTTTGCCTTTTATATGAAGTTCCTTCCTGTACTACCGTAGGCCTCAAAGCAGTCCAAATCTCCATTTGCAGATTCTATAAAAAGAGTGATTCCAATCTGCTCTATCAATAGGATTGTTCAACTCCATGAGTTGAATGCCATCCTCACAAAGTAGTTTCTGAGAATGCTTCTATCTAGTTTTTATGTGAAGATATTTCCTTTTCCACCACAGGCCTCAAAGCCCTCCAAACGTCCACTTGCAGATTCTCGAAAAAGAGTGTTTTATAGCTGCTCTTTCAAAAGGAAAGTTCAACTCTGGGAGTTGAATACAAACATCACAAAGTAGTTTCCGAGAATGCTTCTGTTTAGTTTTTATGTGAAGATGATCCCGTTTCCAGTGAAATCTTCAAAGAGGTCCACATATCCCCTTGCAGATTCCAAAGAAAGAGGGTTTCAAAACTGCTCCATCAGAAGGATTGTTCAACTCTGTGAGTTGAATGCAGTCATCGCAGAAAACTTTCTGAGAATGCTTCTGTCTAGGTTTGATGTGAAGATATAGATGTTTCAAACGAAGGCTACAAAGTGGTCAAAATATACACTTGCAGATTCTACTACAAGGGTGTTGCAAACCTGAACTATCAAAGGAAGGTTCAACTCTGTGAGTTGAATACAAACATCACAAAGAATGTTCTGAGTTTGCTTCCGTTCAGTTATGGGAAGTTGATCCCGTTTCCAACGAAATCCTCAGAGAGGTCCAAATATCCCCTTGCAGATTCTACAAAACGTGTGTTTGGAAACTGCTCCATCATAACGAATGTTCAGCTCCCTGAGTTAAACTCCATCGTCACAAAGAATTTTCTGAGAGTGCTACCGTCTGGTTTTTATATGAAGTTCTTTCCTTCACTACCACAGGCCTCAAAGCGGTCCAAATCTCCACTTGCAGATTCTACAAAAAGAGTGTTTGCAAACTGCTCTATCAAAAGGAATGTTCAACTCTGGGAGTTGAATGCAATCATCACAGAGCAGTTTCTGAGAATGCTTCTATGTCGTTTTTAGGAGAAGATATTTCCTTTTCCAACACAGTCCTCCAAGCCCGCTAAATAGCCACTTGCACATTGTAGAAAAAGTGTGTCGAAGCTGCGCTATCAAAGGGAAAGTTCAACTCTGTGAGGTGAATGCAAACATCCCAAAGAAGTTTCTGAGAATGCTTCCGTTTAGCTTTTAGGTGAAGATTATCCCGTTTCCAACGAAATCTTCAAAGAGGTCCAAATATCCCCTTGCGGATCCCACAGAAAGAGTGTTTCGAAACTGCTGTTTCAAAAGGAATCTTCAACTCTGTGAGTTGAATGCAATCATCACAAAGAAGTTTCTGACAATGCTTCTCTCTCGTCTTTCTGTGAAGATAAAGGAAAAGGCTTTCAGGCCTTTTCCACCACAGGCCTGAAAGCGCTCCAAATGTCCACTTGCAGATTCTGCCAAAAGAATATTTCAAAACTGCTCTATGAAAAGCAATGTTAAACTCTGTGGCTCGAACACAAACATCACAAAGCAGTTTCTGAGAATGCTTCAGTTTAGTTTTTCTGTGGAAATATTCCCGTTTCCAAAGAAATCTTCAAAGAGGTCCACGCATCCACTTACAGATTCTACAAAAAGACAGTTTCAAAACTGCTCAATCAAAAGGAGGGTTCAACTGTGTGACTTGAATGCAATCATCACTCAGAAGTTTCTGAGAATGCTTCTCTTTAGTTTTTACGTGAACATATACCCGTTTCGAACGAAGGCCAGCCAGTGGTCCAAATATCCACTTGCAGATTCTACAGAAAGAGTGTTTCGAACCTGAACTCTCAAAGGCAGGTTCATCTCTGCGAGTTAAATGCATTCATCATGAAGAACTTTCTCAGAGTGTTTGTGTTTAGTTATGGGAAATTATTCCCGTTTCCAACGAAATCCTCAGAGAGCTCCAAATATCCACCTGCAGATTCTACCAAAAGTGTATTTGGAAACTGCTCCATCAAAAGGCATGTTCAGCTCTGTGAGTGAAACTCCATCATCACAAAGAATATTCTGAGAATGCTTCCGTTTGCCTTTTATATGAAGTTCCTTCCTGTACTACCGTAGGCCTCAAAGCAGTCCAAATCTCCATTTGCAGATTCTACAAAAAGAGTGATTCCAATCTGCTCTATCAATAGGATTGTTCAACTCCATGAGTTGAATGCCATCCTCACAAAGTCGTTTCTGAGAATGCTTCTATCTAGTTTTTATGTGAAGATATTTCCTTTTCCACCACAGGCCTCAAAGCCCTCCAAACGTCCACTTGCAGATTCTCGAAAAGGAGTGTTTCATAGCTGCTCTTTCAAAAGGAAAGTTCAACTCTGGGAGTTGAATACAAACATCACAAAGTAGTTTCCGAGAATGCTTCTGTTTAATTTTTATGTGAAGATGATCCCGTTTCCAGTGAAATCTTCAAAGAGGTCCACATATCCCCTTGCAGATTCCAAAGAAAGAGGGTTTCAAAACTGCTCCATCAGAAGGATTGTTCAACTCTGTGAGTTGAATGCAGTCATCGCAGAAAACTTTCTGAGAATGCTTCTGTCTAGGTTTGATGTGAAGATATAGACGTTTCAAATGAAGGCTACAAAGTGGTCAAAATATACACTTGCAGATTCTACTACAAGGGTGTTGCAAACCTGAACTATCAAAGGAAGGTTCAACTCTGTGAGTTGAATACAAACATCACAAAGAATGTTCTGAGTTTGCTTCCATTCAGTTATGGGAAGTTGATCCCGTTTCCAACGAAATCCTCAGAGAGGTCCAAATATCCCCTTGCAGATTCTACAAAACGTGTGTTTGGAAACTGCTCCATCATAACGAATGTTCAGCTCCCTGAGTTAAACTCCATCGTCACAAAGAATTTTCTGAGAGTGCTACCGTCTGGTTTTTATATGAAGTTCTTTCCTTCACTACCACAGACCTCAAAGCGGTCCAAATCTCCACTTGCAGATTCTACAAAAAGAGTGTTTGCAAACTGCTCTATCAAAAGGAATGTTCAACTCTGGGAGTTGAATGCAATCATCACAGAGCAGTTTCTGAGAATGCTTCTATGTCGTTTTTAGGAGAAGATATTTCCTTTTCCAACACAGTCCTCCAAGCCCGCTAAATAGCCACTTGCACATTGTAGAAAAAGTGTGTCAAAGCTGCGCTATCAAAGGGAAAGTTCAACTCTGTGAGGTGAATGCAAACATCCCAAAGAAGTTTCTGAGAATGCTTCCGTTTAGCTTTTAGGTGAAGATTATCCCGTTTCCAACGAAACCTTCCAAGAGGTCCAAATATCCCCTTGCGGATCCCACAGAAAGAGTGTTTCGAAACTGCTGTTTCAAAAGGAATCTTCAACTCTGTGAGTTGAATGCAATCATCACAAAGAAGTTTCTGACAATGCTTCTCTCTCGTCTTTCTGTGAAGATAAAGGAAAAGGCTTTCAGGCCTTTTCCACCACAGGCCTGAAAGCGCTCCAAATGTCCACTTGCAGATTCTGCGAAAAGAATATTTCAAAACTGCTCTATGAAAAGCAATGTTAAACTCTGTGGCTCGAACACAAACATCACAAAGCAGTTTCTGAGAATGATTCAGTTTAGTTTTTCTGTGGAAATATTCCCGTTTCCAAAGAAATCTTCAAAGAGGTCCACGTATCCACTTACAGATTCTACAAAAAGACAGTTTCAAAACTGCTCCATCAAAAGGAGTGTTCAACCCGTGTGACTTGAATGCAATCATCACTCAGAAGTTTCTGAGAATGCTTCTCTTTAGTTTTTACGTGAACATATACCCGTTTCGAACGAAGGCCACCCAGTGGTCCAAATATCCACTTGCAGATTCTACAGAAAGAGTGTTTCGAACATGAACTCTCAAAGGCAGGTTCATCTCTGCGAGTTAAATGCATTCATCATGAAGAACTTTCTCAGAGTGTTTGTGTTTAGTTATGGGAAATTATTCCCGTTTCCAACGAAATCCTCAGAGAGCTCCAAATATCCACCTGCAGATTCTACCAAAAGTGTATTTGGAAACTGCTCCATCAAAAGGCATGTTCCGCTCTGTGAGTGAAACTCCATCATCACAAAGAATATTCTGAGAATGCTTCCGTTTGCCTTTTATATGAAGTTCCTTCCTATACGACCGTAGGCCTCAAAGCAGTCCAAATCTCCATTTGCAGATTCTACAAAAAGAGTGATTCCAATCTGCTCTATCAATAGGATTGTTCAACTCCATGAGTTGAATGCCATCCTCACAAAGTCGTTTCTGAGAATGCTTCTATCTAGTTTTTATGTGAAGATATTTCCTTTTCCACCACAGGCCTCAAATCCCTCCAAACGTCCACTTGCAGATTCTCGAAAAAGAGTGTTTCATAGCTGCTCTTTCAAAAGGAAAGTTCAACTCTGGGAGTTGAATACAAACATCACAAAGTAGTTTCCGAGAATGCTTCTGTTTAGTTTTTATGTGAAGATGATCCCATTTCCAGTGAAATCTTCAAAGAGGTCCACATATCCCCTTGCAGATTCCAAAGAAAGAGGGTTTCAAAACTGCTCCATCAGAAGGATTGTTCAACTCTGTGAGTTGAATGCAGTCATCGCAGAAAACTTTCTGAGAATGCTTCTGTCTAGGTTTGATGTGAAGATATAGACGTTTCAAACGAAGGCTACAAAGTGGTCAAAATATACACTTGCAGATTCTACTACAAGGGTGTTGCAAACCTGAACTATCAAAGGAAGGTTCAACTCTGTGAGTTGAATACAAACATCACAAAGAATGTTCTGAGTTTGCTTCCGTTCAGTTATGGGAAGTTGATCCCGTTTCCAACGAAATCCTCAGAGAGGTCCAAATATCCCCTTGCAGATTCTACAAAACGTGTGTTTGGAAACTGCTCCATCATAACGAATGTTCAGCTCCCTGAGTTAAACTCCATCGTCACAAAGAATTTTCTGAGAGTGCTACCGTCTAGTTTTTATATGAAGTTCTTTCCTTTACTACCACAGGCCTCAAAGCGGTCCAAATCTCCACTTGCAGATTCTACAAAAAGAGTGTCTGCAAACTGCTCTATCAAAAGGAATGTTCAACTCTGGGAATTGAATGCAATCATCACAGAGCAGTTTCTGAGAATGCTTCTATGTCGTTTTTAGGAGAAGATATTTCCTTTTCCAACACAGTCTTCCAAGCCCGCTTAATAGCCACTTGCACATTGTAGAAAAAGTGTGTCGAAGCTGCGCTATCAAAGGGAAAGTTCAACTCTGTGAGGTGAATGCAAACATCCCAAAGAAGTTTCTGAGAATGCTTCCGTTTAGCTTTTAGGTGAAGATTATCCCGTTTCCAACGAAACCTTCAAAGAGGTCCAAATATCCCCTTGCGGATCCCACAGAAAGAGTGTTTCGAAACTGCTGTTTCAAAAGGAATCTTCAACTCTGTGAGTTGAATGCAATCATCACAAAGAAGTTTCTGACAATGCTTCTCTCTCGTCTTTCTGTGAAGATAAAGGAAAAGGCTTTCAGGCCTCTTCCACCACAGGCCTGAAAGCGCTCCAAATGTCCACTTGCAGATTCTGCGAAAAGAATATTTCAAAACTGCTCTATGAAAAGCAATGGTAAACTCTGTGGCTCGAACACAAACATCACAAAGCGGTTTCTGAGAATGCTTCAGTTTAGTTTTTCTGTGGAAATATTCCCGTTTCCAAAGAAATCTTCAAAGAGGTCCACGTATCCACTTACAGATTCTACAAAAAGACAGTTTCAAAACTGCTCCATCAAAAGGAGGGTTCAACCGTGTGACTTGAATGCAATCATCACTCAGAAGTTTCTGAGAATGCTTCTCTTTAGTTTTTACGTGAACATATACCCGTTTCGAACGAAGGCCACCCAGTGGTCCAAATATCCACTTGCAGATTATACAGAAAGAGTGTTTCGAACCTGAACTCTCAAAGGCAGGTTCATCTCTGCGAGTTAAATGCATTCATCATGAAGAACTTTCTCAGAGTGTTTGTGTTTAGTTATGGGAAATTATTCCCGTTTCCAACGAAATCCTCAGAGAGCTCCAAATATCCACCTGCAGATTCTACCAAAAGTGTATTTGGAAACTGCTCCATCAAAAGGCATGTTCAGCTCTGTGAGTGAAACTCCATCATCACAAAGAATATTCTGAGAATGCTTCCGTTTGCCTTTTATATGAAGTTCCTTCCTGTACTACCGTAGGCCTCAAAGCAGTCCAAATCTCCATTTGCAGATTCTATAAAAAGAGTGATTCCAATCTGCTCTATCAATAGGATTGTTCAACTCCATGAGTTGAATGCCATCCTCACAAAGTAGTTTCTGAGAATGCTTCTATCTAGTTTTTATGTGAAGATATTTCCTTTTCCACCACAGGCCTCAAAGCCTTCCAAACGTCCACTTGCAGATTCTCGAAAAAGAGTGTTTCATAGCTGCTCTTTCAAAAGGAAAGTTCAACTCTGGGAGTTGAATACAAACATCACAAAGTAGTTTCCGAGAATGCTTCTGTTTAGTTTTTATGTGAAGATGATCCCGTTTCCAGTGAAATCTTCAAAGAGGTCCACATATCCCCTTGCAGATTCCAAAGAAAGAGGGTTTCAAAACTGCTCCATCAATAGGATTGTTCAACTCTGTGAGTTGAATGCAGTCATCGCAGAAAACTTTCTGAGAATGCTTCTGTCTAGGTTTGATGTGAAGATATAGACGTTTCAAACGAAGGCTACAAAGTGGTCAAAATATACACTTGCAGATACTACTACAAGGGTGTTGCAAACCTGAACTATCAAAGGAAGGTTCAACTCTGTGAGTTGAATACAAACATCACAAAGAATGTTCTGAGTTTGCTTCCGTTCAGTTATGGGAAGTTGATCCCGTTTCCAACGAAATCCTCAGAGAGGTCCAAATATCCCCTTGCAGATTCTACAAAACGTGATTTTGGAAACTGCTCCATCATAACGAATGTTCAGCTCCCTGAGTTAAACTCCATCGTCACAAAGAATTTTCTGAGAGTGCTACCGTCTGGTTTTTATATGAAGCTCTTTCCTTTACTACCCCAGGCCTCAAAGCGGTCAAAATCTCCACTTGCAGATTCTACAAAAAGAGTGTTTGCAAACTGCTCTATCAAAAGGAATGTTCAACTCTGGGAGTTGAATGCAATCATCACACAGCAGTTTCTGAGAATGCTTCTATGTCGTTTTTAGGAGAAGATATTTCCTTTTCCAACACAGTCCTCCAAGTCCGCTAAATAGCCACTTGCACATTGTAGAAAAAGTGTGTCAAAGCTGCGCTATCAAAGGGAAAGTTCAACTCTGAGAGGTGAATGCAAACATCCCAAAGAAGTTTCTGAGAGTGCTTCCGTTTAGCTTTTAGGTGAAGATTATCCCGTTTCCAACGAAACCTTCAAAGAAGTCCAAATATCCCCTTGCGGATCCCACAGAAAGAGTGTTTCGAAACTGCTGTTTCAAAAGGAATCTTCAACTCTGTGAGTTGAATGCAATCATCACAAAGAAGTTTCTGACAATGCTTCTCTCTCGTCTTTCTGTGAAGATAAATAAATGCTTTCAGGCCTTTGCCACCACAGGCCTGAAAGCGCTCCAAATGTCCACTTGCAGATTCTGCGAAAAGAATATTTCAAAACTGCTTTGTGAAAAGCAATGTTAAACTCTGTGGCTCGAACACAAACATCACAAAGCGGTTTCTGAGAATGCTTCAGTTTAGTTTTTCTGTGGAAATATTCCCGTTTCCAAAGAAATCTTCAAAGAGGTCCACGTATCCACTTACAGATTCTACAAAAAGACAGTTTCAAAACTGCTCCATCAAAAGGAGGGTTCAACTGTGTGAATTGAATGCAATCATCACTCAGAAGTTTCTGAGAATGCTTCTCTTTAGTTTTTACGTGAACATATACCCGTTTCGAACGAAGGCCACCCAGTGGTCCAAATATCCACTTGCAGATTCTACAGAAAGAGTGTTTCGAACCTGAACTCTCAAAGGCAGGTTCATCTCTGCGAGTTAAATGCATTCATCATGAAGAACTTTCTCAGAGTGTTTGTGTTTAGTTATGGGAAATTATTCCCGTTTCCAACGAAATCCTCAGAGAGCTCCAAATATCCACCTGCAGATTCTACCAAAAGTGTATTTGGAAACTGCTCCATCAAAAGGCATGTTCAGCTCTGTGAGTGAAACTCCATCATCACAAAGAATATTCTGAGAATGCTTCCGTTTGCCTTTTATATGAAGTTCCTTCCTGTACTACTGTAGGCCTCAAAGCAGTCCAAATCTCCATTTGCAGATTCTACAAAAAGAGTGATTCCAATCTGCTCTATCAATAGGATTGTTCAACTCCATGAGTTGAATGCCATCCTCACAAAGTAGTTTCTGAGAATGCTTCTATCTGGTTTTTGTGTGAAGATATTTCCTTTTCCACCACAGGCCTCAAAGCCCTCCAAACGTCCACTTGCAGATTCTCGAAAAAGAGTGTTTCATAGCTGCTCTTTCAAAAGGAAAGTTCAACTCTGGGAGTTGAATACAAACATCACAAAGTAGTTTCCGAGAATGCTTCTGTTTAGTTTTTATGTGAAGATGATCCCGTTTCCAGTGAAATCTTCAAAGAGGTCCACATATCCCCTTGCAGATTCCAAAGAAAGAGGGTTTCAAAACTGCTCCATCAGAAGGATTGTTCAACTCTGTGAGTTGAATGCAGTCATCGCAGAAAACTTTCTGAGAATGCTTCTGTCTAGGTTTGATGTGAAGATATAGACGTTTCAAACGAAGGCTACAAAGTGGTCAAAATATACACTTGCAGATTCTACTACAAGGGTGTTGCAAACCTGAACTATCAAAGGAAGGTTGAACTCTGTGAGTTGAATACAAACATCACAAAGAATGTTCTGAGTTTGCTTCCGTTCAGTTATGGGATGTTGATCCCGTTTCCAACGAAATCCTCAGAGAGGTCCAAATATCCCCTTGCAGATTCTACAAAACGTGTGTTTGGAAACTGCTCCATCATAACGAATGTTCAGCTCCCTGAGTTAAACTCCATCGTCACAAAGAATTTTCTGAGAGTGCTACCGTCTGGTTTTTATATGAAGCTCTTTCCTTCACTACCACAGGCCTCAAAGCGGTCCAAATCTCCACTTGCAGATTCTACAAAAAGAGTGTTTGCAAACTGCTCTATCAAAAGGAATGTTCAACTCTGGGAGTTGAATGCAATCATCACAGAGCAGTTTCTGAGAATGCTTCTATGTCGTTTTTAGGAGAAGATATTTCCTTTTCCAACACAGTCCTCCAAGCCCGCTAAATAGCCACTTGCACATTGTAGAAAAAGTGTGTCAAAGCTGCGCTATCAAAGGGAAAGTTCAACTGTGTGAGGTGAATGCAAACATCCCAAAGAAGTTTCTGAGAATGCTTCCGTTTAGCTTTTAGGTGAAGATTATCCCGTTTCCAACGAAACCTTCAAAGAGGTCCAAATATCCCCTTGCGGATCCCACAGAAAGAGTGTTTCGAAACTGCTGTTTCAAAAGGAATCTTCAACTCTGTGAGTTGAATGCAATCATCCCAAAGAAGTTTCTGACAATGCTTCTCTCTCGTCTTTCTGTGAAGATAAAGGAAAAGGCTTTCAGGCCTTTTCCACCACAGGCCTGAAAGCGCTCCAAAAGTCCACTTGCAGATTCTGCCAAAAGAATATTTCAAAACTGCTCTATGAAAAGCAATGTTAAACTCTGTGGCTCGAACACAAACATCACAAAGCAGTTTCTGAGAATGCTTCAGTTTAGTTTTTCTGTGGAAATATTCCCGTTTCCAAAGAAATCTTCAAAGAGGTCCACGTATCCACTTACAGATTCTACAAAAAGACAGTTTCAAAACTGCTCCATCAAAAGGAGGGTTCAACTGTGTGACTTGAATGCAATCATCACTCAGAAGTTTCTGAGAATGCTTCTCTTTAGTTTTTACGTGAACATATACCGTTTCGAACGAAGGCCACCCAGTGGTCCAAATATCCACTTGCAGATTCTACAGAAAGAGTGTTTCGAACCTGAACTCTCAAAGGCAGGTTCATCTCTGCGAGTTAAATGCATTCATCATGAAGAACTTTCTCAGAGTGTTTGTGTTTAGTTATGGGAAATTATTCCCGTTTCCAACGAAATCCTCAGAGAGGTCCAAATATCCACCTGCAGATTCTACCAAAAGTGTATTTGGAAACTGCTCCATCAAAAGGCATGTTCAGCTCTGTGAGTGAAACTCCATCATCACAAAGAATATTCTGAGAATGCTTCCGTTTGCTTTTATATGAAGTTCCTTCCTATACGACCGTAGGCCTCAAAGCAGTCCAAATCTCCATTTGCAGATTCTACAAAAAGAGTGATTCCAATCTGCTCTATCAATAGGATTGTTCAACTCCATGTGTTGAATGCCATCCTCACAAAGTAGTTTCTGAGAATGCTTCTATCTAGTTTTTATGTGAAGATATTTCCTTTTCCACCACAGGCCTCAAAGCCTTCCAAACGTCCACTTGCAGATTCTCGAAAAAGAGTGTTTCATAGCTGCTCTTTCAAAAGGAAAGTTCAACTCTGGGAGTTGAATACAAACATCACAAAGTAGTTTCCGAGAATGCTTCTGTTTAGTTTTTATGTGAAGATGATCCCGTTTCCAGTGAAATCTTCAAAGAGGTCCACATATCCCATTGCAGATTCCAAAGAAAGAGGGTTTCAAAACTGCTCCATCAGAAGGATTGTTCAACTCTGTGAGTTGAATGCAGTCATCGCAGAAAACTTTCTGAGAATGCTTCTGTCTAGGTTTGATGTGAAGATATAGACGTTTCAAACGAAGGCTACAAAGTGGTCAAAATATACACTTGCAGATTCTACTACAAGGGTGTTGCAAACCTGAACTATCAAAGGAAGGTTCAACTCTGTGAGTTGAATACAAACATCACAAAGAATGTTCTGAGTTTGCTTCCGTTCAGTTATGGGAAGTTGATCCCGTTTCCAACGAAATCCTCAGAGAGGTCCAAATATCCCCTTGCAGATTCTACAAAACGTGTGTTTGGAAACTGCTCCATCATAACGAATGTTCAGCTCCCTGAGTTAAACTCCATCGTCACAAAGAATTTTCTGAGAGTGCTACCGTCTGGTTTTTATATGAAGTTCTTTCCTTCACTACCACAGGCCTCAACGCGGTCCAAATCTCCACTTGCAGATTCTACAAAAAGAGTGTTTGCAAACTGCTCTATCAAAAGGAATGTTCAACTCTGGGAGTTGAATGCAATCATCACAGAGCAGTTTCTGAGAATGCTTCTATGTCGTTTTTAGGAGAAGATATTTCCTTTTCCAACACAGTCCTCCAAGCCCGCTAAATAGCCACTTGCACATTGTAGAAAAAGTGTGTCAAAGCTGCGCTATCAAAGGGAAAGTTCAACTCTGTGAGGTGAATGCAAACATCCCAAAGAAGTTTCTGAGAATGCTTCCGTTTAGCTTTTAGGTGAAGATTATCCCGTTTCCAACGAAACCTTCAAAGAGGTCCAAATATCCCCTTGCGGATCCCACAGAAAGAGTGTTTCGAAACTGCTGTTTCAAAAGGAATCTTCAACTCTGTGAGTTGAATGCAATCATCCCAAAGAAGTTTCTGACAATGCTTCTTCTCTCTCGTCTTTCTGTGAAGATAAAGGAAAAGGCTTTCAGGCCTTTTCCACCACAGGCCTGAAAGCGCTCCAAATGTCCACTTGCAGATTCTGCCAAAAGAATATTTCAAAACTGCTCTATGAAAAGCAATGTTAAACTCTGTGGCTCGAACACAAACATCACAAAGCGGTTTCTGAGAATGCTTCAGTTTAGTTTTTCTGTGGAAATATTCCCGTTTCCAAAGAAATCTTCAAAGAGGTCCACGTATCCACTTACAGATTCTACAAAAAGACAGTTTCAAAACTGCTCCATCAAAAGGAGGGTTCAACCGTGTGACTTGAATGCAATCATCACTCAGAAGTTTCTGAGAATGCTTCTCTTTAGTTTTTACGTGAACATATACCCGTTTCGAACGAAGGCCACCCAGTGGTCCAAATATCCACTTGCAGATTATACAGAAAGAGTGTTTCGAACCTGAACTCTCAAAGGCAGGTTCATCTCTGCGAGTTAAATGCATTCATCATGAAGAACTTTCTCAGAGTGTTTGTGTTTAGTTATGGGAAATTATTCCCCTTTCCAACGAAATCCTCAGAGAGCTCCAAATATCCACCTGCAGATTCTACCAAAAGTGTATTTGGAAACTGCTCCATCAAAAGGCATGTTCAGCTCTGTGAGTGAAACTCCATCATCACAAAGAATATTCTGAGAATGCTTCCGTTTGCCTTTTATATGAAGTTCCTTCCTGTACGACCGTAGGCCTCAAAGCAGTCCAAATCTCCATTTGCAGATTCTACAAAAAGAGTGATTCCAATCTGCTCTATCAATAGGATTGTTCAACTCCATGAGTTGAATGCCATCCTCACAAAGCAGTTTCTGAGAATGCTTCTATCTGGTTTTTGTGTGAAGATATTTCCTTTTCCACCACAGGCCTCAAAGCCCTCCAAACGTCCACTTGCAGATTCTCGAAAAAGAGTGTTTCATAGCTGCTCTTTCAAAAGGAAAGTTCAACTCTGGCAGTTGAATACAAACATCACAAAGTAGTTTCCGAGAATGCTTCTGTTTAGTTTTTATGTGAAGATGATCCCGTTTCCAGTGAAATCTTCAAAGAGGTCCACATATCCCCTTGCAGATTCCAAAGAAAGAGGGTTTCAAAACTGCTCCATCAGAAGGATTGTTCAACTCTGTGAGTTGAATGCAGTCATCGCAGAAAACTTTCTGAGAATGCTTCTGTCTAGGTTTGATGTGAAGATATAGACGTTTCAAACGAAGGCTACAAAGTGGTCAAAATATACACTTGCAGATTCTACTACAAGGGTGTTGCAAACCTGAACTATCAAAGGAAGGTTCAACTCTGTGAGTTGAATACAAACATCACAAAGAATGTTCTGAGTTTGCTTCCGTTCAGTTATGGGAAGTTGATCCCGTTTCCAACGAAATCCTCAGAGAGGTCCAAATATCCCCTTGCAGATTCTACAAAACGTGTGTTTGGAAACTGCTCCATCATAACGAATGTTCAGCTCCCTGAGTTAAACTCCATCGTCACAAAGAATTTTCTGAGAGTGCTACCGTCTGGTTTTTATATGAAGTTCTTTCCTTCACTACCACAGGCCTCAAAGCGGTCCAAATCTCCACTTGCAGATTCTACAAAAAGAGTGTTTGCAAACTGCTCTATCAAAAGGAATGTTCAACTCTGGGAGTTGAATGCAATCATCACAGAGCAGTTTCTGAGAATGCTTCTATGTCGTTTTTAGGAGAAGATATTTCCTTTTCCAACACAGTCCTCCAAGCCCGCTAAATAGCCACTTGCACATTGTAGAAAAAGTGTGTCAAAGCTGCGCTATCAAAGGGAAAGTTCAACTCTGTGAGGTGAATGCAAACATCCCAAAGAAGTTTCTGAGAACGCTTCCGTTTAGCTTTTAGGTGAAGATTATCCCGTTTCCAACGAAACCTTCAAAGAGGTCCAAATATCCCCTTGCGGATCCCACAGAAAGAGTGTTTCGAAACTGCTGTTTCAAAAGGAATCTTCAACTCTGTGAGTTGAATGCAATCATCACAAAGAAGTTTCTGACAATGCTTCTCTCTCGTCTTTCTGTGAAGATAAAGGAAAAGGCTTTCAGGCCTTTGCCACCACAGGCCTGAAAGCGCTCCAAATGTCCACTTGCAGATTCTGCGAAAAGAATATTTCAAAACTGCTCTATGAAAAGCAATGTTAAACTCTGTGGCTCGAACACAAACATCACAAAGCAGTTTCTGAGAATGCTTCAGTTTAGTTTTTCTGTGGAAATATTCCCGTTTCCAAAGAAATCTTCAAAGAGGTCCACGTATCCACTTACAGATTCTACAAAAAGACAGTTTCAAAACTGCTCCATCAAAAGGAGTGTTCAACCGTGTGACTTGAATGCAATCATCACTCAGAAGTATCTGAGAATGCTTCTCTTTAGTTTTTACGTGAACATATACCCGTTTCGAACGAAGGCCACCCAGTGGTCCAAATATCCACTTGCAGATTATACAGAAAGAGTGTTTCGAACCTGAACTCTCAAAGGCAGGTTCATCTCTGCGAGTTAAATGCATTCATCATGAAGAACTTTCTCAGAGTGTTTGTGTTTAGTTATGGGAAATTATTCCCGTTTCCAACGAAATCCTCAGAGAGCTCCAAATATCCACCTGCAGATTCTACCAAAAGTGTATTTGGAAACTGCTCCATCAAAAGGCATGTTCAGCTCTGTGAGTGAAACTCCATCATCACAAAGAATATTCTGAGAATGCTTCCGTTTGCCTTTTATATGAAGTTCCTTCCTGTACTACCGTAGGCCTCAAAGCAGTCCAAATCTCCATTTGCAGATTCTATAAAAAGAGTGATTCCAATCTGCTCTATCAATAGGATTGTTCAACTCCATGAGTTGAATGCCATCCTCACAAAGTAGTTTCTGAGAATGCTTCTATCTGGTTTTTGTGTGAAGATATTTCCTTTTCCACCACAGGCCTCAAAGCCCTCCAAACGTCCACTTGCAGATTCTCGAAAAAGAGTGTTTCATAGCTGCTCTTTCAAAAGGAAAGTTCAACTCTGGGAGTTGAATACAAACATCACAAAATAGTTTCCGAGAATGCTTCTGTTTAGTTTTTATGTGAAGATGATCCCGTTTCCAGTGAAATCTTCAAAGAGGTCCACATATCCCCTTGCAGATTCCAAAGAAAGAGGGTTTCAAAAACTGCTCCATCAGAAGGATTGTTCAACTCTGTGAGTTGAATGCAGTCATCGCAGAAAACTTTCTGAGAATGCTTCTGTCTAGGTTTGATGTGAAGATATAGACGTTTCAAACGAAGGCTACAAAGTGGTCAAAATATACACTTGCAGATTCTACTACAAGGGTGTTGCAAACCTGAACTATCAAAGGAAGGTTCAACTCTGTGAGTTGAATACAAACATCGCAAAGAATGCTCTGAGTTTGCTTCCGTTCAGTTATGGGAAGTTGATCCCGTTTCCAACGAAATCCTCAGAGAGGTCCAAATATCCCCTTGCAGATTCTACAAAACGTGTGTTTGGAAACTGCTCCATCATAACGAATGTTCAGCTCTCTGAGTTAAACTCCATCGTCACAAAGAATTTTCTGAGAGTGCTACCGTCTAGTTTTTATATGAAGTTCTTTCCTTTACTACCACAGGCCTCAAAGCGGTCCAAATCTCCACTTGCAGATTCTACAAAAAGAGTGTTTGCAAACTGCTCTATCAAAAGGAATGTTCAACTCTGGGAGTTGAATGCAATCATCACAGAGCAGTTTCTGAGAATGCTTCTATGTCGTTTTTAGGAGAAGATATTTCCTTTTCCAACACAGTCCTCCAAGCCCGCTAAATATCCACTTGCACATTGTAGAAAAAGTGTGTCGAAGCTGCGCTATCAAAGGGAAAGTTCAACTCTGTGAGGTGAATGCAAACATCCCAAAGAAGTTTCTGAGAATGCTTCCGTTTAGCTTTTAGGTGAAGATTATCCCGTTTCCAACGAAATCTTCAAAGAGGTCCAAATATCCCCTTGCGGATCCCACAGAAAGAGTGTTTCGAAACTGCTGTTTCAAAAGGAATCTTCAACTCTGTGAGTTGAATGCAATCATCACAAAGAAGTTTCTGACAATGCTTCTCTCTCGTCTTTCTGTGAAGATAAAGGAAAAGGCTTTCAGGCCTTTTCCACCACAGGCCTGAAAGCGCTCCAAATGTCCACTTGCAGATTCTGCCAAAAGAATAGTTCAAAACTGCTCTATGAAAAGCAATGTTAAACTCTGTGGCTCGAACACAAACATCACAAAGCAGTTTCTGAGAATGCTTCAGTTTAGTTTTTCTGTGGAAATATTCCCGTTTCCAAAGAAATCTTCAAAGAGGTCCACGCATCCACTTACAGATTCTACAAAAAGACAGTTTCAAAACTGCTCAATCAAAAGGAGGGTTCAACTGTGTGACTTGAATGCAATCATCACTCAGAAGTTTATGAGAACGCTTCTCTTTAGTTTTTACGTGAACATATACCCGTTTCGAACGAAGGCCAGCCAGTGGTCCAAATATCCACTTGCAGATTCTACAGAAAGAGTGTTTCGAACCTGAACTCTCAAAGGCAGGTTCATCTCTGCGAGTTCAATGCATTCATCATGAAGAACTTTCTCAGAGTGTTTTTGTGTTTAGTTATGGGAAATTATTAACGTTTCCAACGAAATCCTCAGAGAGCTCCAAATATCCACCTGCAGATTCTACCAAAAGTGTATTTGGAAACTGCTCCATCAAAAGGCATGTTCAGCTCTGTGAGTGAAACTCCATCATCACAAAGAATATTCTGAGAATGCTTCCGTTTGCCTTTTATCTGAAGTTCCTTCCTATACGACCGTAGGCCTCAAAGCAGTCCAAATCTCCATTTGCAGATTCTACAAAAAGAGTGATTCCAATCTGCTCTATCAATAGGATTGTTCAACTCCATGAGTTGAATGCCATCCTCACAAAGTCGTTTCTGAGAATGCTTCTATCTAGTTTTTATGTGAAGATATTTCCTTTTCCACCACAGGCCTCAAAGCCTTCCAAACGTCCACTTGCAGATTCTCGAAAAAGAGTGTTTCATAGCTGCTCTTTCAAAAGGAAAGTTCAACTCTGGGAGTTGAATACAAACATCACAAAGTAGTTTCCGAGAATGCTTCTGTTTAGTTTTTATGTGAAGATGATCCCGTTTCCAGTGAAATCTTCAAAGAGGTCCACATATCCCCTTGCAGATTCCAAAGAAAGAGGGTTTCAAAACTGCTCCATCAGAAGGATTGTTCAACTCTGTGAGTTGAATGCAGTCATCGCAGAAAACTTTCTGAGAATGCTTCTTTCTAGGTTTGATGTGAAGATATAGACGTTTCAAACGAAGGCTACAAAGTGGTCAAAATATACACTTGCAGATTCTACTACAAGGGTGTTGCAAACCTGAACTATCAAAGGAAGGTTCAACTCTGTGAGTTGAATACAAACATCACAAAGAATGTTCTGAGTTTGCTTCCGTTCAGTTATGGGAAGTTGATCCCTTTTCCAACGAAATCCTCAGAGAGGTCCAAATATCCCCTCGCAGATTCTACAAAACGTGTGTTTGGAAACTGCTCCATCATAACGAATGTTCAGCTCCCTGAGTTAAACTCCATCGTCACAAAGAATTTTCTGAGAGTGCTACCGTCTGGTTTTTATATGAAGTTCTTTCCTTCACTACCACAGGCCTCAAAGCGGTCCAAATCTCCACTTGCAGATTCTACAAAAAGAGTGTTTGCAAACTGCTCTATCAAAAGGAATGTTCAACTCTGGGAGTTGAATGCAATCATCACAGAGCAGTTTCTGAGAATGCTTCTATGTCGTTTTTAGGAGAAGATATTTCCTTTTCCAACACAGTCCTCCAAGCCCGCTAAATAGCCACTTGCACATTGTAGAAAAAGTGTGTCAAAGCTGCGCTATCAAAGGGAAAGTTCAACTCTGTGAGGTGAATGCAAACATCCCAAAGAAGTTTCTGAGAATGCTTCCGTTTAGCTTTTAGGTGAAGATTATCCCGTTTCCAACGAAACCTTCAAAGAGGTCCAAATATCCCCTTGCGGATCCCACAGAAAGAGTGTTTCGAAACTGCTGTTTCAAAAGGAATCTTCAACTCTGTGAGTTGAATGCAATCATCACAAAGAAGTTTCTGACAATGCTTCTCTCTCGTCTTTCTGTGAAGATAAAGGAAAAGGCTTTCAGGCCTTTTCCACCACAGGCCTGAAAGCGCTCCAAATGTCCACTTGCAGATTCTGCCAAAAGAATATTTCAAAACTGCTCTATGAAAAGCAATGTTAAACTCTGTGGCTCGAACACAAACATCACAAAGCAGTTTCTGAGAATGCTTCAGTTTAGTTTTTCTGTGGAAATATTCCCGTTTCCAAAGAAATCTTCAAAGAGGTCCACGTATCCACTTACAGATTCTACAAAAAGACAGTTTCAAAACTGCTCCATCAAAAGGAGGGTTCAACTGTGTGACTTGAATGCAATCATCACTCAGAAGTTTCTGAGAATGCTTCTCTTTAGTTTTTACGTGAACATATAACCGTTTCGAACGAAGGCCACCCAGTGGTCCAAATATCCACTTGCAGATTCTACAGAAAGAGTGTTTCGAACCTGAACTCTCAGAGGCAGGTTCATCTCTGCGAGTTCAATGCATTCATCATGAAGAACTTTCTCAGCGTGTTTGTGTTTAGTTATGGGAAATTATTCCCGTTTCCAACGAAATCCTCAGAGAGGTCCAAATGTCCACCTGCAGATTCTACCAAAAGTGTATTTGGAAACTGCTCCATCAACAGGCATGTTCAGCTCTGTGAGTGAAACTCCATCATCACAAAGAATATTCTGAGAATGCTTCCGTTTGCCTTTTATCTGAAGTTCCTTCCTATACGACCGTAGGCCTCAAAGCAGTCCAAATCTCCATTTGCAGATTCTACAAAAAGAGTGATTCCAATCTGCTCTATCAATAGGATTGTTCAACTCCATGAGTTGAATGCCATCCTCACAAAGTCGTTTCTGAGAATGCTTCTATCTAGTTTTTGTGTGAAGATATTTCCTTTTCCACCACAGGCCTCAAAGCCCTCCAAACGTCCACTTGCAGATTCTCGAAAAAGAGTGTTTTATAGCTGCTCTTTCAAAAGGAAAGCTCAACTCTGGGAGTTGAATACAAACATCACAAAGTAGTTTCCGAGAATGCTTCTGTTTAGTTTTTATGTGAAGATGATCCCGTTTCCAGTGAAATCTTCAAAGAGGTCCACATATCCCCTTGCAGATTCCAAAGAAAGAGGGTTTCAAAACTGCTCCATCAGAAGGATTGTTCAACTCTGTGAGTTGAATGCAGTCATCGCAGAAAACTTTCTGAGAATGCTTCTGTCTAGGTTTGATGTGAAGATATAGACGTTTCAAACGAAGGCTACAAAGTGGTCAAAATATACACTTGCAGATTCTACTACAAGGGTGTTGCAAACCTGAACTATCAAAGGAAGGTTCAACTCTGTGAGTTGAATACAAACATCACAAAGAATGTTCTGAGTTTGCTTCCGTTCAGTTATGGGAAGTTGATCCCGTTTCCAACGAAATCCTCAGAGAGGTCCAAATATCCCCTTGCAGATTCTACAAAACGTGTGTTTGGAAACTGCTCCATCATAACGAATGTTCAGCTCCCTGAGTTAAACTCCATCGTCACAAAGAATTTTCTGAGAGTGCTACCGTCTGGTTTTTATATGAAGCTCTTTCCTTCACTACCACAGGCCTCAAAGCGGTCCAAATCTCCACTTGCAGATTCTACAAAAAGAGTGTTTGCAAACTGCTCTATCAAAAGGAATGTTCAACCCTGGGAGTTGAATGCAATCATCACAGAGCAGTTTCTGAGAATGCTTCTATGTCGTTTTTAGGAGAAGATATTTCCTTTTCCAACACAGTCCTCCAAGCCCGCTAAATAGCCACTTGCACATTGTAGAAAAAGTGTGTCAAAGCTGCGCTATCAAAGGGAAAGTTCAACTCTGTGAGGTGAATGCAAACATCCCAAAGAAGTTTCTGAGAATGCTTCCGTTTAGCTTTTAGGTGAAGATTATCCCGTTTCCAACGAAACCTTCAAAGAGGTCCAAATATCCCCTTGCGGATCTCACAGAAAGAGTGTTTCGAAACTGCTGTTTCAAAAGGAATCTTCAACTCTGTGAGTTGAATGCAATCATCACAAAGAAGTTTCTGACAATGCTTCTCTCTCGTCTTTCTGTGAAGGTAAAGGAAAAGGCTTTCAGGCCTTTTCCACCCACAGGCCTGAAAGCGCTCCAAATGTCCACTTGCAGATTCTGCCAAAAGAATATTTCAAAACTGCTCTATGAAAAGCAATGTTAAACTCTGTGGCTCGAACACAAACATCACAAAGCGGTTTCTGAGAATGCTTCAGTTTAGTTTTTCTGTGGAAATATTCCCGTTTCCAAAGAAATCTTCAAAGAGGTCCACGTATCCACTTACAGATTCTACAAAAAGACAGTTTCAAAACTGCTCCATCAAAAGGAGGGTTCAACTGTGTGACTTGAATGCAATCATCACTCAGAAGTTTCTGAGAATGCTTCTCTTTAGTTTTTACGTGAACATATACCCGTTTCGAACGAAGGCCACCCAGTGGTCCAAATATCCACTTGCAGATTCTACAGAAAGAGTGTTTCGAACCTGAACTCTCAAAGGCAGGTTCATCTCTGCGAGTTAAATGCATTCATCATGAAGAACTTTCTCAGAGTGTTTGTGTTTAGTTATGGGAAATTATTCCCGTTTCCAACGAAATCCTCAGAGAGCTCCAAATATCCACCTGCAGATTCTACCAAAAGTGTATTTGGAAACTGCTCCATCAAAAGGCACGTTCAGCTCTGTGAGTGAAACTCCATCATCACAAAGAATATTCTGAGAATGCTTCCGTTTGCCTTTTATATGAAGTTCCTTCCTATACGACCGTAGGCCTCAAAGCAGTCCAAATCTCCATTTGCAGATTCTACAAAAAGAGTGATTCCAATCTGCTCTATCAATAGGATTGTTCAACTCCATGAGTTGAATGCCATCCTCACAAAGTAGTTTCTGAGAATGCTTCTATCTAGTTTTTATGTGAAGATATTTCCTTTTCCACCACAGGCCTCAAAGCCCTCCAAACGTCCACTTGCAGATTCTCGAAAAAGAGTGTTTCATAGCTGCTCTTTCAAAAGGAAAGTTCAACTCTGGGAGTTGAATACAAACATCACAAAGTAGTTTCCGAGAATGCTTCTGTTTAGTTTTTATGTGAAGATGATCCCGTTTCCAGTGAAATCTTCAAAGAGGTCCACATATCCCCTTGCAGATTCCAAAGAAAGAGGGTTTCAAAACTGCTCCATCAGAAGGATTGTTCAACTCTGTGAGTTGAATGCAGTCATCGCAGAAAACTTTCTGAGAATGCTTCTGTCTAGGTTTGATGTGAAGATATAGACGTTTCAAATGAAGGCTACAAAGTGGTCAAAATATACACTTGCAGATTCTACTACAAGGGTGTTGCAAACCTGAACTATCAAAGGAAGGTTCAACTCTGTGAGTTGAATACAAACATCACAAAGAATGTTCTGAGTTTGCTTCCGTTCAGTTATGGGAAGTTGATCCCGTTTCCAACGAAATCCTCAGAGAGGTCCAAATATCCCCTTGCAGATTCTACAAAACGTGTGTTTGGAAACTGCTCCATCATAACGAATGTTCAGCTCCCTGAGTTAAACTCCATCGTCACAAAGAATTTTCTGAGAGTGCTACCGTCTGGTTTTTATATGAAGCTCTTTCCTTCACTACCACAGACCTCAAAGCGGTCCAAATCTCCACTTGCAGATTCTACAAAAAGAGTGTTTGCAAACTGCTCTATCAAAAGGAATGTTCAACTCTGGGAGTTGAATGCAATCATCACAGAGCAGTTTCTGAGAATGCTTCTATGTCGTTTTTAGGAGAAGATATTTCCTTTTCCAACACAGTCCTCCAAGCCCGCTAAATAGCCACTTGCACATTGTAGAAAAAGTGTGTCAAAGCTGCGCT
This sequence comes from Homo sapiens, assembly GCF_000001405.40. NCBI lineage: Eukaryota > Metazoa > Chordata > Mammalia > Primates > Hominidae > Homo > Homo sapiens. The sequence continues at coordinate 61,114,275 of NC_000023.11, read as the reverse complement.
ATCAAAGGGAAAGTTCAACTCTGTGAGGTGAATGCAAACATCCCAAAGATGTTTCTGAGAATGCTTCCGTTTAGCTTTTAGGTGAAGATTATCCCGTTTCCAACGAAACCTTCAAAGAGGTCCAAATATCCCCTTGCGGATCCCACAGAAAGAGTGTTTCGAAACTGCTGTTTCAAAAGGAATCTTCAACTCTGTGAGTTGAATGCAATCATCACAAAGAAGTTTCTGACAATGCTTCTCTCTCGTCTTTCTGTGAAGATAAAGGAAAAGGCTTTCAGGTCTTTTCCACCACAGGCCTGAAAGCGCTCCAAATGTCCACTTGCAGATTCTGCCAAAAGAATATTTCAAAACTGCTCTATGAAAAGCAATGTTAAACTCTGCGGCTCGAACACAAACATCACAAAACAGTTTCTGAGAATGCTTCAGTTTAGTTTTTCTGTGGAAATATTCCCGTTTCCAAAGAAATCTTCAAAGAGGTCCACGTATCCACTTACAGATTCTACAAAAAGACAGTTTCAAAACTGCTCAATCAAAAGGAGGGTTCAACTGTGTGACTTGAATGCAATCATCACTCAGAAGTTTCTGAGAATGCTTCTCTTTAGTTTTTACGTGAACATATACCCGTTTCGAACGAAGGCCACCCAGTGGTCCAAATGTCCACTTGCAGATTCTACAGAAAGAGTGTTTCGAACCTGAACTCTCAAAGGCAGGTTCATCTCTGCGAGTTAAATGCATTCATCATGAAGAACTTTCTCAGCGTGTTTGTGTTTAGTTATGGGAAATTATTCCCGTTCCCAACGAAATCCTCAGAGAGGTCCAAATGTCCACCTGCAGATTCTACCAAAAGTGTATTTGGAAACTGCTCCATCAACAGGCATGTTCAGCTCTGTGAGTGAAACTCCATCATCACAAAGAATATTCTGAGAATGCTTCCGTTTGCCTTTTATATGAAGTTCCTTCCTATACGACCGTAGGCCTCAAAGCAGTGCAAATCTCCATTTGCAGATTCTACAAAAAGAGTGATTCCAATCTGCTCTATCAATAGGATTGTTCAACTCCATGAGTTGAATGCCATCCTCACAAAGTCGTTTCTGAGAATGCTTCTATCTAGTTTTTATGTGAAGATATTTCCTTTTCCACCACAGGCCTCAAAGCCTTCCAAACGTCCACTTGCAGATTCTCGAAAAAGAGTGTTTCATAGCTGCTCTTTCAAAAGGAAAGTTCAACTCTGGGAGTTGAATACAAACATCACAAAGTAGTTTCCGAGAATGCTTCTGTTTAGTTTTTATGTGAAGATGATCCCGTTTCCAGTGAAATCTTCAAAGAGGTCCACATATCCCCTTGCAGATTCCAAAGAAAGAGGGTTTCAAAACTGCTCCATCAGAAGGATTGTTCAACTCTGTGAGTTGAATGCAGTCATCGCAGAAAACTTTCTGAGAATGCTTCTGTCTAGGTTTGATGTGAAGATATAGACGTTTCAAACGAAGGCTACAAAGTGGTCAAAATATACACTTGCAGATTCTACTACAAGGGTGTTGCAAACCTGAACTATCAAAGGAAGGTTCAACTCTGTGAGTTGAATACAAACATCACAAAGAATGTTCTGAGTTTGCTTCCGTTCAGTTATGGGAAGTTGATCCCGTTTCCAACGAAATCCTCAGAGAGGTCCAAATATCCCCTTGCAGATTCTACAAAACGTGTGTTTGGAAACTGCTCCATCATAACGAATGTTCAGCTCCCTGAGTTAAACTCCATCGTCACAAAGAATTTTCTGAGAGTGCTACCGTCTGGTTTTTATATGAAGTTCTTTCCTTCACTACCACAGACCTCAAAGCGGTCCAAATCTCCACTTGCAGATTCTACAAAAAGAGTGTTTGCAAACTGCTCTATCAAAAGGAATGTTCAACTCTGGGAGTTGAATGCAATCATCACAGAGCAGTTTCTGAGAATGCTTCTATGTCGTTTTTAGGAGAAGATATTTCCTTTTCCAACACAGTCCTCCAAGCCCGCTAAATATCCACTTGCACATTGTAGAAAAAGTGTGTCAAAGCTGCGCTATCAAAGGGAAAGTTCAACTCTGTGAGGTGAATGCAAACATCCCAAAGAAGTTTCTGAGAATGCTTCCGTTTAGCTTTTAGGTGAAGATTATCCCGTTTCCAACGAAACCTTCAAAGAGGTCCAAATATCCCCTTGCGGATCCCACAGAAAGAGTGTTTCGAAACTGCTGTTTCAAAAGGAATCTTCAACTCTGTGAGTTGAATGCAATCATCACAAAGAAGTTTCTGACAATGCTTCTCTCTCGTCTTTCTGTGAAGATAAAGAAAAGGCTTTCAGGCCTTTTCCACCACAGGCCTGAAAGCGCTCCAAATGTCCACTTGCAGATTCTGCGAAAAGAATATTTCAAAACTGCTCTATGAAAAGCAATGTTAAACTCTGTGGCTCGAACACAAACATCACAAAGCAGTTTCTGAGAATGCTTCAGTTTAGTTTTTCTGTGGAAATATTCCCGTTTCCAAAGAAATCTTCAGAGGTCCACGTATCCACTTACAGATTCTACAAAAAGACAGTTTCAAAACTGCTCCATCAAAAGGAGGGTTCAACTGTGTGACTTGAATGCAATCATCACTCAGAAGTTTCTGAGAATGCTTCTCTTTAGTTTTTACGTGAACATATACCCGTTTCGAACGAAGGCCACCCAGTGGTCCAAATATCCACTTGCAGATTATACAGAAAGAGTGTTTCGAACCTGAACTCTCAAAGGCAGGTTCATCTCTGCGAGTTAAATGCATTCATCATGAAGAACTTTCTCAGAGTGTTTGTGTTTAGTTATGGGAAATTATTCCCGTTTCCAACGAAATCCTCAGAGAGCTCCAAATATCCACCTGCAGATTCTACCAAAAGTGTATTTGGAAACTGCTCCATCAACAGGCATGTTCAGCTCTGTGAGTGAAACTCCATCATCACAAAGAATATTCTGAGAATGCTTCCGTTTGCCTTTTATCTGAAGTTCCTTCCTATACGACCGTAGGCCTCAAAGCAGTCCAAATCTCCATTTGCAGATTCCACAAAAAGAGTGATTCCAATCTGCTCTATCAATAGGATTGTTCAACTCCATGAGTTGAATGCCATCCTCACAAAGTCGTTTCTGAGAATGCTTCTATCTAGTTTTTATGTGAAGATATTTCCTTTTCCACCACAGGCCTCAAAGCCTTCCAAACGTCCACTTGCAGATTCTCGAAAAAGAGTGTTTCATAGCTGCTCTTTCAAAAGGAAAGTTCAACTCTGGGAGTTGAATACAAACATCACAAAGTAGTTTCCGAGAATGCTTCTGTTTAGTTCTTATGTGAAGATGATCCCGTTTCCAGTGAAATATTCAAAGAGGTCCACATATCCCCTTGCAGATTCCAAAGAAAGAGGGTTTCAAAACTGCTCCATCAAAAGGATTGTTCAACTCTGTGAGTTGAATGCAGTCATCGCAGAAAACTTTCTGAGAATGCTTCTGTCTAGGTTTGATGTGAAGATATAGACGTTTCAAACGAAGGCTACAAAGTGGTCAAAATATACACTTGCAGATTCTCCTACAAGGGTGCTGCAAACCTCAACTATCAAAGGAAGGTTCAACTCTGTGAGATGAATGCAAACATCACAAAGAATGTTCTGAGTTTGCTTCCGTTCAGTTATGGGAAGTTGATCCCGTTTCCAACGAAATCCTCAGAGAGGTCCAAATATCCCCTTGCAGATTCTACAAAACGTGTGTTTGGAAACTGCTCCATCATAACGAATGTTCAGCTCCCTGAGTTAAACTCCATCGTCACAAAGAATTTTCTGAGAGTGCTACCGTCTGGTTTTTATATGAAGTTCTTTCCTTCACTACCACAGGCCTCAAAGCGGTCCAAATCTCCACTTGCAGATTCTACAAAAAGAGTGTTTGCAAACTGCTTTGTCAAAAGGAATGTTTAACTCTGGGAGTTGAATGCAATCATCACAGAGCAGTTTCTGAGAATGCTTCTATGTCGTTTTTAGGAGAAGATATTTCCTTTTCCAACACAGTCCTCCAAGCCCGCTAAATAGCCACTTGCACATTGTAGAAAAAGTGTGTCAAAGCTGCGCTATCAAAGGGAAAGTTCAGCTCTGTGAGGTGAATGCAAACATCCCAAAGAAGTTTCTGAGAATGCTTCCGTTTAGCTTTTAGGTGAAGATTATCCCGTTTCCAACGAAACCTTCAAAGAGGTCCAAATATCCCCTTGCGGATCCCACAGAAAGAGTGTTTCGAAACTGCTGTTTCAAAAGGAATCTTCAACTCTGTGAGTTGAATGCAATCATCACAAAGAAGTTTCTGACAATGCTTCTCTCTCGTCTTTCTGTGAAGATAAAGGAAAAGGCTTTCAGGCCTTTTCCACCACAGGCCTGAAAGCGCTCCAAATGTCCACTTGCAGATTCTGCGAAAAGAATATTTCAAAACTGCTCTATGAAAAGCAATGTTAAACTCTGTGGCTGGAACACAAACATCACAAAGCGGTTTCTGAGAATGCTTCAGTTTAGTTTTTCTGTGGAAATATTCCCGTTTCCAAAGAAATCTTCAAAGAGGTCCACGTATCCACTTACAGATTCTACAAAAAGACAGTTTCAAAACTGCTCCATCAAAAGGAGGGTTCAACCGTGTGACTTGAATGCAATCATCACTCAGAAGTTTCTGAGAATGCTTCTCTTTAGTTTTTAGGTGAACATATACCCGTTTCGAACGAACGCCACCCAGTGGTCCAAATATCCACTTGCAGATTCTACAGAAAGAGTGTTTCGAACCTGAACTCTCAAAGGCAGGTTCATCTCTGCGAGTTAAATGCATTCATCATGAAGAACTTTCTCAGAGTGTTTGTGTTTAGTTATGGGAAATTATTCCCGTTTCCAACGAAATCCTCAGAGAGCTCCAAATATCCACCTGCAGATTCTACCAAAAGTGTATTTGGAAACTGCTCCATCAAAAGGCATGTTCAGCTCTGTCAGTGAAACTCCATCATCACAAAGAATATTCTGAGAATGCTTCCGTTTGCCTTTTATATGAACTTCCTTCCTGTACTACCGTAGGCCTCAAAGCAGTCCAAATCTCCATTTGCAGATTCTACAAAAAGAGTGATTCCAATCTTCTCTATCAATAGGATTGTTCAACTCCATGAGTTGAATGCCATCCTCACAAAGTAGTTTCTGAGAATGCTTCTATCTGGTTTTTGTGTGAAGATATTTCCTTTTCCACCACAGGCCTCAAAGCCCCCCAAACGTCCACTTGCAGATTCTCGAAAAAGAGTGTTTCATAGCTTCTCTTTCAAAAGGAAAGTTCAACTCTGGGAGTTGAATACAAACATCACAAAATAGTTTCCGAGAATGCTTCTGTTTAGTTTTTATGTGAAGATGATCCCGTTTCCAGTGAAATCTTCAAAGAGGTCCACATATCCCCTTGCAGATTCCAAAGAAAGAGGGTTTCAAAACTGCTCCATCAAAAGGATTGTTCAACTCTGTGTGTTGAATGCAGTCATCGCAGAAAACTTTCTGAGAATGCTTCTGTCTAGGTTTGATGTGAAGATATAGACGTTTCAAACGAAGGCTACAACGTGGTCAAAATATACACTTGCAGATTCTACTACAAGGGTGTTGGAAACCTGAACTATCAAAGGAAGGTTCAACTCTGTGAGTTGAATACAAACATCACAAAGAATGTTCTGAGTTTGCTTCCGTTCAGTTATGGGAAGTTGATCCCGTTTCCAACGAAATCCTCAGAGAGGTCCAAATATCCCCTTGCAGATTCTACAAAACGTGTGTTTGGAAACTGCTCCATCATAACGAATGTTCAGCTCCCTGAGTTAAACTCCATCGTCACAAAGAATTTTCTGAGAGTGCTACCGTCTGGTTTTTATATGAAGTTCTTTCCTTTACTACCATAGGCCTCAAAGCGGTCCAAATCTCCACTTGCAGATTCTACAAAAAGAGTGTTTGCAAACTGCTCTATCAAAAGGAATGTTCAACCCTGGGAGTTGAATGCAATCATCACAGAGCAGTTTCTGAGAATGCTTCTATGTCGTTTTTAGGAGAAGATATTTCCTTTTCCAACACAGTCCTCCAAGCCCGCTAAATAGCCACTTGCACATTGTAGAAAAAGTGTGTCAAAGCTGCGCTATCAAAGGGAAAGTTCAACTCTGTGAGGTGAATGCAAACATCCCAAAGAAGTTTCTGAGAGTGCTTCCGTTTAGCTTTTAGGTGAAGATTATCCCGCTTCCAACGAAACCTTCAAAGAGGTCCAAATATCCCCTTGCGGATCCCTCAGAAAGAGTGTTTCGAAACTGCTGTTTCAAAAGGAATCTTCAACTCTGTGAGTTGAATGCAATCATCACAAAGAAGTTTCTGACAATGCTTCTCTCTCGTCTTTCTGTGAAGATAAAGGAAAAGGCTTTCAGGCCTTTTCCACCACAGGCCTGAAAGCGCTCCAAATGTCCACTTGCAGATTCTGCCAAAAGAATATTTCAAAACTGCTCTATGAAAAGCAATGTTAAACTCTGTGGCTCGAACACAAACATCACAAAGCAGTTTCTGAGAATGCTTCAGTTTAGTTTTTCTGTGGAAATATTCCCGTTTCCAAAGAAATCTTCAAAGAGGTCCACGTATCCACTTACAGATTCTACAAAAAGACAGTTTCAAAACTGCTCCATCAAAAGGAGGGTTCAACTGTGTGACTTGAATGCAATCATCACTCAGAAGTTTCTGAGAATGCTTCTCTTTAGTTTTTACGTGAACATATACCCGTTTCGAACGAAGGCCACCCAGTGGTCCAAATATCCACTTGCAGATTCTACAGAAAGAGTGTTTCGAACCTGAACTCTCAAAGGCAGGTTCATCTCTGCGAGTTAAATGCATTCATCATGAAGAACTTTCTCAGAGTGTTTGTGTTTAGTTATGGGAAATTATTCCCGTTTCCAACGAAATCCTCAGAGAGCTCCAAATATCCACCTGCAGATTCTACCAAAAGTGTATTTGGAAACTGCTCCATCAAAAGGCATGTTCAGCTCTGTGAGTGAAACTCCATCATCACAAAGAATATTCTGAGAATGCTTCCGTTTGCCTTTTATATGAAGTTCCTTCCTATACGACCGTAGGCCTCAAAGCAGTCCAAATCTCCATTTGCAGATTCTACAAAAAGAGTGATTCCAATCTGCTCTATCAATAGGATTGTTCAACTCCATGAGTTGAATGCCATCCTCACAAAGTCGTTTCTGAGAATGCTTCTATCTAGTTTTTATGTGAAGATATTTCCTTTTCCACCACAGGCCTCAAAGCCCTCCAAACGTCCACTTGCAGATTCTCGAAAAAGAGTGTTTCATAGCTGCTCTTTCAAAAGGAAAGTTCAACTCTGGGAGTTGAATACAAACATCACAAAGTAGTTTCCGAGAATGCTTCTGTTTAGTTTTTATGTGAAGATGATCCCGTTTCCAGTGAAATCTTCAAAGAGGTCCACATATCCCCTTGCAGATTCCAAAGAAAGAGGGTTTCAAAACTGCTCCATCAGAAGGATTGTTCAACTCTGTGAGTTGAATGCAGTCATCGCAGAAAACTTTCTGAGAATGCTTCTGTCTAGGTTTGATGTGAAGATATAGACGTTTCAAACGAAGGCTACAAAGTGGTCAAAATATACACTTGCAGATTCTACTACAAGGGTGTTGCAAACCTGAACTATCAAAGGAAGGTTCAACTCTGTGAGTTGAATACAAACATCACAAAGAATGTTCTGAGTTTGCTTCCGTTCAGTTATGGGAAGTTGATCCCGTTTCCAACGAAATCCTCAGAGAGGTCCAAATATCCCCTTGCAGATTCTACAAAACGTGTGTTTGGAAACTGCTCCATCATAACGAATGTTCAGCTCCCTGAGTTAAACTCCATCGTCACAAAGAATTTTCTGAGAGTGCTACCGTCTGGTTTTTATATGAAGTTCTTTCCTTCACTACCACAGGCCTCAAAGCGGTCCAAATCTCCACTTGCAGATTCTACAAAAAGAGTGTTTGCAAACTGCTCTATCAAAAGGAATGTTCAACTCTGGGAGTTGAATGCAATCATCACAGAGCAGTTTCTGAGAATGCTTCTATGTCGTTTTTAGGAGAAGATATTTCCTTTTCCAACACAGTCCTCCAAGCCCGCTAAATAGCCACTTGCACATTGTAGAAAAAGTGTGTCAAAGCTGCGCTATCAAAGGGAAAGTTCAACTCTGTGAGGTGAATGCAAACATCCCAAAGAAGTTTCTGAGAATGCTTCCGTTTAGCTTTTAGGTGAAGATTATCCCGTTTCCAACGAAACCTTCAAAGAGGTCCAAATATCCCCTTGCGGATCCCACAGAAAGAGTGTTTCGAAACTGCTGTTTCAAAAGGAATCTTCAACTCTGTGAGTTGAATGCAATCATCACAAAGAAGTTTCTGACAATGCTTCTCTCTCGTCTTTCTGTGAAGATAAAGGAAAAGGCTTTCAGGCCTTTTCCACCACAGGCCTGAAAGCGCTCCAAATGTCCACTTGCAGATTCTGCGAAAAGAATATTTCAAAACTGCTCTATGAAAAGCAATGTTAAACTCTGTGGCTGGAACACAAACATCACAAAGCGGTTTCTGAGAATGTTTCAGTTTAGTTTTTCTGTGGAAATATTCCCGTTTCCAAAGAAATCTTCAAAGAGGTCCACGTATCCACTTACAGATTCTACAAAAAGACAGTTTCAAAACTGCTCCATCAAAAGGAGGGTTCAACCGTGTGACTTGAATGCAATCATCACTCAGAAGTTTCTGAGAATGCTTCTCTTTAGTTTTTACGTGAACATATACCCGTTTCGAACGAAGGCCACCCAGTGGTCCAAATATCCACTTGCAGATTCTACAGAAAGAGTGTTTCGAACCTGAACTCTCAAAGGCAGGTTCATCTCTGCGAGTTAAATGCATTCATCATGAAGAACTTTCTCAGCGTGTTTGTGTTTAGTTATGGGAAATTATTCCCGTTTCCAACGAAATCCTCAAAGAGCTCCAAATATCCACCTGCAGATTCTACCAAAAGTGTATTTGGAAACTGCTCCATCAAAAGGCATGTTCAGCTCTGTGAGTGAAACTCCATCATCACAAAGAATATTCTGAGAATGCTTCCGTTTGCCTGTTATATGAAGTTCCTTCCTATACGACCGTAGGCCTCAAAGCAGTCCAAATCTCCATTTGCAGATTCTACAAAAAGAGTGATTCCAATCTGCTCTATCAATAGGATTGTTCAACTCCATGAGTTGAATGCCATCTTCCAAAGTAGTTTCTGAGAATGCTTCTATCTAGTTTTTATGTGAAGATATTTCCTTTTCCACCACAGGCCTCAAAGCCCTCCAAACGTCCACTTGCAGATTCTCGAAAAAGAGTGTTTCATAGCTGCTCTTTCAAAAGGAAAGTTCAACTCTGGCAGTTGAATACAAACATCACAAAGTAGTTTCCGAGAATGCTTCTGTTTAGTTTTTATGTGAAGATGATCCCGTTTCCAGTGAAATCTTCAAAGAGGTCCACATATCCCCTTGCAGATTCCAAAGAAAGAGGGTTTCAAAACTGCTCCATCAGAAGGATTGTTCAACTCTGTGAGTTGAATGCAGTCATCGCAGAAAACTTTCTGAGAATGCTTCTTTCTAGGTTTGATGTGAAGATATAGACGTTTCAAACGAAGGCTACAAAGTGGTCAAAATATACACTTGCAGATTCTACTACAAGGGTGTTGCAAACCTGAACTATCAAAGGAAGGTTCAACTCTGTGAGTTGAATACAAACATCACAAAGAATGTTCTGAGTTTGCTTCCGTTCAGTTATGGGAAGTTGATCCCGTTTCCAACGAAATCCTCAGAGAGGTCCAAATATCCCCTTGCAGATTCTACAAAACGTGTGTTTGGAAACTGCTCCATCATAACGAATGTTCAGCTCCCTGAGTTAAACTCCATCGTCACAAAGAATTTTCTGAGAGTGCTACCGTCTGGTTTTTATATGAAGTTCTTTCCTTCACTACCACAGGCCTCAAAGCGGTCCAAATCTCCACTTGCAGATTCTACAAAAAGAGTGTTTGCAAACTGCTCTATCAAAAGGAATGTTCAACTCTGGGAGTTGAATGCAATCATCACAGAGCAGTTTCTGAGAATGCTTCTATGTCGTTTTTAGGAGAAGATATTTCCTTTTCCAACACAGTCCTCCAAGCCCGCTAAATAGCCACTTGCACATTGTAGAAAAAGTGTGTCAAAGCTGCGCTATCAAAGGGAAAGTTCAACTCTGTGAGGTGAATGCAAACATCCTAAAGAAGTTTCTGAGAATGCTTCCGTTTAGCTTTTAGGTGAAGATTATCCCGTTTCCAACGAAACCTTCAAAGAGGTCCAAATATCCCCTTGCGGATCCCACAGAAAGAGTGTTTCGAAACTGCTGTTTCAAAAGGAATCTTCAACTCTGTGAGTTGAATGCAATCATCACAAAGAAGTTTCTGACAATGCTTCTCTCTCGTCTTTCTGTGAAGATAAAGGAAAAGGCTTTCAGGCCTGTTCCACCACAGGCCTGAAAGCGCTCCAAATGTCCACTTGCAGATTCTGCGAAAAGAATATTTCAAAACTGCTCTATGAAAAGCAATGTTAAACTCTGTGGCTGGAACACAAACATCACAAAGCGGTTTCTGAGAATGTTTCAGTTTAGTTTTTCTGTGGAAATATTCCCGTTTCCAAAGAAATCTTCAAAGAGGTCCACGTATCCACTTACAGATTCTACAAAAAGACAGTTTCAAAACTGCTCCATCAAAAGGAGGGTTCAACTGTGTGACTTGAATGCAATCATCACTCAGAAGTTTCTGAGAATGCTTCTCTTTAGTTTTTACGTGAACATATACCCGTTTCGAACGAAGGCCACCCAGTGGTCCAAATATCCACTTGCAGATTCTACAGAAAGAGTGTTTCGAACCTGAACTCTCAAAGGCAGGTTCATCTCTGCGAGTTAAATGCATTCATCATGAAGAACTTTCTCAGAGTGTTTGTGTTTAGTTATGGGAAATTATTCCCGTTTCCAACGAAATCCTCAGAGAGCTCCAAATATCCACCTGCAGATTCTACCAAAAGTGTATTTGGAAACTGCTCCATCAAAAGGCATGTTCAGCTCTGTGAGTGAAACTCCATCATCACAAAGAATATTCTGAGAATGCTTCCGTTTGCCTTTTATATGAAGTTCCTTCCTATACGACCGTAGGCCTCAAAGCAGTCCAAATCTCCATTTGCAGATTCTACAAAAAGAGTGATTCCAATCTGCTCTATCAATAGGATTGTTCAACTCCATGAGTTGAATGCCATCCTCACAAAGTAGTTTCTGAGAATGCTTCTATCTAGTTTTTATGTGAAGATATTTCCTTTTCCACCACAGGCCTCAAAGCCCTCCAAACGTCCACTTGCAGATTCTCGAAAAAGAGTGTTTCATAGCTGCTCTTTCAAAAGGAAAGTTCAACTCTGGGAGTTGAATACAAACATCACAAAGTAGTTTCCGAGAATGCTTCTGTTTAGTTTTTATGTGAAGATGATCCCGTTTCCAGTGAAATCTTCAAAGAGGTCCACATATCCCCTTGCAGATTCCAAAGAAAGAGGGTTTCAAAACTGCTCCATCAGAAGGATTGTTCAACTCTGTGAGTTGAATGCAGTCATCGCAGAAAACTTTCTGAGAATGCTTCTGTCTAGGTTTGATGTGAAGATATAGACGTTTCAAACGAAGGCTACAAAGTGGTCAAAATATACACTTGCAGATTCTACTACAAGGGTGTTGCAAACCTGAACTATGAAAGGAAGGTTCAACTCTGTGAGTTGAATACAAACATCACAAAGAATGTTCTGAGTTTGCTTCCGTTCAGTTATGGGAAGTTGATCCCGTTTCCAACGAAATCCTCAGAGAGGTCCAAATATCCCCTTGCAGATTCTACAAAACGTGTGTTTGGAAACTGCTCCATCATAACGAATGTTCAGCTCCCTGAGTTAAACTCCATCGTCACAAAGAATTTTCTGAGAGTGCTACCGTCTGGTTTTTATATGAAGTTCTTTCCTTCACTACCACAGGCCTCAAAGCGGTCCAAATCTCCACTTGCAGATTCTACAAAAAGAGTGTTTGCAAACTGCTCTATCAAAAGGAATGTTCAACTCTGGGAGTTGAATGCAATCATCACAGAGCAGTTTCTGAGAATGCTTCTATGTCGTTTTTAGGAGAAGATATTTCCTTTTCCAACACAGTCCTCCAAGCCCGATATATATCCACTTGCACATTGTAGAAAAAGTGTGTCGAAGCTGCTCTATCAAAGGGAAAGTTCAACTCAGTGAGGTGAATGCAAACATCCCAAAGAAGTTTCTGAGAATGCTTCCGTTCAGCTTTTAGGTGAAGATTATCCCGTTTCCAACGAAAGCTTCAAAGAGGTCCAAATATCCCCTTGCGGATCCCACAGAAAGAGTGTTTCGAAACTGCTGTTTCAGAAGGAATCTTCAACTCTGTGAGTTGAATGCAATCATCACAAAGAAGTTTCTGACAATGCTTCTCTCTCGTCTTTCTGTGAAGATAAAGGAAAAGGCTTTCAGGCCTTTTCCACCACAGGCCTGAAAGCGCTCGAAATGTCCACTTGCAGATTCTGCCAAAAGAATATTTCAAAACTGCTCTATGAAAAGCAATGTTAAACTCTGCGGCTCGAACACAAACATCACAAAGCAGTTTCTGAGAATGCTTCAGTTTAGTTTTTCTGTGGAAATATTCCCGTTTCCAAAGAAATCTTCAAAGAGGTCCACGTACCCGCTTACAGATTCTACAAAAAGACAGTTTCAAAACTGCTCAATCAAAAGGAGGGTTCAACCGTGTGACTTGAATGCAATCATCACGCAGAAGTTTCTGAGAATGCTTCTCTTTAGTTTTTACGTGAACATATACCCGTTTCGAACGAAGGCCACCCAGTGGTCCAAATATCCACTTGCAGATTCTACAGAAAGAGTGTTTCGAACCTGAACTCTCAAAGGCAGGTTCATCTCTGCGAGTTCAATGCATTCATCATGAAGAACTTTCTCAGAGTGTTTGTGTTTAGGTATGGGAAATTATTCCCGTTTCCAACGAAATCCTCAGAGAGGTCCAAATATCCACCTGCAGATTCTACCAAAAGTGTATTTGGAAACTGCTCCATCAAAAGGCATGTTCAGCTCTGTGAGTGAAACTCCATCATCACAAAGAATATTCTGAGAATGCTTCCGTTTGCCTTTTATATGAAGTTCCTTCCTATACTACCGTAGGCCTCAAAGCAGTCCAAATCTCCATTTGCAGATTCTACAAAAAGAGTGATTCCAATCTGCTCTATCAATAGGATTGTTCAACTCCATGAGTTGAATGCCATCCTCACAAAGTAGTCTCTGAGAATGCTTCTATCTAGTTTTTATCTGAAGATATTTCCTTTTCCACCACAGGCCTCAAAGCCCTCCAAACGTCCACTTGCAGATTCTCGAAAAAGAGTGTTTCATAGCCGCTCTTTCAAAAGGAAAGTTCAACTCTGGGAGTTGAATACAAACATCACAAAGTAGTTTCCGAGAATGCTTCTGTTTAGTTCTTATGTGAAGATGATCCCGTTTCCAGTGAAATCTTCAAAGAGGTCCACATATCCCCTTGCAGATTCCAAAGAAAGAGGGTGTCAAAACTGCTCCATCAAAAGGATTGTTCAACTCTGTGAGTTGAATGCAGTCATCGCAGAAAACTTTCTGAGAATGCTTCTGTCTAGGTTTGAGGTGAAGATATAGACGTTTCAAACGAAGGCTACAAAGTGGTCAAAATATACACTTGCAGATTCTACTACAAGGGTGTTGCAAACCTGAACTATCAAAGGAAGGTTCAACTCTGTGAGTTGAATACAAACATCACAAAGAATGTTCTGAGTTTGCTTCCGTTCAGTTATGGGAAGTTGATCCCATTTCCAACGAAATCCTCAGAGAGGTCCAAATATCCCCTTGCAGATTCTACAAAACGTGTGTTTGGAAACTGCTCCATCATAAAGAATGTTCAGCTCTCTGAGTTTAACTCCATCGTCACAAAGAATTTTCTGAGAGTGCTACCGTCTGGTTTTTATATGAAGTTCTTTCCTTTACTACCACAGGCCTCAAAGCGGTCCAAATCTCCACTTGCAGATTCTACAAAAAGAGTGTTTGCAAACTGCTCTATCATTAGGAATGTTCAACTCTGGGAGTTGAATGCAATCATCACAGAGCAGTTTCTGAGAATGCTTCTATGTCGTTTTTAGGAGAAGATATTTCCTTTTCCAACACAGTCCTCCAAGCCCACTAAATATCCACTTGCACATTGTAGAAAAAGTGTGTCGAAGCTGCGCTATCAAAGGGAAAGTTCAACTCTGTGAGGTGAATGCAAACATCCCAAAGAAGTTTCTGAGAATGCTTCCGTTTAGCTTTTAGGTGAAGATTATCCCGTTTCCAACGAAACCTTCAAAGAGGTCCAAATATCCCCTTGCGGATCCCACAGAAAGAGTGTTCCGAAACTGCTGTTTCAAAAGGAATCTTCAACTCTGTGAGTTGAATGCAATCATCACAAAGAAGTTTCTGACAATGCTTCTCTCTCGTCTTTCTGTGAAGATAAAGGAAAAGGCTTTCAGGCCTTTTCCACCACAGGCCTGAAAGCGCTCCAAATGTCCACTTGCAGATTCTGCCAAAAGAATATTTCAAAACTGCTCTATGAAAAGCAATGTTAAACTCTGTCGCTCGAACACAAACATCACAAAGCAGTTTCTGAGAATGCTTCAGTTTAGTTTTTCTGTGGAAATATTCCCGTTTCCAAAGAAATCTTCAAAGAGGTCCACGTATCCACTTACAGATTCTACAAAAAGACAGTTTCAAAACTGCTCCATCAAAAGGAGGGTTCAACCGTGTGACTTGAATGCAATCATCACTCAGAAGTTTCTGAGAATGCTTCTCTTTAGTTTTTACGTGAACATATATCCGTTTCGAATGAAGGCCAGCCAGTGGTCCAAATATCCACTTGCAGATTCTACAGAAAGAGTGTTTTGAACCTGAACTCTCAAAGGCAGGTTCATCTCTGCGAGTTAAATGCATTCATCATGAAGAACTTTCTCAGCGTGTTTGTGTTTAGTTATGGGAAATTATTCCCGTTTCCAACGAAATCCTCAGAGAGCTCCAAATATCCACCTGCAGATTCTACCAAAAGTGTATTTGGAAACTGCTCCATGAAAAGGCATGTTCAGCTCTGTGAGTGAAACTCCGTCATCACAAAGAATATTCTGAGAATGCTTCCGTTTGCCTTTTATATGAAGTTCCTTCCTATACTACCGTAGGCCTCAAAGCAGTCCAAATCTCCATTTGCAGATTCTACAAAAAGAGTGATTCCAATCTGCTCTATCAATAGGATTGTTCAACTCCATGAGTTGAATGCCATCCTCACAAAGTAGTTTCTGAGAATGCTTCTATGTAGTTTTTATGTGAAGATATTTCCTTTTCCACCACAGGCCTCAAAGCCCTCCAAACGTCCACTTGCAGATTCCCGAAAAAGAGTGTTTCATAGCTGCTCTTTCAAAAGGAAAGTTCAACTCTGGGAGTTGAATACAAACATCACAAAGTAGTTTCCGAGAATGCTTCTGTTTAGTTCTTATGTGAAGATGATCCCGTTTCCAGTGAAATCTTCAAAGAGGTCCACATATCCCCTTGCAGATTCCAAAAAAAGAGGGTTTCAAAACTGCTCCATCAAAAGGATTGTTCAACTCTGTGAGTTGAATGCAGTCATCGCAGAAAACTTTCTGAGAATGCTTCTGTCTAGGTTTGATGTGAAGATATAGACGTTTCAAACGAAGGCTACAAAGTGGTCAAAATATACACTTGCAGATTCTACTACAAGGGTGTTGCAAACCTCAACTATCAAAGGAAGGTTCAACTCTGTGAGATGAATGCAAACATCACAAAGAATGTTCTGAGTTTGCTTCCGTTCAGTTATGGGAAGTTGATCCCGTTTCCAACGAAATCCTCAGAGAGGTCCAAATATCCCCTTGCAGATTCTACAAAACGTGTGTTTGGAAACTGCTCCATCATAACGAATGTTCAGCTCTCTGAGTTAAACTCCATCGTCACAAAGAATTTTCTGAGAGTGCTACCGTCTACTTTTTATATGAAGTTCTTTCCTTTACTACCACAGGCCTCAAAGCGGTCCAAATCTCCACTTGCAGATTCTACAAAAAGAGTGTTTGCAAATTGCTCTATCAAAAGGAATGTTCAACTCTGGGAGTTGAATGCAATCATCACAGAGCAGTTTCTGAGAATGCTTCTATGTCGTTTTTAGGAGAAGATATTTCCTTTTCCAACACAGTCCTCCAAGCCCGCTAAATATCCACTTGCACATTGTAGAAAAAGTGTGTCGAAGCTGCGCTATCAAAGGGAAAGTTCAACTCTGTGAGGTGAATGCAAACATCCCAAAGAAGTTTCTGAGAATGCTTCCGTTTAGCTTTAAGTGAAGATTATCCCGTTTCCAACGAAATCTTCAAAGAGGTCCAAATATCCCCTTGCGGATCCCACAGAAAGAGTGTTTCGAAACTGCTGTTTCAAAAGGAATCTTCAACTCTGTGAGTTGAATGCAATCATCACAAAGAAGTTTCTGACAATTCTTCTCTCTCGTCTTTCTGTGAAGATAAAGGAAAAGGCTTTCAGGCCATTTCCACCACAGGCCTGAAAGCGCTCCAAATGTCCACTTGCAGATTCTGCCAAAAGAATATTTCAAAACTGCTCTATGAAAAGCAATGTTAAACTCTGCGGCTCGAACACAAACATCACAAAGCAGTTTCTGAGAATGCTTCAGTTTAGTTTTTCTGTGGAAATATTCCCGTTTCCAAAGAAATCTTCAAAGAGGTCCACGCATCCACTTACAGATTCTACAAAAAGACAGTTTCAAAACTGCTCAATCAAAAGGAGGGTTCAACTGTGTGACTTGAATGCATTCATCACTCAGAAGTTTCTGAGAACGCTTCTCTTTAGTTTTTACGTGAACATATACCCGTTTCGAACGAAGGCCAGCCAGTGGTCCAAATATCCACTTGCAGATTCTACAGAAAGAGTGTTTTGAACCTGAACTCTCAAAGGCAGGTTCATCTCTTGCGAGTTAAATGCATTCATCATGAAGAACTTTCTCAGCGTGTTTGTGTTTAGTTATGGGAAATTATTCCCGTTTCCAACGAAATCCTCAGAGAGCTCCAAATATCCACCTGCAGATTCTACCAAAAGTGTATTTGGAAACTGCTCCATGAAAAGGCATGTTCAGCTCTGTGAGTGAAACTCCGTCATCACAAAGAATATTCTGAGAATGCTTCCGTTTGCCTTTTATATGAAGTTCCTTCCTATACGACCGTAGGCCTCAAAGCAGTCCAAATCTCCATTTGCAGATTCTACAAAAAGAGTGATTCCAATCTGCTCTATCAATAGGATTGTTCAACTCCATGAGTTGAATGCCATCCTCACAAAGTAGTTTCTGAGAATGCTTCTATGTAGTTTTTAAGTGAAGATATTTCCTTTTCCACCACAGGCCTCAAAGCCCTCCAAACGTCCACTTGCAGATTCCCGAAAAAGAGTGTTTCATAGCTGCTCTTTCAAAAGGAAAGTTCAACTCTGGGAGTTGAATACAAACATCACAAAGTAGTTTCCGAGAATGCTTCCTGTTTAGTTTTTATGTGAAGATGATCCCGTTTCCAGTGAAATCTTCAAAGAGGTCCACATATCCCCTTGCAGATTCCAAAGAAAGAGGGTTTCAAAACTGCTCCATCAGAAGGATTGTTCAACTCTGTGAGTTGAATGCAGTCATCGCAGAAAACTTTCTGAGAATGCTTCTGTCTAGGTTTGATGTGAAGATATAGACGTTTCAAACGAAGGCTACAAAGTGGTCAAAATATACACTTGCAGATTCTACTACAAGGGTGTTGCAAACCTGAACTATCAAAGGAAGGTTCAACTCTGTGAGTTGAATACAAACGTCACAAAGAATGTTCTGAGTTTGCTTCCGTTCAGTTATGGGAAGTTGATCCCGTTTCCAACGAAATCCTCAGAGAGGTCCAAATATCCCCTTGCAGATTCTACAAAACGTGTGTTTGGAAACTGCTCCATCATAACGAATGTTCAGCTCCCTGAGTTAAACTCCATCGTCACAAAGAATTTTCTGAGAGTGCTACCGTCTGGTTTTTATATGAAGTTCTTTCCTTCACTACCACAGACCTCAAAGCGGTCCAAATCTCCACTTGCAGATTCTACAAAAAGAGTGTTTGCAAACTGCTCTATCAAAAGGAATGTTCAACTCTGGGAGTTGAATGCAATCATCACAGAGCAGTTTCTGAGAATGCTTCTATGTCGTTTTTAGGAGAAGATATTTCCTTTTCCAACACAGTCCTCCAAGCCCGCTAAATAGCCACTTGCACATTGTAGAAAAAGTGTGTCGAAGCTGCGCTATCAAAGGGAAAGTTCAACTCTGTGAGGTGAATGCAAACATCCCAAAGAAGTTTCTGAGAATGCTTCCGTTTAGCTTTTAGGTGAAGATTATCCCGTTTCCAACGAAACCTTCAAAGAGGTCCAAATATCCCCTTGCGGATCCCACAGAAAGAGTGTTTCGAAACTGCTGTTTCAAAAGGAATCTTCAACTCTGTGAGTTGAATGCAATCATCCCAAAGAAGTTTCTGACAATGCTTCTCTCTCGTCTTTCTGTGAAGATAAAGGAAAAGGCTTTCAGGCCTTTTCCACCACAGGCCTGAAAGCGCTCCAAATGTCCACTTGCAGATTCTGCCAAAAGAATATTTCAAAACTGCTCTATGAAAAGCAATGTTAAACTCTGTGGCTCGAACACAAACATCACAAAGCAGTTTCTGAGAATGCTTCAGTTTAGTTTTTCTGTGGAAATATTCCCGTTTCCAAAGAAATCTTCAAAGAGGTCCACGTATCCACTTACAGATTCTACAAAAAGACAGTTTCAAAACTGCTCCATCAAAAGGAGGGTTCAACTGTGTGACTTGAATGCAATCATCACTCAGAAGTTTCTGAGAATGCTTCTCTTTAGTTTTTACGTGAACATATACCCGTTTCGAACGAAGGCCAGCCAGTGGTCCAAATATCCACTTGCAGATTCTACAGAAAGAGTGTTTCGAACCTGAACTCTCAAAGGCAGGTTCATCTCTGCGAGTTAAATGCATTCATCATGAAGAACTTTCTCAGAGTGTTTGTGTTTAGTTATGGGAAATTATTCCCGTTTCCAACGAAATCCTCCGACAGGTCCAAATATCCACCTGCAGATTCTACCAAAAGTGTATTTGGAAACTGCTCCATCAAAAGGCATGTTCAGCTCTGTGAGTGAAACTCCATCATCACAAAGAATATTCTGAGAATGCGTCCGTTTGCCTTTTATATGAAGTTCCTTCCTATACTACCGTAGGCCTCAAAGCAGTCCAAATCTCCATTTGCAGATTCTACAAAAAGAGTGATTCCAATCTGCTCTATCAATAGGATTGTTCAACTCCATGAGTTGAATGCCATCCTCACAAAGTCGTTTCTGAGAATGCTTCTATCTAGTTTTTATGTGAAGATATTTCCTTTTCCACCACAGGCCTCAAAGCCCTCCAAACGTCCACTTGCAGATTCTCGAAAAAGAGTGTTTCATAGCTGCTCTTTCAAAAGGAAAGTTCAACTCTGGGAGTTGAATACAAACATCACAAAGTAGTTTCCGAGAATGCTTCTGTTTAGTTTTTATGTGAAGATGATCCCGTTTCCAGTGAAATCTTCAAAGAGGTCCACATATCCCCTTGCAGATTCCAAAGAAAGAGGGTTTCAAAACTGCTCCATCAGAAGGATTGTTCAACTCTGTGAGTTGAATGCAGTCATCGCAGAAAACTTTCTGAGAATGCTTCTGTCTAGGTTTGATGTGAAGATATAGACGTTTCAAACGAAGGCTACAAAGTGGTCAAAATATACACTTGCAGATTCTACTACAAGGGTGTTGCGAACCTGAACTATCAAAGGAAGGTTCAACTCTGTGAATTGAATACAAACATCACAAAGAATGTTCTGAGTTTGCTTCCGTTCAGTTATGGGAAGTTGATCCCGTTTCCAACGAAATCCTCAGAGAGGTCCAAATATCCCCTCGCAGATTCTACAAAACGTGTGTTTGGAAACTGCTCCATCATAACGAATGTTCAGCTCCCTGAGTTAAACTCCATCGTCACAAAGAATTTTCTGAGAGTGCTACCGTCTGGTTTTTATATGAAGTTCTTTCCTTCACTACCACAGGCCTCAAAGCGGTCCAAATCTCCACTTGCAGATTCTACAAAAAGAGTGTTTGCAAACTGCTCTATCAAAAGGAATGTTCAACTCTGGGAGTTGAATGCAATCATCACAGAGCAGTTTCTGAGAATGCTTCTATGTCGTTTTTAGGAGAAGATATTACCTTTTCCAACACAGTCCTCCTAGCCCGCTAAATAGCCACTTGCACATTGTAGAAAAAGTGTGTCAAAGCTGCGCTATCAAAGGGAAAGTTCAACTCTGTGAGGTGAATGCAAACATCCCAAAGAAGTTTCTGAGAATGCTTCCGTTTAGCTTTTAGGTGAAGATTATCCCGTTTCCAACGAAACCTTCAAAGAGGTCCAAATATCCCCTTGCGGATCCCACAGAAAGAGTGTTTCGAAACTGCTGTTTCAAAAGGAATCTTCAACTCTGTGAGTTGAATGCAATCATCACAAAGAAGTTTCTGACAATGCTTCTCTCTCGTCTTTCTGTGAAGATAAAGGAAAAGGCTTTCAGGCCTTTGCCACCACAGGCCTGAAAGCGCTCCAAATGTCCACTTGCAGATTCTGCGAAAAGAATATTTCAAAACTGCTCTATGAAAAGCAATGTTAAACTCTGTGGCTCGAACACAAACATCACAAAGCGGTTTCTGAGAATGCTTCAGTTTAGTTTTTCTGTGGAAATATTCCCGTTTCCAAAGAAATCTTCAAAGAGGTCCACGTATCCACTTACAGATTCTACAAAAAGACAGTTTCAAAACTGCTCCATCAAAAGGAGTGTTCAACCGTGTGACTTGAATGCAATCATCACTCAGAAGTATCTGAGAATGCTTCTCTTTAGTTTTTACGTGAACATATACCCGTTTCGAACGAAGGGCCACCCAGTGGTCCAAATATCCACTTGCAGATTATACAGAAAGAGTGTTTCGAACCTGAACTCTCAAAGGCAGGTTCATCTCTGCGAGTTAAATGCATTCATCATGAAGAACTTTCTCAGAGTGTTTGTGTTTAGTTATGGGAAATTATTCCCGTTTCCAACGAAATCCTCAGAGAGCTCCAAATATCCACCTGCAGATTCTACCAAAAGTGTATTTGGAAACTGCTCCATCAAAAGGCATGTTCAGCTCTGTGAGTGAAACTCCATCATCACAAAGAATATTCTGAGAATGCTTCCGTTTGCCTTTTATATGAAGTTCCTTCCTGTACTACCGTAGGCCTCAAAGCAGTCCAAATCTCCATTTGCAGATTCTATAAAAAGAGTGATTCCAATCTGCTCTATCAATAGGATTGTTCAACTCCATGAGTTGAATGCCATCCTCACAAAGTAGTTTCTGAGAATGCTTCTATCTGGTTTTTGTGTGAAGATATTTCCTTTTCCACCACAGGCCTCAAAGCCCTCCAAACGTCCACTTGCAGATTCTCGAAAAAGAGTGTTTCATAGCTGCTCTTTCAAAAGGAAAGTTCAACTCTGGCAGTTGAATACAAACATCACAAAGTAGTTTCCGAGAATGCTTCTGTTTAGTTTTTATGTGAAGATGATCCCGTTTCCAGTGAAATCTTCAAAGAGGTCCACATATCCCCTTGCAGATTCCAAAGAAAGAGGGTTTCAAAACTGCTCCATCAGAAGGATTGTTCAACTCTGTGAGTTGAATGCAGTCAACGCAGAAAACTTTCTGAGAATGCTTCTGTCTAGGTTTGATGTGAAGATATAGACGTTTCAAACGAAGGCTACAAAGTGGTCAAAATATACACTTGCAGATTCTACTACAAGGGTGTTGCAAACCTGAACTATCAAAGGAAGGTTCAACTCTGTGAGTTGAATACAAACATCACAAAGAATGTTCTGAGTTTGCTTCCGTTCAGTTATGGGAAGTTGATCCCGTTTCCAACGAAATCCTCAGAGAGGTCCAAATATCCCCTTGCAGATTCTACAAAACGTGTGTTTGGAAACTGCTCCATCATAACGAATGTTCAGCTCCCTGAGTTAAACTCCATCGTCACAAAGAATTTTCTGAGAGTGCTACCGTCTGGTTTTTATATGAAGTTCTTTCCTTCACTACCACAGGCCTCAAAGCGGTCCAAATCTCCACTTGCAGATTCTACAAAAAGAGTGTTTGCAAACTGCTCTATCAAAAGGAATGTTCAACTCTGGGAGTTGAATGCAATCATCACAGAGCAGTTTCTGAGAATGCTTCTATGTCGTTTTTAGGAGAAGATATTTCCTTTTCCAACACAGTCCTCCAAGCCCGCTAAATAGCCACTTGCACATTGTAGAAAAAGTGTGTCAAAGCTGCGCTATCAAAGGGAAAGTTCAACTCTGTGAGGTGAATGCAAACATCCCAAAGAAGTTTCTGAGAATGCTTCCGTTTAGCTTTTAGGGGAAGATTATCCCGTTTCCAACGAAACCTTCAAAGAGGTCCAAATATCCCCTTGCGGATCCCACAGAAAGAGTGTTTCGAAACTGCTGTTTCAAAAGGAATCTTCAACTCTGTGAGTTGAATGCAATCATCACAAAGAAGTTTCTGACAATGCTTCTCTCTCGTCTTTCTGTGAAGATAAAGGAAAAGGCTTTCAGGCCTTTTCCACCACAGGCCTGAAAGCGCTCCAAATGTCCCCTTGCAGATTCTGCGAAAAGAATATTTCAAAACTGCTCTATGAAAAGCAATGTTAAACTCTGTGGCTCGAACACAAACATCACAAAGCGGTTTCTGAGAATGCTTCAGTTTAGTTTTTCTGTGGAAATATTCCCGTTTCCAAAGAAATCTTCAAAGAGGTCCACGTATCCACTTACAGATTCTACAAAAAGACAGTTTCAAAACTGCTCCATCAAAAGGAGGGTTCAACCGTGTGACTTGAATGCAATCATCACTCAGAAGTTTCTGAGAATGCTTCTCTTTAGTTTTTACGTGAACATATACCCGTTTCGAACGAAGGCCACCCAGTGGTCCAAATATCCACTTGCAGATTATACAGAAAGAGTGTTTCGAACCTGAACTCTCAAAGGCAGGTTCATCTCTGCGAGTTAAATGCATTCATCATGAAGAACTTTCTCAGAGTGTTTGTGTTTAGTTATGGGAAATTATTCCCGTTTCCAACGAAATCCTCAGAGAGGTCCAAATATCCACCTGCAGATTCTACCAAAAGTGTATTTGGAAACTGCTCCATCAAAAGGCATGTTCAGCTCTGTGAGTGAAACTCCATCATCACAAAGAATATTCTGAGAATGCTTCCGTTTGCCTTTTATATGAAGTTCCTTCCTATACGACCGTAGGCCTCAAAGCAGTCCAAATCTCCATTTGCAGATTCTACAAAAAGAGTGATTCCAATCTGCTCTATCAATAGGATTGTTCAACTCCATGAGTTGAATGCCATCCTCACAAAGTCGTTTCTGAGAATGCTTCTATCTAGTTTTTATGTGAAGATATTTCCTTTTCCACCACAGGCCTCAAAGCCCTCCAAACGTCCACTTGCAGATTCTCGAAAAAGAGTGTTTCATAGCTGCTCTTTCAAAAGGGAAGTTCAACTCTGGGAGTTGAATACAAACATCACAAAGTAGTTTCCGAGAATGCTTCTGTTTAGTTCTTATGTGAAGATGATCCCGTTTCCAGTGAAATCTTCAAAGAGGTCCACATATCCCCTTGCAGATTCCAAAGAAAGAGGGTTTCAAAACTGCTCCATCAAAAGGATTGTTCAACTCTGTGAGTTGAATGCAGTCATCGCAGAAAACTTTCTGAGAATGCTTCTGTCTAGGTTTGATGTGAAGATATAGACGTTTCAAACGAAGGCTACAAAGTGGTCAAAATATACACTTGCAGATTCTACTACAAGGGTGTTGCAAACCTGAACTATCAAAGGAAGGTTCAACTCTGTGAGTTGAATACAAACATCACAAGGAATGTTCTGAGTTTGCTTCCGTTCAGTTATGGGAAGTTGATCCCGTTTCCAACGAAATCCTCAGAGAGGTCCAAATATCCCCTTGCAGATTCTACAAAACGTGTGTTTGGAAACTGCTCCATCATAACGAATGTTCAGCTCCCTGAGTTAAACTCCATCGTCACAAAGAATTTTCTGAGAGTGCTACCGTCTGGTTTTTATATGAAGCTCTTTCCTTCACTACCACAGGCCTCAAAGCGGTCCAAATCTCCACTTGCAGATTCTACAAAAAGAGTGTTTGCAAACTGCTCTATCAAAAGGAATGTTCAACTCTGGGAGTTGAATGCAATCATCACAGAGCAGTTTCTGAGAATGCTTCTATGTCGTTTTTAGGAGAAGATATTTCCTTTTCCAACACAGTCCTCCAAGCCCGCTAAATAGCCACTTGCACATTGTAGAAAAAGTGTGTCAAAGCTGCGCTATCAAAGGGAAAGTTCAACTCTGTGAGGTGAATGCAAACATCCCAAAGAAGTTTCTGAGAATGCTTCCGTTTAGCTTTTAGGTGAAGATTATCCCGTTTCCAACGAAACCTTCAAAGAGGTCCAAATATCCCCTTGCGGATCCCACAGAAAGAGTGTTTCGAAACTGCTGTTTCAAAAGGAATCTTCAACTCTGTGAGTTGAATGCAATCATCACAAAGAAGTTTCTGACAATGCTTCTCTCTCGTCTTTCTGTGAAGATAAAGGAAAAGGCTTTCAGGCCTTTGCCACCACAGGCCTGAAAGCGCTCCAAGTGTCCACTTGCAGATTCTGCGAAAAGAATATTTCAAAACTGCTCTATGAAAAGCAATGTTAAACTCTGTGGCTCGAACACAAACATCACAAAGAGGTTTCTGAGAATGCTTCAGTTTAGTTTTTCTGTGGAAATATTCCCGTTTCCAAAGAAATCTTCAAAGAGGTCCACGTATCCACTTACAGATTCTACAAAAAGACAGTTTCAAAACTGCTCAATCAAAAGGAGGGTTCAACCGTGTGACTTGAATGCAATCATCACTCAGAAGTTTCTGAGAATGCTTCTCTTTAGTTTTTACGTGAACATATACCCGTTTAGAACGAAGGCCACCCAGTGGTCCAAATATCCACTTGCAGATTCTATAGAAAGAGTGTTTCGAACCTGAACTCTCAAAGGCAGGTTCATCTCTGCGAGTTAAATGCATTCATCATGAAGAACTTTCTCAGAGTGTTTGTGTTTAGGTATGGGAAATTATTCCCGTTTCCAACGAAATCCTCAGAGAGCTCCAAATATCCACCTGCAGATTCTACCAAAAGTGTATTTGGCAACTGCTCCATCAAAAGGCATGTTCAGCTCTGTGAGTGAAACTCCATCATCACAAAGGATATTCTGAGAATGCTTCCGTTTGCCTTTTATATGAAGTTCCTTCCTATACTACCGTAGGCCTCAAAGCAGTCCAAATCTCCATTTGCAGATTCTACAAAAAGAGTGATTCCAATCTGCTCTATCAATAGGATTGTTCAACTCCATGAGTTGAATGCCATCCTCACAAAGTCGTTTCTGAGAATGCTTCTATCTGGTTTTTGTGTGAAGATATTTCCTTTTCCACCACAGGCCTCAAAGCCCTCCAAACGTCCACTTGCAGATTCTCGAAAAAGAGTGTTTCATAGCTGCTCTTTCAAAAGGAAAGTTCAACTCTGGGAGTTGAATACAAACATCACAAAGTAGTTTCCGAGAATGCTTCTGTTTAGTTTTTATGTGAAGATGATCCCGTTTCCAGTGAAATCTTCAAAGAGGTCCACATATCCCCTTGCAGATTCCAAAGAAAGAGGGTTTCAAAACTGCTCCATCAGAAGGATTGTTCAACTCTGTGAGTTGAATGCAGTCATCGCAGAAAACTTTCTGAGAAAGCTTCTGTCTAGGTTTGATGTGAAGATATAGACGTTTCAAACGAAGGCTACAAAGTGGTCAAAATATACACTTGCAGATTCTACTACAAGGGTGTTGCAAACCTGAACTATCAAAGGAAGGTTCAACTCTGTGAGTTGAATACAAACATCACAAAGAATGTTCTGAGTTTGCTTCCGTTCAGTTATGGGAAGTTGATCCCGTTTCCAACGAAATCCTCAGAGAGGTCCAAATATCCCCTTGCAGATTCTACAAAACGTGTGTTTGGAAACTGCTCCATCATAACGAATGTTCAGCTCCCTGAGTTAAACTCCATCGTCACAAAGAATTTTCTGAGAGTGCTACCGTCTGGTTTTTATATGAAGTTCTTTCCTTCACTACCACAGGCCTCAAAGCGGTCCAAATCTCCACTTGCAGATTCTACAAAAAGAGTGTTTGCAAACTGCTCTATCAAAAGGAATGTTCAACTCTGGGAGTTGAATGCAATCATCACAGAGCAGTTTCTGAGAATGCTTCTATGTCGTTTTTAGGAGAAGATATTTCCTTTTCCAACACAGTCCTCCAAGCCCGCTAAATAGCCACTTGCACATTGTAGAAAAAGTGTGTCAAAGCTGCGCTATCAAAGGGAAAGTTCAACTCTGTCAGGTGAATGCAAACATCCCAAAGAAGTTTCTGAGAATGCTTCCGTTTAGCTTTTAGGTGAAGATTATCCCGTTTCCAACGAAACCTTCAAAGAGGTCCAAATATCCCCTTGCGGATCCCACAGAAAGAGTGTTTCGAAACTGCTGTTTCAAAAGGAATCTTCAACTCTGTGAGTTGAATGCAATCATCACAAAGAAGTTTCTGACAATGCTTCTCTCTCGTCTTTCTGTGAAGATAAATAAATGCTTTCAGGCCTTTGCCACCACAGGCCTGAAAGCGCTCCAAATGTCCACTTGCAGATTCTGCGAAAAGAATATTTCAAAACTGCTTTGTGAAAAGCAATGTTAAACTCTGTGGCTCGAACACAAACATCACAAAGCGGTTTCTGAGAATGCTTCAGTTTAGTTTTTCTGTGGAAATATTCCCGTTTCCAAAGAAATCTTCAAAGAGGTCCACGTATCCACTTACAGATTCTACAAAAAGACAGTTTCAAAACTGCTCAATCAAAAGGAGGGTTCAACTGTGTGACTTGAATGCAATCATCACTCAGAAGTTTCTGAGAATGCTTCTCTTTAGTTTTTACGTGAACATATACCCGTTTCGAACGAAGGCCACCCAGTGGTCCAAATATCCACTTGCAGATTCTACAGAAAGAGTGTTTCGAACCTGAACTCTCAAAGGCAGGTTCATCTCTGCGAGTTAAATGCATTCATCATGAAGAACTTTCTCAGAGTGTTTGTGTTTAGTTATGGGAAATTATTCCCTTTCCCAAAGAAATCCTCAGAGAGGTCCAAATGTCCACCTGCAGATTCTACCAAAAGTGTATTTGGAAACTGCTCCATCAACAGGCATGTTCAGCTCTGTGAGTGAAACTCCATCATCACAAAGAATATTCTGAGAATGCTTCCGTTTGCCTTTTATATGAAGTTCCTTCCTATACGACCGTAGGCCTCAAAGCAGTGCAAATCTCCATTTGCAGATTCTACAAAAAGAGTGATTCCAATCTGCTCTATCAATAGGATTGTTCAACTCCATGAGTTGAATGCCATCCTCACAAAGTCGTTTCTGAGAATGCTTCTATCTAGTTTTTATGTGAAGATATTTCCTTTTCCACCACAGGCCTCAAAGCCCTCCAAACGTCCACTTGCAGATTCTCGAAAAAGAGTGTTTCATAGCTGCTCTTAAAAAAGGAAAGTTCAACTCTGGGAGTTGAATACAAACATCACAAAGTAGTTTCCGAGAATGCTTCTGTTTAGTTTTTATGTGAAGATGATCCCGTTTCCAGTGAAATCTTCAAAGAGGTCCACATATCCCCTTGCAGATTCCAAAGAAAGAGGGTTTCAAAACTGCTCCATCAATAGGATTGTTCAACTCTGTGAGTTGAATGCTGTCATCGCAGAAAACTTTCTGAGAATGCTTCTGTCTAGGTTTGATGTGAAGATATAGACGTTTCAAACGAAGGCTACAAAGTGGTCAAAATATACACTTGCAGATACTACTACAAGGGTGTTGCAAACCTGAACTATCAAAGGAAGGTTCAACTCTGTGAGTTGAATACAAACATCACAAAGAATGTTCTGAGTTTGCTTCCGTTCAGTTATGGGAAGTTGATCCCGTTTCCAACGAAATCCTCAGAGAGGTCCAAATATCCCCTTGCAGATTCTACAAAACGTGTTTTTGGAAACTGCTCCATCATAACGAATGTTCAGCTCCCTGAGTTAAACTCCATCGTCACAAAGAATTTTCTGAGAGTGCTACCGTCTGGTTTTTATATGAAGTTCTTTCCTTCACTACCACAGGCCTCAAAGCGGTCCAAATCTCCACTTGCAGATTCTACAAAAAGAGTGTTTGCAAACTGCTCTATCAAAAGGAATGTTCAACTCTGGGAGTTGAATGCAATCATCACAGAGCAGTTTCTGAGAATGCTTCTATGTCGTTTTTAGGAGAAGATATTTCCTTTTCCAACACAGTCCTCCAAGCCCGCTAAATAGCCACTTGCACATTGTAGAAAAAGTGTGTCAAAGCTGCGCTATCAAAGGGAAAGTTCAACTCTGTGAGGTGAATGCAAACATCCCAAAGAAGTTTCTGAGAATGCTTCCGTTTAGCTTTTAGGTGAAGATTATCCCGTTTCCAACGAAACCTTCAAAGAGGTCCAAATATCCCCTTGCGGATCCCACAGAAAGAGTGTTTCGAAACTGCTGTTTCAAAAGGAATCTTCAACTCTGTGAGTTGAATGCAATCATCACAAAGAAGTTTCTGACAATGCTTCTCTCTCGTCTTTCTGTGAAGATAAAGGAAAAGGCTTTCAGGCCTTTTCCACCCACAGGCCTGAAAGCGCTCCAAATGTCCACTTGCAGATTCTGCCAAAAGAATATTTCAAAACTGCTCTATGAAAAGCAATGTTAAACTCTGCGGCTCGAACACAAACATCACAAAGCAGTTTCTGAGAATGCTTCAGTTTAGTTTTTCTGTGGAAATATTCCTGTTTCCAAAGAAATCTTCAAAGAGGTCCACGTATCCACTTACAGATGCTACAAAAAGACAGTTTCAAAACTGCTCAATCAAAAGGAGGGTTCAACCGTGTGACTTTAATGCAATCATCACTCAGAAGTTTCTGAGAATGCTTCTCTTTAGTTTTTACGTGAACATATACCCGTTTCGAACGAAGGCCACCCAGTGGTCCAAATATCCACTTGCAGATTCTACAGAAAGAGTGTTTCGAACCTGAACTCTCAAAGGCAGGTTCATCTCTGCGAGTTAAATGCATTCATCATGAAGAACTTTCTCAGAGTGTTTGTGTTTAGGTATGGGAAATTATTCCCGTTTCCAACGAAATCCTCAGAGAGGTCCAAATATCCACCTGCAGATTCTACCAAAAGTGTATTTGGAAACTGCTCCATCAAAAGGCATGTTCAGCTCTGTGAGTGAAACTCCATCATCACAAAGAATATTCTGAGAATGCTTCCGTTTGCCTTTTATATGAAGTTCCTTCCTATACTACCATAGGCCTCAAAGCAGTCCAAATCTCCATTTGCAGATTCTACAAAAAGAGTGATTCCAATCTGCTCTATCAATAGGATTGTTCAACTCCATGAGTTGAAGGCCATCCTCACAAAGTCGTTTCTGAGAATGCTTCTATCTAGTTTTTATGTGAAGATATTTCCTTTTCCACCACAGGCCTCAAAGCCCTCCAAACGTCCACTTGCAGATTCTCGAAAAAGAGTGTTTCATAGCTGCTCTTTCAAAAGGAAAGTTCAACTCTGGGAGTTGAATACAAACTTCACAAAGTAGTTTCCGAGAATGCTTCTGTTTATTTCTTATGTGAAGATGATCCCGTTTCCAGTGAAATCTTCAAAGAGGTCCACATATCCCCTTGCAGATTCCAAAGAAAGAGGGTTTCAAAACTGCTCCATCAAAAGGATTGTTCAGCTCTGTGAGTTGAATGCAGTCATCGCAGAAAACTTTCTGAGAATGCTTCTGTCTAGGTTTGATGTGAAGATATAGACGTTTCAAACGAAGGCTACAAAGTGGTCAAAATATACACTTGCAGATTCTACTACAAGGGTGTTGCAAACCTCAACTATCAAAGGAAGGTTCAACTCTGTGAGACGAATGCAAACATCACAAAGAATGTTCTGAGTTTGCTTCCGTTCAGTTATGGGAAGTTGATCCCGTTTCCAACGAAATCCTCAGAGAGGTCCAAATATCCCCTTGCAGATTCTACAAAACGTGTGTTTGGAAACTGCTCCATCATAACGAATGTTCAGCTCCCTGAGTTAAACTCCATCGTCACAAAGAATTTTCTGAGAGTGCTACCGTCTGGTTTTTATATGAAGCTCTTTCCTTTACTACCCCAGTCCTCAAAGCGGTCCAAATCTCCACTTGCAGATTCTACAAAAAGAGTGTTTGCAAACTGCTCTATCAAAAGGAATGTTCAACTCTGGGAGTTGAATGCAATCATCACAGAGCAGTTTCTGAGAATGCTTCTATGTCGTTTTTAGGAGAAGATATTTCCTTTTCCAACACAGTCCTCCAAGCCCGCTAAATAGCCACTTGCACATTGTAGAAAAAGTGTGTCAAAGCTGCGCTATCAAAGGGAAAGTTCAACTCTGAGAGGTGAATGCAAACATCCCAAAGAAGTTTCTGAGAGTGCTTCCGTTTAGCTTTTAGGTGAAGATTATCCCGTTTCCAACGAAACCTTCAAAGAGGTCCAAATATCCCCTTGCGGATCCCACAGAAAGAGTGTTTCGAAACTGCTGTTTCAAAAGGAATCTTCAACTCTGTGAGTTGAATGCAATCATCACAAAGAAGTTTCTGACAATGCTTCTCTCTCGTCTTCCTGTGAAGATAAAGGAAAAGGCTTTCAGGCCTTTTCCACCACAGGCCTGAAAGCGCTCCAAATGTCCACTTGCAGATTCTGCCAAAAGAATATTTCAAAACTGCTCTATGAAAAGCAATGTTAAACTCTGTGGCTCGAACACAAACATCACAAAGCAGTTTCTGAGAATGCTTCAGTTTAGTTTTTCTGTGGAAATATTCCCGTTTCCAAAGAAATCTTCAAAGAGGTCCACGCATCCACTTACAGATTCTACAAAAAGACAGTTTCAAAACTGCTCAATCAAAAGGAGGGTTCAACTGTGTGACTTGAATGCAATCATCACTCAGAAGTTTCTGAGAACGCTTCTCTTTAGTTTTTACGTGAACATATACCCGTTTCGAACGAAGGCCAGCCAGTGGTCCAAATATCCACTTGCAGATTCTACAGAAAGAGTGTTTCGAACCTGAACTCTCAAAGGCAGGTTCATCTCTGCGAGTTAAATGCATTCATCATGAAGAACTTTCTCAGAGTGTTTGTGTTTAGTTATGGGAAATTATTCCCGTTTCCAACGAAATCCTCAGAGAGGTCCAAATATCCACCTGCAGATTCTATCAAAAGTGTATTTGGAAACTGCTCCATCAAAAGGCATGTTCAGCTCTGTGAGTGAAACTCCATCATCACAAAGAATATTCTGAGAATGCTTCCGTTTGCCTTTTATATGAAGTTCCTTCCTATACGACCGTAGGCCTCAAAGCAGTCCAAATCTCCATTTGCAGATTCTACAAAAAGAGTGATTCCAATCTGCTCTATCAATAGGATTGTTCAACTCCATGAGTTGAATGCCATCCTCACAAAGTAGTTTCTGAGAATGCTTCTATCTAGTTTTTATGTGAAGATATTTCCTTTTCCACCACAGGCCTCAAAGCCCTCCAAACGTCCACTTGCAGATTCTCGAAAAAGAGTGTTTCATAGCTGCTCTTTCAAAAGGAAAGTTCAACTCTGGGAGTTGAATACAAACATCACAAAGTAGTTTCCGAGAATGCTTCTGTTTAGTTTTTATGTGAAGATGATCCCGTTTCCAGTGAAATCTTCAAAGAGGTCCACATATCCCCTTGCATATTGCAAAGAAAGAGGGTTTCAAAACTGCTCCATCAGAAGGATTGTTCAACTCTGTGAGTTGAATGCAGTCATCGCAGAAAACTTTCTGAGAATGCTTCTGTCTAGGTTTGATGTGAAGATATAGACCTTTCAAACGAAGGCTACAAAGTGGTCAAAATATACACTTGCAGATTCTACTACAAGGGTGTTGCAAACCTGAACTATCAAAGGAAGGTTCAACTCTGTGAGTTGAATACAAACATCACAAAGAATGTTCTGAGTTTGCTTCCGTTCAGTTATGGGAAGTTGATCCCGTTTCCAACGAAATCCTCAGAGAGGTCCAAATATCCCCTTGCAGATTCTACAAAACGTGTGTTTGGAAACTGCTCCATCATAACGAATGTTCAGCTCCCTGAGTTAAACTCCATCGTCACAAAGAATTTTCTGAGAGTGCTACCGTCTGGTTTTTATATGAAGCTCTTTCCTTCACTACCACAGGCCTCAAAGCGGTCCAAATCTCCACTTGCAGATTCTACAAAAAGAGTGTTTGCAAACTGCTCTATCAAAAGGAATGTTCAACTCTGGGAGTTGAATGCAATCATCACAGAGCAGTTTCTGAGAATGCTTCTATGTCGTTTTTAGGAGAAGATATTTCCTTTTCCAACACAGTCCTCCAAGCCCGCTAAATAGCCACTTGCACATTGTAGAAAAAGTGTGTCAAAGCTGCGCTATCAAAGGGAAAGTTCAACTCTGTGAGGTGAATGCAAACATCCCAAAGAAGTTTCTGAGAGTGCTTCCGTTTAGCTTTTAGGTGAAGATTATCCCGTTTCCAACGAAACCTTCAAAGAGGTCCAAATATCCCCTTGCGGATCCCACAGAAAGAGTGTTTCGAAACTGCTGTTTCAAAAGGAATCTTCAACTCTGTGAGTTGAATGCAATCATCACAAAGAAGTTTCTGACAATGCTTCTCTCTCGTCTTTCTGTGAAGATAAAGGAAAAGGCTTTCAGGCCTTTTCCACCACAGGCCTGAAAGCGCTCCAAATGTCCACTTGCAGATTCTGCCAAAAGAATATTTCAAAACTGCTCTATGAAAAGCAATGTTAAACTCTGCGGCTCGAACACAAACATCACAAAGCGGTTTCTGAGAATGCTTCAGTTTAGTTTTTCTGTGGAAATATTCCCGTTTCCAAAGAAATCTTCAAAGAGGTCCACGTATCCACTTACAGATTCTACAAAAAGACAGTTTCAAAACTGCTCCATCAAAAGGAGGGTTCAACCGTGTGACTTGAATGCAATCATCACTCAGAAGTTTCTGAGAATGCTTCTCTTTAGTTTTTACGTGAACATATACCCGTTTTGAACGAAGGCCACCCAGTGGTCCAAATATCCACTTGCAGATTCTACAGAAAGAGTGTTTCGAACCTGAACTCTCAAAGGCAGGTTCATCTCTGCGAGTTAAATGCATTCATCATGAAGAACTTTCTCAGAGTGTTTGTGTTTAGTTATGGGAAATTATTCCCGTTTCCAACGAAATCCTCAGAGAGCTCCAAATATCCACCTGCAGATTCTACCAAAAGTGTATTTGGAAACTGCTCCATCAAAAGGCATGTTCAGCTCTGTGAGTGAAACTCCATCATCACAAAGAATATTCTGAGAATGCTTCCGTTTGCCTTTTATATGAAGTTCCTTCCTATACGACCGTAGGCCTCAAAGCAGTCCAAATCTCCATTTGCAGATTCTACAAAAAGAGTGATTCCAATCTGCTGTATCAATAGGATTGTTCAACTCCATGAGTTGAAAGCCATCCTCACGAAGTAGTTTCTGAGAATGCTTCTATCTGGTTTTTGTGTGAAGATATTTCCTTTTCCACCACAGGCCTCAAAGCCCTCCAAACGTCCACTTGCAGATTCTCGAAAAAGAGTGTTTCATAGCTGCTCTTTCAAAAGGAAAGTTCAACTCTGGGAGTTGAATACAAACATCTCAAAGTAGTTTCCGAGAATGCTTCTGTTTAGTTTTTATGTGAAGATGATCCCGTTTCCAGTGAAATCTTCAAAGAGGTCCACATATCCCCTTGCAGATTCCAAAGAAAGAGGGTATCAAAACTGCTCCATCAGAAGGATTGTTCAACTCTGTGAGTTGAATGCAGTCATCGCAGAAAACTTTCTGAGAATGCTTCTGTCTAGGTTTGATGTGAAGATATAGACGTTTCAAACGAAGGCTACAAAGTGGTCAAAATATACACTTGCAGATTCTACTACAAGGGTGTTGCAAACCTGAACTATCAAAGGAAGGTTCAACTCTGTGAATTGAATACAAACATCACAAAGAATGTTCTGAGTTTGCTTCCGTTCAGTTATGGGAAGTTGATCCCGTTTCCAACGAAATCCTCAGAGAGGTCCAAATATCCCCTTGCAGATTCTACAAAACGTGTGTTTGGAAACTGCTCCATCATAACGAATGTTCAGCTCCCTGAGTTAAACTCCATCGTCACAAAGAATTTTCTGAGAGTGCTACCGTCTGGTTTTTATATGAAGTTCTTTCCTTCACTACCACAGGCCTCAAAGCGGTCCAAATCTCCACTTGCAGATTCTACAAAAAGAGTGTTTGCAAACTGCTCTATCAAAAGGAATGTTCAACTCTGGGAGTTGAATGCAATCATCACAGAGCAGTTTCTGAGAATGCTTCTATGTCGTTTTTAGGAGAAGATATTTCCTTTTCCAACACAGTCCTCCAAGCCCGCTAAATAGCCACTTGCACATTGTAGAAAAAGTGTGTCAAAGCTGCGCTATCAAAGGGAAAGTTCAACTCTGTGAGGTGAATGCAAACATCCCAAAGAAGTTTCTGAGAATGCTTCCGTTTAGCTTTTAGGTGAAGATTATCCCGTTTCCAACGAAACCTTCAAAGAGGTCCAAATATCCCCTTGCGGATCCCACAGAAAGAGTGTTTCGAAACTGCTGTTTCAAAAGGAATCTTCAACTCTGTGAGTTGAATGCAATCATCACAAAGAAGTTTCTGACAATGCTTCTCTCTCGTCTTTCTGTGAAGATAAAGGAAAAGGCTTTCAGGCCTTTTCCACCACAGGCCTGAAAGCGCTCCAAATGTCCACTTGCAGATTCTGCGAAAAGAATATTTCAAAACTGCTCTATGAAAAGCAATGTTAAACCCTGTGGCTCGAACACAAACATCACAAAGCGGTTTCTGAGAATGCTTCAGTTTAGTTTTTCTGTGGAAATATTCCCGTTTCCAAAGAAATCTTCAAAGAGGTCCACGTATCCACTTACAGATTCTACAAAAAGACAGTTTCAAAACTGCTCCATCAAAAGGAGGGTTCAACTGTGTGACTTGAATGCAATCATCACTCAGAAGTTTCTGAGAATGCTTCTCTTTAGTTTTTACGTGAACATATACCCGTTTCGAACGAAGGCCACCCAGTGGTCCAAATATCCACTTGCAGATTCTACAGAAAGAGTGTTTCGAACCTGAACTCTCAAAGGAAGGTTCATCTCTGCGAGTTAAATGCATTCATCATGAAGAACTTTCTCAGAGTGTTTCTGTTTAGTTATGGGAAATTATTCCCGTTTCCAACGAAATCCTCAGAGAGCTCCAAATATCCACCTGCAGATTCTACCAAAAGTGTATTTGGAAACTGCTCCATCAAAAGGCATGTTCAGCTCTGTGAGTGAAACTCCATCAGCACAAAGAATATTCTGAGAATGCTTCCGTTTGCCTTTTATATGAAGTTCCTTCCTATACTACCGTAGGCCTCAAAGCAGTCCAAATCTCCATTTGCAGATTCTACAAAAAGAGTGATTCCAATCTGCTCTATCAATAGGATTGTTGAACTCCATGATTTGAATGCCATCCTCACAAAGTCGTTTGTGAGAATGCTTCTATCTAGTTTTTATGTGAAGATATTTCCTTTTCCACCACAGGCCTCAAAGCCCTCCAAACGTCCACTTGCAGATTCTCGAAAAAGAGTGTTTCATAGCTGCTCTTTCAAAAGGAAAGTTCAACTCTGGGAGTTGAATACAAACATCACAAAGTAGTTTCTGAGAATGCTTCTGTTTAGTTCTTATGTGAAGATGATCCCGTTTCCAGTGAAATCTTCAAAGAGGTCCACATATCCCCTTGCAGATTCCAAAGAAAGAGGGTTTCAAAACTGCTCCATCAAAAGGATTGTTCAACTCTGTGAGTTGAATGCAGTCATCGCAGAAAACTTTCTGAGAATGCTTCTGTCTAGGTTTGAGGTGAAGATATAGACGTTTCAAACGAAGGCTACAAAGTGGTCAAAATATACACTTGCAGATGCTACTACAAGGGTGTTGCAAACCTGAACTATCAAAGGAAGGTTCAACTCTGTGAGTTGAATACAAACATCACAAAGAATGTTCTGAGTTTGCTTCCGTTCAGTTATGGGAAGTTGATCCCGTTTCCAACGAAATCCTCAGAGAGGTCCAAATATCCCCTTGCAGATTCTACAAAACGTGTGTTTGGAAACTGCTCCATCATAACGAATGTTCAGCTCTCTGAGTTAAACTCCATCGTCACAAAGAATTTTCTGAGAGTGCTACCGTCTAGTTTTTATAGGAAGTTCTTTCCTTTACTACCACAGGCCTCAAAGCGGTCCAAATCTCCACTTGCAGATTCTACAAAAAGAGTGTTTGCAAACTGCTCTATCAAAAGGAATGTTCAACTCTGGGAGTTGAATGCAATCATCACAGAGCAGTTTCTGAGAATGCTTCTATGTGGTTTTTAGGAGAAGATATTTCCTTTTCCAACACAGTCCTGCAAGCCCGCTAAATATCCACTTGCACATTTTAGAAAAAGTGTGTCGAAGCTGCGCTATCAAAGGGAAAGTTCGACTCTGTGAGGTGAATGCAAACATCCCAAAGAAGTTTCTGAGAATGCTTCCGTTTAGCTTTTAGGTGAAGATTATCCCGTTTCCAACGAAATCTTCAAAGAGGTCCAAATATCCCCTTGCGGATCCCACAGAAAGAGTGTTTCGAAACTGCTGTTTCAAAAGGAATCTTCAACTCTGTGAGTTGAATGCAATCATCACAAAGAAGTTTCTGACAATGCTTCTCTCTCGTCTTTCTGTGAAGATAAAGGAAAAGGCTTTCAGGCCTTTTCCACCACAGGCCTGAAAGCGCTCCAAATGTCCACTTGCAGATTCTGCCAAAAGAATATTTCAAAACTGCTCTATGAAAAGCAATGTTAAACTCTGCGGCTCGAACACAAACATCACAAAGCAGTTTCTGAGAATGCTTCAGTTTAGTTTTTCTGTGGAAATATTCCCGTTTCCAAAGAAATCTTCAAAGAGGTCCACGCATCCACTTACAGATTCTACAAAAAGACAGTTTCAAAACTGCTCAATCAAAAGGAGGGTTCAACTGTGTGACTTGAATGCAATCATCACTCAGAAGTTTCTGAGAACGCTTCTCTTTAGTTTTTACGTGAACATATACCCGTTTCGAACGAAGGCCACCCTGTGGTCCAAATATCCACTTGCAGATTCTACAGAAAGAGTGTTTCGAACCTGAACTCTCAAAGGCAGGTTCATCTCTGTGAGTTAAATGCATTCATCATGAAGAACTTTCTCAGCGTGTTTGTGTTTAGTTATGGGAAATTATTCCCGTTTCCAACGAAATCCTCAGAGAGCTCCAAATATCCACCTGCAGATTCTACCAAAAGTGTATTTGGAAACTGCTCCATCAAAAGGTATGTTCAGCTCTGTGAGTGAAACTCCATCATCACAAAGAATATTCTGAGAATGCTTCCGTTTGCCTTTTATATGAAGTTCCTTCCTATACTACCGTAGGCCTCAAAGCAGTCCAAATCTCCATTTGCAGATTCTACAAAAAGAGTGATTCCAATCTCCTCTATCAATAGGACTGTTCAACTCCATGAGTTGAATGCCATCCTCACAAAGTCGTTTGTGAGAATGCTTCTATCTAGTTTTCATGTGAAGATATTTCCTTTTCCACCACAGGCCTCAAAGCCCTCCAAACGTCCACTTGCAGATTCTCGAAAAAGAGTGTTTCATAGCTGCTCTTTCAAAAGGAAAGTTCAACTCTGGGAGGTGAATACAAACATCACAAATTAGTTTCCGAGAATGCTTCTGTTTAGTTCTTATGTGAAGATGATCCCGTTTCCAGTGAAATCTTCAAAGAGGTCCACATATCCCCTTGCAGATTCCAAAGAAAGAGGGTTTCAAAACTGCTCCATCAAAAGGATTGTTCAACTCTGTGAGTTGAATGCAGTCATCGCAGAAAACTTTCTGAGAATGCTTCTGTCTAGGTTTGATGTGAAGATATAGACGTTTCAAACGAAGGCTACAAAGTGGTCAAAATATACACTTGCAGATTCTACTACAAGGGTGATGCAAACCTCAACTATCAAAGGAAGGTTCAACTCTGTGAGATGAATGCAACCATCACAAAAAATGTTCTGAGTTTGCTTCCGTTCAGTTATGGGAAATTGATACCGTTTCCAACGAAATCCTCAGAGAGGTCCAAATATCCCCTTGCAGATTCTACAAAACGTGTGTTTGGAAACTGCTCCATCATAACGAATGTTCAGCTCTCTGAGTTAAACTCCATCGTCACAAAGAATTTTCTGAGAGTGCTACCGTCTAGTTTTTATATGAAGTTCTTTCCTTTACTACCACAGGCCTCAAAGCGGTCCAAATCTCCACTTGCAGATTCTACAAAAAGAGTGTTTGCAAACTGCTCTATCAAAAGGAATGTTCAACTCTGGGAGTTGAAAGCAATCATCACAGAGCAGTTTCTGAGAATGCTTCTATGTCGTTTTTAGGAGAAGATATTTCCTTTTCCAACACAGTCCTCCAAGCCCGCTAAATATCCACTTGCACATTGTAGAAAAAGTGTGTCGAAGCTGCGCTATCAAAGGGAAAGTTCAACTCTGTGAGGTGAATGCAAACATCCCAAAGAAGTTTCTGAGAATACTTCCGTTTAGCTTTTAGGTGAAGATTATCCCGTTTCCAACGAAATCTTCAAAGAGGTCCAAATATCCCCCTGCGGATCCCACAGAAAGAGTGTTTCGAAACTGCTGTTTCAAAAGGAATCTTCAACTCTGTGAGTTGAATGCAATCATCACAAAGAAGTTTCTGACAATGCTTCTCTCTCGTCTTTCTGTGAAGATAAAGGAAAAGGCTTTCAGGCCTTTTCCACCGCAGGCCTGAAAGCGCTCCAAATGTCCACTTGCAGATTCTGCTAAAAGAATATTTCAAAACTGCTCTATGAAAAGCAATGTTAAACTCTGCGGCTCGAACACAAACATCACAAAGCAGTTTCTGAGAATGCTTCAGTTTAGTTTTTCTGTGGAAATATTCCCGTTTCCAAAGAAATCTTCAAAGAGGTCCACGCATCCACTTACAGATTCTACAAAAAGACAGTTTCAAAACTGCTCAATCAAAAGGAGGGTTCAACTGTGTGACTTGAATGCAATCATCACTCAGAAGTTTCTGAGAACGCTTCTCTTTAGTTTTTACGTGAACATATACCCGTTTCGAACGAAGGCCACCCAGTGGTCCAAATATCCACTTGCAGATTATACAGAAAGAGTGTTTCGAACCTGAACTCTCAAAGGCAGGTTCATCTCTGCGAGTTAAATGCATTCATCATGAAGAACTTTCTCAGAGTGTTTGTGCTTAGTTATGGGAAATTATTCCCGTTTCCAACGAAATCCTCAGAGTGGTCCAAATATCCACCTGCAGATTCTACCAAAAGTGTATTTGGAAACTGCTCCATCAAAAGGCATGTTCAGCTCTGTGAGTGAAACTCCATCATCACAAAGAATATTCTGAGAATGCTTCCGTTTGCCTTTTATCTGAAGTTCCTTCCTATATGACCGTAGGCCTCAAAGCAGTCCAAATCTCCATTTGCAGATTCTACAAAAAGAGTGATTCCAATCTGCTCTATCAATAGGATTGTTCAACTCCATGAGTTGAATGCCATCCTCACAAAGTCGTTTCTGAGAATGCTTCTATCTAGTTTTTATGTGAAGATATTTCCTTTTCCACCACAGGCCTCAAAGCCCTCCAAACGTCCACTTGCAGATTCTCGAAAAAGAGTGTTTCATAGCTGCTCTTTCAAAAGGAAAGTTCAACTCTGGCAGTTGAATACAAACATCACAAAGTAGTTTCCGAGAATGCTTCTGTTTAGTTTTTATGTGAAGATGATCCCGTTTCCAGTGAAATCTTCAAAGAGGTCCACATATCCCCTTGCAGATTCCAAAGAAAGAGGGTTTCAAAACTGCTCCATCAGAAGGATTGTTCAACTCTGTGAGTTGAATGCAGTCATCGCAGAAAACTTTCTGAGAATGCTTCTGTCTAGGTTTGATGTGAAGCATATAGACGTTTCAAACGAAGGCTACAAAGTGGTCAAAATATACACTTGCAGATTCTACTACAAGGGTGATGCAAACCTGAACTATCAAAGGAAGGTTCAACTCTGTGAGTTGAATACAAACATCACAAAGAATGTTCTGAGTTTGCTTCCGTTCAGTTATGGGAAGTTGATCCCATTTCCAACGAAATCCTCAGAGAGGTCCAAATATCCCCTTGCAGATTCTACAAAACGTGTGTTTGGAAACTGCTCCATCATAACGAATGTTCAGCTCTCTGAGTTAAACTCCATCGTCACAAAGAATTTTCTGAGGGTGCTACCGTCTGGTTTTTATATGAAGTTCTTTCCTTTATTACCACAGGCCTCAAAGCGGTCCAAATCTCCACTTGCAGATTCTACAAAAAGAGTGTTTGCAAACTGCTCTATCAAAAGGAATGTTCAACTCTGGGAGTTGAATGCAATCATCACAGAGCAGTTTCTGAGAATGCTTCTATGTCGTTTTTAGGAGAAGATATTTCCTTTTCCAACACAGTCCTCCAAGCCCGCTAAATATCCACTTGCACATTGTAGAAAAAGTGTGTCGAAGCTGCGCTATCAAAGGGAAAGTTCAACTCTGTGAGGTGAATGCAAACATCCCAAAGAAGTTTCTGAGAATGCTTCCGTTTAGCTTTTAGGTGAAGATTATCCCGTTTCCAACGAAATCTTCAAAGAGGTCCAAATATCCCCTTGCGGATCCCACAGAAAAAGTGTTTCGAAACTGCTGTTTCAAAAGGAATCTTCAACTCTGTGAGTTGAATGCAATCATCACAAAGAAGTTTCTGACAATGCTTCTCTCTCGTCTTTCTGTGAAGATAAAGGAAAAGGCTTTCAGGCCTTTTCCACCACAGGCCTGAAAGCGCTCCAAATGTCCACTTGCAGATTCTGCCAAAAGAATATTTCAAAACTGCTCTATGAAAAGCAATGTTAAACTCTGCGGCTCGAACACAAACATCACAAAGCAGTTTCTGAGAATGCTTCAGTTTAGTTTTTCTGTGGAAATATTCCCGTTTCCAAAGAAATCTTCAAAGAGGTCCACGTATCCACTTACAGATTCTACAAAAAGACAGTTTCAAAACTGCTCAATCAAAAGGAGGGTTCAACTGTGTGACTTGAATGCAATCATCACTCAGAAGTTTCTGAGAATGCTTCTCTTTAGTTTTTACGTGAACATATACCCGTTTCGAACGAAGGCCACCCAGTGGTCCAAATATCCACTTGCAGATTCTACAGAAAGAGTGTTTCGAACCTGAACTCTCAAAGGCAGGTTCATCTCTGCGAGTTAAATGCATTCGTCATGAAGAACTTTCTCAGAGTGTTTTGTGTTTAGTTATGGGAAATTATTCCCGTTTCCAACGAAATCCTCAGAGAGCTCCAAATATCCACCTGCTGATTCTACCAAAAGTGTATTTGGAAACTGCTCCATCAAAAGGCATGTTCAGGTCTGTGAGTGAAACTCCATCATCACAAAGAATATTCTGAGAATGCTTCCGTTTGCCTTTTATATGAAGTTCCTTCCTATACTACCGTAGGCCTCAAAGCAGTCCAAATCTCCATTTGCAGATTCTACAAAAAGAGTGATTCCAATCTCCTCTATCAATAGGACTGTTCAACTCCATGAGTTGAATGCCATCCTCACAAAGTCGTTTCTGAGAATGCTTCTATCTAGTTTTTATGTGAAGATATTTCCTTTTCCACCACAGGCCTCAAAGCCCTCCAAACGTCCACTTGCAGATTCTCGAAAAAGAGTGTTTCATAGCTGCTCTTTCAAAAGGAAAGTTCAACTCTGGGAGTTGAATACAAACATCACAAAGTAGTTTCCGAGAATGCTTCTGTTTAGTTTTTATGTGAAGATGACCCCGTTTCCAGTGAAATCATCAAAGAGGTCCACATATCCCCTTGCAGATTCCAAAGAAAGAGGGTTTCAAAACTGCTCCATCAGAAGGATTGTTCAACTCTGTGAGTTGAATGCAGTCATCGCAGAAAACTTTCTGAGAATGCTTCTTTCTAGGTTTGATGTGAAGATATAGACGTTTCAAACGAAGGCTACAAAGTGGTCAAAATATACACTTGCAGATTCTACTACAAG
Organism: Homo sapiens; assembly: GCF_000001405.40. Classification (NCBI taxonomy): domain Eukaryota; kingdom Metazoa; phylum Chordata; class Mammalia; order Primates; family Hominidae; genus Homo; species Homo sapiens. The sequence continues at coordinate 61,071,605 of NC_000023.11, read as the reverse complement.
GGTGTTGCAAACCTGAACTATCAAAGGAAGGTTCAACTCTGTGAGTTGAATACAAACATCACAAAGAATGTTCTGAGTTTGCTTCCGTTCAGTTATGGGAAGTTGATCCCGTTTCCAACGAAATCCTCAGAGAGGTCCAAATATCCCCTCGCAGATTCTACAAAACGTGTGTTTGGAAACTGCTCCATCATAACGAATGTTCAGCTCCCTGAGTTAAACTCCATCGTCACAAAGAATTTTCTGAGAGTGCTACCGTCTGGTTTTTATATGAAGTTCTTTCCTTCACTACCACAGGCCTCAAAGCGGTCCAAATCTCCACTTGCAGATTCTACAAAAAGAGTGTTTGCAAACTGCTCTATCAAAAGGAATGTTCAACTCTGGGAGTTGAATGCAATCATCACAGAGCAGTTTCTGAGAATGCTTCTATGTCGTTTTTAGGAGAAGATATTTCCTTTTCCAACACAGTCCTCCAAGCCCGCTAAATAGCCACTTGCACATTGTAGAAAAAGTGTGTCAAAGCTGCGCTATCAAAGGGAAAGTTCAACTCTGTGAGGTGAATGCAAACATCCCAAAGAAGTTTCTGAGAATGCTTCCGTTTAGCTTTTAGGTGAAGATTATCCCGTTTCCAACGAAACCTTCAAAGAGGTCCAAATATCCCCTTGCGGATCCCACAGAAAGAGTGTTTCGAAACTGCTGTTTCAAAAGGAATCTTCAACTCTGTGAGTTGAATGCAATCATCACAAAGAAGTTTCTGACAATGCTTCTCTCTCGTCTTTCTGTGAAGATAAAGGAAAAGGCTTTCAGGCCTTTGCCACCACAGGCCTGAAAGCGCTCCAAATGTCCACTTGCAGATTCTGCCAAAAGAATATTTCAAAACTGCTCTATGAAAAGCAATGTTAAACTCTGTGGCTCGAACACAAACATCACAAAGCAGTTTCTGAGAATGCTTCAGTTTAGTTTTTCTGTGGAAATATTCCCGTTTCCAAAGAAATCTTCAAAGAGGTCCACGCATCCACTTACAGATTCTACAAAAAGACAGTTTCAAAACTGCTCAATCAAAAGGAGGGTTCAACTGTGTGACTTGAATGCAATCATCACTCAGAAGTTTGCTGAGAACGCTTCTCTTTAGTTTTTACGTGAACATATACCCGTTTCGAACGAAGGCCACCCAGTGGTCCAAATATCCACTTGCAGATTATACAGAAAGAGTATTTCGAACCTGAACTCTCAAAGGCAGGTTCATCTCTGCGAGTTAAATGCATTCATCATGAAGAACTTTCTCAGAGTGTTTGTGTTTAGTTATGGGAAATTATTCCCGTTTCCAACGAAATCCTCAGAGAGCTCCAAATATCCACCTGCAGATTCTACCAAAAGTGTATTTGGAAACTGCTCCATCAAAAGGCATGTTCAGCTCTGTGAGTGAAACTCCATCATCACAAAGAATATTCTGAGAATGCTTCCGTTTGCCTTTTATATGAAGTTCCTTCCTGTACTACCGTAGGCCTCAAAGCAGTCCAAATCTCCATTTGCAGATTCTATAAAAAGAGTGATTCCAATCTGCTCTATCAATAGGATTGTTCAACTCCATGATTTGAATGCCATCCTCACAAAGTAGTTTCTGAGAATGCTTCTATCTGGTTTTTGTGTGAAGATATTTCCTTTTCCACCACAGGCCTCAAAGCCCTCCAAACGTCCACTTGCAGATTCTCGAAAAAGAGTGTTTCATAGCTGCTCTTTCAAAAGGAAAGTTCAACTCTGGGAGTTGAATGCAAACATCACAAAATAGTTTCCGAGAATGCTTCTGTTTAGTTTTTATGTGAAGATGATCCCGTTTCCAGTGAAATCTTCAAAGAGGTCCACATATCCCCTTGCAGATTCCAAAGAAAGAGGGTTTCAAAACTGCTCCATCAGAAGGATTGTTCAACTCTGTGAGTTGAATGCAGTCATCGCAGAAAACTTTCTGAGAATGCTTCTGTCTAGGTTTGGTGTGAAGATATAGATGTTTCAAACGAAGGCTACAAAGTGGTCAAAATATACACTTGCAGATTCTACTACAAGGGTGTTGCAAACCTGAACTATCAAAGGAAGGTTCAACTCTGTGAGTTGAATACAAACATCACAAAGAATGTTCTGAGTTTGCTTCCGTTCAGTTATGGGAAGTTGATCCCGTTTCCAACGAAATCCTCAGAGAGGTCCAAATATCCCCTTGCAGATTCTACAAAACGTGTGTTTGGAAACTGCTCCATCATAACGAATGTTCAGCTCCCTGAGTTAAACTCCATCGTCACAAAGAATTTTCTGAGAGTGCTACCGTCTGGTTTTTATATGAAGTTCTTTCCTTCACTACCACAGGCCTCAAAGCGGTCCAAATCTCCACTTGCAGATTCTACAAAAAGAGTGTTTGCAAACTGCTCTATCAAAAGGAATGTTCAACTCTGGGAGTTGAATGCAATCATCACAGAGCAGTTTCTGAGAATGCTTCTATGTCGTTTTTAGGAGAAGATATTTCCTTTTCCAACACTGTCCTCCAAGCCCGCTAAATAGCCACTTGCACATTGTAGAAAAAGTGTGTCAAAGCTGCGCTATCAAAGGGAAAGTTCAACTCTGTGAGGTGAATGCAAACATCCCAAAGAAGTTTCTGAGAATGCTTCCGTTTAGCTTTTAGGTGAAGATTATCCCGTTTCCAACGAAACCTTCAAAGAGGTCCAAATATCCCCTTGCGGATCCCACAGAAAGAGTGTTTCGAAACTGCTGTTTCAAAAGGAATCTTCAACTCTGTGAGTTGAATGCAATCATCACAAAGAAGTTTCTGACAATGCTTCTCTCTCGTCTTTCTGTGAAGATAAAGGAAAAGGCTTTCAGGCCTGTTCCACCACAGGCCTGAAAGCGCTCCAAATGTCCACTTGCAGATTCTGCGAAAAGAATATTTCAAAACTGCTCTATGAAAAGCAATGTTAAACTCTGTGGCTGGAACACAAACATCACAAAGCGGTTTCTGAGAATGTTTCAGTTTAGTTTTTCTGTGGAAATATTCCCGTTTCCAAAGAAATCTTCAAAGAGGTCCACGTATCCACTTACAGATTCTACAAAAAGACAGTTTCAAAACTGCTCCATCAAAAGGAGGGTTCAACTGTGTGACTTGAATGCAATCATCACTCAGAAGTTTCTGAGAATGCTTCTCTTTAGTTTTTACGTGAACATATACCCGTTTCGAACGAAGGCCACCCAGTGGTCCTAATATCCACTTGCAGATTCTACAGAAAGAGTGTTTCGAACCTGAACTCTCAAAGGCAGGTTCATCTCTGCGAGTTAAATGCATTAATCATGAAGAACTTTCTCAGAGTGTTTGTGTTTAGTTATGGGAAATTATTCCCGTTTCCAACTAAATCCTCAGAGAGGTCCAAATATCCACCTGCAGATTCTACCAAAAGTGTATTTGGAAACTGCTCCATCAAAAGGCATGTTCAGCTCTGTGAGTGAAACTCCATCATCGCAAAGAATATTCTGAGAATGCTTCCGTTTGCCTTTTATATGAAGTTCCTTCCTATACTACCGTAGGCCTCAAAGCAGTCCAAATCTCCATTTGCAGATTCTACAAAAAGAGTGATTCCAATCTGCTCTATCAATAGGATTGTTCAACTCCATGAGTTGAATGCCATCCTCACAAAGTCGTTTCTGAGAATGCTTCTATCTAGTTTTTATGTGAAGATATTTCCTTTTCCACCACAGGCCTCAAAGCCCTCCAAACGTCCACTTGCAGATTCTCGAAAAAGTGTGTTTCATAGCTGCTGTTTCAAAAGGAAAGTTCAACTCTGGGAGTTGAATACAAACATCACAAAGTAGTTTCCGAGAATGCTTCTGTTTAGTTCTTATGTGAAGATGATCCCGTTTCCAGTGAAATCTTCAAAGAGGTCCACATATCCCCTTGCAGATTCCAAAGAAAGAGGGTTTCAAAACTGCTCCATCAAAAGGATTGTTCAACTCGGTGAGTTGAATGCAGTCATCGCAGAAAACTTTCTGAGAATGCTTCTGTCTAGGTTTGATGTGAAGATATAGACGTTTCAAACGAAGGCTACAAAGTGGTCAAAATATACACTTGCAGATTCTACTACAAGGGTGATGCAAACCTGAACTATCAAAGGAAGGTTCAACTCTGTGAGTTGAATACAAACATCACAAAGAATGTTCTGAGTTTCCTTCCATTCAGTTATGGGAAGTTGATCCCGTTTCCAACGAAATCCTCAGAGAGGTCCAAATATCCCCTTGCAGATTCTACAAAACGTGTGTTTTGAAACTGCTCCATCATAACGAATGTTCAGCTCTCTGAGTTAAACTCCATCGTCACAAAGAATTTTCTGAGAGTGCTACCATCTAGTTTTTATATGAAGTTCTTTCCTTTACTACCACAGGCCTCAAAGCGGTCCAAATCTCCACTTGCAGATTCTACAAAAAGAGTGTTTGCAAACTGCTCTATCAAAAGGAATGTTCAACTCTGGGAGTTGAATGCAATCATCACAGAGCAGTTTCTGAGAATGCTTCTATGTCGTTTTTAGGAGAAGATATTTCCTTTTCCAACACAGTCCTCCAAGCCCGCTAAATATCCACTTGCACATTGTAGAAAAAGTGTGTCGAAGCTGCGCTATCAAAGGGAAAGTTCAACTCTGTGAGGTGAATGCAAACATCCCAAAGAAGTTTCTGAGAATGCTTCCGTTTAGCTTTAAGTGAAGATTATCCCGTTTCCAACGAAATCTTCAAAGAGGTCCAAATATCCCCTTGCGGATCCCACAGAAAGAGTGTTTCGAAACTGCTGTTTCAAAAGGAATCTTCAACTCTGTGAGTTGAATGCAATCATCACAAAGAAGTTTCTGACAATGCTTCTCTCTCGTCTTTCTGTGAAGATAAAGGAAAAGGCTTTCAGGCCATTTCCACCACAGGCCTGAAAGCGCTCCAAATGTCCACTTGCAGATTCTGCCAAAAGAATATTTCAAAACTGCTCTATGAAAAGCAATGTTAAACTCTGCGGCTCGAACACAAACATCACAAAGCAGTTTCTGAGAATGCTTCAGTTTAGTTTTTCTGTGGAAATATTCCCGTTTCCAAAGAAATCTTCAAAGAGGTCCACGCATCCACTTACAGATTCTACAAAAAGACAGTTTCAAAACTGCTCAATCAAAAGGAGGGTTCAACTGTGTGACTTGAATGCATTCATCACTCAGAAGTTTTTGAGAACGCTTCTCTTTAGTTTTTACGTGAACATATACCCGTTTCGAACGAAGGCCAGCCAGTGGTCCAAATATCCACTTGCAGATTCTACAGAAAGAGTGTTTTGAACCTGAACTCTCAAAGGCAGGTTCATCTCTGCGAGTTAAATGCATTCATCATGAAGAACTTTCTCAGCGTGTTTGTGTTTAGTTATGGGAAATTATTCCCGTTTCCAACGAAATCCTCAGAGAGCTCCAAATATCCACCTGCAGATTGTACCAAAACTGTATTTGGAAACTGCTCCATGAAAAGGCATGTTCAGCTCTCTGAGTGAAACTCCGTCATCACAAAGAATATTCTGAGAATGCTTCCGTTTGCCTTTTATATGAAGTTCCTTCCTATACTACCGTAGGCCTCAAAGCAGTCCAAATCTCCATTTGCAGATTCTACAAAAAGAGTGATTCCAATCTGCTCTATCAATAGGATTGTTCAACTCCATGAGTTGAATGCCATCCTCACAAAGTAGTTTCTGAGAATGCTTCTATCTGGTTTTTGTGTGAAGATATTTCCTTTTCCACCACAGGCCTCAAAGCCCTCCAAACGTCCACTTGCAGATTCTCGAAAAGGAGTGTTTCATAGCTGCTCTTTCAAAAGGAAAGTTCAACTCTGGGAGTTGAATACAAACATCACAAAATAGTTTCCGAGAATGCTTCTGTTTAGTTTTTATGTGAAGATGATCCCGTTTCCAGTGAAATCTTCAAAGAGGTCCACATATCCCCTTGCAGATTCCAAAGAAAGAGGGTTTCAAAACTGCTCCATCAAAAGGATTGTTCAACTCTGTGAGTTGAATGCAGTCATCGCAGAAAACTTTCTGAGAATGCTTCTGTCTAGGTTTGATGTGAAGATATAGACGTTTCAAACGAAGGCTACAAAGTGGTCAAAATATACACTTGCAGATTCTACTACAAGGGTGTTGCAAACCTGAACTATCAAAGGAAGGTTCAACTCTGTGAGTTGAATACAAACATCACAAAGAATGTTCTGAGTTTGCTTCCGTTCAGTTATGGGAAGTTGATCCCGTTTCCAACGAAATCCTCAGAGAGGTCCAAATATCCCCTTGCAGATTCTACAAAACGTGTGTTTGGAAACTGCTCCATCATAACGAATGTTCAGCTCCCTGAGTTAAACTCCATCGTCACAAAGAATTTTCTGAGAGTGCTACCGTCTGGTTTTTATATGAAGTTCTTTCCTTCACTACCACAGGCCTCAAAGCGGTCCAAATCTCCACTTGCAGATTCTACAAAAAGAGTGTTTGCAAACTGCTCTATCAAAAGGAATGTTCAACTCTGGGAGTTGAATGCAATCATCACAGAGCAGTTTCTGAGAATGCTTCTATGTCGTTTTTAGGAGAAGATATTTCCTTTTCCAACACAGTCCTCCACGCCCGCTAAATATCCACTTGCACATTGTAGAAAAAAAGTGTGTCAAAGCTGCGCTATCAAAGGGAAAGTTCAACTCTGTGAGGTGAATGCAAACATCCCAAAGAAGTTTCTGAGAGTGCTTCCGTTTAGCTTTTAGGTGAAGATTATCCCGTTTCCAACGAAAGCTTCAAAGAGGTCCAAATATCCCCTTGCGGATCCCACAGAAAGAGTGTTTCGAAACTGCTGTTTCAAAAGGAATCTTCAACTCTGTGAGTTGAATGCAATCATCACAAAGAAGTTTCTGACAATGCTTCTCTCTCGTCTTTCTGTGAAGATAAAGGAAAAGGCTTTCAGGCCTTTTCCACCACAGGCCTGAAAGCGCTCCAAATGTCCACTTGCAGATTCTGCCAAAAGAATATTTCAAAACTGCTCTATGAAAAGCAATGTTAAACTCTGTGGCTCGAACACAAACATCACAAAGCGGTTTCTGAGAATGCTTCAGTTTAGTTTTTCTGTGAAAATATTCCCGTTTCCAAAGAAATCTTCAAAGAGGTCCACGTATCCACTTACAGATTCTACAAAAAGACAGTTTCAAAACTGCTCCATCAAAAGGAGGGTTCAACTGTGTGACTTGAATGCAATCATCACTCAGAAGTTTCTGAGAATGCTTCTCTTTAGTTTTTACGTGAACATATACCCGTTTCGAACGAAGGCCACCCAGTGGTCCAAATATCCACTTGCAGATTCTACAGAAAGAGTGTTTCGAACCTGATCTCTCAAAGGCAGGTCCATCTCTGCGAGTTAAATGCATTCATCATGAAGAACTTTCTCAGATTGTTTGTGTTTAGTTATGGGAAATTATTCCCGTTTCCAACGAAATCCTCAGAGAGCTCCAAATATCCACCTGTAGATTCTACCAAAAGTGTATTTGGAAACTGCTCCATCAAAAGGCATGTTCAGCTCTGTGAGTGAAACTCCATCATCACAAAGAATATTCTGAGAATGCTTCCGTTTGCCTTTTATATGAACTTCCTTCCTGTACCACCGTAGGCCTCAAAGCAGTCCAAATCTCCATTTGCAGATTCTACAAAAAGAGTGATTCCAATCTGCTCTATCAATAGGATTGTTCAACTCCATGAGTTGAATGCCATCCTCACAAAGTAGTTTCTGAGAATGCTTCTATCTGGTTTTTGTGTGAAGATATTTCCTTTTCCACCACAGGCCTCAAAGCCCTCCAAACGTCCACTTGCAGATTCTCGAAAAAGAGTGTTTCATAGCTGCTCTTTCAAAAGGAAAGTTCAACTCTGGGAGTTGAATACAAACATCACAAAATAGTTTCCGAGAATGCTTCTGTTTAGTTTTTATGTGAAGATGACCCCGTTTCCAGTGAAATCATCAAAGAGGTCCACATATCCCCTTGCAGATTCCAAAGAAAGAGGGTTTCAAAACTGCTCCATCAGAAGGATTGTTCAACTCTGTGAGTTGAATGCAGTCATCGCAGAAAACTTTCTGAGAATGCTTCTTTCTAGGTTTGATGTGAAGATATAGACGTTTCAAACGAAGGCTACAAAGTGGTCAAAATATACACTTGCAGATTCTACTACAAGGGTGTTGCAAACCTGAACTATCAAAGGAAGGTTCAACTCTGTGAGTTGAATACAAACATCACAAAGAATGTTCTGAGTTTGCTTCCGTTCAGTTATGGGAAGTTGATCCCGTTTCCAACGAAATCCTCAGAGAGGTCCAAATATCCCCTCGCAGATTCTACAAAACGTGTGTTTGGAAACTGCTCCATCATAACGAATGTTCAGCTCCCTGAGTTAAACTCCATCGTCACAAAGAATTTTCTGAGAGTGCTACCGTCTGGTTTTTATATGAAGTTCTTTCCTTCACTACCACAGGCCTCAAAGCGGTCCAAATCTCCACTTGCAGATTCTACAAAAAGAGTGTTTGCAAACTGCTCTATCAAAAGGAATGTTCAACTCTGGGAGTTGAATGCAATCATCACAGAGCAGTTTCTGAGAATGCTTCTATGTCGTTTTTAGGAGAAGATATTTCCTTTTCCAACACAGTCCTCCAAGCCCGCTAAATAGCCACTTGCACATTGTAGAAAAAGTGTGTCAAAGCTGCGCTATCAAAGGGAAAGTTCAACTCTGTGAGGTGAATGCAAACATCCCAAAGAAGTTTCTGAGAATGCTTCCGTTTAGCTTTTAGGTGAAGATTATCCCGTTTCCAACGAAACCTTCAAAGAGGTCCAAATATCCCCTTGCGGATCCCACAGAAAGAGTGTTTCGAAACTGCTGTTTCAAAAGGAATCTTCAACTCTGTGAGTTGAATGCAATCATCACAAAGAAGTTTCTGACAATGCTTCTCTCTCGCCTTTCTGTGAAGATAAAGGAAAAGGCTTTCAGGCCTGTTCCACCACAGGCCTGAAAGCGCTCCAAATGTCCACTTGCAGATTCTGCGAAAAGAATATTTCAAAACTGCTCTATGAAAAGCAATGTTAAACTCTGTGGCTGGAACACAAACATCACAAAGCGGTTTCTGAGAATGTTTCAGTTTAGTTTTTCTGTGGAAATATTCCCGTTTCCAAAGAAATCTTCAAAGAGGTCCACGTATCCACTTACAGATTCTACAAAAAGACAGTTTCAAAACTGCTCCATCAAAAGGAGGGTTCAACCGTGTGACTTGAATGCAATCATCACTCAGAAGTTTCTGAGAATGCTTCTCTTTAGTTTTTACGTGAACATATACCCGTTTCGAACGAAGGCCACCCAGTGGTCCAAATATCCACTTGCAGATTCTACAGAAAGAGTGTTTCCAACCTGAACTCTCAAAGGCAGGTTCATCTCTGCGAGTTAAATGCATTCATCATGAAGAACTTTCTCAGAGTGTTTGTGTTTAGTTATGGGAAATTATTAACGTTTCCAACGAAATCCTCAGAGAGCTCCAAATATCCACCTGCAGATTCTACCAAAAGTGTATTTGGAAACTGCTCCATCAAAAGGCATGTTCAGCTCTGTGAGTGAAACTCCATCATCACAAAGAATATTCTGAGAATGCTTCCGTTTGCCTTTTATCTGAAGTTCCTTCCTATACGACCGTAGGCCTCAAAGCAGTCCAAATCTCCATTTGCAGATTCTACAAAAAGAGTGATTCCAATCTGCTCTATCAATAGGATTGTTCAACTCCATGAGTTGAATGCCATCCTCACAAAGTCGTTTCTGAGAATGCTTCTATCTAGTTTTTATGTGAAGATATTTCCTTTTCCACCACAGGCCTCAAAGCCCTCCAAACGTCCACTTGCAGATTCTCGAAAAAGAGTGTTTCATAGCTGCTCTTTCAAAAGGAAAGTTCAACTCTGGGAGTTGAATACAAACATCACAAAGTAGTTTCCGAGAATGCTTCTGTTTAGTTTTTATGTGAAGATGATCCCGTTTCCAGTGAAATCTTCAAAGAGGTCCACATATCCCCTTGCAGATTCCAAAGAAAGAGGGTTTCAAAACTGCTCCATCAGAAGGATTGTTCAACTCTGTGAGTTGAATGCAGTCATCGCAGAAAACTTTCTGAGAATGCTTCTGTCTAGGTTTGATGTGAAGATATAGACGTTTCAAACGAAGGCTACAAAGTGGTCAAAATATACACTTGCAGATTCTACTACAAGGGTGTTGCAAACCTGAACTATCAAAGGAAGGTTCAACTCTGTGAGTTGAATACAAACATCACAAAGAATGTTCTGAGTTTGCTTCCGTTCAGTTATGGGAAGTTGATCCCGTTTCCAACGAAATCCTCAGAGAGGTCCAAATATCCCCTTGCAGATTCTACAAAACGTGTGTTTGGAAACTGCTCCATCATAACGAATGTTCAGCTCCCTGAGTTAAACTCCATCGTCACAAAGAATTTTCTGAGAGTGCTACCGTCTGGTTTTTATATGAAGCTCTTTCCTTCACTACCACAGACCTCAAAGCGGTCCAAATCTCCACTTGCAGATTCTACAAAAAGAGTGTTTGCAAACTGCTCTATCAAAAGGAATGTTCAACTCTGGGAGTTGAATGCAATCATCACAGAGCAGTTTCTGAGAATGCTTCTATGTCGTTTTTAGGAGAAGATATTTCCTTTTCCAACACAGTCCTCCAAGCCCGCTAAATAGCCACTTGCACATTGTAGAAAAAGTGTGTCAAAGCTGCGCTATCAAAGGGAAAGTTCAACTCTGTGAGGTGAATGCAAACATCCCAAAGAAGTTTCTGAGAATGCTTCCATTTAGCTTTTAGGTGAAGATTATCCCGTTTCCAACGAAACCTTCAAAGAGGTCCAAATATCCCCTTGCGGATCCCACAGAAAGAGTGTTTCGAAACTGCTGTTTCAAAAGGAATCTTCAACTCTGAGTTGAATGCAATCATCACAGAGAAGTTTCTGACAATGCTTCTCTCTCGTCTTTCTGTGAAGATAAAGGAAAAGGCTTTCAGGCCTTTTCCACCACAGGCCTGAAAGCGCTCCAAATGTCCACTTGCAGATTCTGCGAAAAGAATATTTCAAAACTGCTCTATGAAAAGCAATGTTAAACTCTGTGGCTCGAACACAAACATCACAAAGCGGTTTCTGAGAATGCTTCAGTTTAGTTTTTCTGTGGAAATATTCCCGTTTCCAAAGAAATCTTCAAAGAGGTCCACGTATCCACTTACAGATTCTACAAAAAGACAGTTTCAAAACTGCTCCATCAAAAGGAGGGTTCAACTGTGTGACTTGAATGCAATCATCACTCAGAAGTTTCTGAGAATGCTTCTCTTTAGTTTTTACGTGAACATATACCCGTTTCGAACGAAGGCCACCCAGTGGTCCAAATATCCACTTGCAGATTATACAGAAAGAGTGTTTCGAACCTGAACTCTCAAAGGCAGGTTCATCTCTGCGAGTTAAATGCATTCATCATGAAGAACTTTCTCAGAGTGTTTGTGTTTAGTTATGGGAAATTATTCCCGTTTCCAACGAAATCCTCAGAGAGCTCCAAATATCCACCTGCAGATTCTACCAAAAGTGTATTTGGAAACTGCTCCCATCTCAAAAGGCATGTTCAGCTCTGTGAGTGAAACTCCATCATCACAAAGAATATTCTGAGAATGCTTCCGTTTGCCTTTTATATGAAGTTCCTTCCTATACTACCGTAGGCCTCAAAGCAGTCCAAATCTCCATTTGCAGATTCTACAAAAAGAGTGATTCCAATCTGCTCTATCAATAGGATTGTTCAACTCCATGAGTTGAATGCCATCCTCACAAAGTCGTTTCTGAGAATGCTTCTATGTAGTTTTTATGTGAAGATATTTCCTTTTCCACCACAGGCCTCAAAGCCCTCCAAACGTCCACTTGCATATTCTCGAAAAAGAGTGTTTCATAGCTGCTCTTTCAAAAGGAAAGTTCAACTCTGGGAGGTGAATACAAACATCACAAAGTAGTTTCCGAGAATGCTTCTGTTTAGTTGTTATGTGAAGATGATCCCGTTTCCAGTGAAATCTTCAAAGAGGTCTATATATCCCCTTGCAGATTCCAAAGAAAGAGGGTTTCAAAACTGCTCCATCAAAAGGATTGTGCAACTCTGTGAGTTGAATGCAGTCATCACAGAAAACTTTCTGAGAATGCTTCTGTCTAGGTTTGATGTGAAGATATAGACGTTTCAAACGAAGGCTACAAAGTGGTCAAAATATACACTTGCAGATTCTACTACAAGGGTGATGCAAACCTCAACTATAAAAGGAAGGTTCAACTCTGTGAGTTGAATACAAACATCACAAAGAATGTTCTGAGTTTGCTTCCGTTCAGTTATGGGAAGTTGATCCCGTTTCCAACGAAATCCTCAGAGAGGTCCAAATATCCCCTTGCAGATTCTACAAAACGTGTGTTTGGAAACTGCTCCATCATAACGGATGTTCAGCTCTCTGAGTTAAACTCCATCGTCACAAAGAATTTTCTGAGAGTGCTACCGTCTGGTTTTTATATGAAGTTGTTTCCTTTACTACCACAGGCCTCAAAGCGGTCCAAATCTCCACTTGCAGATTCTACAAAAAGAGTGTTTGCAAACTGCTCTATCAAAAGGAATGTTCAACTCTGGGAGTTGAATGCAATCATCACAGAGCAGTTTCTGAGAATGCTTCTATGTCGTTTTTAGGAGAAGATATTTCCTTTTCCAACACAGTCCTCCAAGCCCGCTAAATATCCACTTGCACATTGTAGAAAAAGTGTGTCGAAGCTGCGCTATCAAAGGGAAAATTCAACTCTGTGAGGTGAATGCAAACATCCAAAAGAAGTTTCTGAGAATGCTTCCGTTTAGCTTTTAGGTGACGATTATCCAGTTTCCAACGAAACCTTCAAATAGATCCAAATATCCCCTTGCGGTTCCCACAGAAAGAGTGTTTCGAAACTGCTGTTTCAAAAGGAATCTTCAACTCTGTGAGTTGAATGCAATCATCACAAAGAAGTTTCTGACAATGCTTCTCTCTCGTCTTTCTGTGAAGATAAAGGAAAAGGCTTTCAGGCCTTTTCCACCACAGGCCTGAAAGCGCTCCAAATGTCCACTTGCAGATTCTGCCAAAAGAATATTTCAAAACTGCTCTATGAAAAGCAATGTTAAACTCTGCGGCTCGAACACAAACATCACAAAGCAGTTTCTGAGAATGCTTCAGTTTAGTTTTTCTGTGGAAATATTCCCGTTTCCAAAGAAATCTTCAAAGAGGTCCACGCATCCACTTACAGATTCTACAAAAACACAGTTTCAAAACTGCTCAATCAAAACGAGGGTTCAACTGTGTGACTTGAATGCAATCATCACTCAGAAGTTTCTGAGAATGCTTCTCTTTAGTTTTTACGTGAACATATACCCGTTTCGAACGAAGGCCACCCAGTGGTCCAAATATCCACTTGCAGATTCTACAGAAAGAGTGTTTCGAACCTGAAATCTCAAAGGCAGGTTCATCTCTGCGAGTTAAATGCATTCATCATGAAGAACTTTCTCAGCGTGTTTGTGTTTAGTTATGGGAAATTATTCCCGTTTCCAACGAAATCCTCAGAGAGGTTCAAATATTCACCTGCAGATTCTACCAAAAGTGTATTTGGAAACTGCTCCATCAAAAGGCATGTTCAACTCTGTGTGTGAAACTCCATCATCACAAAGAATATTCTGAGAATGCCTCCGTTTGCCTTTTATATGAAGTTCCTTCCTATACTACCGTAGGCCTCAAAGCAGTCCAAATCTCCATTTGCAGATTCTACAAAAAGAGTGATTCCAATCTGCTCTATCAATAGGATTGTTCAACTCCATGAGTTGAATGCCATCCTCACAAAGTCGTTTCTGAGAATGCTTCTATCTAGTTTTTATGTGAAGATATTTCCTTTTCCACCACAGGCCTCAAAGCCCTCCAAACGTCCACTTGCAGATTCTCGAAAAAGAGTGTTTCATAGCTGCTCTTTCAAAAGGAAAGTTCAACTCTGGGAGTTGAATACAAACTTCACAAAGTAGTTTCCGAGAATGCTTCTGTTTATTTCTTATGTGAAGATGATCCCGTTTCCAGTGAAATCTTCAAAGAGGTCCACATATCCCCTTGCAGATTCCAAAGAAAGAGGGTTTCAAAACTGCTCCATCAAAAGGATTGTTCAGCTCTGTGAGTTGAATGCAGTCATCGCAGAAAACTTTCTGAGAATGCTTCTGTCTAGGTTTGAGGTGAAGATATAGACGTTTCAAACGAAGGCTACAAAGTGGTCAAAATATACACTTGCAGATTCTACTACAAGGGTGTTGCAAACCTCAACTATCAAAGGAAGGTTCAACTCTGTGAGTTGAATACAAACATCACAAAGAATGTTCTGAGTTTGCTTCCGTTCAGTTATGGGAAGTTGATCCCGTTTCCAACGAAATCCTCAGAGAGGTCCAAATATCCCCTTGCAGATTCTACAAAACGTGTGTTTGGAAACTGCTCCATCATAACGAATGTTCAGCTCTCTGAGTTAAACTCCATCGTCACAAAGAATTTTCTGAGAGTGCTACCGTCTAGTTTTTATAGGAAGTTCTTTCCTTTACTACCACAGGCCTCAAAGCGGTCCAAATCTCCACTTGCAGATTCTACAAAAAGAGTGTTTGCAAACTGCTCTATCAAAAGGAATGTTCAACTCTGGGAGTTGAATGCAATCATCACAGAGCAGTTTGTGAGAATGCTTCTATGTCGTTTTTAGGAGAAGATATTTCCTTTTCCAACACAGTCCTCCAAGCCCGCTAAATATCCACTTGCACATTGTAGAAAAAGTGTGTCGAAGCTGTGCTATCAAAGGGAAAGGTCAACTCTGTGAGGTGAATGCAAACATCCCAAAGAAGTTTCTGAGAATGCTTCCATTTAGCTTTTAGGTGAAGATTATCCCGTTTCCAACGAAATCTTCAAAGAGGTCCAAATATCCCCCTGCGGATCCCACAGAAAGAGTGTTTCGAAACTGCTGTTTCAAAAGGAATCTTCAACTCTGTGAGTTGAATGCAATCATCACAAAGAAGTTTCTGACAATGCTTCTCTCTCGTCTTTCTGTGAAGATAAAGGAAAAGGCTTTCAGGCCTTTGCCACCACAGGCCTGAAAGCGCTCCAAATGTCCACTTGCAGATTCTGCCAAAAGAATATTTCAAAACTGCTCTATGAAAAGCAATGTTAAACTCTGTGGCTGGAACACAAACATCACAAAGCGGTTTGTGAGAATGTTTCAGTTTAGTTTTTCTGTGGAAATATTCCCGTTTCCAAAGAAATCTTCAAAGAGGTCCACGTATCCACTTACAGATTCTACAAAAAGACAGTTTCAAAACTGCTCAATCAAAAGGAGGGTTCAACTGTGTGACTTGAATGCAATCATCACTCAGAAGTTTCTGAGAATGCTTCTCTTTAGTTTTTACGTGAACATATACCCGTTTCGAACGAAGGCCACCCAGTGGTCCAAATATCCACTTGCAGATTATACAGAAAGAGTGTTTCGAACCTGAACTCTCAAAGGCAGGTTCATCTCTGCGAGTTAAATGCATTCATCATGAAGAACTTTCTCAGAGTGTTTGTGTTTAGTTATGGGAAATTATTCCCGTTTCCAACGAAATCCTCAGAGAGCTCCAAATATCCACCTGCAGATTCTACCAAAAGTGTATTTGGAAACGGCTCCATCAAAAGGCATGTTCAGCTCTGTGAGTGAAACTCCATCATCACAAAGAATATTCTGAGAATGCTTCCGTTTGCCTTTTATATGAAGTTCCTTCCTGTACTACCGTAGGCCTCAAAGCAGTCCAAATCTCCATTTGCAGATTCTACAAAAAGAGTGATTCCAATCTGCTCTATCAATAGGATTGTTCAACTCCATGAGTTGAATGCCATCCTCACAAAGCAGTTTCTGAGAATGCTTCTATCTGGTTTTTGTGTGAAGATATTTCCTTTTCCACCACAGGCCTCAAAGCCCTCCAAACGTCCACTTGCAGATTCTCGAAAAAGAGTGTTTCATAGCTGCTCTTTCAAAAGGAAAGTTCAACTCTGGCAGTTGAATACAAACATCACAAAGTAGTTTCCGAGAATGCTTCTGTTTAGTTTTTATGTGAAGATGATCCCGTTTCCAGTGAAATCTTCAAAGAGGTCCACATATCCCCTTGCAGATTCCAAAGAAAGAGGGTTTCAAAACTGCTCCATCAGAAGGATTGTTCAACTCTGTGAGTTGAATGCAGTCATCGCAGAAAACTTTCTGAGAATGCTTCTGTCTAGGTTTGATGTGAAGGTATAGACATTTCAAATGAAGGCTACAAAGTGGTCAAAATATACACTTGCAGATTCTACTACAAGGGTGTTGCAAACCTGAACTATCAAAGGAAGGTTCAACTCTGTGAGTTGAATACAAACATCACAAAGAATGTTCTGAGTTTGCTTCCGTTCAGTTATGGGAAGTTGATCCCGTTTCCAACGAAATCCTCAGAGAGGTCAAAATATCCCCTTGCAGATTCTACAAAACGTGTGTTTGGAAACTGCTCCATCATAACGAATGTTCAGCTCCCTGAGTTAAACTCCATCGTCACAAAGAATTTTCTGAGAGTGCTACCGTCTGGTTTTTATATGAAGTTCTTTCCTTCACTACCACAGGCCTCAAAGCGGTCCAAATCTCCACTTGCAGATTCTACAAAAAGAGTGTTTGCAAACTGCTCTATCAAAAGGAATGTTCAACTCTGGGAGTTGAATGCAATCATCACAGAGCAGTTTCTGAGAATGCTTCTATGTCGTTTTTAGGAGAAGATATTTCCTTTTCCAACACAGTCCTCCAAGCCCGCTAAATAGCCACTTGCACATTGTAGAAAAAGTGTGTCAAAGCTGCGCTATCAAAGGGAAAGTTCAACTCTGTGAGGTGAATGCAAACATCCCAAAGAAGTTTCTGAGAATGCTTCCGTTTAGCTTTTAGGTGAAGATTATCCCGTTTCCAACGAAACCTTCAAAGAGGTCCAAATATCCCCTTGCGGATCCCACAGAAAGAGTGTTTCGAAACTGCTGTTTCAAAAGGAATCTTCAACTCTGTGAGTTGAATGCAATCATCACAAAGAAGTTTCTGACAATGCTTCTCTCTCGTCTTTCTGTGAAGATAAAGGAAAAGGCTTTCAGGCCTTTTCCACCACAGGCCTGAAAGCGCTCCAAATGTCCACTTGCAGATTCTGCGAAAAGAATATTTCAAAACTGCTCTATGAAAAGCAATGTTAAACTCTGTGGCTGGAACACAAACATCACAAAGCGGTTTCTGAGAATGTTTCAGTTTAGTTTTTCTGTGGAAATATTCCCGTTTCCAAAGAAATCTTCCAAGAGGTCCACGAATCCACTTACAGATTCTACAAAAAGACAGTTTCAAAACTGCTCAATCAAAAGGCGGGTTCAACTGTGTGACTTGAATGCAATCATCACTCAGAAGTTTCTGAGAATGCTTCTCTTTAGTTTTTACGTGAACATATACCCGTTTCGAACGAAGGCCAGCCAGTGGTCCAAATATCCACTTGCAGATTCTACAGAAAGAGTGTTTCGAACCTGAACTCTCAAAGGCAGGTTCATCTCTGCGAGTTAAATGCATTCATCATGAAGAACTTTCTCAGAGTGTTTGTGTTTAGTTATGGGAAATTATTCCCGTTTCCAACGAAATCCTCAGAGAGCTCCAAATATCCACCTGCAGATTCTACCAAAAGTGTATTTGGAAACTGCTCCATCAAAAGGCATGTTCAGCTCTGTCAGTGAAACTCCATCATCACAAAGAATATTCTGAGAATGCTTCCGTTTGCCTTTTATATGAAGTTCCTTCCTGTACTACCGTAGGCCTCAAAGCAGTCCAAATCTCCATTTGCAGATTCTACAAAAAGAGTGATTCCAATCTGCTCTATCAATAGGATTGTTCAACTCCATGAGTTGAATGCCATCCTCACAAAGTCGTTTCTGAGAATGCTTCTATCTGGTTTTTGTGTGAAGATATTTCCTTTTCCACCACAGGCCTCAAAGCCCTCCAAACGTCCACTTGCAGATTCTCGAAAAAGAGTGTTTCATAGCTGCTCTTTCAAAAGGAAAGTTCAACTCTGGGAGTTGAATACAAACATCACAAAATAGTTTCCGAGAATGCTTCAGTTTAGTTTTTATGTGAAGATGATCCCGTTTCCAGTGAAATCTTCAAAGAGGTCCACATATCCCCTTGCAGATTCCAAAGAAAGAGGGTTTCAAAACTGCTCCATCAGAAGGATTGTTCAACTCTGTGAGTTGAATGCAGTCATCGCAGAAAACTTTCTGAGAATGCTTCTGTCTAGGTTTGATGTGAAGATATAGATGTTTCAAACGAAGGCTACAAAGTGGTCAAAATATACACTTGCAGATTCTACTACAAGGGTGTTGCAAACCTGAACTATCAAAGGAAGGTTCAACTCTGTGAGTTGAATACAAACATCACAAAGAATGTTCTGAGTTTGCTTCCGTTCAGTTATGGGAAGTTGATCCCGTTTCCAACGAAATCCTCAGAGAGGTCCAAATATCCCCTTGCAGATTCTACAAAACGTGTGTTTGGAAACTGCTCCATCATAACGAATGTTCAGCTCCCTGAGTTAAACTCCATCGTCACAAAGAATTTTCTGAGAGTGCTACCGTCTGGTTTTTATATGAAGTTCTTTCCTTCACTACCACAGGCCTCAAAGCGGTCCAAATCTCCACTTGCAGATTCTACAAAAAGAGTGTTTGCAAACTGCTCTATCAAAAGGAATGTTCAACTCTGGGAGTTGAATGCAATCATCACAGAGCAGTTTCTGAGAATGCTTCTATGTCGTTTTTAGGAGAAGATATTTCCTTTTCCAACACAGTCCTCCAAGCCCGCTAAATATCCACTTGCACATTGTAGAAAAAGTGTGTCGAAGCTGCGCTATCAAAGGGAAAGTTCAACTCTGTGAGGTGAATGCAAACATCCCAAAGAAGTTTCTGAGAATGCTTCCGTTTAGCTTTTAGGTGAAGATTATCCCGTTTCCAACGAAATCTTCAAAGAGGTCCAAATATCCCCCTGCGGATCCCACAGAAAGAGTGTTTCGAAACTGCTGTTTCAAAAGGAATCTTCAACTCTGTGAGTTGAATGCAATCATCACAAAGAAGTTTCTGACAATGCTTCTCTCTCGTCTTTCTGTGAAGATAAAGGAAAAGGCTTTCAGGCCTTTTCCACCACAGGCCTGAAAGCGCTCCAAATGTCCACTTGCAGATTCTGCCAAAAGAATATTTCAAAACTGCTCTATGAAAAGCAATGTTAAACTCTGTGGCTCGAACACAAACATCACAAAGCGGTTTCTGAGAATGCTTCAGTTTAGTTTTTCTGTGGAAATATTCCCGTTTCCAAAGAAATCTTCAAAGAGATCCACGTATCCACTTACAGATTCTACAAAAAGACAGTTTCAAAACTGCTCCATCAAAAGGAGGGTTCAACTGTGTGACTTGAATGCAATCATCACTCAGAAGTTTCTGAGAATGCTTCTCTTTAGTTTTTATGTGAACATATACCCGTTTCGAACGAAGGCCAGCCAGTGGTCCAAATATCCACTTGCAGATTCTACAGAAAGAGTGTTTCGAACCTGAACTCTCAAAGGCAGGTTCATCTCTGCGAGTTAAATGCATTCATCATGAAGAACTTTCTCAGCGTGTTTGTGTTTAGTTATGGGAAATTATTCCCTTTTCCAACGAAATCCTCAGAGAGCTCCAAATATCCACCTGCAGATTCTACCAAAAGTGTATTTGGAAACTGCTCCATCAAAAGGCATGTTCAGCTCTGTGAGTGAAACTCCATGATCACAAAGAATATTCTGAGAATGCTTCCGTTTGCCTTTTATATGAAGTTCCTTCCTATACTACCGTAGGCCTCAAAGCAGTCCAAATCTCCATTTGCAGATTCTACAAAAAGAGTGATTCCAATCTGCTCTATCAATAGGATTGTTCAACTCCATGAGTTGAATGCCATCCTCACAAAGTCGTTTCTGAGAATGCTTCTATCTAGTTTTTATGTGAAGATATTTCCTTTTCCACCACAGGCCTCAAAGCCTTCCAAACGTCCACTTGCAGATTCTCGAAAAAGAGTGTTTCATAGCTGCTCTTTCAAAAGGAAAGTTCAACTCTGGGAGTTGAATACAAACATCACAAAGTAGTTTCCGAGAATGCTTCTGTTTAGTTTTTATGTGAAGATGATCCCGTTTCCAGTGAAATCTTCAAAGAGGTCCACATATCCCCTTGCAGATTCCAAAGAAAGAGGGTTTCAAAACTGCTCCATCAGAAGGATTGTTCAACTCTGTGAGTTGAATGCAGTCATCGCAGAAAACTTTCTGAGAATGCTTCTGTCTAGGTTTGATGTGAAGATATAGACGTTTCAAACGAAGGCTACAAAGTGGTCAAAATATACACTTGCAGATTCTACTACAAGGGTGTTGCAAACCTGAACTATCAAAGGAAGGTTCAACTCTGTGAGTTGAATACAAACATCACAAAGAATGTTCTGAGTTTGCTTCCGTTCAGTTATGGGAAGTTGATCCCGTTTCCAACGAAATCCTCAGAGAGGTCCAAATATCCCCTTGCAGATTCTACAAAACGTGTGTTTGGAAACTGCTCCATCATAACGAATGTTCAGCTCCCTGAGTTAAACTCCATCGTCACAAAGAATTTTCTGAGAGTGCTACCGTCTGGTTTTTATATGAAGTTCTTTCCTTCACTACCACAGGCCTCAAAGCGGTCCAAATCTCCACTTGCAGATTCTACAAAAAGAGTGTTTGCAAACTGCTCTATCAAAAGGAATGTTCAACTCTGGGAGTTGAATGCAATCATCACAGAGCAGTTTCTGAGAATGCTTCTATGTCGTTTTTAGGAGAAGATATTTCCTTTTCCAACACAGTCCTCCAAGCCCGCTAAATAGCCACTTGCACATTGTAGAAAAAGTGTGTCAAAGCTGCGCTATCAAAGGGAAAGTTCAACTCTGTGAGGTGAATGCAAACATCCCAAAGAAGTTTCTGAGAATGCTTCCGTTTAGCTTTTAGGTGAAGATTATCCCGTTTCCAACGAAACCTTCAAAGAGGTCCAAATATCCCCTTGCGGATCCCACAGAAAGAGTGTTTCGAAACTGCTGTTTCAAAAGGAATCTTCAACTCTGTGAGTTGAATGCAATCATCACAAAGAAGTTTCTGACAATGCTTCTCTCTCGTCTTTCTGTGAAGATAAAGGAAAAGGCTTTCAGGCCTTTGCCACCACAGGCCTGAAAGCGCTCCAAGTGTCCACTTGCAGATTCTGCGAAAAGAATATTTCAAAACTGCTCTATGAAAAGCAATGTTAAACTCTGTGGCTCGAACACAAACATCACAAAGAGGTTTCTGAGAATGCTTCAGTTTAGTTTTTCTGTGGAAATATTCCCGTTTCCAAAGAAATCTTCAAAGAGGTCCACGTATCCACTTACAGATTCTACAAAAAGACAGTTTCAAAACTGCTCCATCAAAAGGAGGGTTCAACTGTGTGACTTGAATGCAATCATCACTCAGAAGTTTCTGAGAATGCTTCTCTTTAGTTTTTACGTGAACATATACCCGTTTCGAACGAAGGCCACCCAGTGGTCCAAATATCCACTTGCAGATTCTACAGAAAGAGTGTTTCGAACCTGAACTCTCAAAGGCAGGTTCATCTCTGCGAGTTAAATGCATTCATCATGAAGAACTTTCTCAGAGTGTTTGTGTTTAGTTATGGGAAATTATTCCCGTTTCCAACGAAATCCTCAGAGAGCTCCAAATATCCACCTGCTGATTCTACCAAAAGTGTATTTGGAAACTGCTCCATCAAAAGGCATGTTCAGCTCTGTGAGTGAAACTCCATCATCACAAAGAATATTCTGAGAATGCTTCCGTTTGCCTTTTATTTGAAGTTCCTTCCTGTACTACCGTAGGCCTCAAAGCAGTCCAAATCTCCATTTGCAGATTCTATGAAAAGAGTGATTCCAATCTGCTCTATCAATAGGATTGTTCAACTCCATGAGTTGAATGCCATCCTCACAAAGTAGTTTCTGAGAATGCTTCTATCTGGTTTTTGTGTGAAGATATTTCCTTTTCCACCACAGGCCTCAAAGCCCTCCAAACGTCCACTTGCAGATTCTCGAAAAAGAGTGTTTCATAGCTGCTCTTTCAAAAGGAAAGTTCAACTCTGGGAGTTGAATACAAACATCACAAAGTAGTTTCCGAGAATGCTTCTGTTTAGTTTTTATGTGAAGATGATCCCGTTTCCAGTGAAATCTTCAAAGAGGTCCACATATTCCCTTGCAGATTCCAAAGAAAGAGGGTTTCAAAACTGCTCCATCAGAAGGATTGTTCAACTCTGTGAGTTGAATGCAGTCATCGCAGAAAACTTTCTGAGAATGCTTCTGTCTAGGTTTGATGTGAAGATATAGACGTTTCAAACGAAGGCTACAAAGTGGTCAAAATATACACTTGCAGATTCTACTACAAGGGTGTTGCAAACCTGAACTATCAAAGGAAGGTTCAACTCTGTGAGTTGAATTCAAACATCACAAAGAATGTTCTGAGTTTGCTTCCGTTCAGTTATGGGAAGTTGATCCCGTTTCCAACGAAATCCTCAGAGAGGTCCAAATATCCCCTCGCAGATTCTACAAAACGTGTGTTTGGAAACTGCTCCATCATAACGAATGTTCAGCTCCCTGAGTTAAACTCCATCGTCACAAAGAATTTTCTGAGAGTGCTACCGTCTGGTTTTTATATGAAGTTCTTTCCTTCACTACCACAGGCCTCAAAGCGGTCCAAATCTCCACTTGCAGATTCTACAAAAAGAGTGTTTGCAAACTGCTCTATCAAAAGGAATGTTCAACTCTGGGAGTTGAATGCAATCATCACAGAGCAGTTTCTGAGAATGCTTCTATGTCGTTTTTAGGAGAAGATATTTCCTTTTCCAACACAGTCCTCCAAGCCCGCTAAATAGCCACTTGCACATTGTAGAAAAAGTGTGTCAAAGCTGCGCTATCAAAGGGAAAGTTCAACTCTGTCAGGTGAATGCAAACATCCCAAAGAAGTTTCTGAGAATGCTTCCGTTTAGCTTTTAGGTGAAGATTATCCCGTTTCCAACGAAACCTTCAAAGAGGTCCAAATATCCCCTTGCGGATCCCACAGAAAGAGTGTTTCGAAACTGCTGTTTCAAAAGGAATCTTCAACTCTGTGAGTTGAA
The DNA here is from genome assembly GCF_000001405.40 of Homo sapiens. Classification (NCBI taxonomy): domain Eukaryota; kingdom Metazoa; phylum Chordata; class Mammalia; order Primates; family Hominidae; genus Homo; species Homo sapiens. The sequence goes on along the minus strand of NC_000023.11, from coordinate 61,048,246 downwards.
TGCAATCATCAAAAAGAAGTTTCTGACAATGCTTCTCTCTCGTCTTTCTGTGAAGATAAAGGAAAAGGCTTTCAGGCCTTTGCCACCACAGGCCTGAAAGCGCTCCAAATGTCCACTTGCAGATTCTGCGAAAAGAATATTTCAAAACTGCTCTATGAAAAGCAATGTTAAACTCTGTGGCTCGAACACAAACATCACAAAGCGGTTTCTGAGAATGCTTCAGTTTAGTTTTTCTGTGGAAATATTCCCGTTTCCAAAGAAATCTTCAAAGAGGTCCACGTATCCACTTACAGATTCTACAAAAAGACAGTTTCAAAACTGCTCCATCAAAAGGAGGGTTCAACCGTGTGACTTGAATGCAATCATCACTCAGAAGTTTCTGAGAATGCTTCTCTTTAGTTTTTACGTGAACATATACCCGTTTCGAACGAAGGCCAGCCAGTGGTCCAAATATCCACTTGCAGATTCTACAGAAAGAGTGTTTCGAACCTGAACTCTCAAAGGCAGGTTCATCTCTGCGAGTTAAATGCATTCATCATGAAGAACTTTCTCAGCGTGTTTGTGTTTAGTTATGGGAAATTATTCCCGTTTCCAACGAAATCCTCAGAGAGCTCCAAATATCCACCTGCAGATTCTACCAAAAGTGTATTTGGAAACTGCTCCATCAAAAGGCATGTTCAGCTCTGTGAGTGAAACTCCATCATCACAAAGAATATTCTGAGAATGCTTCCGTTTGCCTTTTATATGAAGTTCCTTCCTATACGACCGTAGGCCTCAAAGCAGTCCAAATCTCCATTTGCAGATTCTACAAAAAGAGTGATTCCAATCTGCTCTATCAATAGGATTGTTCAACTCCATGAGTTGAATGCCATCCTCACAAAGTCGTTTCTGAGAATGCTTCTATCTAGTTTTTATGTGAAGATATTTCCTTTTCCACCACAGGCCTCAAAGCCTTCCAAACGTCCACTTGCAGATTCTCGAAAAAGAGTGTTTCATAGCTGCTCTTTCAAAAGGAAAGTTCAACTCTGGGAGTTGAATACAAACATCACAAAGTAGTTTCCGAGAATGCTTCTGTTTAGTTTTTATGTGAAGATGATCCCGTTTCCAGTGAAATCTTCAAAGAGGTCCACATATCCCCTTGCAGATTCCAAAGAAAGAGGGTTTCAAAACTGCTCCATCAGAAGGATTGTTCAACTCTGTGAGTTGAATGCAGTCATCGCAGAAAACTTTCTGAGAATGCTTCTTTCTAGGTTTGATGTGAAGATATAGACGTTTCAAACGAAGGCTACAAAGTGGTCAAAATATACACTTGCAGATTCTACTACAAGGGTGTTGCAAACCTGAACTATCAAAGGAAGGTTCAACTCTGTGAGTTGAATACAAACATCACAAAGAATGTTCTGAGTTTGCTTCCGTTCAGTTATGGGAAGTTGATCCCGTTTCCAACGAAATCCTCAGAGAGGTCCAAATATCCCCTTGCAGATTCTACAAAACGTGTGTTTGGAAACTGCTCCATCATAACGAATGTTCAGCTCCCTGAGTTAAACTCCATCGTCACAAAGAATTTTCTGAGAGTGCTACCGTCTGGTTTTTATATGAAGTTCTTTCCTTCACTACCACAGGCCTCAAAGCGGTCCAAATCTCCACTTGCAGATTCTACAAAAAGAGTGTTTGCAAACTGCTCTATCAAAAGGAATGTTCAACTCTGGGAGTTGAATGCAATCATCACAGAGCAGTTTCTGAGAATGCTTCTATGTCGTTTTTAGGAGAAGATATTTCCTTTTCCAACACAGTCCTCCAAGCCCGCTAAATAGCCACTTGCACATTGTAGAAAAAGTGTGTCAAAGCTGCGCTATCAAAGGGAAAGTTCAACTCTGTGAGGTGAATGCAAACATCCCAAAGAAGTTTCTGAGAATGCTTCCGTTTAGCTTTTAGGTGAAGATTATCCCGTTTCCAACGAAACCTTCAAAGAGGTCCAAATATCCCCTTGCGGATCCCACAGAAAGAGTGTTTCGAAACTGCTGTTTCAAAAGGAATCTTCAACTCTGTGAGTTGAATGCAATCATCACAAAGAAGTTTCTGACAATGCTTCTCTCTCGTCTTTCTGTGAAGATAAAGGAAAAGGCTTTCAGGCCTGTTCCACCACAGGCCTGAAAGCGCTCCAAATGTCCACTTGCAGATTCTGCGAAAAGAATATTTCAAAACTGCTCTATGAAAAGCAATGTTAAACTCTGTGGCTGGAACACAAACATCACAAAGCGGTTTCTGAGAATGTTTCAGTTTAGTTTTTCTGTGGAAATATTCCCGTTTCCAAAGAAATCTTCAAAGAGGTCCACGTATCCACTTACAGATTCTACAAAAAGACAGTTTCAAAACTGCTCCATCAAAAGGAGGGTTCAACTGTGTGACTTGAATGCAATCATCACTCAGAAGTTTCTGAGAATGCTTCTCTTTAGTTTTTACGTGAACATATACCCGTTTCGAACGAAGGCCACCCAGTGGTCCAAATATCCACTTGCAGATTCTACAGAAAGAGTGTTTCGAACCTGAACTCTCAAAGGCAGGTTCATCTCTGCGAGTTAAATGCATTCATCATGAAGAACTTTCTCAGAGTGTTTGTGTTTAGTTATGGGAAATTATTCCCGTTTCCAATGAAATCCTCAGAGAGCTCCAAATATCCACCTGCAGATTCTACCAAAAGTGTATTTGGAAACTGCTCCATCAACAGGCATGTTCAGCTCTGTGAGTGAAACTCCATCATCACAAAGAACATTCTGAGAATGCTTCCGTTTGCCTTTTATATGAAGTTCCTTCCTATACGACCGTAGGCCTCAAAGCAGTCCAAATCTCCATTTGCAGATTCTACAAAAAGAGTGATTCCAATCTGCTCTATCAATAGGATTGTTCAACTCCATGAGTTGAATGCCATCCTCACAAAGTCGTTTCTGAGAATGCTTCTATCTAGTTTTTATGTGAAGATATTTCCTTTTCCACCACAGGCCTCAAAGCCCTCCAAACGTCCACTTGCAGATTCTCGAAAAAGAGTGTTTCATAGCTGCTCTTTCAAAAGGAAAGTTCAACTCTGGGAGTTGAATACAAACATCACAAAGTAGTTTCCGAGAATGCTTCTGTTTAGTTTTTATGTGAAGTTGATCCCGTTTCCAGTGAAATCTTCAAAGAGGTCCACATATCCCCTTGCAGATTCCAAAGAAAGAGGGTTTCAAAACTGCTCCATCAGAAGGATTGTTCAACTCTGTGAGTTGAATGCAGTCATCGCAGAAAACTTTCTGAGAATGCTTCTGTCTAGGTTTGATGTGAAGATATAGACGTTTCAAACGAAGGCTACAAAGTGGTCAAAATATACACTTGCAGATTCTACTACAAGGGTGTTGCAAACCTGAACTATCAAAGGAAGGTTCAACTCTGTGAGTTGAATACAAACATCACAAAGAATGTTCTGAGTTGGCTTCCGTTCAGTTATGGGCAGTTGATCCCGTTTCCAGCGAAATCCTCAGAGAGGTCCATATATCCCCTTGCAGATTCTACAAAACGTGTGTTTGGAAACTGTTCCATCATAACGAATGTTCAGCTCCCTGAGTTAAACTCCATCGTCACAAAGAATTTTCTGAGAGTGCTACCGTCTGGTTTTTATATGAAGTTCTTTCCTTTACTACCATAGGCCTCAAAGCGGTCCAAATCTCCACTTGCAGATTCTACAAAAAGAGTGTTTGCAAACTGCTCTATCAAAAGGAATGTTCAACTCTGGGAGTTGAATGCAATCATCACAGAGCAGTTTCTGAGAATGCTTCTATGTCGTTTTTAGGAGAAGATATTTCCTTTTCCAACACAGTCCTCCAAGCCCGCTAAATAGCCACTTGCACATTGTAGAAAAAGTGTGTCAAAGCTGCGCTATCAAAGGGAAAGTTCAACTCTGAGAGGTGAATGCAAACATCCCAAAGAAGTTTCTGAGAGTGCTTCCGTTTAGCTTTTAGGTGAAGATTATCCCGTTTCCAACGAAACCTTCAAAGAGGTCCAAATATCCCCTTGCGGATCCCACAGAAAGAGTGTTTCGAAACTGCTGTTTCAAAAGGAATCTTCAACTCTGTGAGTTGAATGCAATCATCACAAAGAAGTTTCTGACAATGCTTCTCTCTCGTCTTCCTGTGAAGATAAAGGAAAAGGCTTTCAGGCCTTTTCCACCACAGGCCTGAAAGCGCTCCAAATGTCCACTTGCAGATTCTGCCAAAAGAATATTTCAAAACTGCTCTATGAAAAGCAATGTTAAACTCTGTGGCTCGAACACAAACATCACAAAGCAGTTTCTGAGAATGCTTCAGTTTAGTTTTTCTGTGGAAATATTCCCGTTTCCAAAGAAATCTTCAAAGAGGTCCACGTATCCACTTACAGATTCTACAAAAAGACAGTTTCAAAACTGCTCCATCAAAAGGAGGGTTCAACTGTGTGACTTGAATGCAATCATCACTCAGAAGTTTCTGAGAATGCTTCTCTTTAGTTTTTACGTGAACATATACCCGTTTCGAACGAAGGCCACCCAGTGGTCCAAATATCCACTTGCAGATTCTACAGAAAGAGTGTTTCGAACCTGAACTCTCAAAGGCAGGTTCATCTCTGCGAGTTAAATGCATTCATCATGAAGAACTTTCTCAGAGTGTTTGTGTTTAGTTATGGGAAATTATTCCCCTTTCCAACGAAATCCTCAGAGAGCTCCAAATATCCACCTGCAGATTCTACCAAAAGTGTATTTGGAAACTGCTCCATCAAAAGGCATGTTCAGCTCTGTCAGTGAAACTCCATCATCACAAAGAATATTCTGAGAATGCTTCCGTTTGCCTTTTATCTGAAGTTCCTTCCTATACGACCGTAGGCCTCAAAGCAGTCCAAATCTCCATTTGCAGATTCCACAAAAAGAGTGATTCCAATCTGCTCTATCAATAGGATTGTTCAACTCCATGAGTTGAATGCCATCCTCACAAAGTCGTTTCTGAGAATGCTTCTATCTAGTTTTTATGTGAAGATATTTCCTTTTCCACCACAGGCCTCAAAGCCCTCCAAACGTCCACTTGCAGATTCTCGAAAAAGAGTGTTTTATAGCTGCTCTTTCAAAAGGAAAGTTCAACTCTGGGAGTTGAATACAAACATCACAAAGTAGTTTCCGAGAATGCTTCTGTTTAGTTTTTATGTGAAGATGATCCCGTTTCCAGTGAAATCTTCAAAGAGGTCCACATATCCCCTTGCAGATTCCAAAGAAAGAGGGTTTCAAAACTGCTCCATCAGAAGGATTGTTCAACTCTGTGAGTTGAATGCAGTCATCGCAGAAAACTTTCTGAGAATGCTTCTGTCTAGGTTTGATGTGAAGATATAGACGTTTCAAACGAAGGCTACAAAGTGGTCAAAATATACACTTGCAGATTCTACTACAAGGGTGTTGCAAACCTGAACTATCAAAGGAAGGTTCAACTCTGTGAATTGAATACAAATATCACAAAGAATGTTCTGAGTTTGCTTCCGTTCAGTTATGGGAAGTTGATCCCGTTTCCAACGAAATCCTCAGAGAGGTCCAAATATCCCCTCGCAGATTCTACAAAACGTGTGTTTGGAAACTGCTCCATCATAACGAATGTTCAGCTCCCTGAGTTAAACTCCATCGTCACAAAGAATTTTCTGAGAGTGCTACCGTCTGGTTTTTATATGAAGTTCTTTCCTTCACTACCACAGGCCTCAAAGCGGTCCAAATCTCCACTTGCAGATTCTACAAAAAGAGTGTTTGCAAACTGCTCTATCAAAAGGAATGTTCAACTCTGGGAGTTGAATGCAATCATCACAGAGCAGTTTCTGAGAATGCTTCTATGTCGTTTTTAGGAGAAGATATTTCCTTTTCCAACACAGTCCTCCAAGCCCGCTAAATAGCCACTTGCACATTGTAGAAAAAGTGTGTCAAAGCTGCGCTATCAAAGGGAAAGTTCAACTCTGTGAGGTGAATGCAAACATCCCAAAGAAGTTTCTGAGAATGCTTCCGTTTAGCTTTTAGGTGAAGATTATCCCGTTTCCAACGAAACCTTCAAAGAGGTCCAAATATCCCCTTGCGGATCCCACAGAAAGAGTGTTTCGAAACTGCTGTTTCAAAAGGAATCTTCAACTCTGTGAGTTGAATGCAATCATCACAAAGAAGTTTCTGACAATGCTTCTCTCTCGTCTTTCTGTGAAGATAAAGGAAAAGGCTTTCAGGCCTTTTCCACCACAGGCCTGAAAGCGCTCCAAATGTCCACTTGCAGATTCTGCGAAAAGAATATTTCAAAACTGCTCTATGAAAAGCAATGTTAAACTCTGTGGCTCGAACACAAACATCACAAAGCAGTTTCTGAGAATGCTTCAGTTTAGTTTTTCTGTGGAAATATTCCCGTTTCAAAGAAATCTTCAAAGAGGTCCACGTATCCACTTACAGATTCTACAAAAAGACAGTTTCAAAACTGCTCCATCAAAAGGAGGGTTCAACTGTGTGACTTGAATGCAATCATCACTCAGAAGTTTCTGAGAATGCTTCTCTTTAGTTTTTACGTGAACATATACCCGTTTCGAACGAAGGCCACCCAGTGGTCCAAATATCCACTTGCAGATTCTACAGAAAGAGTGTTTCGAACCTGAACTCTCAAAGGCAGGTTCATCTCTGCGAGTTAAATGCATTCATCATGAAGAACTTTCTCAGAGTGTTTGTGTTTAGTTATGGGAAATTATTCCCGTTTCCAACGAAATCCTCAGAGAGCTCCAAATATCCACCTGCAGATTCTACCAAAAGTGTATTTGGAAACTGCTCCATCAAAAGGCATGTTCAGCTCTGTGAGTGAAACTCCATCATCACAAAGAATATTCTGAGAATGCTTCCGTTTGCCTTTTATATGAAGTTCCTTCCTATACTACCGTAGGCCTCAAAGCAGTCCAAATCTCCATTTGCAGATTCTACAAAAAGAGTGATTCCAATCTGCTCTATCAATAGGATTGTTCAACTCCATGAGTTGAATGCCATCCTCACAAAGTCGTTTCTGAGAATGCTTCTATCTAGTTTTTATGTGAAGATATTTCCTTTTCCACCACAGGCCTCAAAGCCCTCCAAACGTCCACTTGCAGATTCTCGAAAAAGAGTGTTTCATAGCTGCTCTTTCAAAAGGAAAGTTCAACTCTGGGAGTTGAATACAAACATCACAAAGTAGTTTCCGAGAATGCTTCTGTTTAGTTCTTATGTGAAGATGATCCCGTTTCCAGTGAAATCTTCAAAGAGGTCCACATATCCCCTTGCAGATTCCAAAGAAAGTGGGTTTCAAAACTGCTCCATCAAAAGGATTGTTCAACTCTGTGAGTTGAATGCAGTCATCGCATAAAACTTTCTGAGAATGCTTCTGTCTAGGTTTGAGGTGAAGATATAGACGTTTCAAACGAAGGCTACAAAGTGGTCAAAATATACACTTGCAGATTCTACTACAAGGGTGTTGCAAACCTGAACTATCAAAGGAAGGTTCCACTCTGTGAGTTGAATACAAACATCACAAAGAATGTTCTGAGTTTGCTTCCGTTCAGTTATGGGAAGTTGATCCCGTTTCCAACGAAATCCTCAGAGAGGTCCAAATATCCCCTCGCAGATTCTACAAAACGTGTGTTTGGAAACTGCTCCATCATAACGAATGTTCAGCTCCCGGAGTTAAACTCCATCGTCACAAAGAATTTTCTGAGAGTGCTACCGTCTGGTTTTTATATGAAGTTCTTTCCTTCACTACCACAGGCCTCAAAGCGGTCCAAATCTCCACTTGCAGATTCTACAAAAAGAGTGTTTGCAAACTGCTCTATCAAAAGGAATGTTCAACTCTGGGAGTTGAATGCAATCATCACAGAGCAGTTTCTGAGAATGCTTCTATGTCGTTTTTAGGAGAAGATATTTCCTTTTCCAACACAGTCCTCCAAGCCCGCTAAATAGCCACTTGCACATTGTAGAAAAAGTGTGTCGAAGCTGCGCTATCAAAGGGAAAGTTCAACTCTGTGAGGTGAATGCAAACATCCCAAAGAAGTTTCTGAGAATGCTTCCGTTTAGCTTTTAGGTGAAGATTATCCCGTTTCCAACGAAACCTTCAAAGAGGTGCAAATATCCCCTTGCGGATCCCACAGAAAGAGTGTTTCGAAACTGCTGTTTCAAAAGGAATCTTCAACTCTGTGAGTTGAATGCAATCATCACAAAGAAGTTTCTGACAATGCTTCTCTCTCGTCTTTCTGTGAAGATAAAGGAAAAGGCTTTCAGGCCTTTTCCACCACAGGCCTGAAAGCGCTCCAAATGTCCACTTGCAGATTCTGCGAAAAGAATATTTCAAAACTGCTCTATGAAAAGCAATGTTAAACTCTGTGGCTCGAACACAAACATCACAAAGCGGTTTCTGAGAATGCTTCAGTTTAGTTTTTCTGTGGAAATATTCCCGTTTCCAAAGAAATCTTCAAAGAGGTCCACGCATCCACTTACAGATTCTACAAAAAGACAGTTTAAAAACTGCTCAATCAAAAGGAGGGTTCAACTGTGTGACTTGAATGCATTCATCACTCAGAAGTTTCTGAGAACGCTTCTCTTTAGTTTTTACGTGAACATATACCCGTTTCGAACGAAGGCCAGCCAGTGGTCCAAATATCCACTTGCAGATTCTACAGAAAGAGTGTTTCGAACCTGAACTCTCAAAGGCAGGTTCATCTCTGCGAGTTAAATGCATTCATCATGAAGAACTTTCTCAGCGTGTTTGTGTTTAGTTATGGGAAATTATTCCCGTTTCCAACGAAATCCTCAGAGAGCTCCAAATATCCACCTGCAGATTCTACCAAAAGTGTATTTGGAAACTGCTCCATGAAAAGGCATGTTCAGCTCTGTGAGTGAAACTCCGTCATCACAAAGAATATTCTGAGAATGCTTCCGTTTGCCTTTTATATGAAGTTCCTTCCTATACTACCGTAGGCCTCAAAGCAGTCCAAATCTCCATTTGCAGATTCTACAAAAAGAGTGATTCCAATCTGCTCTATCAATAGGATTGTTCAACTCCATGAGTTGAATGCCATCCTCACAAAGTAGTTTCTGAGAATGCTTCTATGTAGTTTTTAAGTGAAGATATTTCCTTTTCCACCACAGGCCTCAAAGCCCTCCAAACGTCCACTTGCAGATTCCCGAAAAAGAGTGTTTCATAGCTGCTCTTTCAAAAGGAAAGTTCAACTCTGGGAGTTGAATACAAACATCACAAAGTAGTTTCCGAGAATGCTTCTGTTTAGTTCTTATGTGAAGATGATCCCGTTTCCAGTGAAATATTCAAAGAGGTCCACATATCCCCTTGCAGATTCCAAAGAAAGAGGGTTTCAAAACTGCTCCATCAAAAGGATTGTTCAACTCTGTGAGTTGAATGCAGTCATCGCAGAAAACTTTCTGAGAATGCTTCTGTCTAGGTTTGATGTGAAGATATAGACGTTTCAAACGAAGGCTACAAAGTGGTCAAAATATACACTTGCAGATTCTACTACAAGGGTGTTGCAAACCTCAACTATCAAAGGAAGGTTCAACTCTGTGAGATGAATGCAAACATCACAAAGAATGTTCTGAGTTTGCTTCCGTTCAGTTATGGGAAGTTGATCCCGTTTCCAACGAAATCCTCAGAGAGGTCCAAATATCCCCTTGCAGATTCTACAAAACGTGTGTTTGGAAACTGCTCCATCATAACGAATGTTCAGCTCTCTGAGTTAAACTCCATCGTCACAAAGAATTTTCTGAGAGTGCTACCGTCTACTTTTTATATGAAGTTCTTTCCTTTACTACCACAGGCCTCAAAGCGGTCCAAATCTCCACTTGCAGATTCTACAAAAAGAGTGTTTGCAAATTGCTCTATCAAAAGGAATGTTCAACTCTGGGAGTTGAATGCAATCATCACAGAGCAGTTTCTGAGAATGCTTCTATGTCGTTTTTAGGAGAAGATATTTCCTTTTCCAACACAGTCCTCCAAGCCCGCTAAATATCCACTTGCACATTGTAGAAAAAGTGTGTCGAAGCTGCGCTATCAAAGGGAAAGTTCAACTCTGTGAGGTGAATGCAAACATCCCAAAGAAGTTTCTGAGAATGCTTCCGTTTAGCTTTAAGTGAAGATTATCCCGTTTCCAACGAAATCTTCAAAGAGGTCCAAATATCCCCTTGCGGATCCCACAGAAAGAGTGTTTCGAAACTGCTGTTTCAAAAGGAATCTTCAACTCTGTGAGTTGAATGCAATCATCACAAAGAAGTTTCTGACAATTCTTCTCTCTCGTCTTTCTGTGAAGATAAAGGAAAAGGCTTTCAGGCCATTTCCACCACAGGCCTGAAAGCGCTCCAAATGTCCACTTGCAGATTCTGCCAAAAGAATATTTCAAAACTGCTCTATGAAAAGCAATGTTAAACTCTGCGGCTCGAACACAAACATCACAAAGCAGTTTCTGAGAATGCTTCAGTTTAGTTTTTCTGTGGAAATATTCCCGTTTCCAAAGAAATCTTCAAAGAGGTCCACGCATCCACTTACAGATTCTACAAAAAGACAGTTTCAAAACTGCTCAATCAAAAGGAGGGTTCAACTGTGTGACTTGAATGCATTCATCACTCAGAAGTTTCTGAGAACGCTTCTCTTTAGTTTTTACGTGAACATATATCCGTTTCGAATGAAGGCCAGCCAGTGGTCCAAATATCCACTTGCAGATTCTACAGAAAGAGTGTTTTGAACCTGAACTCTCAAAGGCAGGTTCATCTCTGCGAGTTAAATGCATTCATCATGAAGAACTTTCTCAGCGTGTTTGTGTTTAGTTATGGGAAATTATTCCCGTTTCCAACGAAATCCTCAGAGAGCTCCAAATATCCACCTGCAGATTCTACCAAAAGTGTATTTGGAAACTGCTCCATGAAAAGGCATGTTCAGCTCTGTGAGTGAAACTCCGTCATCACAAAGAATATTCTGAGAATGCTTCCCGTTTGCCTTTTATATGAAGTTCCTTCCTATACGACCGTAGGCCTCAAAGCAGTCCAAATCTCCATTTGCAGATTCTACAAAAAGAGTGATTCCAATCTGCTCTATCAATAGGATTGTTCAACTCCATGAGTTGAATGCCATCCTCACAAAGTCGTTTCTGAGAATGCTTCTATCTAGTTTTTATGTGAAGATATTTCCTTTTCCACCACAGGCCTCAAAGCCCTCCAAACGTCCACTTGCAGATTCTCGAAAAAGAGTGTTTCATAGCTGCTCTTTCAAAAGGAAAGTTCAACTCTGGGAGTTGAATACAAACATCACAAAGTAGTTTCCGAGAATGCTTCTGTTTAGTTTTTATGTGAAGATGATCCCGTTTCCAGTGAAATCTTCAAAGAGGTCCACATATCCTCTTGCAGATTCCAAAGAAAGAGGGTTTCAAAACTGCTCCATCAGAAGGATTGTTCAACTCTGTGAGTTGAATGCAGTCATCGCAGAAAACTTTCTGAGAATGCTTCTGTCTAGGTTTGATGTGAAGATATAGACGTTTCAAACGAAGGCTACAAAGTGGTCAAAATATACACTTGCAGATTCTACTACAAGGGTGTTGCAAACCTGAACTATCAAAGGAAGGTTCAACTCTGTGAGTTGAATACAAACATCACAAAAAATGTTCTGAGTTTGCTTCCGTTCAGTTATGGGAAGTTGATCCCGTTTCCAACGAAATCCTCAGAGAGGTCCACATATCCACTTGCAGATTCTACAAAACGTGTGTTTGGAAACTGCTCCATCATAACGAATGTTCAGCTCCCTGAGTTAAACTCCATCGTCACAAAGAATTTTCTGAGAGTGCTACCGTCTGGTTTTTATATGAAGCTCTTTCCTTCACTACCACAGGCCTCAAAGCGGTCCAAATCTCCACTTGCAGATTCTACAAAAAGAGTGTTTGCAAACTGCTCTATCAAAAGGAATGTTCAACTCTGGGAGTTGAATGCAATCATCACAGAGCAGTTTCTGAGAATGCTTCTATGTCGTTTTTAGGAGAAGATATTTCCTTTTCCAACACAGTCCTCCAAGTCCGCTAAATAGCCACTTGCACATTGTAGAAAAAGTGTGTCAAAGCTGCGCTATCAAAGGGAAAGTTCAACTCTGAGAGGTGAATGCAAACATCCCTAAGAAGTTTCTGAGAGTGCTTCCGTTTAGCTTTTAGGTGAAGATTATCCCGTTTCCAACGAAACCTTCAAAGAGGTCCAAATATCCCCTTGCGGATCCCACAGAAAGAGTGTTTCGAAACTGTTGTTTCAAAAGGAATCTTCAACTCTGTGAGTTGAATGCAATCATCACAAAGAAGTTTCTGACAATGCTTCTCTCTCGTCTTTCTGTGAAGATAAAGGAAAAGGCTTTCAGGCCTTTGCCACCACAGGCCTGAAAGCGCTCCAAATGTCCACTTGCAGATTCTGCCAAAAGAATATTTCAAAACTGCTCTATGAAAAGCAATGTTAAACTCTGTGGCTGGAACACAAACATCACAAAGCGGTTTCTGAGAATGTTTCAGTTTAGTTTTTCTGTGGAAATATTCCCGTTTCCAAAGAAATCTTCAAAGAGGTCCACGTATCCACTTACAGATTCTACAAAAAGACAGTTTCAAAACTGCTCCATCAAAAGGAGGGTTCAACTGTGTGACTTGAATGCAATCATCACTCAGAAGTTTCTGAGAATGCTTCTCTTTAGTTTTTACGTGAACATATACCCGTTTCGAACGAAGGCCACCCAGTGGTCCAAATATCCACTTGCAGATTATACAGAAAGAGTGTTTCGAACCTGAACTCTCAAAGGCAGGTTCATCTCTGCGAGTTAAATGCATTCATCATGAAGAACTTTCTCAGAGTGTTTGTGTTTAGTTATGGGAAATTATTCCCGTTTCCAACGAAATCCTCAGAGAGCTCCAAATATCCACCTGCAGATTCTACCAAAAGTGTATTTGGAAACTGCTCCATCAAAAGGCATGTTCAGCTCTGTGAGTGAAACTCCATCATCACAAAGAATATTCTGAGAATGCTTCCGTTTGCCTTTTATATGAAGTTCCTTCCTGTACTACCGTAGGCCTCAAAGCAGTCCAAATCTCCATTTGCAGATTCTATAAAAAGAGTGATTCCAATCTGCTCTATCAATAGGATTGTTCAACTCCATGAGTTGAATGCCATCCTCACAAAGTAGTTTCTGAGAATGCTTCTATCTGGTTTTTGTGTGAAGATATTTCCTTTTCCACCACAGGCCTCAAAGCCCTCCAAACGTCCACTTGCAGATTCTCGAAAAAGAGTGTTTCATAGCTGCTCTTTCAAAAGGAAAGTTCAACTCTTTGAGTTGAATACAAACATCACAAAGTAGTTTCCGAGAATGCTTCTGTTTAGTTTTTATGTGAAGATGATCCCGTTTCCAGTGAAATCTTCAAAGAGGTCCACATATCCCCTTGCAGATTCCAAAGAAAGAGGGTTTCAAAACTGCTCCATCAGAAGGATTGTTCAACTCTGTGAGTTGAATGCAGTCATCGCAGAAAACTTTCTGAGAATGCTTCTGTCTAGGTTTGATGTGAAGATATAGACGTTTCAAACGAAGGCTACAAAGTGGTCAAAATATACACTTGCAGATTCTACTACAAGGGTGTTGCAAACCTGAACTATCAAAGGAAGGTTCAACTCTGTGAGTTGAATACAAACATCACAAAGAATGTTCCGAGTTTGCTTCCGTTCAGTTATGGGAAGTTGATCCCGTTTCCAACGAAATCCTCAGAGAGGTCCAAATATCCCCTTGCAGATTCTACAAAACGTGTGTTTGGAAACTGCTCCATCATAACGAATGTTCAGCTCCCTGAGTTAAACTCCATCGTCACAAAGAATTTTCTGAGAGTGCTACCGTCTGGTTTTTATATGAAGTTCTTTCCTTCACTACCACAGGCCTCAAAGCGGTCCAAATCTCCACTTGCAGATTCTACAAAAAGAGAGTTTGCAAACTGCTCTATCAAAAGGAATGTTCAACTCTGGGAGTTGAATGCAATCATCACAGAGCAGTTTCTGAGAATGCTTCTATGTCGTTTTTAGGAGAAGATATTTCCTTTTCCAACACAGTCCTCCAAGCCCGCTAAATAGCCACTTGCACATTGTAGAAAAAGTGTGTCAAAGCTGCGCTATCAAAGGGAAAGTTCAACTCTGTGAGGTGAATGCAAACATCCCAAAGAAGTTTCTGAGAATGCTTCCGTTTAGCTTTTAGGTGAAGATTATCCCGTTTCCAACGAAACCTTCAAAGAGGTCCAAATATCCCCTTGCGGATCCCACAGAAAGAGTGTTTCGAAACTGCTGTTTCAAAAGGAATCTTCAACTCTGTGAGTTGAATGCAATCATCACAAAGAAGTTTCTGACAATGCTTCTCTCTCGTCTTTCTGTGAAGATAAAGGAAAAGGCTTTCAGGCCTTTGCCACCACAGGCCTGAAAGCGCTCCAAATGTCCACTTGCAGATTCTGCCAAAAGAATATTTCAAAACTGCTCTATGAAAAGCAATGTTAAACTCTGTGGCTGGAACACAAACATCACAAAGCGGTTTCTGATAATGTTTCAGTTTAGTTTTTCTGTGGAAATATTCCCGTTTCCAAAGAAATCTTCAAAGATGTCCACGTATCCACTTACAGATTCTACAAAAAGACAGTTTCAAAACTGCTCCATCAAAAGGAGGGTTCAACTGTGTGACTTGAATGCAATCATCACTCAGAAGTTTCTGAGAATGCTTCTCTTTAGTTTTTACGTGAACATATACCAGTTTCGAACGAAGGCCACCCAGTGGTCCAAATATCCACTTGCAGATTCTACAGAAAGAGTGTTTCGAACCTGAACTCTCAAAGGCAGGTTCATCTCTGCGAGTTGAATGCATTCATCATGAAGAACTTTCTCAGAGTGTTTGTGTTTAGTTATGGGAAATTATTCCCGTTTCCAACGAAATCCTCAGAGAGCTCCAAATATCCACCTGCAGATTCTACCAAAAGTGTATTTGGAAACTGCTCCATCAAAAGGCATGTTCAGCTCTGTGAGTGAAACTCCATCATCACAAAGAATATTCTGAGAATGCTTCCGTTTGCCTTTTATATGAACTTCCTTCCTATACGACCGTAGGCCTCAAAGCAGTCCAAATCTCCATTTGCAGATTCTACAAAAAGAGTGATTCCAATCTGCTCTATCAATAGGATTGTTCAACTCCATGAGTTGAATGCCATCCTCACAAAGTCGTTTCTGAGAATGCTTCTATCTAGTTTTTATGTGAAGATATTTCCTTTTCCACCACAGGCCTCAAAGCCCTCCAAACGTCCACTTGCAGATTCTCGAAAAAGAGTGTTTCATAGCTGCTCTTTCAAAAGGAAAGTTCAACTCTGGGAGTTGAATACAAACATCACAAAGTAGTTTCCGAGAATGCTTCTGTTTAGTTTTTATGTGAAGATGATCCCGTTTCCAGTGAAATCTTCAAAGAGGTCCACATATCCCCTTGCAGATTCCAAAGAAAGAGGGTTTCAAAACTGCTCCATCAGAAGGATTGTTCAACTCTGTGAGTTGAATGCAGTCATCGCAGAAAACTTTCTGAGAATGCTTCTGTCTAGGTTTGATGTGAAGATATAGACGTTTCAAACGAAGGCTACAAAGTGGTCAAAATATACACTTGCAGATTCTACTACAAGGGTGTTGCAAACCTGAACTATCAAAGGAAGGTTCAACTCTGTGAGTTGAATACAAACATCACAAGGAATGTTCTGAGTTTGCTTCCGTTCAGTTATGGGAAGTTGATCCCGTTTCCAACGAAATCCTCAGAGAGGTCCAAATATCCCCTTGCAGATTCTACAAAACGTGTGTTTGGAAACTGCTCCATCATAACGAATGTTCAGCTCCCTGAGTTAAACTCCATCGTCACAAAGAATTTTCTGAGAGTGCTACCGTCTGGTTTTTATATGAAGCTCTTTCCTTCACTACCACAGGCCTCAAAGCGGTCCAAATCTCCACTTGCAGATTCTACAAAAAGAGTGTTTGCAAACTGCTCTATCAAAAGGAATGTTCAACTCTGGGAGTTGAATGCAATCATCACAGAGCAGTTTCTGAGAATGCTTCTATGTCGTTTTTAGGAGAAGATATTTCCTTTTCCAACACAGTCCTCCAAGCCCGCTAAATAGCCACTTGCACATTGTAGAAAAAGTGTGTCAAAGCTGCGCTATCAAAGGGAAAGTTCAACTCTGTGAGGTGAATGCAAACATCCCAAAGAAGTTTCTGAGAATGCTTCCGTTTAGCTTTTAGGTGAAGATTATCCCGTTTCCAACGAAACCTTCAAAGAGGTCCAAATATCCCCTTGCGGATCCCACAGAAAGAGTGTTTCGAAACTGCTGTTTCAAAAGGAATCTTCAACTCTGTGAGTTGAATGCAATCATCACAAAGAAGTTTCTGACAATGCTTCTCTCTCGTCTTTCTGTGAAGATAAAGGAAAAGGCTTTCAGGCCTTTTCCACCACAGGCCTGAAAGCGCTCCAAATGTCCACTTGCAGATTCTGCCAAAAGAATATTTCAAAACTGCTCTATGAAAAGCAATGTTAAACTCTGTGGCTGGAACACAAACATCACAAAGCGGTTTCTGAGAATGTTTCAGTTTAGTTTTTCTGTGGAAATATTCCCGTTTCCAAAGAAATCTTCAAAGAGGTCCACGTATGCACTTACAGATTCTACAAAAAGACAGTTTCAAAACTGCTCCATCAAAAGGAGGGTTCAACTGTGTGACTTGAATGCAATCATCACTCAGAAGTTTCTGAGAATGCTTCTCTTTAGTTTTTACGTGAACATATACCCGTTTCGAACGAAGGCCACCCAGTGGTCCAAATATCCACTTGCAGATTCTACAGAAAGAGTGTTTCGAACCTGAACTCTCAAAGGCAGGTTCATCTCTGCGAGTTAAATGCATTCATCATGAAGAACTTTCTCAGAGTGTTTGTGTTTAGTTATGGGAAATTATTCCCGTTTCCAACGAAATCCTCAGAGAGCTCCAAATATCCACCTGCAGATTCTACCAAAAGTGTATTTGGAAACTGCTCCATCAAAAGGCATGTTCAGCTCTGTGAGTGAAACTCCATCATCACAAAGAATATTCTGAGAATGCTTCCGTTTGCCTTTTATATGAAGTTCCTTCCTATACTACCGTAGGCCTCAAAGCAGTCCAAATCTCCATTTGCAGATTCTACAAAAAGAGTGATTCCAATCTGCTCTATCAATAGGATTGTTCAACTCCATGTGTTGAATGCCATCCTCACAATGTCGTTTCTGAGAATGCTTCTATCTAGTTTTTATGTGAAGATATATCCTTTTCCACCACAGGCCTCAAAGCCCTCCAAACGTCCACTTGCAGATTCTCGAAAAAGAGTGTTTCATAGCTGCTCTTTCAAAAGGAAAGTTCAACTCTGGGAGTTGAATACAAACATCACAAAGTAGTTTCCGAGAATGCTTCTGTTTAGTTTTTATGTGAAGATGATCCCGTTTCCAGTGAAATCTTCAAAGAGGTCCACATATCCCCTTGCAGATTCCAAAGAAAGAGGGTTTCAAAACTGCTCCATCAGAAGGATTGTTCAACTCTGTGAGTTGAATGCAGTCATCGCAGAAAACTTTCTGAGAATGCTTCTGTCTAGGTTTGATGTGAAGATATAGACGTTTCAAACGAAGGCTACAAAGTGGTCAAAATATACACTTGCAGATTCTACTACAAGGGTGTTGCAAACCTGAACTATCAAAGGAAGGTTCAACTCTGTGAGTTGAATACAAACATCGCAAAGAATGTTCTGAGTTTGCTTCCATTCAGTTATGGGAAGTTGATCCCGTTTCCAACGAAATCCTCAGAGAGGTCCAAATATCCCCTTGCAGATTCTACAAAACGTGTGTTTGGAAACTGCTCCATCATAACGAATGTTCAGCTCCCTGAGTTAAACTCCATCGTCACAAAGAATTTTCTGAGAGTGCTACCGTCTGGTTTTTATATGAAGTTCTTTCCTTCACTACCACAGACCTCAAAGCGGTCCAAATCTCCACTTGCAGATTCTACAAAAAGAGTGTTTGCAAACTGCTCTATCAAAAGGAATGTTCAACTCTGGGAGTTGAATGCAATCATCACAGAGCAGTTTCTGAGAATGCTTCTATGTCGTTTTTAGGAGAAGATATTTCCTTTTCCAACACAGTCCTCCAAGCCCGCTAAATAGCCACTTGCACATTGTAGAAAAAGTGTGTCAAAGCTGCGCTATCAAAGGGAAAGTTCAACTCTGTGAGGTGAATGCAAACATCCCAAAGAAGTTTCTGAGAATGCTTCCGTTTAGCTTTTAGGTGAAGATTATCCCGTTTCCAACGAAAGCTTCAAAGAGGTCCAAATATCCCCTTGCGGATCCCACAGAAAGAGTGTTTCGAAACTGCTGTTTCAAAAGGAATCTTCAACTCTGTGAGTTGAATGCAATCATCACAAAGAAGTTTCTGACAATGCTTCTCTCTCGTCTTTCTGTGAAGATAAAGGAAAAGGCTTTCAGGCCTTTTCCACCACAGGCCTGAAAGCGCTCCAAATGTCCACTTGCAGATTCTGCGAAAAGAATATTTCAAAACTGCTCTATGAAAAGCAATGTTAAACTCTGTGGCTCGAACACAAACATCACAAAGCGGTTTCTGAGAATGCTTCAGTTTAGTTTTTCTTTGGAAATATTCCCGTTTCCAAAGAAATCTTCAAAGAGGTCCACGTATCCACTTACAGATTCTACAAAAAGACAGTTTCAAAACTGCTCCATCAAAAGGAGGGTTCAACTGTGTGACTTGAATGCAATCATCACTCAGAAGTTTCTGAGAATGCTTCTCTTTAGTTTTTACGTGAACATATACCCGTTTCGAACGAACCCAGCCAGTGGTCCAAATATCCACTTGCAGATTCTACAGAAAGAGTGTTTCGAACCTGAACTCTCAAAGGCAGGTTCATCTCTGCGAGTTAAATGCATTCATCATGAAGAACTTTCTCAGAGTGTTTGTGTTTAGTTATGGGAAATTATTCCCGTTTCCAACGAAATCCTCAGAGAGCTCCAAATATCCACCTGCAGATTCTACCAAAAGTGTATTTGGAAACTGCTCCATCAAAAGGCATGTTCAGCTCTGTGAGTGAAACTCCATCATCACAAAGAATATTCTGAGAATGCTTCCGTTTGCCTTTTATATGAAGTTCCTTCCTATACGACCGTAGGCCTCAAAGCAGTCCAAATCTCCATTTGCAGATTCTACAAAAAGAGTGATTCCAATCTGCTCTATCAATAGGATTGTTCAACTCCATGAGTTGAATGCCATCCTCACAAAGTCGTTTCTGAGAATGCTTCTATCTAGTTTTTATGTGAAGATATTTCCTTTTCCACCACAGGCCTCAAAGCCCTCCAAACGTCCACTTGCAGATTCTCGAAAAAGAGTGTTTCATAGCTGCTCTTTCAAAAGGAAAGTTCAACTCTGGGAGTTGAATACAAACATCACAAAGTAGTTTCCGAGAATGCTTCTGTTTAGTTTTTATGTGAAGATGATCCCGTTTCCAGTGAAATCTTCAAAGAGGTCCACATATCCCCTTGCAGATTCCAAAGAAAGAGGGTTTCAAAACTGCTCCATCAGAAGGATTGTTCAACTCTGTGAGTTGAATGCAGTCATCGCAGAAAACTTTCTGAGAATGCTTCTGTCTAGGTTTGATGTGAAGATATAGACGTTTCAAATGAAGGCTACAAAGTGGTCAAAATATACACTTGCAGATTCTACTACAAGGGTGTTGCAAACCTGAACTATCAAAGGAAGGTTCAACTCTGTGAGTTGAATACAAACATCACAAAGAATGTTCTGAGTTTGCTTCCGTTCAGTTATGGGAAGTTGATCCCGTTTCCAACGAAATCCTCAGAGAGGTCCAAATATCCCCTTGCAGATTCTACAAAACGTGTGTTTGGAAACTGCTCCATCATAACGAATGTTCAGCTCCCTGAGTTAAACTCCATCGTCACAAAGAATTTTCTGAGAGTGCTACCGTCTGGTTTTTATATGAAGTTCTTTCCTTCACTACCACAGGCCTCAAAGCGGTCCAAATCTCCACTTGCAGATTCTACAAAAAGAGTGTTTGCAAACTGCTCTATCAAAAGGAATGTTCAACTCTGGGAGTTGAATGCAATCATCACAGAGCAGTTTCTGAGAATGCTTCTATGTCGTTTTTAGGAGAAGATATTTCCTTTTCCAACACAGTCCTCCAAGCCCGCTAAATAGCCACTTGCACATTGTAGAAAAAGTGTGTCAAAGCTGCGCTATCAAAGGGAAAGTTCAACTCTGTGAGGTGAATGCAAACATCCCAAAGAAGTTTCTGAGAATGCTTCCGTTTAGCTTTTAGGTGAAGATTATCCCGTTTCCAACGAAACCTTCAAAGAGGTCCAAATATCCCCTTGCGGATCCCACAGAAAGAGTGTTTCGAAACTGCTGTTTCAAAAGGAATCTTCAACTCTGTGAGTTGAATGCAATCATCAAAAAGAAGTTTCTGACAATGCTTCTCTCTCGTCTTCCTGTGAAGATAAAGGAAAAGGCTTTCAGGCCTTTTCCACCACAGGCCTGAAAGCGCTCCAAATGTCCACTTGCAGATTCTGCCAAAAGAATATTTCAAAACTGCTCTATGAAAAGCAATGTTAAACTCTGTGGCTCGAACACAAACATCACAAAGCAGTTTCTGAGAATGCTTCAGTTTAGTTTTTCTGTGGAAATATTCCCGTTTCCAAAGAAATCTTCAAAGAGGTCCACGCATCCACTTACAGATTCTACAAAAAGACAGTTTAAAAACTGCTCAATCAAAAGGAGGGTTCAACTGTGTGACTTGAATGCATTCATCACTCAGAAGTTTCTGAGAACGCTTCTCTTTAGTTTTTACGTGAACATATACCCGTTTCGAACGAAGGCCAGCCAGTGGTCCAAATATCCACTTGCAGATTCTACAGAAAGAGTGTTTTGAACCTGAACTCTCAAAGGCAGGTTCATCTCTGCGAGTTAAATGCATTCATCATGAAGAACTTTCTCAGCGTGTTTGTGTTTAGTTATGGGAAATTATTCCCGTTTCCAACGAAATCCTCAGAGAGCTCCAAATATCCACCTGCAGATTCTACCAAAAGTGTATTTGGAAACTGCTCCATGAAAAGGCATGTTCAGCTCTGTGAGTGAAACTCCGTCATCACAAAGAATATTCTGAGAATGCTTCCGTTTGCCTTTTATATGAAGTTCCTTCCTATACGACCGTAGGCCTCAAAGCAGTCCAAATCTCCATTTGCAGATTCTACAAAAAGAGTGATTCCAATCTGCTCTATCAATAGGATTGTTCAACTCCATGAGTTGAATGCCATCCTCACAAAGTAGTTTCTGAGAATGCTTCTATCTAGTTTTTATGTGAAGATATTTCCTTTTCCACCACAGGCCTCAAAGCCTTCCAAACGTCCACTTGCAGATTCTCGAAAAAGAGTGTTTCATAGCTGCTCTTTCAAAAGGAAAGTTCAACTCTGGGAGTTGAATACAAACATCACAAAGTAGTTTCCGAGAATGCTTCTGTTTAGTTTTTATGTGAAGATGATCCCGTTTCCAGTGAAATCTTCAAAGAGGTCCACATATCCCCTTGCAGATTCCAAAGAAAGAGGGTTTCAAAACTGCTCCATCAGAAGGATTGTTCAACTCTGTGAGTTGAATGCAGTCATCGCAGAAAACTTTCTGAGAATGCTTCTGTCTAGGTTTGATGTGAAGATATAGACGTTTCAAATGAAGGCTACAAAGTGGTCAAAATATACACTTGCAGATTCTACTACAAGGGTGTTGCAAACCTGAACTATCAAAGGAAGGTTCAACTCTGTGAGTTGAATACAAACATCACAAAGAATGTTCTGAGTTTGCTTCCGTTCAGTTATGGGAAGTTGATCCCGTTTCCAACGAAATCCTCAGAGAGGTCCAAATATCCCCTCGCAGATTCTACAAAACGTGTGTTTGGAAACTGCTCCATCATAACGAATGTTCAGCTCCCTGAGTTAAACTCCATCGTCACAAAGAATTTTCTGAGAGTGCTACCGTCTGGTTTTTATATGAAGTTCTTTCCTTCACTACCACAGGCCTCAAAGCGGTCCAAATCTCCACTTGCAGATTCTACAAAAAGAGTGTTTGCAAACTGCTCTATCAAAAGGAATGTTCAACTCTGGGAGTTGAATGCAATCATCACAGAGCAGTTTCTGAGAATGCTTCTATGTCGTTTTTAGGAGAAGATATTTCCTTTTCCAACACAGTCCTCCAAGCCCGCTAAATAGCCACTTGCACATTGTAGAAAAAGTGTGTCAAAGCTGCGCTATCAAAGGGAAAGTTCAACTCTGTGAGGTGAATGCAAACATCCCAAAGAAGTTTCTGAGAATGCTTCCGTTTAGCTTTTAGGTGAAGATTATCCCGTTTCCAACGAAACCTTCAAAGAGGTCCAAATATCCCCTTGCGGATCCCACAGAAAGAGTGTTTCGAAACTGCTGTTTCAAAAGGAATCTTCAACTCTGTGAGTTGAATGCAATCATCACAAAGAAGTTTCTGACAATGCTTCTCTCTCGTCTTTCTGTGAAGATAAAGGAAAAGGCTTTCAGGCCTTTTCCACCACAGGCCTGAAAGCGCTCCAAATGTCCACTTGCAGATTCTGCGAAAAGAATATTTCAAAACTGCTCTATGAAAAGCAATGTTAAACTCTGTGGCTCGAACACAAACATCACAAAGCAGTTTCTGAGAATGATTCAGTTTAGTTTTTCTGTGGAAATATTCCCGTTTCCAAAGAAATCTTCAAAGAGGTCCACGTATCCACTTACAGATTCTACAAAAAGACAGTTTCAAAACTGCTCCATCAAAAGGAGGGTTCAACTGTGTGACTTGAATGCAATCATCACTCAGAAGTTTCTGAGAATGCTTCTCTTTAGTTTTTACGTGAACATATACCCGTTTCGAACGAAGGCCAGCCAGTGGTCCAAATATCCACTTGCAGATTCTACAGAAAGAGTGTTTCGAACCTGAACTCTCAAAGGCAGGTTCATCTCTGCGAGTTAAATACATTCATCATGAAGAACTTTCTCAGAGTGTTTGTGTTTAGTTATGGGAAATTATTCCCGTTTCCAACGAAATCCTCAGAGAGCTCCAAATATCCACCTGCAGATTCTACCAAAAGTGTATTTGGAAACTGCTCCATCAAAAGGCATGTTCAGCTCTGTGAGTGAAACTCCATCATCACAAAGAATATTCTGAGAATGCTTCCGTTTGCCTTTTATATGAAGTTCCTTCCTATACGACCGTAGGCCTCAAAGCAGTCCAAATCTCCATTTGCAGATTCTACAAAAAGAGTGATTCCAATCTGCTCTATCAATAGGATTGTTCAACTCCATGAGTTGAATGCCATCCTCACAAAGTCGTTTCTGAGAATGCTCTATCTAGTTTTTATGTGAAGATATTTCCTTTTCCACCACAGGCCTCAAAGCCCTCCAAACGTCCACTTGCAGATTCTCGAAAAAGAGTGTTTCATAGCTGCTCTTTCAAAAGGAAAGTTCAACTCTGGGAGTTGAATACAAACATCACAAAGTAGTTCCGAGAATGCTTTCTGTTTAGTTTTTATGTGAAGATGATCACGTTTCCAGTGAAATCTTCAAGGAGTTCCACATACCACTTGCAGATTCCAAAGAAAGAGGGTTTCAAAACTGCTCCATCAAAAGGATTGTTCCAATCTGTGAGTTGAATGCAGTCATCACAGAAAACTTTCTGAGAATGCTTCTGTCTAGGTTTCATGTGAAGATATAGACGTTTCAAACGAAGGCTACAAAGTGGTCAAAATATACACTTGCAGATTCTACTACAAGGGTGTTGCAAACCTGAACTATCAAAGGAAGGTTCAACTCTGTGAGTTGAATACAAACATCACAAAGAATTTTCTGAGTTTGCTTCCGTTCAGTTATGGGAAGTTGATCCCATTTCCAACGAAATCCTCAGAGAGGTCCAAATATCCCTTTGCAGATTCTACAAAATGTGTGTTTGGAAACTGCTCCATCATAACGAATGTTCAGCTCTCTGAGTTAAACTCTATCGTCACAAAGAATTTTCTGAGAGTGCTACCGTCTGGTTTTTATATGAAGTTCTTTCCTTCACTACCACAGGCCTCAAAGCGGTCCAAATCTCCACTTGCAGATTCTACAAAAAGAGTGTTTGCAAACTGCTCTATCAAAAGGAATGTTCAACTCTGGGAGTTGAATGCAATCATCACAGAGCAGTTTCTGAGAATGCTTCTATGTCGTTTTTAGGAGAAGATATTTCCTTTTCCAACACAGTCCTCCTAGCCCGCTAAATAGCCACTTGCACATTGTAGAAAAAGTGTGTCAAAGCTGCGCTATCAAAGGGAAAGTTCAACTCTGTGAGGTGAATGCAAACATCCCAAAGAAGTTTCTGAGAATGCTTCCGTTTAGCTTTTAGGTGAAGATTATCCCGTTTCCAACGAAACCTTCAAAGAAGTCCAAATATCCCCTTGCGGATCCCACAGAAAGAGTGTTTCGAAACTGCTGTTTCAAAAGGAATCTTCAACTCTGTGAGTTGAATGCAATCATCACAAAGAAGTTTCTGACAATGCTTCTTCTCTCTCGCCTTTCTGTGAAGATAAAGGAAAAGGCTTTCAGGCCTGTTCCACCACAGGCCTGAAAGCGCTCCAAATGTCCACTTGCAGATTCTGCGAAAAGAATATTTCAAAACTGCTCTATGAAAAGCAATGTTAAACTCTGTGGCTGGAACACAAACATCACAAAGCGGTTTCTGAGAATGTTTCAGTTTAGTTTTTCTGTGGAGATAATCCCATTTCCAAAGAAATCTTCAAAGAGGTCCACATATCCACTTACAGATTCTACAAAAAGACAGATTCAAAACTGCTCAATCAAAAGGAGGGTTCAACCCTGTGACTTGAATGCAATCATCACACAGAAGTTTCTCAGAATGCTTCTCTTTAGTTTTTACGTGAACATATACCCGTTTCGAACGAAGGCCACACAGTTGTCCAAATATCCACTTGCAGATTCTACAGAAAGAGTGTTTCAAACCTGAACTCTCAAAGGAAGGTTCATCACTGTGAGTTAAATGCATTCATCATGAAGAACTTTCTCAGAATGTTTGTGTTTAGTCATGGGAAGTCTTTCCCATTTCCAACGAAATCCTCAGAGAGGTCCAAATATCCACTTGCAGATTCTACTAAAAGTGTATTTGGAAACTGCTCCATCAAAAGGCATGTTCAGCTCTGTGAGTTAAACTCCATCATCACAAAGAATATTCTGAGAATGCTTCCGTTTGCTTTTTATATGAAGTTCCTTCCTATACTACCGTAGGCCTCAAAGCAGTCCAAATCTCCATTTACAGATTCTACAAAAAGAGTGTTTCCAATCTGCTCTATCAATAGGATTGTTCAACTCCGTGAGTTGAATGCCATCCTCACAAAGTAGTTTCTGAGAATGCTTCTATCTAGTTTTTATGTTTTTTATGTGAAGATATTTCCTTTTCCACCACAGGCCTCATAGCCCTCCTAATGTCCACTTGCAGATTCTCGAAAAAGACTGTTTCATAGCTGCTCTTTCAAAAGGAAAGCTCAACTCTCGGAGTTGAATACAAACATCACAAAGTAGTTTCCGAGAATGCTTCTGTTTAGTTTTTATGTGAAGATGATCCCTTTTCCAATGAAATGTTCAACGAGGTACACGTATGCCCTTGCAGATTCCAAAGAAAGTGGGTTTCAAAACTCCTCCATCAAAAGGATTGTTCAACTCTGAGAGTTGAATGCAGTCATCGCAGAAAACTTTGTGAGAATGCTTCTGTCTAGGTTTGATGTGAAGATATAGCCGTTTCAAACGAAGACTACAAAATGGTCAAAATATACACTTGCAGATTCTACTACACGGGTGTTGCAAACCTGCACTATCAAAGGAAGTTTCCACTCTGTGAGTTGAATGCAAGCATCACAAAGATGTTTCTGAGAATGCCTCCGTTCAGTTATGGGAATTTGATCCCGTTTCCAACGAAATCCTCAGAGAGGTCCAAATATCCCCTTGCAAATTCTACAAAAAGTTTGTTTGGAAACTGCTCCATCAAAATGAATGTTCAGCTCTCTGAGCTAACTCAATCGTCACAAAGAATTTTGTGAGAGTGCTACTGTCTAGTTTTCATGTGAAGTTCTTTCCTTTACTACCACAGGCCTCAAAGCGGTCCAAATCTCCACTTGCAGATTCTACAAAGGAGTGATTGCAAACTGCTCTATCAAAATGAATGTTCAACTCTGGGAGTTGAATGCAATCATCACAGAGCACTTTCTGAGAATGCTTCTATGTCGTTTTTAGGAGAAGATATTTCCTTTTCCAACACAGTCCTCCAAGCCCGCTAAATAGCCACTTGCACATTGTAGAAAAAGTGTGTCAAAGCTGCGCTATCAAAGGGAAAGTTCAACTCTGTGAGGTGAATGCAAACATCCCAAAGAAGTTTCTGAGAATGCTTCCGTTTAGCTTTTAGGTGAAGATTATCCCGTTTCCAACGAAACCTTCAAAGAGGTCCAAATATCCCCTTGCGGATCCCACAGAAAGAGTGTTTCGAAACTGCTGTTTCAAAAGGAATCTTCAACTCTGTGAGTTGAATGCAATCATCAAAAAGAAGTTTCTGACAATGCTTCTCTCTCGTCTTTCTGTGAAGATAAAGGAAAAGGCTTTCAGGCCTTTTCCACCACAGGCCTGAAAGCGCTCCAAATGTCCACTTGCAGATTCTGCCAAAAGAATATTTCAAAACTGCTCTATGAAAAGCAATGTTAAACTCTGTGGCTCGAACAGAAACATCACAAAGCCGTTTCTGAGAATGCTTCAGTTTAGTTTTTCTGTGGAAATATTCCCGTTTCCAAAGAAATCTTCAAAGAGGTCCACGTATCCACTTACAGATTCTACAAAAAGACAGTTTCAAAACTGCTCAATCAAAAGGAGGGTTCAACCGTGTGACTTGAATGCAATCATCACTCAGAAGTTTCTGAGAATGCTTCTCTTTAGTTTTTACGTGAACATATAACCGTTTCGAACGAAGGCCACACAGTGGTCCAAATATCCACTTGCAGATTCTACAGAAAGAGTGTTTCGAACCTGAACTCTCAAAGGCAGGTTCATCTCTGCGAGTTCAATGCATTCATCATGAAGAACTTTCTCAGAGTGTTTGTGTTTAGGTATGGGAAATTATTCCCGTTTCCAACGAAATCCTCAGAGAGGTCCAAATATCCACCTGCAGATTCTACCAAAAGTGTATTTGGAAACTGCTCCATCAAAAGGCATGTTCAGCTCTGTGAGTGAAACTCCATCATCACAAAGAATATTCTGAGAATGCTTCCGTTTGCCTTTTATATGAAGTTCCTTCCTATACTACCGTAGGCCTCAAAGCAGTCCAAATCTCCATTTGCAGATTCTACCAAAAGAGTGATTCCAATCTGCTCTATCAATAGGATTGTTCAACTCCATGAGTTGAATGCCATCCTCACAAAGTCGTTTCTGAGAATGCTTCTATCTAGTTTTTATGTGAAGATATTTTCTTTTCCACCACAGGACTCAAAGCCTTCCAAACGTCCACTTGCAGATTCTCGAAAAAGAGTGTTTCATAGCTGCTCTTTCAAAAGGAAAGTTCAACTCTGGGAGTTGAATACAAACATCACAAAGTAGTTTCCGAGAATGCTTCTGTTTAGTTTTTATGTGAAGATGATCCCGTTTCCAGTGAAATCTTCAAAGAGGTCCACATATCCCCTTGCAGATTCCAAAGAAAGAGGGTTTCAAAACTGCTCCATCAGAAGGATTGTTCAACTCTGTGAGTTGAATGCAGTCATCGCAGAAAACTTTCTGAGAATGCTTCTGTCTAGGTTTGATGTGAAGATATAGACGTTTCAAACGAAGGCTACAATGTGGTCAAAATATACACTTGCAGATTCTACTACAAGGGTGTTGCAAACCTGAACTATCAAAGGAAGGTTCAACTCTGTGAGTTGAATACAAACATCACAAAGAATGTTCTGAGTTTGCTTCCGTTCAGTTATGGGAAGTTGATCCCGTTTCCAACGAAATCCTTAGAGAGGTCCAAATATCCCCTTGCAGATTCTACAAAACGTGTGTTTGGAAACTGCTCCATCATAACGAATGTTCAGCTCCCTGAGTTAAACTCCATCGTCACAAAGAATTTTCTGAGAGTGCTACCGTCTGGTTTTTATATGAAGCTCTTTCCTTCACTACCACAGGCCTCAAAGCGGTCCAAATCTCCACTTGCAGATTCTACAAAAAGAGTGTTTGCAAACTGCTCTATCAAAAGGAATGTTCAACTCTGGGAGTTGAATGCAATCATCACAGAGCAGTTTCTGAGAATGCTTCTATGTCGTTTTTAGAAGATATTTCCTTTTCCAACACAGTCCTCCAAGCCCGCTAAATAGCCACTTGCACATTGTAGAAAAAGTGTGTCAAAGCTGCGCTATCAAAGGGAAAGTTCAACTCTGTGAGGTGAATGCAAACATCCCAAAGAAGTTTCTGAGAATGCTTCCGTTTAGCTTTTAGGTGAAGATTATCCCGTTTCCAACGAAACCTTCAAAGAGGTCCAAATATCCCCTTGCGGATCCCACAGAAAGAGTGTTTCGAAACTGCTGTTTCAAAAGGAATCTTCAACTCTGTGAGTTGAATGCAATCATCACAAAGAAGTTTCTGACAATGCTTCTCTCTCGTCTTTCTGTGAAGATAAAGGAAAAGGCTTTCAGGCCTTTGCCACCACAGGCCTGAAAGCGCTCCAAATGTCCACTTGCAGATTCTGCCAAAAGAATATTTCAAAACTGCTCTATGAAAAGCAATGTTAAACTCTGTGGCTCGAACACAAACATCACAAAGCGGTTTCTGAGAATGCTTCAGTTTAGTTTTTCTGTGGAAATATTCCCGTTTCCAAAGAAATCTTCAAAGAGGTCCACGTATCCACTTACAGATTCTACAAAAAGACAGTTTCAAAACTGCTCCATCAAAAGGAGGGTTCAACCGTGTGACTTGAATGCAATCATCACTCAGAAGTTTCTGAGAATGCTTCTCTTTAGTTTTTACGTGAACATATACCCGTTTCGAACGAAGGCCACCCAGTGGTCCAAATATCCACTTGCAGATTATACAGAAAGAGTGTTTCGAACCTGAACTCTCAAAGGCAGGTTCATCTCTGCGAGTTAAATGCATTCATCATGAAGAACTTTCTCAGAGTGTTTGTGTTTAGTTATGGGAAATTATTCCCGTTCCCAACGAAATCCTCAGAGAGCTCTAAATATCCACCTGCAGATTCTACCAAAAGTGTATTTGGAAACTGCTCCATCAAAAGGCATGTTCAGCTCTGTGAGTGAAACTCCATCATCACAAAGAATATTCTGAGAATGCTTCCGTTTGCCTTTTATATGAAGTTCCTTCCTATACGACCGTAGGCCTCAAAGCAGTCCAAATCTCCATTTGCAGATTCTACAAAAAGAGTGATTCCAATCTGCTCTATCAATAGGATTGTTCAACTCCATGAGTTGAATGCCATCCTCACAAAGTCGTTTCTGAGAATGCTTCTATCTAGTTTTTATGTGAAGATATTTCCTTTTCCACCACAGGCCTCAAAGCCCTCCAAACGTCAACTTGCAGATTCTCGAAAAAGAGTGTTTCATAGCCGCTCTTTCAAAAGGAAAGTTCAACTCTGGGAGTTGAATACAAACATCACAAAGTAGTTTCCGAGAATGCTTCTGTTTAGTTCTTATGTGAAGATGATCCCGTTTCCAGTGAAATCTTCAAAGAGGTCCACATATCCCCTTGCAGATTCCAAAGAAAGAGGGTTTCAAAACTGCTCCATCGAAAGGATTGTTCAACTCTGTGAGTTGAATGCAGTCATCGCAGAAAACTTTCTGAGAATGCTTCTGTCTAGGTTTGAGGTGAAGATATAGACGTTTCAAACGAAGGCTACAAAGTGGTCAAAATATACACTTGCAGATTCTACTACAAGGGTGTTGCAAACCTGAACTATCAAAGGAAGGTTCAACTCTGTGAGTTGAATACAAACATCACAAAGAATGTTCTGAGTTTGCTTCCGTTCAGTTATGGGAAGTTGATCCCGTTTCCAACGAAATCCTCAGAGAGGTCCAAATATCCCCTTGCAGATTCTACAAAACGTGTGTTTGGAAACTGCTCCATCATAACGAATGTTCAGCTCTCTGAGTTAAACTCCATCGTCACAAACAATTTTCTGAGACTGCTACCGTCTAGTTTTATATGAAGTTCTTTCCTTTACTACCACCGGCCTCAAAGCGGTCCAAATCTCCACTTGCAGATTCTACAAAAAGAGTGTTTGCAAACTGCTCTATCAAAAGGAATGTTCAACTCTGGGAGTTGAATGCAATCATCACAGAGCAGTTTCTGAGAATGCTTCTATGTCGTTTTTAGGAGAAGATATTTCCTTTTCCAACACAGTCCTCCAAGCCCGCTAAATATCCACTTGCACATTGTAGAAAAAGTGTGTCGAAGCTGCGCTATCAAAGGGAAATTTCAACTCTGTGAGGTGAATGCAAACATCCCAAAGAAGTTTCTGAGAATGCTTCCGTTTAGCTTTTAGGTGAAGATTATCCCGTTTCCAACGAAATCTTCAAAGAAGTCCAAATATCCCCTTGCGGATCCCACAGAAAGAGTGTTTCGAAACTGCTGTTTCAAAAGGAATCTTCAACTCTGTGAGTTGAATGCAATCATCACAAAGAAGTTTCTGACAATGCTTCTCTCTCGTCTTTCTGTGAAGATAAAGGAAAAGGCTTTCAGGCCTTTTCCACCACAGGCCTGAAAGCGCTCCAAATGTCCACTTGCAGATTCTGCCAAAAGAATATTTCAAAACTGCTCTATGAAAAGCAATGTTAAACTCTGTGGCTCGAACACAAACATCACAAAGCAGTTTCTGAGAATGCTTCAGTTTAGTTTTTCTGTGGAAATATTCCCGTTTCCAAAGAAATCTTCAAAGAGGTCCACGCATCCACTTACAGATTCTACAAAAAGACAGTTTCAAAACTGCTCAATCAAAAGGAGGGTTCAACTGTGTGACTTGAATGCAATCATCACTCAGAAGTTTCTGAGAACGCTTCTCTTTAGTTTTTACGTGAACATATACCCGTTTCGAACGAAGGCCAGCCAGTGGTCCAAATATCCACTTGCAGATTCTACAGAAAGAGTGTTTCGAACCTGAACTCTCAAAGGCAGGTTCATCTCTGCGAGTTAAATGCATTCATCATGAAGAACTTTCTCAGCGTGTTTGTGTTTAGTTATGGGAAATTATTCCCTTTTCCAACGAAATCCTCAGAGAGCTCCAAATATCCACCTGCAGATTCTACCAAAAGTGTATTTGGAAACTGCTCCATCAAAAGGCATGTTCAGCTCTGTGAGTGAAACTCCATCATCACAAAGAATATTCTGAGAATGCTTCCGTTTGCCTTTTATATGAAGTTCCTTCCTATACTACCGTAGGCCTCAAAGCAGTCCAAATCTCCATTTGCAGATTCTACAAAAAGAGTGATTCCAATCTGCTCTATCAATAGGATTGTTCAACTCCATGAGTTGAATGCCATCCTCACAAAGTCGTTTCTGAGAATGCTTCTATCTAGTTTTTATGTGAAGATATTTCCTTTTCCACCACAGGCCTCAAAGCCCTCCAAACGTCCACTTGCAGATTCTCGAAAAAGAGTGTTTCATAGCTGCTCTTTCAAAAGGAAAGTTCAACTCTGGGAGTTGAATACAAACATCACAAAGTAGTTTCCGAGAATGCTTCTGTTTAGTTTTTATGTGAAGATGATCCCGTTTCCAGTGAAATCTTCAAAGAGGTCCACATATCCCCTTGCAGATTCCAAAGAAAGAGGGTTTCAAAACTGCTCCATCAAAAGGATTGTTCAACTCTGTGAGTTGAATGCAGTCATCGCAGAAAACTTTCTGAGAATGCTTCTGTCTAGGTTTGATGTGAAGATATAGACGTTTCAAACGAAGGCTACAAAGTGGTCAAAATATACACTTGCAGATTCTACTACAAGGGTGTTGCAAACCTGAACTATCAAAGGAAGGTTCAACTCTGTGAGTTGAATACAAACATCACAAAGAATGTTCTGAGTTTGCTTCCGTTCAGTTATGGGAAGTTGATCCCTTTTCCAACGAAATCCTCAGAGAGGTCCAAATATCCCCTCGCAGATTCTACAAAACGTGTGTTTGGAAACTGCTCCATCATAACGAATGTTCAGCTCCCTGAGTTAAACTCCATCGTCACAAAGAATTTTCTGAGAGTGCTACCGTCTGGTTTTTATATGAAGTTCTTTCCTTCACTACCACAGGCCTCAAAGCGGTCCAAATCTCCACTTGCAGATTCTACAAAAAGAGTGTTTGCAAACTGCTCTATCAAAAGGAATGTTCAACTCTGGGAGTTGAATGCAATCATCACAGAGCAGTTTCTGAGAATGCTTCTATGTCGTTTTTAGGAGAAGATATTTCCTTTTCCAACACAGTCCTCCAAGCCCGCTAAATAGCCACTTGCACATTGTAGAAAAAGTGTGTCAAAGCTGCGCTATCAAAGGGAAAGTTCAACTCTGTGAGGTGAATGCAAACATCCCAAAGAAGTTTCTGAGAATGCTTCCGTTTAGCTTTTAGGTGAAGATTATCCCGTTTCCAACGAAACCTTCAAAGAGGTCCAAATATCCCCTTGCGGATCCCACAGAAAGAGTGTTTCGAAACTGCTGTTTCAAAAGGAAAATCAACTCTGTGAGTTGAATGCAATCATCACAAAGAAGTTTCTGACAATGCTTCTCTCTCGTCTTTCTGTGAAGATAAAGGAAAAGGCTTTCAGGCCTTTTCCACCACAGGCCTGAAAGCGCTCCAAATGTCCACTTGCAGATTCTGCCAAAAGAATATTTCAAAACTGCTCTATGAAAAGCAATGTTAAACTCTGTGGCTCGAACACAAACATCACAAAGCGGTTTCTGAGAATGCTTCAGTTTAGTTTTTCTGTGGAAATATTCCCGTTTCCAAAGAAATCTTCAAAGAGGTCCACGTATCCACTTACAGATTCTACAAAAAGACAGTTTCAAAACTGCTCCATCAAAAGGAGGGTTCAACTGTGTGACTTGAATGCAATCATCACTCAGAAGTTTCTGAGAATGCTTCTCTTTAGTTTTTACGTGAACATATACCCGTTTCGAACGAAGGCCAGCCAGTGGTCCAAATATCCACTTGCAGATTCTACAGAAAGAGTGTTTCGAACCTGAACTCTCAAAGGCAGGTTCATCTCTGCGAGTTAAATGCATTCATCATGAAGAACTTTCTCAGAGTGTTTGTGTTTAGTTATGGGAAATTATTCCCCTTTCCAACGAAATCCTCAGAGAGCTCCAAATATCCACCTGCAGATTCTACCAAAAGTGTATTTGGAAACTGCTCCATCAAAAGGCATGTTCAGCTCTGTGAGTGAAACTCCATCATCACAAAGAATATTCTGAGAATGCTTCCGTTTGCCTTTTATCTGAAGTTCCTTCCTATACGACCGTAGGCCTCAAAGCAGTCCAAATCTCCATTTGCAGATTCCACAAAAAGAGTGATTCCAATCTGCTCTATCAATAGGATTGTTCAACTCCATGAGTTGAATGCCATCCTCACAAAGTCGTTTCTGAGAATGCTTCTATCTAGTTTTTATGTGAAGATATTTCTTTTTCCACCACAGGCCTCAAAGCCCTCCAAACGTCCACTTGCAGATTCTCGAAAAAGAGTGTTTCATAGCTGCTCTTTCAAAAGGAAAGTTCAACTCTGGCAGTTGAATACAAACATCACAAAGTAGTTTCCGAGAATGCTTCTGTTTAGTTTTTATGTGAAGATGATCCCGTTTCCAGTGAAATCTTCAAAGAGGTCCACATATCCCCTTGCAGATTCCAAAGAAAGAGGGTTTCAAAACTGCTCCATCAGAAGGATTGTTCAACTCTGTGAGTTGAATGCAGTCATCGCAGAAAACTTTCTGAGAATGCTTCTGTCTAGGTTTGATGTGAAGATATAGACGTTTCAAACGAAGGCTACAAAGTGGTCAAAATATACACTTGCAGATTCTACTACAAGGGTGTTGCAAACGTGAACTATCAAAGGAAGGTTCAACTCTGTGAATTGAATACAAACATCACAAAGAATGTTCTGAGTTTGCTTCCGTTCAGTTATGGGAAGTTGATCCCGTTTCCAACGAAATCCTCAGAGAGGTCCAAATATCCCCTCGCAGATTCTACAAAACGTGTGTTTGGAAACTGCTCCATCATAACGAATGTTCAGCTCCCTGAGTTAAACTCCATCGTCACAAAGAATTTTCTGAGAGTGCTACCGTCTGGTTTTTATATGAAGTTCTTTCCTTCACTACCACAGGCCTCAAAGCGGTCCAAATCTCCACTTGCAGATTCTACAAAAAGAGTGTTTGCAAACTGCTCTATCAAAAGGAATGTTCAACTCTGGGAGTTGAATGCAATCATCACAGAGCAGTTTCTGAGAATGCTTCTATGTCGTTTTTAGGAGAAGATATTTCCTTTTCCAACACAGTCCTCCAAGCCCGCTAAATAGCCACTTGCACATTGTAGAAAAAGTGTGTCAAAGCTGCGCTATCAAAGGGAAAGTTCAACTCTGTGAGGTGAATGCAAACATCCCAAAGAAGTTTCTGAGAATGCTTCCGTTTAGCTTTTAGGTGAAGATTATCCCGTTTCCAACGAAACCTTCAAAGAGGTCCAAATATCCCCTTGCGGATCCCACAGAAAGAGTGTTTCGAAACTGCTGTTTCAAAAGGAATCTTCAACTCTGTGAGTTGAATGCAATCATCACAAAGAAGTTTCTGACAATGCTTCTCTCTCGTCTTTCTGTGAAGATAAAGGAAAAGGCTTTCAGGCCTTTGCCACCACAGGCCTGAAAGCGCTCCAAATGTCCACTTGCAGATTCTGCGAAAAGAATATTTCAAAACTGCTCTATGAAAAGCAATGTTAAACTCTGTGGCTCGAACACAAACATCACAAAGCAGTTTCTGAGAATGCTTCAGTTTAGTTTTTCTGTGGAAATATTCCCGTTTCCAAAGAAATCTTCAAAGAGGTCCACGTATCCACTTACAGATTCTACAAAAAGACAGTTTCAAAACTGCTCCATCAAAAGGAGGGTTCAACTGTGTGACTTGAATGCAATCATCACTCAGAAGTTTCTGAGAATGCTTCTCTTTAGTTTTTACGTGAACATATACCCGTTTCGAACGAAGGCCACCCAGTGGTCCAAATATCCACTTGCAGATTCTACAGAAAGAGTGTTTCGAACCTGAACTCTCAAAGGCAGGTTCATCTCTGCGAGTTAAATGCATTCATCATGAAGAACTTTCTCAGAGTGTTTGTGTTTAGTTATGGGAAATTATTCCCGTTCCCAAAGAAATCCTCAGAGAGGTCCAAATGTCCACCTGCAGATTCTACCAAAAGTGTATTGGGAAACTGCTCCATCAACAGGCATGTTCAGCTCTGTGAGTGAAACTCCATCATCACAAAGAATATTCTGAGAATGCTTCCGTTTGCCTTTTATATGAAGTTCCTTCCTATACGACCGTAGGCCTCAAAGCAGTCCAAATCTCCATTTGCAGATTCTACAAAAAGAGTGATTCCAATCTGCTCTATCAATAGGATTGTTCAACTCCATGAGTTGAATGCCATCCTCACAAAGTCGTTTCTGAGAATGCTTCTATTCTAGTTTTTATGTGAAGATATTTCCTTTTCCACCACAGGCCTCAAAGCCCTCCAAACGTCCACTTGCAGATTCTCGAAAAAGAGTGTTTCATAGCTGCTCTTTCAAAAGGAAAGTTCAACTCTGGGAGTTGAATACAAACATCACAAAGTAGTTTCCGAGAATGCTTCTGTTTAGTTCTTCTGTGAAGATGATCCCGTTTCCAGTGAAATCTTCAAAGAGGTCCACATATCCCCTTGCAGATTCCAAAGAAAGAGGGTTTCAAAACTGCTCCATCAAAAGGATTGTTCAACTCTGTGAGTTGAATGCAGTCATCGCAGAAAACTTTCTGAGAATGCTTCTGTCTAGGTTTGATGTGAAGCATATAGACGTTTCAAACGAAGGCTACAAAGTGGTCAAAATATACACTTGCAGATTCTACTACAAGGGTGATGCAAACCTGAACTATCAAAGGAAGGTTCAACTCTGTGAGTTGAATACAAACATCACAAAGAATGTTCTGAGTTTGCTTCCGTTCAGTTATGGGAAGTTGATCCCGTTTCCAACGAAATCCTCAGAGAGGTCCAAATATCCCCTTGCAGATTCTACAAAACGTGTGTTTGGAAACTGCTCCATCATAACGAATGTTCAGCTCTCTGAGTTAAACTCCATCGTCACAAAGAATTTTCTGAGAGTGCTACCGTCTAGTTTTTATATGAAGTTCTTTCCTTTACTACCACAGGCCTCAAAGCGGTCCAAATCTCCACTTGCAGATTCTACAAAAAGAGTGTTTGCAAACTGCTCTATCAAAAGGAATGTTCAACTCTGGGAGTTGAATGCAATCATCACAGAGCAGTTTCTGAGAATGCTTCTATGTGGTTTTTAGGAGAAGATATTTCCTTTTCCAACACATTCCTCCAAGCCCGCTAAATATCCACTTGCACATTGTAGAAAAAGTGTGTCGAAGCTGCGCTATCAAAGGGAAAGTTCAACTCTGTGAGGTGAATGCAAACATCCCAAAGAAGTTTCTGAGAATGCTTCCGTTTAGCTTTTAGGTGAAGATTATCCCGTTTCCAACGAAATCTTCAAAGAGGTCCAAATATCCCCTTGCGGATCCCACAGAAAGAGTGTTTCGAAACTGCTGTTTCAAAAGGAATCTTCAACTCTGTGAGTTGAATGCAATCATCACAAAGAAGTTTCTGACAATGCTTCTCTCTCGTCTTTCTGTGAAGATAAAGGAAAAGGCTTTCAGGCCTTTTCCCAACCACAGGCCTGAAAGCGCTCCAAATGTCCACTTGCAGATTCTGCCAAAAGAATATTTCAAAACTGCTCTATGAAAAGCAATGTTAAACTCTGTGGCTCGAACACAAACATCACAAAGCAGTTTCTGAGAATGCTTCAGTTTAGTTTTTCTGTGGAAATATTCCCGTTTCCAAAGAAATCTTCAAAGAGGTCCACGCATCCACTTACAGATTCTACAAAAAGACAGTTTCAAAACTGCTCAATCAAAACGAGGGTTCAACTGTGTGACTTGAATGCAATCATCACTCAGAAGTTTCTGAGAACGCTTCTCTTTAGTTTTTACGTGAACATATACCCGTTTCGAACGAAGGGCACCCAGTGGTCCAAATATCCACTTGCAGATTCTACAGAAAGAGTGTTTCGAACCTGAACTCTCAAAGGCAGGTTCATCTCTGCGAGTTAAATGCATTCATCATGAAGAACTTTCTCAGCGTGTTTGTGTTTAGTTATGGGAAATTATTCCCGTTTCCAACGAAATCCTCAGAGAGCTCCAAATATCCACCTGCAGATTCTACCAAAAGTGTATTTGGAAACTGCTCCATCAAAAGGCATGTTCAGCTCTGTGAGTGAAACTCCATCATCACAAAGAATATTCTGAGAATGCTTCCGTTTGCCTTTTATATGAAGTTCCTTCCTGTACTACCGTAGGCCTCAAAGCAGTCCAAATCTCCATTTGCAGATTCTACAAAAAGAGTGATTCCAATCTGCTCTATCAATAGGATTGTTCAACTCCATGAGTTGAATGCCATCCTCACAAAGTAGTTTCTGAGAATGCTTCTATCTGGTTTTTGTGTGAAGATATTTCCTTTTCCACCACAGGCCTCAAAGCCCTCCAAACGTCCACTTGCAGATTCTAGAAAAAGAGTGTTTCATAGCTGCTCTTTCAAAAGGAAAGTTCAACTCTGGGAGTTGAATACAAACATCACAAAGTAGTTTCCGAGAATGCTTCTGTTTAGTTTTTATGTGAAGATGATCCCGTTTCCAGTGAAATCTTCAAAGAGGTCCACATATCCCCTTGCAGATTCCAAAGAAAGAGGGTTTCAAAACTGCTCCATCAGAAGGATTGTTCAACTCTGTGAGTTGAATGCAGTCATCGCAGAAAACTTTCTGAGAATGCTTCTGTCTAGGTTTGATGTGAAGATATAGACGTTTCAAACGAAGGCTACAAAGTGGTCAAAATATACACTTGCAGATTCTACTACAAGGGTGTTGCAAACCTGAACTATCAAAGGAAGGTTCAACTCTGTGGGTTGAATACAAACATCGCAAAGAATGTTCTGAGTTTGCTTCCGTTCAGTTATGGGAAGTTGATCCCGTTTCCAACGAAATCCTCAGAGAGGTCCAAATATCCCCTTGCAGATTCTACAAAACGTGTGTTTGGAAACTGCTCCATCATAACGAATGTTCAGCTCCCTGAGTTAAACTCCATCGTCACAAAGAATTTTCTGAGAGTGCTACCGTCTGGTTTTTATATGAAGTTCTTTCCTTCACTACCACAGGCCTCAAAGCGGTCCAAATCTCCACTTGCAGATTCTACAAAAAGAGTGTTTGCAAACTGCTCTATCAAAAGGAATGTTCAACTCTGGGAGTTGAATGCAATCATCACAGAGCAGTTTCTGAGAATGCTTCTATGTCGTTTTTAGGAGAAGATATTTCCTTTTCCAACACAGTCCTCCAAGCCCGCTAAATAGCCACTTGCACATTGTAGAAAAAGTGTGTCAAAGCTGCGCTATCAAAGGGAAAGTTCAACTCTGTGAGGTGAATGCAAACATCCCAAAGAAGTTTCTGAGAATGCTTCCGTTTAGCTTTTAGGTGAAGATTATCCCGTTTCCAAAGAAACCTTCAAAGAGGTCCAAATATCCCCTTGCGGATCCCACAGAAAGAGTGTTTCGAAACTGCTGTTTCAAAAGGAATCTTCAACTCTGTGAGTTGAATGCAATCATCACAAAGAAGTTTCTGACAATGCTTCTCTCTCGTCTTTCTGTGAAGATAAAGGAAAAGGCTTTCAGGCCTTTTCCACCACAGGCCTGAAAGCACTCCAAATGTCCACTTGCAGATTCTGCCAAAAGAATATTTCAAAACTGCTCTATGAAAAGCAATGTTAAACTCTGTGGCTCGAACACAAACATCACAAAGCGGTTTCTGAGAATGCTTCAGTTTAGTTTTTCTGTGGAAATATTCCCGTTTCCAAAGAAATCTTCAAAGAGGTCCACGTATCCACTTACAGATTCTACAAAAAGACAGTTTCAAAACTGCTCCATCAAAAGGAGGGTTCAACTGTGTGACTTGAATGCAATCATCACTCAGAAGTTTCTGAGAATGCTTCTCTTTAGTTTTTACGTGAACATATACCCGTTTAGAACGAAGGCCACCCAGTGGTCCAAATATCCACTTGCAGATTCTACAGAAAGAGTGTTTCGAACCTGAACTCTCAAAGGCAGGTTCATCTCTGCGAGTTCAATGCATTCATCATGAAGAACTTTCTCAGAGTGTTTGTGTTTAGTTATGGGAAATTATTCCCTTTTCCAACGAAATCCTCAGAGACGTCAAAATTTCCACCTGCAGATTCTACCAAAAGTGTATTTGGAGACTGCTCCATCAAAAGGCATGTTCAGCTCTGTGAGTGAAACTCCATCATCACAAAGAATATTCTGAGAATGCTTCCGTTTGCCTTTTATATGAAGTTCCTTCCTGTACTACCGTAGGCCTCAAAGCAGTCCAAATCTCCATTTGCAGATTCTACAAAAAGAGTGATTCCAATCTGCTCTATCAATAGGATTGTTCAACTCCATGAGTTGAATGCCATCCTCACAAAGTCGTTTCTGAGAATGCTTCTATCTGGTTTTTGTGTGAAGATATTTCCTTTTCCACCACAGGCCTCAAAGCCCTCCAAACGTCCACTTGCAGATTCTCGAAAAAGAGTGTTTCATAGCTGCTCTTTCAAAAGGAAAGTTCAACTCTGGGAGTTGAATACAAACATCACAAAATAGTTTCTGAGAATGCTTCTGTTTAGTTTTTATATGAAGATGATCCCGTTTCCAGTGAAATCTTCAAAGAGGTCCACATATCCCCTTGCAGATTCCAAAGAAAGAGGGTTTCAAAACTGCTCCATCAGAAGGATTGTTCAACTCTGTGAGTTGAATGCAGTCATCGCAGAAAACTTTCTGAGAATGCTTCTGTCTAGGTTTGATGTGAAGATATAGACGTTTCAAACGAAGGCTACAAAGTGGTCAAAATATACACTTGCAGATTCTACTACAAGGGTGTTGCAAACCTGAACTATCAAAGGAAGGTTCAACTCTGTGAATTGAATACAAACATCACAAAGAATGTTCTGAGTTTGCTTCCGTTCAGTTATGGGAAGTTGATCCCGTTTCCAACGAAATCCTCAGAGAGGTCCAAATATCCCCTCGCAGATTCTACAAAACGTGTGTTTGGAAACTGCTCCATCATAACGAATGTTCAGCTCCCTGAGTTAAACTCCATCGTCACAAAGAATTTTCTGAGAGTGCTACCGTCTGGTTTTTATATGAAGTTCTTTCCTTCACTACCACAGGCCTCAAAGCGGTCCAAATCTCCACTTGCAGATTCTACAAAAAGAGTGTTTGCAAACTGCTCTATCAAAAGGAATGTTCAACTCTGGGAGTTGAATGCAATCATCACAGAGCAGTTTCTGAGAATGCTTCTATGTCGTTTTTAGGAGAAGATATTTCCTTTTCCAACACAGTCCTCCAAGCCCGCTAAATAGCCACTTGCACATTGTAGAAAAAGTGTGTCAAAGCTGCGCTATCAAAGGGAAAGTTCAACTCTGTGAGGTGAATGCAAACATCCCAAAGAAGTTTCTGAGAATGCTTCCGTTTAGCTTTTAGGTGAAGATTATCCCGTTTCCAACGAAACCTTCAAAGAGGTCCAAATATCCCCTTGCGGATCCCACAGAAAGAGTGTTTCGAAACTGCTGTTTCAAAAGGAATCTTCAACTCTGTGAGTTGAATGCAATCATCACAAAGAAGTTTCTGACAATGCTTCTCTCTCGTCTTTCTGTGAAGATAAAGGAAAAGGCTTTCAGGCCTTTTCCACCACAGGCCTGAAAGCGCTCCAAATGTCCACTTGCAGATTCTGCGAAAAGAATATTTCAAAACTGCTCTATGAAAAGCAATGTTAAACTCTGTGGCTCGAACACAAACATCACAAAGCGGTTTCTGAGAATGCTTCAGTTTAG
The DNA here is from genome assembly GCF_000001405.40 of Homo sapiens. NCBI lineage: Eukaryota > Metazoa > Chordata > Mammalia > Primates > Hominidae > Homo > Homo sapiens. The sequence goes on along the minus strand of NC_000023.11, from coordinate 61,006,873 downwards.
TTTTTCTGTGGAAATATTCCCGTTTCCAAAGAAATCTTCAAAGAGGTCCACGTATCCACTTACAGATTCTACAAAAAGACAGTTTCAAAACTGCTCCATCAAAAGGAGGGTTCAACTGTGTGACTTGAATGCAATCATCACTCAGAAGTTTCTGAGAATGCTTCTCTTTAGTTTTTACGGGAACATATACCCGTTTCAAACGAAGGCCAGCCAGTGGTCCAAATATCCACTTGCAGATTCTACAGAAAGAGTGTTTTGAACCTGAACTCTCAAAGGCAGGTTCATCTCTGAGAGTTCAATGCATTCATCATGAAGAACTTTCTCAGAGTGTTTGTGTTTAGTTATGGGAAATTATTCCCGTTTCCAACGAAATCCTCAGAGAGCTCCAAATATCCACCTGCAGATTCTACCAAAAGTGTATTTGGAAACTGCTCCATCAAAAGGCATGTTCAGCTCTGTGAGTGAAACTCCATCATCACAAAGAATATTCTGAGAATGCTTCCGTTTGCCTTTTATATGAAGTTCCTTCCTATACGACCGTAGGCCTCAAAGCAGTCCAAATCTCCATTTGCAGATTCTACAAAAAGAGTGATTCCAATCTGCTCTATCAATAGGATTGTTCAACTCCATGAGTTGAATGCCATCCTCACAAAGTCGTTTCTGAGAATGCTTCTATCTAGTTTTTATGTGAAGATATTTCCTTTTCCACCACAGGCCTCAAAGCCCTCCAAACGTCCACTTGCAGATTCTCGAAAAAGAGTGTTTCATAGCTGCTCTTTCAAAAGGAAAGTTCAACTCTGGGAGTTGAATACAAACATCACAAAGTAGTTTCCGAGAATGCTTCTGTTTAGTTTTTATGTGAAGATGATCCCGTTTCCAGTGAAATCTTCAAAGAGGTCCACATATCCCCTTGCAGATTCCAAAGAAAGAGGGTTTCAAAACTGCTCCATCAGAAGGATTGTTCAACTCTGTGAGTTGAATGCAGTCATCGCAGAAAACTTTCTGAGAATGCTTCTGTCTAGGTTTGATGTGAAGATATAGACGTTTCAAACGAAGGCTACAAAGTGGTCAAAATATACACTTGCAGATTCTACTACAAGGGTGTTGCAAACCTGAACTATCAAAGGAAGGTTCAACTCTGTGAGTTGAATACAAACATCACAAAGAATGTTCTGAGTTTGCTTCCGTTCAGTTATGGGAAGTTGATCCCGTTTCCAACGAAATCCTCAGAGAGGTCCAAATATCCCCTCGCAGATTCTACAAAACGTGTGTTTGGAAACTGCTCCATCATAACGAATGTTCAGCTCCCTGAGTTAAACTACATCGTCACAAAGAATTTTCTGAGAGTGCTACCGTCTGGTTTTTATATGAAGTTCTTTCCTTCACTACCACAGGCCTCAAAGCGGTCCAAATCTCCACTTGCAGATTCTACAAAAAGAGTGTTTGCAAACTGCTCTATCAAAAGGAATGTTCAACTCTGGGAGTTGAATGCAATCATCACAGAGCAGTTTCTGAGAATGCTTCTATGTCGTTTTTAGGAGAAGATATTTCCTTTTCCAACACAGTCCTCCAAGCCCGCTAAATAGCCACTTGCACATTGTAGAAAAAGTGTGTCAAAGCTGCGCTATCAAAGGGAAAGTTCAACTCTGTGAGGTGAATGCAAACATCCCAAAGAAGTTTCTGAGAATGCTTCCGTTTAGCTTTTAGGTGAAGATTATCCCGTTTCCAACGAAACCTTCAAAGAGGTCCAAATATCCCCTTGCGGATCCCACAGAAAGAGTGTTTCGAAACTGCTGTTTCAAAAGGAATCTTCAACTCTGTGAGTTGAATGCAATCATCACAAAGAAGTTTCTGACAATGCTTCTCTCTCGTCTTTCTGTGAAGATAAAGGAAAAGGCTTTCAGGCCTTTTCCACCACAGGCCTGAAAGCGCTCCAAATGTCCACTTGCAGATTCTGCCAAAAGAATATTTCAAAACTGCTCTATGAAAAGCAATGTTAAACTCTGTGGCTGGAACACAAACATCACAAAGCGGTTTCTGAGAATGTTTCAGTTTAGTTTTTCTGTGGAAATATTCCCGTTTCCAAAGAAATCTTCAAAGAGGTCCACGTATCCACTTACAGATTCTACAAAAAGACAGTTTCAAAACTGCTCCATCAAAAGGAGGGTTCAACTGTGTGACTTGAATGCAATCATCACTCAGAAGTTTCTGAGAATGCTTCTCTTTAGTTTTTACGTGAACATATACCCGTTTCGAACGAAGGCCACCCAGTGGTCCAAATATCCACTTGCAAATTATACAGAAAGAGTGTTTCGAACCTGAACTCTCAAAGGCAGGTTCATCTCTGCGAGTTAAATGCATTCATCATGAAGAACTTTCTCAGAGTGTTTGTGTTTAGTTATGGGAAATTATTCCCGTTTCCAACGAAATCCTCAGAGAGCTCCAAATATCCACCTGCAGATTCTACCAAAAGTGTATTTGGAAACTGCTCCATCAAAAGGCATGTTCAGCTCTGTGAGTGAAACTCCATCATCACAAAGAATATTCTGAGAATGCTTCCGTTTGCCTTTTATATGAAGTTCCTTCCTATACTACCGTAGGCCTCAAAGCAGTCCAAATCTCCATTTGCAGATTCTACAAAAAGAGTGATTCCAATCTGCTCTATCAATAGGATTGTTCAACTCCATGAGTTGAATGCCATCCTCACAAAGTAGTTTCTGAGAATGCTTCTATCTAGTTTTTATGTGAAGATATTTCCTTTTCCACCACAGGCCTCAAAGCCCTCCAAACGTCCACTTGCAGATTCTCGAAAAAGAGTGTTTCATAGCTGCTCTTTCAAAAGGAAAGTTCAACTCTGGGAGTTGAATACAAACATCACAAAGTAGTTTCCGAGAATGCTTCTGTTTAGTTTTTATGTGAAGATGATCCCGTTTCCAGTGAAATCTTCAAAGAGGTCCACATATCCCCTTGCAGATTCCAAAGAAAGAGGGTTTCAAAACTGCTCCATCAGAAGGATTGTTCAACTCTGTGAGTTGAATGCAGTCATCGCAGAAAACTTTCTGAGAATGCTTCTGTCTAGGTTTGATGTGAAGATATAGACGTTTCAAACGAAGGCTACAAAGTGGTCAAAATATACACTTGCAGATTCTACTACAAGGGTGTTGCAAACCTGAACTATCAAAGGAAGGTTCAACTCTGTGAGTTGAATACAAACATCACAAAGAATGTTCTGAGTTTGCTTCCGTTCAGTTATGGGAAGTTGATCCCGTTTCCAACGAAATCCTCAGAGAGGTCCAAATATCCCCTTGCAGATTCTACAAAACGTGTGTTTGGAAACTGCTCCATCATAACGAATGTTCAGCTCCCTGAGTTAAACTCCATCGTCACAAAGAATTTTCTGAGAGTGCTACCGTCTGGTTTTTATATGAAGTTCTTTCCTTCACTACCACAGGCCTCAAAGCGGTCCAAATCTCCACTTGCAGATTCTACAAAAAGAGTGTTTGCAAACTGCTCTATCAAAAGGAATGTTCAACTCTGGGAGTTGAATGCAATCATCACAGAGCAGTTTCTGAGAATGCTTCTATGTCGTTTTTAGGAGAAGATATTTCCTTTTCCAACACAGTCCTCCAAGCCCGCTAAATAGCCACTTGCACATTGTAGAAAAAGTGTGTCAAAGCTGCGCTATCAAAGGGAAAGTTGAACTCTGTGAGGTGAATGCAAACATCCCAAAGAAGTTTCTGAGAATGCTTCCCGTTTAGCTTTTAGGTGAGGATTATCCCGTTTCCAACGAAACCTTCAAAGAGGTCCAAATATCCCCTTGCGGATCCCACAGAAAGAGTGTTTCGAAACTGCTGTTTCAAAAGGAATCTTCAACTCTGTGAGTTGAATGCAATCATCACAAAGAAGTTTCTGACAATGCTTCTCTCTCGTCTTTCTGTGAACATAAAGGAAAAGGCGTTCAGGCCTTTGCCACCACAGGCCTGAAAGCGCTCCAAATGTCCACTTGCAGATTCTGCCAAAAGAATATTTCAAAACTGCTCTATGAAAAGCAATGTTAAACTCTGTGGCTGGAACACAAACATCACAAAGCGGTCTCTGAGAATGCTTCAGTTTAGTTTTTCTGTGGAAATATTCCCGTTTCCAAAGAAATCTTCAAAGAGGTCCACGTATCCACTTACAGATTCTACAAAAAGACAGTTTCAAAACTGCTCAATCAAAAGGAGGGTTCAACTGTGTGACTTGAATGCAATCATCACTCAGAAGTTTCTGAGAATGCTTCTCTTTAGTTTTTACGTGAACATATACCCGTTTCGAACGAAGGCCACCCAGTGGTCCAAATACCCACTTGCAGATTCTACAGAAAGAGTGTTTCGAACCTGAACTCTCAAAGGCAGGTTCATCTCTGCGAGTTAAATGCATTCATCATGAAGAACTTTCTCAGCGTGTTTGTGTTTAGTTATGGGAAATTATTCCCGTTTCCAACGAAATCCTCAGAGAGCTCCAAATATCCACCTGCAGATTCTACCAAAAGTGTATTTGGAAACTGCTCCCATCTCAAAAGGCATGTTCAGCTCTGTGAGTGAAACTCCATCATCACAAAGAATATTCTGAGAATGCTTCCGTTTGCCTTTTATATGAACTTCCTTCCTGTACTACCGTAGGCCTCAAAGCAGTCCAAATCTCCATTTGCAGATTCTACAAAAAGAGTGATTCCAATCTTCTCTATCAATAGGATTGTTCAACTCCATGAGTTGAATGCCATCCTCACAAAGTAGTTTCTGAGAATGCTTCTATCTGGTTTTTGTGTGAAGATATTTCCTTTTCCACCACAGGCCTCAAAGCCCTCCAAACGTCCACTTGCAGATTCTCGAAAAAGAGTGTTTCATAGCTGCTCTTTCAAAAGGAAAGTTCAACTCTGGGAGTTGAATACAAACATCACAAAGTAGTTTCCGAGAATGCTTCTGTTTAGTTTTTATGTGAAGATGATCCCGTTTCCAGTGAAATCTTCAAAGAGGTCCACATATCCCCTTGCAGATTCCAAAGAAAGAGGGTTTCAAAACTGCTCCATCAGAAGGATTGTTCAACTCTGTGAGTTGAATGCAGTCATCGCAGAAAACTTTCTGAGAATGCTTCTGTCTAGGTTTGATGTGAAGATATAGACGTTTCAAACGAAGGCTACAAAGTGGTCAAAATATACACTTGCAGATTCTACTACAAGGGTGTTGCAAACCTGAACTATCAAAGGAAGGTTCAACTCTGTGAGTTGAATACAAACATCACAAAGAATGTTCTGAGTTTGCTTCCGTTCAGTTATGGGAAGTTGATCCCGTTTCCAACGAAATCCTCAGGAGAGGTCCAAATATCCCCTTGCAGATTCTACAAAACGTGTGTTTGGAAACTGCTCCATCATAACGAATGTTCAGCTCCCTGAGTTAAACTCCATCGTCACAAAGAATTTTCTGAGAGTGCTACCGTCTGGTTTTTATATGAAGCTTTTTCCTTTACTACCCCAGTCCTCAAAGCGGTCCAAATCTCCACTTGCAGATTCTACAAAAAGAGTGTTTGCAAACTGCTCTATCAAAAGGAATGTTCAACTCTGGGAGTTGAATGCAATCATCACAGAGCAGTTTCTGAGAATGCTTCTATGTCGTTTTTAGGAGAAGATATTTCCTTTTCCAACACAGTCCTCCAAGTCCGCTAAATAGCCACTTGCACATTGTAGAAAAAGTGTGTCAAAGCTGCGCTATCAAAGGGAAAGTTCAACTCTGAGAGGTGAATGCAAACATCCCAAAGAAGTTTCTGAGAGTGCTTCCGTTTAGCTTTTAGGTGAAGATTATCCCGTTTCCAACGAAACCTTCAAAGAAGTCCAAATATCCCCTTGCGGATCCCACAGAAAGAGTGTTTCGAAACTGCTGTTTCAAAAGGAATCTTCAACTCTGTGAGTTGAATGCAATCATCACAAAGAAGTTTCTGACAATGCTTCTCTCTCGTCTTTCTGTGAAGATAAATAAATGCTTTCAGGCCTTTGCCACCACAGGCCTGAAAGCGCTCCAAATGTCCACTTGCAGATTCTGCGAAAAGAATATTTCAAAACTGCTTTGTGAAAAGCAATGTTAAACTCTGTGGCTCGAACACAAACATCACAAAGCGGTTTCTGAGAATGCTTCAGTTTAGTTTTTCTGTGGAAATATTCCCGTTTCCAAAGAAATCTTCAAAGAGGTCCACGTATCCACTTACAGATTCTATAAAAAGACAGTTTCAAAACTGCTCCATCAAAAGGAGGGTTCAACTGTGTGACTTGAATGCAATCATCACTCAGAAGTTTCTGAGAATGCTTCTCTTTAGTTTTTACGTGAACATATACCCGTTTCGAACGAAGGCCACCCAGTGGTCCAAATATCCACTTGCAGATTCTACAGAAAGAGTGTTTCGAACCTGAACTCTCAAAGGCAGGTTCATCTCTGCAAGTTAAATGCATTCATCATGAAGAACTTTCTCAGAGTGTTTGTGTTTAGTTATGGGAAATTATTCCCGTTTCCAACGAAATCCTCAGAGAGCTCCAAATATCCACCTGCAGATTCTACCAAAAGTGTATTCGGAAACTGCTCCATCAAAAGGCATGTTCAGCTCTGTGAGTGAAACTCCATCATCACAAAGAATATTCTGAGAATGCTTCCGTTTGCCTTTTATATGAAGTTCCTTCCTGTACTACCGTAGGCCTCAAAGCAGTCCAAATCTCCATTTGCAGATTCTATAAAAAGAGTGATTCCAATCTGCTCTATCAATAGGATTGTTCAACTCCATGAGTTGAATGCCATCCTCACAAAGTAGTTTCTGAGAATGCTTCTATGTAGTTTTTAAGTGAAGATATTTCCTTTTCCACCACAGGCCTCAAAGCCCTCCAAACGTCCACTTGCAGATTCCCGAAAAAGAGTGTTTCATAGCTGCTCTTTCAAAAGGAAAGTTCAACTCTGGGAGTTGAATACAAACATCACAAAGTAGTTTCCGAGAATGCTTCTGTTTAGTTTTTATGTGAAGATGATCCCGTTTCCAGTGAAATCTTCAAAGAGGTCCACATATCCCCTTGCAGATTCCAAAGAAAGAGGGTTTCAAAACTGCTCCATCAAAAGGATTGTTCAACTCTGTGAGTTGAATGCAGTCATCGCAGAAAACTTTCTGAGAATGCTTCTGTCTAGGTTTGATGTGAAGATATAGACTTTTCAAACGAAGGCTACAAAGTGGTCAAAATATACACTTGCAGATTCTACTACAAGGGTGTTGCCAACCTGAACTATCAAAGGAAGGTTCAACCCTGTGAGTTGAATACAAACATCACAAAGAATGTTCTGAGTTTGCTTCCGTTCAGTTATGGGAAGTTGATCCCGTTTCCAACGAAATCTGCAGAGAGGTCCAAGTATCCCCTTGCAGAGTCTACAAAACGTGTGTTTGGAAACTGCTCCATCATAACGAATGTTCAGCTCTCTGAGTTAAACTCCATCGTCACAAAGAATTTTCTGAGAGTGCTACCGTCTAGTTTTTATAGGAAGTTCTTTCCTTTACTACCACAGGCCTCAAAGCGGTCCAAATCTCCACTTGCAGATTCTACAAAAAGAGTGTTTGCAAACTGCTCTATCAAAAGGAATGTTCAACTCTGGGAGTTGAATGCAATCATCACAGAGCAGTTTCTGAGAATGCTTCTATGTGGTTTTTAGGAGAAGATATTTCCTTTTCCACCACATTCCTCCAAGCCCGCTAAAAATCCACTTGCACATTGTAGAAAAAGTGTGTCAAAGCTGCGCTATCAAAGGGAAAGTACAACTCTGTGAGGTGAATGCAAACATCCCAAAGAAGTTTCTGAGAATGCTTCCGTTTAGCTTTTAGGTGAAGATTATCCCGTTTCCAACGAAATCTTCAAAGAGGTCCAAATATCCCCTTGCGGATCCCACAGAAAGAGTGTTTTGAAACTGCTGTTTCAAAAGGAATCTTCAACTCTGTGAGTTGAATGCAATCATCACAAAGAAGTTTCTGACAATGCTTCTCTCTCGTCTTTCTGTGAAGATAAAGAAAAGGCTTTCAGGCCTTTTCCACCACAGGCCTGAAAGCGCTCCAAATGTCCACTTGCAGATTCTGCGAAAAGAATATTTCAAAACTGCTCTATGAAAAGCAATGTTAAACTCTGTGGCTCGAACACAAACATCACAAAGCAGTTTCTGAGAATGCTTCAGTTTAGTTTTTCTGTGGAAATATTCCCGTTTCCAAAGAAATCTTCAAAGAGGTCCACGTATCCACTTACAGATTCTACAAAAAGACAGTTTCAAAACTGCTCCATCAAAAGGAGGGTTCAACTGTGTGACTTGAATGCAATCATCACTCAGAAGTTTCTGAGAATGCTTCTCTTTAGTTTTTACGTGAACATATACCCGTTTCGAACGAAGGCCACCCAGTGGTCCAAATATCCACTTGCAGATTATACAGAAAGAGTGTTTCGAACCTGAACTCTCAAAGGCAGGTTCATCTCTGCGAGTTAAATGCATTCATCATGAAGAACTTTCTCAGAGTGTTTGTGTTTAGTTATGGGAAATTATTCCCGTTTCCAACGAAATCCTCAGAGTGGTCCAAATATCCACCTGCAGATTCTACCAAAAGTGTATTTGGAAACTGCTCCATCAAAAGGCATGTTCAGCTCTGTGAGTGAAACTCCATCATCACAAAGAATATTCTGAGAATGCTTCCGTTTGCCTTTTATCTGAAGTTCCTTCCTATACGACCGTAGGCCTCAAAGCAGTCCAAATCTCCATTTGCAGATTCTACAAAAAGAGTGATTCCAATCTGCTCTATCAATAGGATTGTTCAACTCCATGAGTTGAATGCCATCCTCACAAAGTCGTTTCTGAGAATGCTTCTATCTAGTTTTTATGTGAAGATATTTCCTTTTCCACCACAGGCCTCAAAGCCCTCCAAACGTCCACTTGCAGATTCTCGAAAAAGAGTGTTTTATAGCTGCTCTTTCAAAAGGAAAGTTCAACTCTGGGAGTTGAATACAAACATCACAAAGTAGTTTCCGAGAATGCTTCTGTTTAGTTCTTATGTGAAGATGATCCCGTTTCCAGTGAAATCTTCAAAGAGGTCCACATATCCCCTTGCAGATTCCAAAGAAAGAGGGTTTCAAAACTGCTCCATCAGAAGGATTGTTCAACTCTGTGAGTTGAATGCAGTCATCGCAGAAAACTTTCTGAGAATGCTTCTGTCTAGGTTTGATGTGAAGATATAGATGTTTCAAACGAAGGCTACAAAGTGGTCAAAATATACACTTGCAGATTCTACTACAAGGGTGTTGCAAACCTGAACTATCAAAGGAAGGTTCAACTCTGTGAGTTGAATACAAACATCACAAAGAATGTTCTGAGTTTGCTTCCGTTCAGTTATGGGAAGTTGATCCCGTTTCCAACGAAATCCTCAGAGAGGTCCAAATATCCCCTTGCAGATTCTACAAAAAGTGTGTTTGGAAACTGCTCCATCATAACGAATGTTCAGCTCCCTGAGTTAAACTCCATCGTCACAAAGAATTTTCTGAGAGTGCTACCGTCTGGTTTTTATATGAAGTTCTTTCCTTCACTACCACAGGCCTCAAAGCGGTCCAAATCTCCACTTGCAGATTCTACAAAAAGAGTGTTTGCAAACTGCTCTATCAAAAGGAATGTTCAACTCTGGGAGTTGAATGCAATCATCACAGAGCAGTTTCTGAGAATGCTTCTATGTCGTTTTTAGGAGAAGATATTTCCTTTTCCAACACAGTCCTCCAAGCCCGCTAAATATCCACTTGCACATTGTAGAAAAAGTGTGTCAAAGCTGCGCTATCAAAGGGAAAGTTCAACTCTGTGAGGTGAATGCAAACATCCCAAAGAAGTTTCTGAGAATGCTTCCGTTTAGCTTTTAGGTGAAGATTATCCCGTTTCCAACGAAACCTTCAAAGAGGTCCAAATATCCCCTTGCGGATCCCACAGAAAGAGTGTTTCGAAACTGCTGTTTCAAAAGGAATCTTCAACTCTGTGAGTTGAATGCAATCATCACAAAGAAGTTTCTGACAATGCTTCTCTCTCGTCTTTCTGTGAAGATAAAGGAAAAGGCTTTCAGGCCTTTTCCACCACAGGCCTGAAAGCGCTCCAAATGTCCACTTGCAGATTCTGCCAAAAGAATATTTCAAAACTGCTCTATGAAAAGCAATGTTAAACTCTGTGGCTCGAACACAAACATCACAAAGCGGTTTCTGAGAATGCTTCAGTTTAGTTTTTCTGTGGAAATATTCCCGTTTCCAAAGAAATCTTCAAAGAGGTCCACGTATCCACTTACAGATTCTACAAAAAGACAGTTTCAAAACTGCTCCATCAAAAGGAGGGTTCAACTGTGTGACTTGAATGCAATCATCACTCAGAAGTTTCTGAGAATGCTTCTCTTTAGTTTTTACGTGAACATATACCCGTTTCGAACGAAGGCCAGCCAGTGGTCCAAATATCCACTTGCAGATTCTACAGAAAGAGTGTTTCGAACCTGAACTCTCAAAGGCAGGTTCATCTCTGCGAGTTAAATGCATTCATCATGAAGAACTTTCTCAGAGTGTTTGTGTTTAGTTATGGGAAATTATTCCCGTTTCCAACGAAATCCTCAGAGAGCTCCAAATATCCACCTGCAGATTCTACCAAAAGTGTATTTGGAAACTGCTCCATCAAAAGGCATGTTCAGCTCTGTGAGTGAAACTCCATCATCACAAAGAATATTCTGAGAATGCTTCCGTTTGCCTTTTATATGAAGTTCCTTCCTATACGACCGTAGGCCTCAAAGCAGTCCAAATCTCCATTTGCAGATTCTACAAAAAGAGTGATTCCAATCTGCTCTATCAATAGGATTGTTCAACTCCATGAGTTGAATGCCATCCTCACAAAGTCGTTTCTGAGAATGCTTCTATCTAGTTTTTATGTGAAGATATTTCCTTTTCCACCACAGGCCTCAAAGCCCTCCAAACGTCCACTTGCAGATTCTCGAAAAAGAGTGTTTCATAGCTGCTCTTTCAAAAGGAAAGTTCAACTCTGGGAGTTGAATACAAACATCACAAAGTAGTTTCCGAGAATGCTTCTGTTTAGTTTTTATGTGAAGATGATCCCGTTTCCAGTGAAATCTTCAAAGAGGTCCACATATCCCCTTGCAGATTCCAAAGAAAGAGGGTTTCAAAACTGCTCCATCAGAAGGATTTTTCAACTCTGTGAGTTGAATGCAGTCATCGCAGAAAACTTTCTGAGAATGCTTCTGTCTAGGTTTGATGTGAAGATATAGACGTTTCAAACGAAGGCTACAAAGTGGTCAAAATATACACTTGCAGATTCTACTACAAGGGTGTTGCAAACCTGAACTATCAAAGGAAGGTTCAACTCTGTGAGTTGAATACAAACGTCACAAAGAATGTTCTGAGTTTGCTTCCGTTCAGTTATGGGAAGTTGATCCCGTTTCCAACGAAATCCTCAGAGAGGTCCAAATATCCCCTCGCAGATTCTACAAAACGTGTGTTTGGAAACTGCTCCATCATAACGAATGTTCAGCTCCCTGAGTTAAACTCCATCGTCACAAAGAATTTTCTGAGAGTGCTACCGTCTGGTTTTTATATGAAGTTCTTTCCTTCACTACCACAGGCCTCAAAGCGGTCCAAATCTCCACTTGCAGATTCTACAAAAAGAGTGTTTGCAAACTGCTCTATCAAAAGGAATGTTCAACTCTGGGAGTTGAATGCAATCATCACAGAGCAGTTTCTGAGAATGCTTCTATGTCGTTTTTAGGAGAAGATATTTCCTTTTCCAACACAGTCCTCCAAGCCCGCTAAATAGCCACTTGCACATTGTAGAAAAAGTGTGTCAAAGCTGCGCTATCAAAGGGAAAGTTCAACTCTGAGAGGTGAATGCAAACATCCCAAAGAAGTTTCTGAGAGTGCTTCCGTTTAGCTTTTAGGTGAAGATTATCCCGTTTCCAACGAAACCTTCAAAGAAGTCCAAATATCCCCTTGCGGATCCCACAGAAAGAGTGTTTCGAAACTGCTGTTTCAAAAGGAATCTTCAACTCTGTGAGTTGAATGCAATCATCACAAAGAAGTTTCTGACAATGCTTCTTCTCTCTCGTCTTTCTGTGAAGATAATGGAAAAGGCTTTCAGGCCTTTTCCACCACAGGCCTGAAAGCGCTCCAAATGTCCACTTGCAGATTCTGCGAAAAGAATATTTCAAAACTGCTCTATGAAAAGCAATGTTAAACTCTGTGGCTGGAACACAAACATCACAAAGCGGTTTCTGAGAATGTTTCAGTTTAGTTTTTCTGTGGAAATATTCCCGTTTCCAAAGAAATCTTCAAAGAGGTCCACGTATCCACTTACAGATTCTACAAAAAGACAGTTTCAAAACTGCTCCATCAAAAGGAGGGTTCAACTGTGTGACTTGAATGCAATCATCACTCAGAAGTTTCTGAGAATGCTTCTCTTTAGTTTTTACGTGAACATATACCCGTTTCGAACGAAGGCCACCCAGTGGTCCAAATATCCACTTGCAGATTCTACAGAAAGAGTGTTTCGAACCTGAACTCTCAAAGGCAGGTTCATCTCTGCAAGTTAAATGCATTCATCATGAAGAACTTTCTCAGAGTGTTTGTGTTTAGTTATGGGAAATTATTCCCGTTTCCAACGAAATCCTCAGAGAGCTCCAAATATCCACCTGCTGATTCTACCAAAAGTGTATTTGGAAACTGCTCCATCACAAGGCATGTTCAGCTCTGTGAGTGAAACTCCATCATCACAAAGAATATTCTGAGAATGCTTCCGTTTGCCTTTTATATGAAGTTCCTTCCTATACGACCGTAGGCCTCAAAGCAGTCCAAATCTCCATTTGCAGATTCTACAAAAAGAGTGATTCCAATCTGCTCTATCAATAGGATTGTTCAACTCCATGAGTTGAATGCCATCCTCACAAAGTAGTTTCTGAGAATGCTTCTATCTAGTTTTTATGTGAAGATATTTCCTTTTCCACCACAGGCCTCAAAGCCCTCCAAACGTCCACTTGTAGATTCTCGAAAAAGAGTGTTTCATAGCTGCTCTTTCAAAAGGAAAGTTCAACTCTGGGAGTTGAATACAAACATCACAAAGTAGTTTCCGAGAATGCTTCTGTTTAGTTTTTATGTGAAGATGATCCCGTTTCCAGTGAAATCTTCAAAGAGGTCCACATATCCCCTTGCAGATTCCAAAGAAAGAGGGTTTCAAAACTGCTCCATCAGAAGGATTGTTCAACTCTGTGAGTTGAATGCAGTCATCGCAGAAAACTTTCTGAGAATGCTTCTGTCTAGGTTTGATGTGAAGATATAGACGTTTCAAACGAAGGCTACAAAGTGGTCAAAATATACACTTGCAGATTCTACTACAAGGGTGTTGCAAACCTGAACTATCAAAGGAAGGTTCAACTCTGTGAGTTGAATACAAACATCACAAAGAATGTTCTGAGTTTGCTTCCGTTCAGTTATGGGAAGTTGATCCCGTTTCCAACGAAATCCTCAGAGAGGTCCAAATATCCCCTTGCAGATTCTACAAAACGTGTGTTTGGAAACTGCTCCATCATAACGAATGTTCAGCTCCCTGAGTTAAACTCCATCGTCACAAAGAATTTTCTGAGAGTGCTACCGTCTGGTTTTTATATGAAGCTCTTTCCTTTACTACCCCAGTCCTCAAAGCGGTCCAAATCTCCACTTGCAGATTCTACAAAAAGAGTGTTTGCAAACTGCTCTATCAAAAGGAATGTTCAACTCTGGGAGTTGAATGCAATCATCACAGAGCAGTTTCTGAGAATGCTTCTATGTCGTTTATAGGAGAAGATATTTCCTTTTCCAACACAGTCCTCCAAGCCCGCTAAATATCCACTTGCACATTGTAGAAAAAGTGTGTCAAAGCTGCGCTATCAAAGGGAAAGTTCAACTCTGAGAGGTGAATGCAAACATCCCAAAGAAGTTTCTGAGAGTGCTTCCGTTTAGCTTTTAGGTGAAGATTATCCCGTTTCCAACGAAACCTTCAAAGAGGTCCAAATATCCCCTTGCGGATCCCACAGAAAGAGTGTTTCGAAACTGCTGTTTCAAAAGGAATCTTCAACTCTGTGAGTTGAATGCAATCATCACAAAGAAGTTTCTGACAATGCTTCTCTCTCGTCTTCCTGTGAAGATAAAGGAAAAGGCTTTCAGGCCTTTTCCACCACAGGCCTGAAAGCGCTCCAAATGTCCACTTGCAGATTCTGCCAAAAGAATATTTCAAAACTGCTCTATGAAAAGCAATGTTAAACTCTGTGGCTCGAACACAAACATCACAAAGCAGTTTCTGAGAATGCTTCAGTTTAGTTTTTCTGTGGAAATATTCCCGTTTCCAAAGAAATCTTCAAAGAGGTCCACGTATCCACTTACAGATTCTACAAAAAGACAGTTTCAAAACTGCTCCATCAAAAGGAGGGTTCAACTGTGTGACTTGAATGCAATCATCACTCAGAAGTTTCTGAGAATGCTTTCTCTTTAGTTTTTACGTGAACATATACCCGTTTCGAACGAAGCCACCCAGTGGTCCAAATATCCACTTGCAGATTATACAGAAAGAGTGTTTCGAACCTGAACTCTCAAAGGCAGGTTCATCTCTGCGAGTTAAATGCATTCATCATGAAGAACTTTCTCAGAGTGTTTGTGTTTAGTTATGGGAAATTATTCCCGTTTCCAACGAAATCCTCAGAGAGCTCCAAATATCCACCTGCAGATTCTACCAAAAGTGTATTTGGAAACTGCTCCATCAAAAGGCATGTTCAGCTCTGTGAGTGAAACTCCATCATCACAAAGAATATTCTGAGAATGCTTCCGTTTGCCTTTTATATGAAGTTCCTTCCTATACTACCGTAGGCCTCAAAGCAGTCCAAATCTCCATTTGCAGATTCTACAAAAAGAGTGATTCCAATCTGCTCTATCAATAGGATTGTTCAACTCCATGAGTTGAATTCCATCCTCACAATGTCGTTTGTGAGAATGCTTCTATCTAGTTTTTATGTGAAGATATTTCCTTTTCCACCACAGGCCTCAAAGCCCTCCAAACGTCCACTTGCAGATTCTCGAAAAAGAGTGTTTCATAGCTGCTCTTTCAAAAGGAAAGTTCAACTCTGGGAGTTGAATACAAACATCCCAAAGTAGTTTCCGAGAATGCTTATATTTAGTTTTTATGTGAAGATGATCCCGTTTCCAGTGAAATCTTCAAAGAGGTCCACATATTCCCTTGCAGATTCCAAAGAAAGAGGGTTTCAAAACTGCTCCATCAGAAGGATTGTTCAACTCTGTGAGTTGAATGCAGTCATCGCAGAAAACTTTCTAAGAATGCTTCTGTCTAGGTTTGATGTGAAGATATAGACGTTTCAAACGAAGGCTACAAAGTGGTCAAAATATACACTTGCAGATTCTACTACAAGGGTGTTGCAAACCTGAACTATCAAAGGAAGGTTCAACTCTGTGAGTTGAATACAAACATCACAAAGAATGTTCTGAGTTTGCTTCCGTTCAGTTATGGGAAGTTGATCCCGTTTCCAACGAAATCCTCAGAGAGGTCCAAATATCCCCTCGCAGATTCTACAAAACGTGTGTTTGGAAACTGCTCCATCATAACGAATGTTCAGCTCCCTGAGTTAAACTCCATCGTCACAAAGAATTTTCTGAGAGTGCTACCGTCTGGTTTTTATATGAAGTTCTTTCCTTCACTACCACAGGCCTCAAAGCGGTCCAAATCTCCACTTGCAGATTCTACAAAAAGAGTGTTTGCAAACTGCTCTATCAAAAGGAATGTTCAACTCTGGGAGTTGAATGCAATCATCACAGAGCAGTTTCTGAGAATGCTTCTATGTCGTTTTTAGGAGAAGATATTTCCTTTTCCAACACAGTCCTCCAAGCCCGCTAAATAGCCACTTGCACATTGTAGAAAAAGTGTGTCAAAGCTGTGCTATCAAAGGGAAAGTTCAACTCTGTGAGGTGAATGCAAACATCCCAAAGAAGTTTCTGAGAATGCTTCCGTTTAGCTTTTAGGTGAAGATTATCCCGTTTCCAACGAAACCTTCAAAGAGGTCCAAATATCCCCTTGCGGATCCCACAGAAAGAGTGTTTCGAAACTGCTGTTTCAAAAGGAATCTTCAACTCTGTGAGTTGAATGCAATCATCACAAAGAAGTTTCTGACAATGCTTCTCTCTCGTCTTTCTGTGAAGATAAAGGAAAAGGCTTTCAGGCCTTTTCCACCACAGGCCTGAAAGCGCTCCAAATGTCCACTTGCAGATTCTGTGAAAAGAATATTGCAAAACTGCTCTATGAAAAGCAATGTTAAACTCTGTGGCTCGAACACAAACATCACAAAGCAGTTTCTGAGAATGCTTCAGTTTAGTTTTTCTGTGGAAATATTCCCGTTTCCAAAGAAATCTTCAAAGAGGTCCACGTATCCACTTACAGATTCTACAAAAAGACAGTTTCAAAACTGCTCCATCAAAAGGAGGGTTCAACTGTGTGACTTGAATGCAATCATCACTCAGAAGTTTCTGAGAATGCTTCTCTTTAGTTTTTACGTGAACATATACCCGTTTCGAACGAAGGCCAGCCAGTGGTCCAAATATCCACTTGCAGATTCTACAGAAAGAGGGTTTCGAACCTGAACTCTCAAAGGCAGGTTCATCTCTGCGAGTTAAATGCATTCATCATGAAGAACTTTCTCAGAGTGTTTGTGTTTAGTTATGGGAAATTATTCCCGTTTCCAACGAAATCCTCAGAGAGCTCCAAATATCCACCTGCAGATTCTACCAAAAGTGTATTTGGAAACTGCTCCATCAAAAGGCATGTTCAGCTCTGTGAGTGAAACTCCATCATCACAAAGAATATTCTGAGAATGCTTCCGTTTGCCTTTTATATGAAGTTCCTTCCTGTACTACCGTAGGCCTCAAAGCAGTCCAAATCTCCATTTGCAGATTCTATAAAAAGAGTGATTCCAATCTGCTCTATCAATAGGATTGTTCAACTCCATGAGTTGAATGCCATCCTCACAAAGTAGTTTCTGAGAATGCTTCTATCTGGTTTTTGTGTGAAGATATTTCCTTTTCCACCACAGGCCTCAAAGCCCTCCAAACGTCCACTTGCAGATTCTCGAAAAAGAGTGTTTCATAGCTGCTCTTTCAAAAGGAAAGTTCAACTCTGGGAGTTGAATACAAACATCACAAAGTAGTTTCCGAGAATGCTTCTGTTTAGTTTTTATGTGAAGATGATCCCGTTTCCAGTGAAATCTTCAAAGAGGTCCACATATCCCCTTGCAGATTCCAAAGAAAGAGGGTTTCAAAACTGCTCCATCAGAAGGATTGTTCAACTCTGTGAGTTGAATGCAGTCATCGCAGAAAACTTTCTGAGAATGCTTCTGTCTAGGTTTGATGTGAAGATATAGACGTTTCAAACGAAGGCTACAAAGTGGTCAAAATATACACTTGCAGATTCTGCTACAAGGGTGTTGCAAACCTGAACTATCAAAGGAAGGTTCAACTCTGTGAGTTGAATACAAACATCACAAAGAATGTTCTGAGTTTGCTTCCGTTCAGTTATGGGAAGTTGATCCCGTTTCCAACGAAATCCTCAGAGAGGTCCAAATATCCCCTTGCAGATTCTACAAAACGTGTGTTTGGAAACTGCTCCATCATAACGAATGTTCAGCTCCCTGAGTTAAACTCCATCGTCACAAAGAATTTTCTGAGAGTGCTACCGTCTAGTTTTTATATGAAGTTGTTTCCTTTACTACCACAGGCCTCAAAGCGGTCCAAATCTCCACTTGCACATTGTAGAAAAATGTGTCGAAGCTGCGCTATCAAAGGGAAAGTTCAACTCTGTGAGGTGAATGCAAACATCCCAAAGAAGTTTCTGAGAATGCTTCCGTTCAGCTTTTAGGTGAAGATTATCCCGTTTCCAACGAAATCTTCAAAGAGGTCCAAATATCCCCTTGCGGATCCCACAGAAAGAGTGTTTCGAAACTGCTGTTTCAAAAGGAATCTTCAACTCTGTGAGTTGAATGCAATCATCACAAAGAAGTTTCTGACAATGCTTCTCCCTCATCTTTCTGTGAAGATAAAGGAAAAGGCTTTCAGGCCTTTTCCACCACAGGCCTGAAAGCGCTCCATATGTCCACTTGCAGATTCTGCCAAAAGAATATTTCAAAACTGCTCTATGAAAAGCAATGTTAAACTCTGCGGCTCGAACACAAACATCACAAAGCAGTTTCTGAGAATGCTTCAGTTTAGTTTTTCTGTGGAAATATTCCCGTTTCCAAAGAAATCTTCAAAGAGGTCCACGTATCCATTTACAGATTCTACAAAAAGACAGTTTCAAAACTGCTCAATCAAAAGGAGGGTTCAACCGTGTGACTTGAATGCAATCATCAGTCAGAAGTTTCTGAGAAAGCTTCTCTTTAGTTTTTACGTGAACATATACCCGTTTCGAACGAAGGCCAGCCAGTGGTCCAAATATCCACTTGCAGATTCTACAGAAAGAGTGTTTCGAACATGAACTCTCAAAGGCAGGTTCATCTCTGCGAGTTAAATGCATTCATCATGAAGAACTTTCTCAGAGTGTTTGTGTTTAGTTATGGGAAATTATTCCCGTTTCCAACGAAATCCTCAGAGAGGTCCAAATATCCACCTGCAGATTCTACCAAAAGTGTATTTGGAAACTGCTCCATCAAAAGGCATGTTCAGCTCTGTGAGTGAAACTCCATCATCACAAAGAATATTCTGAGAATGCTTCCGTTTGCCTTTTATCTGAAGTTCCTTCCTATACGACCGTAGGCCTCAAAGCAGTCCAAATCTCCATTTGCAGATTCTACAAAAAGAGTGATTCCAATCTGCTCTATCAATAGGATTGTTCAACTCCATGAGTTGAATGCCATCCTCCAAAGTCGTTTCTGAGAATGCTTCTATCTAGTTTTTATGTGAAGATATTTCCTTTTCCACCACAGGCCTCAAAGCCCTCCAAACGTCCACTTGCAGATTCTCGAAAAAGAGTGTTTCATAGCTGCTCTTTCAAAAGGAAAGTTCAACTCTGGCAGTTGAATACAAACATCACAAAGTAGTTTCCGAGAATGCTTCTGTTTAGTTTTTATGTGAAGATGATCCCGTTTCCAGTGAAATCTTCAAAGAGGTCCACATATCCCCTTGCAGATTCCAAAGAAAGAGGGTTTCAAAACTGCTCCATCAGAAGGATTGTTCAACTGTGTGAGTTGAATGCAGTCATCGCAGAAAACTTTCTGAGAATGCTTCTGTCTAGGTTTGATGTGAAGATATAGACGTTTCAAACGAAGGCTACAAAGTGGTCAAAATATACACTTGCAGATTCTACTACAAGGGTGTTGCAAACCTGAACTATCAAAGGAAGGTTCAACTCTGTGAGTTGAATACAAACATCACAAAGAATGTTCTGAGTTTGCTTCCGTTCAGTTATGGGAAGTTGATCCCGTTTCCAACGAAATCCTCAGAGAGGTCCAAATATCCCCTTGCAGATTCTACAAAACGTGTGTTTGGAAACTGCTCCATCATAACGAATGTTCAGCTCCCTGAGTTAAACTCCATCGTCACAAAGAATTTTCTGAGAGTGCTACCGTCTGGTTTTTATATGAAGTTCTTTCCTTCACTACCACAGGCCTCAAAGCGGTCCAAATCTCCACTTGCAGATTCTACAAAAAGAGTGTTTGCAAACTGCTCTATCAAAAGGAATGTTCAACTCTGGGAGTTGAATGCAATCATCACAGAGCAGTTTCTGAGAATGCTTCTATGTCGTTTTTAGGAGAAGATATTTCCTTTTCCAACACAGTCCTCCAAGCCCGCTAAATAGCCACTTGCACATTGTAGAAAAAGTGTGTCAAAGCTGCGCTATCAAAGGGAAAGTTCAACTCTGTGAGGTGAATGCAAACATCCCAAAGAAGTTTCTGAGAATGCTTCCGTTTAGCTTTTAGGTGAAGATTATCCCGTTTCCAACGAAACCTTCAAAGAGGTCCAAATATCCCCTTGCGGATCCCACAGAAAGAGTGTTTCGAAACTGCTGTTTCAAAAGGAATCTTCAACTCTGTGAGTTGAATGCAATCATCACAAAGAAGTTTCTGACAATGCTTCTCTCTCGTCTTTCTGTGAAGATAAAGGAAAAGGCTTTCAGGCCTTTGCCACCACAGGCCTGAAAGCGCTCCAAATGTCCACTTGCAGATTCTGCCAAAAGAATATTTCAAAACTGCTCTATGAAAAGCAATGTTAAACTCTGCGGCTCGAACACAAACATCACAAAGCGGTTTCTGAGAATGCTTCAGTTTAGTTTTTCTGTGGAAATATTCCCGTTTCCAAAGAAATCTTCAAAGAGGTCCACGCATCCACTTACAGATTCTACAAAAAGACAGTTTCAAAACTGCTCCATCAAAAGGAGGGTTCAACTGTGTGACTTGAATGCAATCATCACTCAGAAGTTTCTGAGAATGCTTCTCTTTAGTTTTTACGTGAACATATACCCGTTTCGAACGAAGGCCAGCCAGTGGTCCAAATATCCACTTGCAGATTCTACAGAAAGAGTGTTTCGAACCTGAACTCTCAAAGGCAGGTTCATCTCTGCGAGTTAAATGCATTCATCATGAAGAACTTTCTCAGAGTGTTTGTGTTTAGTTATGGGAAATTATTCCCGTTTCCAACGAAATCTTCCGAGAGGTCCAAATATCCACCTGCAGATTCTACCAAAAGTGTATTTGGAAACTGCTCCATCAAAAGGCACGTTCAGCTCTGTGAGTGAAACTCCATCATCACAAAGAATATTCTGAGAATGCTTCCGTTTGCCTTTTATATGACGTTCCTTCCTATACTACCGTAGGCCCCAAAGCAGTCCAAATCTCCATTTGCAGATTCTACAAAAAGAGTGACTCCAATCTGCTCTATCAATGGGATTGTTCAACTCCATGAGTTGAATGCCATCCTCACAAAGTCGTTTCTGAGAATGCTTCTATCTAGTTTTTATGTGAAGATATTTCCTTTTCCACCACAGGCCTCAAAGCCCTCCAAACGTCCACTTGCAGATTCTCGAAAAAGAGTGTTTCATAGCTGCTCTTTCAAAAGGAAAGTTCAACTCTGGGAGTTGAATACAAACATCACAAAGTAGTTTCCGAGAATGCTTCTGTTTATTTCTTATGTGAAGATGATCCCGTTTCCAGTGAAATCTTGAAAGAGGTCCACATATCCCCTTGCAGATTCCAAAGAAAGAGGGTTTCAAAACTGCTCCATCAAAAGGATTGTTCAACTCTGTGAGTTGAATGCAGTCATCGCAGAAAACTTTCTGAGAATGCTTCTGTCTAGGTTTGATGTGAAGATATAGACGTTTCAAACGAAGGCTACAAAGTGGTCAAAATATACACTTGCAGATTCTACTACAAGGGTGATGCAAACCTGAACTATCAAAGGAAGGTTCAACTCTGTGAGTTGAATACAAACATCACAAAGAATGTTCTGAGTTTGCTTCCGTTCAGTTATGGGAAGTTGATCCCGTTTCCAACGAAATCCTCAGAGAGGTCCAAATATCCCCTTGCAGATTCTACAAAACGTGTGTTTGGAAACTGCTCCATCATAACGAATGTTCAGCTCTCTGAGTTAAACTCCATCGTTACAAAGAATTTTCTGAGAGTGCTACCGTCTAGTTTTTATATGAAGTTCTTTCCTTTACTACCTCAGTCCTCAAAGCGGTCCAAATCTCCACTTGCAGATTCTACAAAAAGAGTGTTTGCAAACTGCTCTATCAAAAGGAATGTTCAACTCTGGGAGTTGAATGCAATCATCACAGAGCAGTTTCTGAGAATGCTTCTATGTCGTTTTTAGGAGAAGATATTTCCTTTTCCAACACAGTCCTCCAAGCCCGCTAAATATCCACTTGCACATTGTAGAAAAAGTGTGTCGAAGCTGCGCTATCAAAGGGAAAGTTCAACTCTCTGAGGTGAATGCAAACATCCCAAAGAAGTTTCTGAGAATGCTTCCGTTTAGCTTTTAGGTGAAGATTATCCCGTTTCCAACGAAATCTTCAAAGAGGTCCAAATATCCCCTTGCGGATCCCACAGAAAGAGTGTTTCGAAACTGCTGTTTCAAAAGGAATCTTCAACTCTGTGAGTTGAATGCAATCATCACAAAGAAGTTTCTGACAATGCTTCTCTCTCGTCTTTCTGTGAAGATAAAGGAAAAGGCTTTCAGGCCTTTTCCACCACAGGCCTGAAAGCGCTCCAAATGTCCACTTGCAGATTCTGCCAAAAGAATATTTCAAAACTGCTCTATGAAAAGCAATGTTAAACTCTGTGGCTCGAACACAAACATCACAAAGCCGTTTCTGAGAATGCTTCAGTTTAGTTTTTCTGTGGAAATATTCCCGTTTCGAAAGAAATCTTCAAAGAGGTCCACGTATCCACTTACAGATTCTACAAAAAGACAGTTTCAAAACTGCTCAATCAAAAGGAGGGTTCAACCGTGTGACTTGAATGCAATCATCACTCAGAAGTTTCTGAGAATGCTTCTCTTTAGTTTTTACGTGAACATATACCCGTTTCGAACGAAGGCCACCCAGTGGTCCAAATATCCACTTGCAGATTCTACAGAAAGAGTGTTTCGAACCTGAACTCTCAAAGGCAGGTTCATCTCTGCGAGTTAAATGCATTCATCATGAAGAACTTTCTCAGAGTGTTTGTGTTTAGGTATGGGAAATTATTGCCGTTTCCAACGAAATCCTCAGAGAGGTCCAAATATCCACCTGCAGATTCTACCAAAAGTGTATTTGGAAACTGCTCCATCAAAAGGCATGTTCAGCTCTGTGAGTGAAACTCCATCATCACAAAGAATATTCTGAGAATGCTTCCGTTTGCCTTTTATATGAAATTCCTTCCTATACTACCGTAGGCCTCAAAGCAGTCCAAATCTCCATTTGCAGATTCTACAAAAAGAGTGATTCCAATCTGCTCTATCAATAGGATTGTTCAACTCCATGAGTTGAATGCCATCCTCACAAAGTCGTTTCTGAGAATGCTTCTATCTAGTTTTTATGTGAAGATATTTCCTTTTCCACCACAGGCCTCAAAGCCCTCCAAACGTCCACTTGCAGATTCTCGAAAAAGAGTGTTTCATAGCTGCTCTTTCAAAAGGAAAGTTCAACTCTGGGAGTTGAATACAAACTTCACAAAGTAGTTTCCGAGAATGCTTCTGTTTATTTCTTATGTGAAGATGATCCCGTTTCCAGTGAAATCTTCAAAGAGGTCCACATATCCCCTTGCAGATTCCAAAGAAAGAGGGTTTCAAAACTGCTCCATCAAAAGGATTGTTCAGCTCTGTGAGTTGAATGCAGTCATCGCAGAAAACTTTCTGAGAATGCTTCTGTCTAGGTTTGAGGTGAAGATATAGACGTTTCAAACGAAGGCTACAAAGTGGTCAAAATATACACTTGCAGATTCTACTACAAGGGTGTTGCAAACCTCAACTATCAAAGGAAGGTTCAACTCTGTGAGTTGAATACAAACATCACAAAGAATGTTCTGAGTTTGCTTCCGTTCAGTTATGGGAAGTTGATCCCGTTTCCAACGAAATCCTCAGAGAGGTCCAAATATCCCCTTGCAGATTCTACAAAACGTGTGTTTGGAAACTGCTCCATCATAACGAATGTTCAGCTCTCTGAGTTAAACTCCATCGTCACAAAGAATTTTCTGAGAGTGCTACCGTCTAGTTTTTATAGGAAGTTCTTTCCTTTACTACCACAGGCCTCAAAGCGGTCCAAATCTCCACTTGCAGATTCTACAAAAAGAGTGTTTGCAAACTGCTCTATCAAAAGGAATGTTCAACTCTGGGAGTTGAATGCAATCATCACAGAGCAGTTTCTGAGAATGCTTCTATGTGGTTTTTAGGAGAAGATATTTCCTTTTCCAACACAGTCCTGCAAGCCCGCTAAATATCCACTTGCACATTTTAGAAAAAGTGTGTCGAAGCTGCGCTATCAAAGGGAAAGTTCGACTCTGTGAGGTGAATGCAAACATCCCAAAGAAGTTTCTGAGAATGCTTCCGTTTAGCTTTTAGGTGAAGATTATCCCGTTTCCAACGAAATCTTCAAAGAGGTCCAAATATCCCCTTGCGGATCCCACAGAAAGAGTGTTTCGAAACTGCTGTTTCAAAAGGAATCTTCAACTCTGTGAGTTGAATGCAATCATCACAAAGAAGTTTCTGACAATGCTTCTCTCTCGTCTTTCTGTGAAGATAAAGGAAAAGGCTTTCAGGCCTTTTCCACCACAGGCCTGAAAACGCTCTAAATGTCCACTTGCAGATTCTGCCAAAAGAATATTTCAAAAGTGCTCTATGAAAAGCAATGTTAAACTCTGCGGCTCGAACACCAACATCACAAAGCAGTTTCTGAGAATGCTTCAGTTTAGTTTTTCTGTGGAAATATTCCCGTTTCCAAAGAAATCTTCCAAGAGGTCCACGTATCCACTTACAGATTCTACAAAAAGACAGTTTCAAAACTGCTCAATCAAAAGGCGGGTTCAACTGTGTGACTTGAATGCAATCATCACTCAGAAGTTTCTGAGAATGCTTCTCTTTAGTTTTTACGTGAACATATACCCGTTTCGAACGAAGGCCAGCCAGTGGTCCAAATATCCACTTGCAGATTCTACAGAAAGAGTGTTTCGAACCTGAACTCTCAAAGGCAAGTTCATCTCTGCGAGTTAAATGCATTCATCATGAAGAACTTTCTCAGAGTGTTTGTGTTTAGTTATGGGAAATTATTCCCGTTTCCAACGAAATCCTCAGAGAGGTCCAAATATCCACCTGCAGATTCTACCAAAAGTGTATTTGGAAACTGCTCCATCAAAAGGCATGTTCAGCTCTGTGAGTGAAACTCCATCATCACAAAGAATATTCTGAGAATGCTTCCATTTGCCTTTTATATGAAGTTACTTCCTATACTACCGTAGGCCTCAAAGCATTCCAAATCTCCATTTGCAGATTCTACAAAAAGAGTGATTCCAATCTGCTCTATCAATAGGACTGTTCAACTCCATGAGTTGAATGCCGTCCTCACAAAGTAGTTTCTGAGAATGCTTCTATCTAGTTTTTATGTGAAGATATTTCCTTTTCCACCACAGGCCTCAAAGCCCTCCAAACGTCCACTTGCAGATTCTCGAAAAAGAGTGTTTCATAGCTGCTCTTTCAAAAGGAAAGTTCAACTCTGGGAGCTGAATACAAACATCACAAAGTAGTTTCCGAGAATGCTTCTGTTTAGTTCTTATGTGAAGATGATCCCGTTTCCAGTGAAATCTTCAAAGAGGTCCACATATCCCCTTGCAGATTCCAAAGAAAGAGGGTTTCAAAACTGCTCCATCAAAAGGATTGTTCAACTCTGTGAGTTGAATGCAGTCATCGCAGAAAACTTTCTGAGAATGCTTCTGTCCAAGTTTGATGTGAAGATATAGACCTTTCAAACGAAGGCTACAAAGTGGTCAAAATATACACTTGCAGATTCTACTACAAGGGTGTTGCAAACCTGAACTATCAAAGGAAGGTTCATCTCTGTGAGTTGAATAGAAACATCACAAAGAATGTTCTGAGTTTGCTTCCGTTCAGTTATGGGAAGTTGATCCCGTTTCCAACGAAATCCTCAGAGAGGTCCAAATATCCCCTTGCAGATTCTACAAAACGTGTGTTTGGAAACTGCTCCATCATAACGAATGTTCAGCTCTCTGAGTTAAACTCCATCGTCACAAAGAATTTTCTGAGAGTGCTACCGTCTAGTTTTTATATGAAGTTCTTTCCTTTACTACCACAGGCCTCAAAGCGGTCCAAATCTCCACTTGCAGATTCTACAAAAAGAGTGTTTGCAAACTGCTCTATCAAAAGGAATGTTCAACTCTGGGAGTTGAATGCAATCATCACAGAGCAGTTTCTGAGAATGCTTCTATGTGGTTTTTAGGAGAAGATATTTCCCTTTCCACCACAGTCCTCCAAGCCCGCTAAATATCCACTTGCACATTGTAGAAAAAGTGTGTCGAAGCTGCGCTATCAAAGGGAAAGTTCAACTCTGTGAGGTGAATGCAAACATCCCAAAGAAGTTTCTGAGAATGCTTCCGCTTAGGTTTTAGGTGAAGATTATCCCGTTTCCAACGAAATCTTCAAAGAGGTCCAAATATCCCCTTGCGGATCCCACAGAAAGAGTGTTTCGAAACTGCTGTTTCAAAAGGAATCTTCAACTCTGTGAGTTGAATGCAATCATCACAAAGAAGTTTCTGACAATGCTTCTCTCTCGTCTTTCTGTGAAGATAAAGGAAAAGGCTTTCAGGCCTTTTCCACCACAGGCCTGAAAGCGCTCCAAATATCCGCTTGCAGATTCTGCGAAAAGAATATTACAAAACTGCTCTATGAAAAGCAATGTTAAACTCTGTGGCTCGAACACAAACATCACAAAGCAGTTTCTGAGAATACTTCAGTTTAGTTTTTCTGTGGAAATATTCCCGTTTCCAAAGAAATCTTCAAAAGAGGTCCACGCATCCACTTACAGATTCTACAAAAAGACAGTTTCAAAACTGCTCAATCAAAAGGAGGGTTCAACTGTGTGACTTGAATGCAATCATCACTCAGAAGTTTCTGAGAACGCTTCTCTTTAGTTTTTACGTGAACATATACCCGTTTCGAAAGAAGGCCACCCAGTGGTCCAAATATCCACTTGCAGATTCTACAGAAAGAGTGTTTCGAACCTGAACTCTCAAAGGCAGGTTCATCTCTGCGAGTTCAATGCATTCATCATGAAGAACTTTCTCAGCGTGTTTGTGTTTAGTTATGGGAAATTATTCCCGTTTCCAACGAAATCCTCAGAGAGCTCCAAATATCCACCTGCAGATTCTACCAAAAGTGTATTTGGAAACTGCTCCATCAAAAGGCATGTTCAGCTCTGTGAGTGAAACTCCATCATCAAAAAGAATATTCTGAGAATGCTTCCGTTTGCCTTTTATATGAAGTTCCTTCCTATACGACTGTAGGCCTCAAAGCAGTCCAAATCTCCATTTGCAGATTCTACAAAAAGAGTGATTCCAATCTGCTCTATCAATAGGATTGTTCAACTCCATGAGTTGAATGCCATCCTCACAAAGTAGTTTCTGAGAATGCTTCTATCTAGTTTTTATGTGAAGATATTTCCTTTTCCACCACAGGCCTCAAAGCCCTCCAAACGTCCACTTGCAGATTCTCGAAAAAGAGTGTTTCATAGCTGCTCTTTCAAAAGGAAAGTTCAACTCTGGGAGTTGAATACAAACATCACAAAGTAGTTTCCGAGAATGCTTCTGTTTAGTTTTTATGTGAAGATGACCCCGTTTCCAGTGAAATCATCAAAGAGGTCCACATATCCCCTTGCAGATTCCAAAGAAAGAGGGTTTCAAAACTGCTCCATCAGAAGGATTGTTCAACTCTGTGAGTTGAATGCAGTCATCGCAGAAAACTTTCTGAGAATGCTTCTTTCTAGGTTTGATGTGAAGATATAGACGTTTCAAACGAAGGCTACAAAGTGGTCAAAATATACACTTGCAGATTCTACTACAAGGGTGTTGCAAACCTGAACTATCAAAGGAAGGTTCAACTCTGTGAGTTGAATACAAACATCACAAAGAATGTTCTGAGTTTGCTTCCGTTCAGTTATGGGAAGTTGATCCCGTTTCCAACGAAATCCTCAGAGAGGTCCAAATATCCCCTCGCAGATTCTACAAAACGTGTGTTTGGAAACTGCTCCATCATAACGAATGTTCAGCTCCCTGAGTTAAACTCCATCGTCACAAAGAATTTTCTGAGAGTGCTACCGTCTGGTTTTTATATGAAGTTCTTTCCTTCACTACCACAGGCCTCAAAGCGGTCCAAATCTCCACTTGCAGATTCTACAAAAAGAGTGTTTGCAAACTGCTCTATCAAAAGGAATGTTCAACTCTGGGAGTTGAATGCAATCATCACAGAGCAGTTTCTGAGAATGCTTCTATGTCGTTTTTAGGAGAAGATATTTCCTTTTCCAACACAGTCCCCCAAGCCCGCTAAATAGCCACTTGCACATTGTAGAAAAAGTGTGTCAAAGCTGCGCTATCAAAGGGAAAGTTCAACTCTGTGAGGTGAATGCAAACATCCCAAAGAAGTTTCTGAGAATGCTTCCGTTTAGCTTTTAGGTGAAGATTATCCCGTTTCCAACGAAACCTTCAAAGAGGTCCAAATATCCCCTTGCGGATCCCACAGAAAGAGTGTTTCGAAACTGCTGTTTCAAAAGGAATCTTCAACTCTGTGAGTTGAATGCAATCATCACAAAGAAGTTTCTGACAATGCTTCTCTCTCGTCTTTCTGTGAAGATAAAGGAAAAGGCTTTCAGGCCTTTGCCACCACAGGCCTGAAAGCGCTCCAAATGTCCACTTGCAGATTCTGCGAAAAGAATATTTCAAAACTGCTCTATGAAAAGCAATGTTAAACTCTGTGGCTCGAACACAAACATCACAAAGCAGTTTCTGAGAATGCTTCAGTTTAGTTTTTCTGTGGAAATATTCCCGTTTCCAAAGAAATCTTCAAAGAGGTCCACGTATCCACTTACAGATTCTACAAAAAGACAGTTTCAAAACTGCTCCATCAAAAGGAGGGTTCAACTGTGTGACTTGAATGCAATCATCACTCAGAAGTTTCTGAGAATGCTTCTCTTTAGTTTTTACGTGAACATATACCCGTTTCGAACGAAGGCCACCCAGTGGTCCAAATATCCACTTGCAGATTATACAGAAAGAGTGTTTCGAACCTGAACTCTCAAAGGCAGGTTCATCTCTGCGAGTTAAATGCATTCATCATGAAGAACTTTCTCAGAGTGTTTGTGTTTAGTTATGGGAAATTATTCCCGTTTCCAACGAAATCCTCAGAGAGCTCCAAATATCCACCTGCAGATTCTACCAAAAGTGTATTTGGAAACTGCTCCATCAAAAGGCATGTTCAGCTCTGTGAGTGAAACTCCATCATCACAAAGAATATTCTGAGAATGCTTCCGTTTGCCTTTTATATGAAGTTCCTTCCTGTACTACCGTAGGCCTCAAAGCAGTCCAAATCTCCATTTGCAGATTCTACAAAAAGAGTGATTCCAATCTGCTCTATCAATAGGATTGTTCAACTCCATGAGTTGAATGCCATCCTCACAAAGTAGTTTCTGAGAATGCTTCTATCTGGTTTTTGTGTGAAGATATTTCCTTTTCCACCACAGGCCTCAAAGCCCTCCAAACGTCCACTTGCAGATTCTCGAAAAAGAGTGTTTCATAGCTGCTCTTTCAAAAGGAAAGTTCAACTCTGGGAGTTGAATACAAACATCACAAAATAGTTTCCGAGAATGCTTCTGTTTAGTTTTTATGTGAAGATGATCCCGTTTCCAGTGAAATCTTCAAAGAGGTCCACATATCCCCTTGCAGATTCCAAAGAAAGAGGGTTTAAAAACTGCTCCATCAGAAGGATTGTTCAACTCCTGTGAGTTGAATGCAGTCATCGCAGAAAACTTTCTGAGAATGCTTCTGTCTAGGTTTGATGTGAAGATATAGACGTTTCAAACGAAGGCTACAAAGTGGTCAAAATATACACTTGCAGATTCTACTACAAGGGTGTTGCAAACCTGAACTATCAAAGGAAGGTTCAACTCTGTGAGTTGAATACAAACATCACAAAGAATGTTCTGAGTTTGCTTCCGTTCAGTTATGGGAAGTTGATCCCGTTTCCAACGAAATCCTCAGAGAGGTCCAAATATCCCCTTGCAGATTCTACAAAACGTGTGTTTGGAAACTGCTCCATCATAACGAATGTTCAGCTCCCTGAGTTAAACTCCATCGTCACAAAGAATTTTCTGAGAGTGCTACCGTCTGGTTTTTATATGAAGTTCTTTCCTTCACTACCACAGGCCTCAAAGCGGTCCAAATCTCCACTTGCAGATTCTACAAAAAGAGTGTTTGTAAACTGCTCTATCAAAAGGAATGTTCAACTCTGGGAGTTGAATGCAATCATCACAGAGCAGTTTCTGAGAATGCTTCTATGTCGTTTTTAGGAGAAGATATTTCCTTTTCCAACACAGTCCTCCAAGCCCGCTAAATAGCCACTTGCACATTGTAGAAAAAGTGTGTCAAAGCTGCGCTATCAAAGGGAAAGTTCAACTCTGTGAGGTGAATGCAAACATCCCAAAGAAGTTTCTGAGAATGCTTCCGTTTAGCTTTTAGGTGAAGATTATCCCGTTTCCAACGAAACCTTCAAAGAGGTCCAAATATCCCCTTGCGGATCCCACAGAAAGAGTGTTTCGAAACTGCTGTTTCAAAAGGAATCTTCAACTCTGTGAGTTGAATGCAATCATCACAAAGAAGTTTCTGACAATGCTTCTCTCTCGTCTTTCTGTGAAGATAAAGGAAAAGGCTTTCAGGCCTTTTCCACCACAGGCCTGAAAGCGCTCCAAATGTCCACTTGCAGATTCTGCCAAAAGAATATTTCAAAACTGCTCTATGAAAAGCAATGTTAAACTCTGTGGCTGGAACACAAACATCACAAAGCGGTTTCTGAGAATGTTTCAGTTTAGTTTTTCTGTGGAAATATTCCCGTTTCCAAAGAAATCTTCAAAGAGGTCCACGTATCCACTTACAGATTCTACAAAAAGACAGTTTCAAAACTGCTCCATCAAAAGGAGGGTTCAACTGTGTGACTTGAATGCAATCATCACTCAGAAGTTTCTGAGAATGCTTCTCTTTAGTTTTTACGTGAACATATACCCGTTTCGAACGAAGGCCACCCAGTGGTCCAAATATCCACTTGCAGATTCTACAGAAAGAGTGTTTCGAACCTGAACTCTCAAAGGCAGGTTCATCTCTGCGAGTTAAATGCATTCATCATGAAGAACTTTCTCAGAGTGTTTGTGTTTAGTTATGGGAAATTATTCCCGTTTCCAAAGAAATCCTCAGAGAGCTCCAAATATCCACCTGCAGATTCTACCAAAAGTGTATTTGGAAACTGCTCCATCAAAAGGCATGTTCAGCTCTGTGAGTGAAACTCCATCATCACAAAGAATATTCTGAGAATGCTTCCGTTTGCCTTTTATATGAAGTTCCTTCCTATACGACCGTAGGCCTCAAAGCAGTCCAAATCTCCATTTGCAGATTCTACAAAAAGAGTGATTCCAATCTGCTCTATCAATAGGATTGTTCAACTCCATGAGTTGAATGCCATCCTCACAAAGTAGTTTCTGAGAATGCTTCTATCTAGTTTTTATGTGAAGATATTTCCTTTTCCACCACAGGCCTCAAAGCCCTCCAAACGTCCACTTGCAGATTCTCGAAAAAGAGTGTTTCATAGCTGCTCTTTCAAAAGGAAAGTTCAACTCTGGGAGTTGAATACAAACATCACAAAGTAGTTTCCGAGAATGCTTCTGTTTAGTTTTTATGTGAAGATGATCCCGTTTCCAGTGAAATCTTCAAAGAGGTCCACATATCCCCTTGCAGATTCCAAAGAAAGAGGGTTTCAAAACTGCTCCATCAGAAGGATTGTTCAACTCTGTGAGTTGAATGCAGTCATCGCAGAAAACTTTCTGAGAATGCTTCTGTCTAGGTTTGATGTGAAGATATAGACGTTTCAAACGAAGGCTACAAAGAGGTCAAAATATACACTTGCAGATTCTACTACAAGGGTGTTGCAAACCTGAACTATCAAAGGAAGGTTCAACTCTGTGAGTTGAATACAAACATCACAAAGAATGTTCTGAGTTTGCTTCCGTTCAGTTATGGGAAGTTGATCCCGTTTCCAACGAAATCCTCAGAGAGGTCCAAATATCCCCTTGCAGATTCTACAAAACGTGTGTTTGGAAACTGCTCCATCATAACGAATGTTCAGCTCCCTGAGTTAAACTCCATCGTCACAAAGAATTTTCTGAGAGTGCTACCGTCTGGTTTTTATATGAAGTTCTTTCCTTCACTACCACAGGCCTCAAAGCGGTCCAAATCTCCACTTGCAGATTCTACAAAAAGAGTGTTTGCAAACTGCTCTATCAAAAGGAATGTTCAACTCTGGGAGTTGAATGCAATCATCACAGAGCAGTTTCTGAGAATGCTTCTATGTCGTTTTTAGGAGAAGATATTTCCTTTTCCAACACAGTCCTCCAAGCCCGCTAAATAGCCACTTGCACATTGTAGAAAAAGTGTGTCAAAGCTGCGCTATCAAAGGGAAAGTTCAACTCTGTGAGGTCAATGCAAACATCCCAAAGAAGTTTCTGAGAATGCTTCCGTTTAGCTTTTAGGTGAAGATTATCCCGTTTCCAACGAAACCTTCAAAGAGGTCCAAATATCCCCTTGCGGATCCCACAGAAAGAGTGTTTCGAAACTGCTGTTTCAAAAGGAATCTTCAACTCTGTGAGTTGAATGCAATCATCACAAAGAAGTTTCTGACAATGCTTCTCTCTCGTCTTTCTGTGAAGATAAAGGAAAAGGCTTTCAGGCCTTTTCCACCACAGGCCTGAAAGCGCTCCAAATGTCCACTTGCAGATTCTGCGAAAAGAATATTTCAAAACTGCTCTATGAAAAGCAATGTTAAACTCTGTGGCTCGAACACAAACATCACAAAGCGGTTTCTGAGAATGCTTCAGTTTAGTTTTTCTGTGGAAATATTCCCGTTTCCAAAGAAATCTTCAAAGAGGTCCACGTATCCACTTACAGATTCTACAAAAAGACAGTTTCAAAACTGCTCCATCAAAAGGAGGGTTCAACTGTGTGACTTGAATGCAATCATCACTCAGAAGTTTCTGAGAATGCTTCTCTTTAGTTTTTACGTGAACATATACCCGTTTCGAACGAAGGCCAACCAGTGGTCCAAATATCCACTTGCAGATTCTACAGAAAGAGTGTTTCGAACCTGAACTCTCAAAGGCAGGTTCATCTCTGCGAGTTAAATGCATTCATCATGAAGAACTTTCTCAGAGTGTTTGTGTTTAGTTATGGGAAATTATTCCCGTTTCCAACGAAATCCTCAGAGAGCTCCAAATATCCACCTGCAGATTCTACCAAAAGTGTATTTGGAAACTGCTCCATCAAAAGGCATGTTCAGCTCTGTGAGTGAAACTCCATCATCACAAAGAATATTCTGAGAATGCTTCCGTTTGCCTTTTATATGAAGTTCCTTCCTATACTACCTTAGGCCTCAAAGCAGTCCAAATCTCCATTTGCAGATTCTACAAAAAGAGTGATTCCAATCTGCTCTATCAATAGGATTGTTCAACTCCATGAGTTGAATGCCATCCTCACAAAGTCGTTTCTGAGAATGCTTCTATCTAGTTTTTATGTGAAGATATTTCCTTTTCCACCACAGGCCTCAAAGCCCTCCAAACGTCCACTTGCAGATTCTCGAAAAAGAGTGTTTCATAGCTGCTCTTTCAAAAGGAAAGTTCAACTCTGGGAGTTGAATACAAACATCACAAAGTAGTTTCCGAGAATGCTTCTGTTTAGTTTTTATGTGAAGATGATCCCGTTTCCAGTGAAATCTTCAAAGAGGTCCACATATCCCCTTGCAGATTCCAAAGAAAGAGGGTTTCAAAACTGCTCCATCAGAAGGATTGTTCAACTCTGTGAGTTGAATGCAGTCATCGCAGAAAACTTTCTGAGAATGCTTCTGTCTAGGTTTGATGTGAAG
This sequence comes from Homo sapiens, assembly GCF_000001405.40. Classification (NCBI taxonomy): domain Eukaryota; kingdom Metazoa; phylum Chordata; class Mammalia; order Primates; family Hominidae; genus Homo; species Homo sapiens. Next base: position 60,973,092 of record NC_000023.11, on the reverse strand, counting down.
ATATAGACGTTTCAAACGAAGGCTACAAAGTGGTCAAAATATACACTTGCAGATTCTACTACAAGGGTGTTGCAAACCTGAACTATCAAAGGAAGGTTCAACTCTGTGAGTTGAATACAAACATCACAAAGAATGTTCTGAGTTTGCTTCCGTTCAGTTATGGGAAGTTGATCCCGTTTCCAACGAAATCCTCAGAGAGGTCCAAATATCCCCTTGCAGATTCTACAAAACGTGTGTTTGGAAACTGCTCCATCATAACGAATGTTCAGCTCCCTGAGTTAAACTCCATCGTCACAAAGAATTTTCTGAGAGTGCTACCGTCTGGTTTTTATATGAAGTTCTTTCCTTCACTACCACAGGCCTCAAAGCGGTCCAAATCTCCACTTGCAGATTCTACAAAAAGAGTGTTTGCAAACTGCTCTATCAAAAGGAATGTTCAACTCTGGGAGTTGAATGCAATCATCACAGAGCAGTTTCTGAGAATGCTTCTATGTCGTTTTTAGGAGAAGATATTTCCTTTTCCAACACAATCCTCCAAGCCCGCTAAATAGCCACTTGCACATTGTAGAAAAAGTGTGTCAAAGCTGCGCTATCAAAGGGAAAGTTCAACTCTGTGAGGTGAATGCAAACATCCCAAAGAAGTTTCTGAGAATGCTTCCGTTTAGCTTTTAGGTGAAGATTATCCCGTTTCCAACGAAACCTTCAAAGAGGTCCAAATATCCCCTTGCGGATCCCACAGAAAGAGTGTTTCGAAACTGCTGTTTCAAAAGGAATCTTCAACTCTGTGAGTTGAATGCAATCATCACAAAGAAGTTTCTGACAATGCTTCTCTCTCGTCTTTCTGTGAAGATAAAGGAAAAGGCTTTCAGGCCTTTTCCACCACAGGCCTGAAAGCGCTCCAAATGTCCACTTGCAGATTCTGCCAAAAGAATATTTCAAAACTGCTCTATGAAAAGCAATGTTAAACTCTGTGGCTGGAACACAAAAATCACAAAGCGGTTTCTGAGAATGTTTCAGTTTAGTTTTTCTGTGGAAATATTCCCGTTTCCAAAGAAATCTTCAAAGAGGTCCACGTATCCACTTACAGATTCTACAAAAAGACAGTTTCAAAACTGCTCCATCAAAAGGAGGGTTCAACTGTGTGACTTGAATGCAATCATCACTCAGAAGTTTCTGAGAATGCTTCTCTTTAGTTTTTACGTGAACATATACCCGTTTCGAACGAAGCCACCCAGTGGTCCAAATATCCACTTGCAGATTCTACAGAAAGAGTGTTTCGAACCTGAACTCTCAAAGGCAGGTTCATCTCTGCGAGTTAAATGCATTCATCATGAAGAACTTTCTCAGAGTGTTTGTGTTTAGTTATGGGAAATTATTCCCGTTTCCAACGAAATCCTCAGAGAGCTCCAAATATCCACCTGCAGATTCTACCAAAAGTGTATTTGGAAACTGCTCCATCAAAAGGCATGTTCAGCTCTGTGAGTGAAACTCCATCATCACAAAGAATATTCTGAGAATGCTTCCGTTTGCCTTTTATATGAAGTTCCTTCCTGTACTACTGTAGGCCTCAAAGCAGTCCAAATCTCCATTTGCAGATTCTACAAAAAGAGTGATTCCAATCTGCTCTATCAATAGGATTGTTCAACTCCATGAGTTGAATGCCATCCTCACAAAGTAGTTTCTGAGAATGCTTCTATCTAGTTTTTATGTGAAGATATTTCCTTTTCCACCACAGGCCTCAAAGCCCTCCAAACGTCCACTTTCAGATTCTCGAAAAAGAGTGTTTCATAGCTGCTCTTTCAAAAGGAAAGTTCAACTCTGGGAGTTGAATACAAACATCACAAAGTAGTTTCCGAGAATGCTTTCTGTTTAGTTTTTATGTGAAGATGATCCCGTTTCCAGTGAAATCTTCAAAGAGGTCCACATATCCCCTTGCAGATTCCAAAGAAAGAGGGTTTCAAAACTGCTCCATCAGAAGGATTGTTCAACTCTGTGAGTTGAATGCAGTCATCGCAGAAAACTTTCTGAGAATGCTTCTGTCTAGGTTTGATGTGAAGGTATAGACGTTTCAAACGAAGGCTACAAAGTGGTCAAAATATACACTTGCAGATTCTACTACAAGGGTGTTGCAAACCTGAACTATCAAAGGAAGGTTCAACTCTGTGAGTTGAATACAAACATCACAAAGAATGTTCTGAGTTTGCTTCCGTTCAGTTATGGGAAGTTGATCCCGTTTCCAACGAAATCCTCAGAGAGGTCCAAATATCCCCTTGCAGATTCTACAAAACGTGTGTTTGGAAACTGCTCCATCATAACGAATGTTCAGCTCCCTGAGTTAAACTCCATCGTCACAAAGAATTTTCTGAGAGTGCTACCGTCTGGTTTTTATATGAAGTTCTTTCCTTCACTACCACAGGCCTCAAAGCGGTCCAAATCTCCACTTGCAGATTCTACAAAAAGAGTGTTTGCAAACTGCTCTATCAAAAGGAATGTTCAACTCTGGGAGTTGAATGCAATCATCACAGAGCAGTTTCTGAGAATGCTTCTATGTCGTTTTTAGGAGAAGATATTTCCTTTTCCAACACAGTCCTCCAAGCCCGCTAAATAGCCACTTGCACATTGTAGAAAAAGTGTGTCAAAGCTGCGCTATCAAAGGGAAAGTTCAACTCTGTGAGGTGAATGCAAACATCCCAAAGAAGTTTCTGAGAATGCTTCCGTTTAGCTTTTAGGTGAAGATTATCCCGTTTCCAACGAAACCTTCAAAGAGGTCCAAATATCCCCTTGCGGATCCCACAGAAAGAGTGTTTCGAAACTGCTGTTTCAAAAGGAATCTTCAACTCTGTGAGTTGAATGCAATCATCACAAAGAAGTTTCTGACAATGCTTCTCTCTCGTCTTTCTGTGAAGATAAAGGAAAAGGCTTTCAGGCCTTTTCCACCACAGGCCTGAAAGCGCTCCAAATGTCCACTTGCAGATTCTGCGAAAAGAATATTTCAAAACTGCTCTATGAAAAGCAATGTTAAACTCTGTGGCTCGAACACAAACATCACAAAGCGGTTTCTGAGAATGCTTCAGTTTAGTTTTTCTGTGGAAATATTCCCGTTTCCAAAGAAATCTTCAAAGAGGTCCACGTATCCACTTACAGATTCTACAAAAAGACAGTTTCAAAACTGCTCCATCAAAAGGAGGGTTCAACTGTGTGACTTGAATGCAATCATCACTCAGAAGTTTCTGAGAATGCTTCTCTTTAGTTTTTACGTGAACATATAGTCGTTTCGAACGAAGGCCACCCAGTGGTCCAAATATCCACTTGCAGATTCTACAGAAAGAGTGTTTCGAACCTGAACTCTCAAAGGCAGGTTCATCTCTGCGAGTTAAATGCATTCATCATGAAGAACTTTCTCAGAGTGTTTGTGTTTAGTTATGGGAAATTATTCCCGTTTCCAACGAAATCCTCAGAGAGCTCCAAATATCCACCTGCAGATTCTACCAAAAGTGTATTTGGAAACTGCTCCATCAAAAGGCATGTTCAGCTCTGTGAGTGAAACTCCATCATCACAAAGAATATTCTGAGAATGCTTCCGTTTGCCTTTTATATGAAGTTCTTTCCTATACGACCGTAGGCCTCAAAGCAGTCCAAATCTCCATTTGCAGATTCTACAAAAAGAGTGATTCCAATCTGCTCTATCAATAGGATTGTTCAACTCCATGAGTTGAATGCCATCCTCACAAAGTCGTTTCTGAGAATGCTTCTATCTAGTTTTTATGTGAAGATATTTCCTTTTCCACCACAGGCCTCAAAGCCCTCCAAACGTCCACTTGCAGATTCTCGAAAAAGAGTGTTTCATAGCTGCTCTTTCAAAAGGAAAGTTCAACTCTGGGAGTTGAATACAAACATCACAAAGTAGTTTCCGAGAATGCTTCTGTTTAGTTTTTATGTGAAGATGATCCCGTTTCCAGTGAAATCTTCAAAGAGGTCCACATATCCCCTTGCAGATTCCAAAGAAAGAGGGTTTCAAAACTGCTCCATCAAAAGGATTGTTCAACTCTGTGAGTTGAATGCAGTCATCGCAGAAAACTTTCTGAGAATGCTTCTTTCTAGGTTTGATGTGAAGATATAGACGTTTCAAACGAAGGCTACAAAGTGGTCAAAATATACACTTGCAGATTCTACTACAAGGGTGTTGCAAACCTGAACTATCAAAGGAAGGTTCAACTCTGTGAGTTGAATACAAACATCACAAAGAATGTTCTGAGTTTGCTTCCGTTCAGTTATGGGAAGTTGATCCCGTTTCCAACGAAATCCTCAGAGAGGTCCAAATATCCCCTTGCAGATTCTACAAAACGTGTGTTTGGAAACTGCTCCATCATAACGAATGTTCAGCTCCCTGAGTTAAACTCCATCGTCACAAAGAATTTTCTGAGAGTGCTACCGTCTGGTTTTTATATGAAGCTCTTTCCTTCACTACCACAGACCTCAAAGCGGTCCAAATCTCCACTTGCAGATTCTACAAAAAGAGTGTTTGCAAACTGCTCTATCAAAAGGAATGTTCAACTCTGGGAGTTGAATGCAATCATCACAGAGCAGTTTCTGAGAATGCTTCTATGTCGTTTTTAGGAGAAGATATTTCCTTTTCCAACACAGTCCTCCAAGCCCGCTAAATAGCCACTTGCACATTGTAGAAAAAGTGTGTCAAAGCTGCGCTATCAAAGGGAAAGTTCAACTCTGTGAGGTGAAAGCAAACATCCCAAAGAAGTTTTTGAGAATGCTTCCGTTTAGCTTTTAGGTGAAGATTATCCCGTTTCCAACGAAACCTTCAAAGAGGTCCAAATATCCCCTTGCGGATCCCACAGAAAGAGTGTTTCGAAACTGCTGTTTCAAAAGGAATCTTCAACTCTGTGAGTTGAATGCAATCATCACAAAGAAGTTTCTGACAATGCTTCTCTCTCGTCTTTCTGTGAAGATAAAGGAAAAGGCTTTCAGGCCTTTTCCACCACAGGCCTGAAAGCGCTCCAAATGTCCACTTGCAGATTCTGCCAAAAGAATATTTCAAAACTGCTCTATGAAAAGCAATGTTAAACTCTGTGGCTCGAACACAAACATCACAAAGCGGTTTCTGAGAATGCTTCAGTTTAGTTTTTCTGTGGAAATATTCCCGTTTCCAAAGAAATCTTCAAAGAGATCCACGTATCCACTTACAGATTCTACAAAAAGACAGTTTCAAAACTGCTCCATCAAAAGGAGGGTTCAACTGTGTGACTTGAATGCAATCATCACTCAGAAGTTTCTGAGAATGCTTCTCTTTAGTTTTTACGTGAACATATACCCGTTTCGAACGAAGGCCAGCCAGTGGTCCAAATATCCACTTGCAGATTCTACAGAAAGAGTGTTTCGAACATGAACTCTCAAAGGCAGGTTCATCTCTGCGAGTTAAATGCATTCATCATGAAGAACTTTCTCAGAGTGTTTGTGTTTAGTTATGGGAAATTATTCCCGTTTCCAACGAAATCCTCAGAAAGCTCCAAATATCCACCTGCAGATTCTACCAAAAGTGTATTTGGAAACTGCTCCATCAAAAGGCATGTTCAGCTCTGTGAGTGAAACTCCATCATCACAAAGAATATTCTGAGAATGCTTCCGTTTGCCTTTTATATGAAGTTCCTTCCTATACGACCGTAGGCCTCAAAGCAGTCCAAATCTCCATTTGCAGATTCTACTAAAAGAGTGATTCCAATCTGCTCTATCAATAGGATTGTTCAACTCCATGAGTTGAATGCCATCCTCACAAAGTCGTTTCTGTGAATGCTTCTATCTAGTTTTTATGTGAAGATATTTCCTTTTCCACCACAGGCCTCAAAGCCCTCCAAACGTCCACTTGCAGATTCTCGAAAAAGAGTGTTTCATAGCTGCTCTTTCAAAAGGAAAGTTCAACTCTGGGAGTTGAATACAAACATCACAAAGTAGTTTCCGAGAATGCTTCTGTTTAGTTTTTATGTGAAGATGATCCCGTTTCCAGTGAAATCTTCAAAGAGGTCCACATATCCCCTTGCAGATTCCAAAGAAAGAGGGTTTCAAAACTGCTCCATCAGAAGGATTGTTCAACTCTGTGAGTTGAATGCAGTCATCGCAGAAAACTTTCTGAGAATGCTTCTGTCTAGGTTTGATGTGAAGATATAGACGTTTCAAACGAAGGCTACAAAGTGGTCAAAATATACACTTGCAGATTCTACTACAAGGGTGTTGCAAACCTGAACTATCAAAGGAAGGTTCAACTCTGTGAGTTGAATACAAACATCACAAAGAATGTTCTGAGTTTGCTTCCGTTCAGTTATGGGAAGTTGATCCCGTTTCCAACGAAATCCTCAGAGAGGTCCAAATATCCCCTTGCAGATTCTACAAAACGTGTGTTTGGAAACTGCTCCATCATAACGAATGTTCAGCTCCCTGAGTTAAACTCCATCGTCACAAAGAATTTTCTGAGAGTGCTAACCGTCTAGTTTTTATATGAAGTTCTTTCCTTTACTACCACAGGCCTCAAAGCTGTCCAAATCTCCACTTGCAGATTCTACAAAAAGAGTGTTTGCAAACTGCTCTATCAAAAGGAATGTTCAACTCTGGGAGTTGAATGCAATCATCACAGAGCAGTTTCTGAGAATGCTTCTATGTCGTTTTTAGGAGAAGATATTTCCTTTTCCAACACAGTCCTCCAAGCCCGCTAAATATCCACTTGCACATTGTAGAAAAAGTGTGTCGAAGCTGTGCTATCAAAGGGAAAGTTCAACTCTGTGAGGTGAATGCAAACATCCCAAAGAAGTTTCTGAGAATGCTTCCGTTTAGCTTTTAGGTGAAGATTATCCCGTTTCCAACGAAATCTTCAAAGAGGTCCAAATATCCCCTTGCGGATCCCACAGAAAGAGTGTTTCGAAACTGCTGTTTCAAAAGGAATCTTCAACTCTGTGAGTTGAATGCAATCATCACAAAGAAGTTTCTGACAATGCTTCTCTCTCGTCTTTCTGTGAAGATAAAGGAAAAGGCTTTCAGGCCTTTTCCACCACAGGCCTGAAAGCGCTCCAAATGTCCACTTGCAGATTCTGCGAAAAGAATATTTCAAAACTGCTCTATGAAAAGCAATGTTAAACTCTGTGGCTCGAACACAAACATCACAAAGCAGTTTCTGAGAATGCTTCAGTTTAGTTTTTCTGTGGAAATATTCCCGTTTCCAAAGAAATCTTCAAAGAGGTCCACGTATCCACTTACAGATTCTACAAAAAGACAGTTTCAAAACTACTCCATCAAAAGGAGGGTTCAACTATGTGACTTGAATGCAATCATCACTCAGAAGTTTCTGAGAATGCTTCTTTTTAGTTTTTATGTGAACATATACCCGTTTCGAACGAAGGCCACCCAGTGGTCCAAATATCCACTTGCAGATTCTACAGAAAGAGTGTTTCGAACCTGAACTCTCAAAGGCAGGTTCATCTCTGCGAGTTAAATGCATTCATCATGAAGAACTTTCTCAGAGTGTTTGTGTTTAGTTATGGGAAATTATTCCTGTTTCCAACGAAATCCTCAGAGAGCTCCAAATATCCACCTGCAGATTCTACCAAAAGTGTATTTGGAAACTGCTCCATCAAAAGGCATGTTCAGCTCTGTGAGTGAAACTCCATCATCACAAAGAATATTCTGAGAATGCTTCCGTTTGCCTTTTATATGAAGTTCCTTCCTATACTACCGTAGGCCTCAAAGCAGTCCAAATCTCCATTTGCAGATTCTACAAAAAGAGTGATTCCAATCTGCTCTATCAATAGGATTGTTCAACTCCATGAGTTGAATTCCATCCTCACAATGTCGTTTGTGAGAATGCTTCTATCTAGTTTTTATGTGAAGATATTTCCTTTTCCACCACAGGCCTCAAAGCCCTCCAAACGTCCACTTGCAGATCCTCGAAAAAGAGTGTTTCATAGCTGCTCTTTCAAAAGGAAAGTTCAACTCTGGGAGTTGAATACAAACATCACAAAGTAGTTTCCGAGAATGCTTCTGTTTAGTTTTTATGTGAAGATGATCCCGTTTCCAGTGAAATCTTCAAAGAGGTCCACATATCCCCTTGCAGATTCCAAAGAAAGAGGGTTTCAAAACTGCTCCATCAGAAGGATTGTTCAACTCTGTGAGTTGAATGCAGTCATCGCAGAAAACTTTCTGAGAATGCTTCTTTCTAGGTTTGATGTGAAGATATAGACGTTTCAAACGAAGGCTACAAAGTGGTCAAAATATACACTTGCAGATTCTACTACAAGGGTGTTGCAAACCTGAACTATCAAAGGAAGGTTCAACTCTGTGAGTTGAATACAAACATCACAAAGAATGTTCTGAGTTTGCTTCCGTTCAGTTATGGGAAGTTGATCCCGTTTCCAACGAAATCCTCAGAGAGGTCCCAATATCCCCTTGCAGATTCTACAAAACGTGTGTTTGGAAACTGCTCCATCATAACGAATGTTCAGCTCCCTGAGTTAAACTCCATCGTCACAAAGAATTTTCTGAGAGTGCTACCGTCTGGTTTTTATATGAAGTTCTTTCCTTCACTACCACAGGCCTCAACGCGGTCCAAATCTCCACTTGCAGATTCTACAAAAAGAGTGTTTGCAAACTGCTCTATCAAAAGGAATGTTCAACTCTGGGAGTTGAATGCAATCATCACAGAGCAGTTTCTGAGAATGCTTCTATGTCGTTTTTAGGAGAAGATATTTCCTTTTCCAACACAGTCCTCCAAGCCCGCTAAATAGCCACTTGCACATTGTAGAAAAAGTGTGTCAAAGCTGCGCTATCAAAGGGAAAGTTCAACTCTGTGAGGTGAATGCAAACATCCCAAAGAAGTTTCTGAGAATGCTTCCGTTTAGCTTTTAGGTGAAGATAATCCCGTTTCCAACGAAACCTTCTAAGAGGTCCAAATATCCCCTTGCGGATCCCACAGAAAGAGTGTTTCGAAACTGCTGTTTCAAAAGGAATCTTCAACTCTGTGAGTTGAATGCAATCATCACAAAGAAGTTTCTGACAATGCTTCTCTCTCGTCTTTCTGTGAAGATAAAGGAAAAGGCTTTCAGGCCTTTTCCACCACAGGCCTGAAAGCGCTCCAAATGTCCACTTGCAGATTCTGCGAAAAGAATATTTCAAAACTGCTCTATGAAAAGCAATGTTAAACTCTGTGGCTCGAACACAAACATCACAAAGCGGTTTCTGAGAATGCTTCAGTTTAGTTTTTCTGTGGAAATATTCCCGTTTCCAAAGAAATCTTCAAAGAGGTCCACGTATCCACTTACAGATTCTACAAAAAGACAGTTTCAAAACTGCTCCATCAAAAGGAGGGTTCAACTGTGTGACTTGAATGCAATCATCACTCAGAAGTTTCTGAGAATGCTTCTCTTTAGTTTTTACGTGAACATATACCCGTTTCGAACGAAGGCCAGCCAGTGGTCCAAATATCCACTTGCAGATTCTACAGAAAGAGTGTTTCGAACATTAACTCTCAAAGGCAGGTTCATCTCTGCGAGTTAAATGCATTCATCATGAAGAACTTTCTCAGAGTGTTTGTGTTTAGTTATGGGAAATTATTCCCGTTTCCAACGAAATCCTCGGAGAGCTCCAAATATCCACCTGCAGATTCTACCAAAAGTGTATTTGGAAACTGCTCCATCAAAAGGCATGTTCAGCTCTGTGAGTGAAACTCCATCATCACAAAGAATATTCTGAGAATGCTTCCGTTTGCCTTTTATATGAAGTTCCTTCCTATACTACCGTAGGCCTCAAAGCAGTCCAAATCTCCATTTGCAGATTCTACAAAAAGAGTGATTCCAATCTGCTCTATCAATAGGATTGTTCAACTCCATGAGTTGAATGCCATCCTCACAAAGTAGTTTCTGAGAATGCTTCTATCTAGTTTTTATGTGAAGATATTTCCTTTTCCACCACAGGCCTCAAAGCCCTCCAAACGTCCACTTGCAGATTCTCGAAAAAGAGTGTTTCATAGCTGCTCTTTCAAAAGGAAAGTTCAACTCTGGGAGTTGAATACAAACATCACAAAGTAGTTTCCGAGAATGCTTCTGTTTAGTTTTTATGTGAAGATGATCCCGTTTCCAGTGAAATCTTCAAAGAGGTCCACATATCCCCTTGCAGATTCCAAAGAAAGAGGGTTTCAAAACTGCTCCATCAGAAGGATTGTTCAACTCTGTGAGTTGAATGCAGTCATCGCAGAAAACTTTCTGAGAATGCTTCTGTCTAGGTTTGATGTGAAGATATAGACGTTTCAAACGAAGGCTACAAAGTGGTCAAAATATACACTTGCAGATTCTACTACAAGGGTGTTGCAAACCTGAACTATCAAAGGAAGGTTCAACTCTGTGAGTTGAATACAAACATCACAAAGAATGTTCTGAGTTTGCTTCCGTTCAGTTATGGGAAGTTGATCCCGTTTCCAACGAAATCCTCAGAGAGGTCCAAATATCCCCTTGCAGATTCTACAAAACGTGTGTTTGGAAACTGCTCCATCATAACGAATGTTCAGCTCCCTGAGTTAAACTCCATCGTCACAAAGAATTTTCTGAGAGTGCTACCGTCTGGTTTTTATATGAAGTTCTTTCCTTCACTACCACAGGCCTCAAAGCGGTCCAAATCTCCACTTGCAGATTCTACAAAAAGAGTGTTTGCAAACTGCTCTATCAAAAGGAATGTTCAACTCTGGGAGTTGAATGCAATCATCACAGAGCAGTTTCTGAGAATGCTTCTATGTCGTTTTTAGGAGAAGATATTTCCTTTTCCAACACAATCCTCCAAGCCCGCTAAATAGCCACTTGCACATTGTAGAAAAAGTGTGTCAAAGCTGCGCTATCAAAGGGAAAGTTCAACTCTGTGAGGTGAATGCAAACATCCCAAAGAAGTTTCTGAGAATGCTTCCGTTTAGCTTTTAGGTGAAGATTATCCCGTTTCCAACGAAACCTTCAAAGAGGTCCAAATATCCCCTTGCGGATCCCACAGAAAGAGTGTTTCGAAACTGCTGTTTCAAAAGGAATCTTCAACTCTGTGAGTTGAATGCAATCATCACAAAGAAGTTTCTGACAATGCTTCTCTCTCGTCTTTCTGTGAAGATAATGGAAAAGGCTTTCAGGCCTTTTCCACCACAGGCCTGAAAGCGCTCCAAATGTCCACTTGCAGATTCTGCGAAAAGAATATTTCAAAACTGCTCTATGAAAAGCAATGTTAAACTCTGTGGCTGGAACACAAACATCACAAAGCGGTTTCTGAGAATGTTTCAGTTTAGTTTTTCTGTGGAAATATTCCCGTTTCCAAAGAAATCTTCAAAGAGGTCCACGTATCCACTTACAGATTCTACAAAAAGACAGTTTCAAAACTGCTCCATCAAAAGGAGGGTTCAACTGTGTGACTTGAATGCAATCATCACTCAGAAGTTTCTGAGAATGCTTCTCTTTAGTTTTTACGTGAACATATACCCGTTTCGAACGAAGGCCACCCAGTGGTCCAAATATCCACTTGCAGATTCTACAGAAAGAGTGTTTCGAACCTGAACTCTCAAAGGCAGGTTCATCTCTGCAAGTTAAATGCATTCATCATGAAGAACTTTCTCAGAGTGTTTGTGTTTAGTTATGGGAAATTATTCCCGTTTCCAACGAAATCCTCAGAGAGCTCCAAATATCCACCTGCAGATTCTACCAAAAGTGTATTTGGAAACTGCTCCATCAAAAGGCATGTTCAGCTCTGTGAGTGAAACTCCATCATCACAAAGAATATTCTGAGAATGCTTCCGTTTGCCTTTTATATGAAGTTCCTTCCTATACGACCGTAGGCCTCAAAGCAGTCCAAATCTCCATTTGCAGATTCTACAAAAAGAGTGATTCCAATCTGCTCTATCAATAGGATTGTTCAACTCCATGAGTTGAATGCCATCCTCACAAAGTAGTTTCTGAGAATGCTTCTATCTAGTTTTTATGTGAAGATATTTCCTTTTCCACCACAGGCCTCAAAGCCCTCCAAACGTCCACTTGCAGATTCTCGAAAAAGAGTGTTTCATAGCTGCTCTTTGAAAAGGAAAGTTCAACTCTGGGAGTTGAATACAAACATCACAAAGTAGTTTCCGAGAATGCTTCTGTTTAGTTTTTATGTGAAGATGATCCCGTTTCCAGTGAAATCTTCAAAGAGGTCCACATATCCCCTTGCAGATTCCAAAGAAAGAGGGTTTCAAAACTGCTCCATCAGAAGGATTGTTCAACTCTGTGAGTTGAATGCAGTCATCGCAGAAAACTTTCTGAGAATGCTTCTGTCTAGGTTTGATGTGAAGATATAGACGTTTCAAACGAAGGCTACAAAGTGGTCAAAATATACACTTGCAGATTCTACTACAAGGGTGTTGCAAACCTGAACTATCAAAGGAAGGTTCAACTCTGTGAGTTGAATACAAACATCACAAAGAATGTTCTGAGTTTGCTTCCGTTCAGTTATGGGAAGTTGATCCCGTTTCCAACGAAATCCTCAGAGAGGCCCAAATATCCCCTTGCAGATTCTACAAAAAGTGTGTTTGGAAACTGCTCCATCATAACGAATGTTCAGCTCCCTGAGTTAAACTCCATCGTCACAAAGAATTTTCTGAGAGTGCTACCGTCTGGTTTTTATATGAAGTTCTTTCCTTCACTACCCCAGGCCTCAAAGCGGTCCAAATCTCCACTTCCAGATTCTACAAAAAGAGTGTTTGCAAACTGCTCTATCAAAAGGAATGTTCAACTCTGGGAGTTGAATGCAATCATCACAGAGCAGTTTCTGAGAATGCTTCTATGTCGTTTTTAGGAGAAGATATTTCCTTTTCCAACACAGTCCTCCAAGCCCGCTAAATAGCCACTTGCACATTGTAGAAAAAGTGTGTCGAAGCTGCGCTATCAAAGGGAAAGTTCAACTCTGTGAGGTGAATGCAAACATCCCAAAGAAGTTTCTGAGAATGCTTCCGTTTAGCTTTTAGGTGAAGATTATCCCGTTTCCAACCAAACCTTCAAAGAGGTCCAAATATCCCCTTGCGGATCCCACAGAAAGAGTGTTTCGAAACTGCTGTTTCAAAAGGAATCTTCAACTCTGTGAGTTGAATGCAATCATCACAAAGAAGTTTCTGACAATGCTTCTCTCTCGTCTTTCTGTGAAGATAAAGGAAAAGGCTTTCAGGCCTTTGCCACCACAGGCCTGAAAGCGGTCCAAATGTCCACTTGCAGATTCTGCCAAAAGAATATTTCAAAACTGCTCTATGAAAAGCAATGTTAAACTCTGCGGCTCGAACACAAACATCACAAAGCGGTTTCTGAGAATGCTTCAGTTTAGTTTTTCTGTGGAAATATTCCCGTTTCCAAAGAAATCTTCAAAGAGGTCCACGTATCCACTTACAGATTCTACAAAAAGACAGTTTCAAAACTGCTCCATCAAAAGGAGGGTTCAACTGTGTGACTTGAATGCAATCATCACTCAGAAGTTTCTGAGAATGCTTCTCTTTAGTTTTTACGTGAACATATACCCGTTTCGAACGAAGGCCACCCAGTGGTCCAAATATCCACTTGCAGATTATACAGAAAGTGTGTTTCGAACCTGAACTCTCAAAGGCAGGTTCATCTCTGCGAGTTAAATGCATTCATCATGAAGAACTTTCTCAGCGTGTTTGTGTTTAGTTATGGGAAATTATTCCCGTTTCCAACGAAATCCTCAGAGAGCTCCAAATATCCACCTGCAGATTCTACCAAAAGTGTATTTGGAAACTGCTCCATCAAAAGGCATGTTCAGCTCTGTGAGTGAAACTCCATCATCACAATGAATATTCTGAGAATGCTTCCGTTTGCCTTTTATATGAAGTTCCTTCCTGTACTACCGTAGGCCTCAAAGCAGTCCAAATCTCCATTTGCAGATTCTATAAAAAGAGTGATTCCAATCTGCTCTATCAATAGGATTGTTCAACTCCATGAGTTGAATGCCATCCTCACAAAGTAGTTTCTGAGAATGCTTCTATCTGGTTTTTGTGTGAAGATATTTCCTTTTCCACCACAGGCCTCAAAGCCCTCCAAACGTCCACTTGCAGATTCTCGAAAAAGAGTGTTTTATAGCTGCTCTTTCAAAAGGAAAGTTCAACTCTGGGAGTTGAATACAAACATCACAAAGTAGTTTCCGAGAATGCTTCTGTTTAGTTTTTATGTGAAGATGATCCCGTTTCCAGTGAAATCTTCAAACAGGTCCACATATCCCCTTGCAGATTCCAAAGAAAGAGGGTTTCAAAACTGCTCCATCAGAAGGATTGTTCAACTCTGTGAGTTGAATGCAGTCATCGCAGAAAACTTTCTGAGAATGCTTCTGTCTAGGTTTGATGTGAAGATATAGACGTTTCAAACGAAGGCTACAAAGTGGTCAAAATATACACTTGCAGATTCTACTACAAGGGTGTTGCAAACCTGAACTATCAAAGGAAGGTTCAACTCTGTGAGTTGAATACAAACATCACAAAGAATGTTCTGAGTTTGCTTCCGTTCAGTTATGGGAAGTTGATCCCGTTTCCAACGAAATCCTCAGAGAGGTCCAAATATCCCCTTGCAGATTCTACAAAACGTGTGTTTGGAAACTGCTCCATCATAACGAATGTTCAGCTCCCTGAGTTAAACTCCATCGTCACAAAGAATTTTCTGAGAGTGCTACCGTCTGGTTTTTATATGAAGCTCTTTCCTTCACTACCACAGGCCTCAAAGCGGTCCAAATCTCCACTTGCAGATTCTACAGAAAGAGTGTTTGCAAACTGCTCTATCAAAAGGAATGTTCAACTCTGGGAGTTGAATGCAATCATCACAGAGCAGTTTCTGAGAATGCTTCTATGTCGTTTTTAGGAGAAGATATTTCCTTTTCCAACACAGTCCTCCAAGCCCGCTAAATAGCCACTTGCACATTGTAGAAAAAGTGTGTCAAAGCTGCGCTATCAAAGGGAAAGTTCAACTCTGTGAGGTCAATGCAAACATCCCAAAGAAGTTTCTGAGAATGCTTCCGTTTAGCTTTTAGGAGAAGATTATCCCGTTTCCAACGAAACCTTCAAAGAGGTCCAAATATCCCCTTGCGGATCCCACAGAAAGAGTGTTTCGAAATTGCTGTTTCAAAAGGAATCTTCAACTCTGTGAGTTGAATGCAATCATCACAAAGAAGTTTCTGACAATGCTTCTCTCTCGTCTTTCTGTGAAGATAAAGGAAAAGGCTTTCAGGCCTTTGCCACCACAGGCCTGAAAGCACTCCAAATGTCCACTTGCAGATTCTGCGAAAAGAATATTTCAAAACTGCTCTATGAAAAGCAATGTTAAACTCTGTGGCTCGAACACAAACATCACAAAGCGGTTTTTGAGAATGTTTCAGTTTAGTTTTTCTGTGGAAATATTCCCGTTTCCAAAGAAATCTTCAAAGAGGTCCACGTATCCACTTACAGATTCTACAAAAAGACAGTTTCAAAACTGCTCCATCAAAAGGAGGGTTCAACTGTGTGACTTGAATGCAATCATCACTCAGAAGTTTCTGAGAATGCTTCTCTTTAGTTTTTACGTGAACATATACCCGTTTCGAACGAAGGCCACCCAGTGGTCCAAATATCCACTTGCAGATTCTACAGAAAGAGTGTTTCGAACCTGAACTCTCAAAGGCAGGTTCATCTCTGCGAGTTAAAAGCATTCATCATGAAGAACTTTCTCAGAGTGTTTGTGTTTAGTTATGGGAAATTATTCCCGTTTCCAACGAAATCCTCAGAGAGCTCCAAATATCCACCTGCAGATTCTACCAAAAGTGTATTTGGAAACTGCTCCATCAAAAGGCATGTTCAGCTCTGTGAGTGAAACTCCATCATCACAAAGAATATTCTGAGAATGCTTCCGTTTGCCTTTTATATGAAGTTCCTTCCTATACTACCGTAGGCCTCAAAGCAGTCCAAATCTCCATTTGCAGATTCTACAAAAAGAGTGATTCCAATCTGCTCTATCAATAGGATTGTTCAACTCCATGAGTTGAATTCCATCCTCACAATGTCGTTTGTGAGAATGCTTCTATCTAGTTTTTATGTGAAGATATTTCCTTTTCCACCACAGGCCTCAAAGCCCTCCAAACGTCCACTTGCAGATTCTCGAAAAAGAGTGTTTCATAGCTGCTCTTTCAAAAGGAAAGTTCAACTCTGGGAGTTGAATACAAACATCACAAAGTAGTTTCCGAGAATGCTTCTGTTTAGTTTTTATGTGAAGATGATCCCGTTTCCAGTGAAATCTTCAAAGAGGTCCACATATCCCCTTGCAGATTCCAAAGAAAGAGGGTTTCAAAACTGCTCCATCAGAAGGATTGTTCAGCTCTGTGAGTTGAATGCAGTCATCGCAGAAAACTTTCTGAGAATGCTTCTGTCTAGGTTTGATGTGAAGATATAGACGTTTCAAACGAAGGCTACAAAGTGGTCAAAATATACAGTTGCAGATTCTACTACAAGGGTGTTGCAAACCTGAACTATCAAAGGAAGGTTCAACTCTGTGAGTTGAATACAAACATCACAAAGAATGTTCTGAGTTTGCTTCCGTTCAGTTATGGGAAGTTGATCCCGTTTCCAACGAAATCCTCAGAGAGGTCCAAATATCCCCTTGCAGATTCTACAAAACGTGTGTTTGGAAACTGCTCCATCATAACGAATGTTCAGCTCCCTGAGTTAAACTCCATCGTCACAAAGAATTTTCTCAGAGTGCTACCGTCTGGTTTTTATATGAAGTTCTTTCCTTCACTACCACAGACCTCAAAGCGGTCCAAATCTCCACTTGCAGATTCTACAAAAAGAGTGATTCCAATCTGCTCTATCAATAGGATTGTTCAACTCCATGAGTTGAATGCCATCCTCACAAAGTAGTTTCTGAGAATGCTTCTATCTGGTTTTTGTGTGAAGATATTTCCTTTTCCACCACAGGCCTCAAAGCCCTCCAAACGTCCACTTGCAGATTCTCGAAAAAGAGTGTTTCATAGCTGCTCTTTCAAAAGGAAAGTTCAACTCTGGGAGTTGAATACAAACATCACAAAATAGTTTCCGAGAATGCTTCTGTTTAGTTTTTATGTGAAGATGATCCCGTTTCCAGTGAAATCTTCAAAGAGGTCCACATATCCCCTTGCAGATTCCAAAGAAAGAGGGTTTCAAAACTGCTCCATCAGAAGGATTTTTCAACTCTGTGAGTTGAATGCAGTCATCGCAGAAAACTTTCTGAGAATGCTTCTGTCTAGGTTTGATGTGAAGATATAGACGTTTCAAACGAAGGCTACAAAGTGGTCAAAATATACACTTGCAGATTCTACTACAAGGGTGTTGCAAACCTGAACTATCAAAGGAAGGTTCAACTCTGTGAGTTGAATACAAACGTCACAAAGAATGTTCTGAGTTTGCTTCCGTTCAGTTATGGGAAGTTGATCCCGTTTCCAACGAAATCCTCAGAGAGGTCCAAATATCCCCTCGCAGATTCTACAAAACGTGTGTTTGGAAACTGCTCCGTCATAACGAATGTTCAGCTCCCTGAGTTAAACTCCATCGTCACAAAGAATTTTCTGAGAGTGCTACCGTCTGGTTTTTATATGAAGTTCTGTCCTTCACTACCACAGGCCTCAAAGCGGTCCAAATCTCCACTTGCAGATTCTACAAAAAGAGTGTTTGCAAACTGCTCTATCAAAAGGAATGTTCAACTCTGGGAGTTGAATGCAATCATCACAGAGCAGTTTCTGAGAATGCTTCTATGTCGTTTTTAGGAGAAGATATTTCCTTTTCCAACACAGTCCTCCAAGCCCGCTAAATAGCCACTTGCACATTGTAGAAAAAGTGTGTCAAAGCTGTGCTATCAAAGGGAAAGTTCAACTCTGTGAGGTGAATGCAAACATCCCAAAGAAGTTTCTGAGAATGCTTCCGTTTAGCTTTTAGGTGAAGATTATCCCGTTTCCAACGAAACCTTCAAAGAGGTCCAAATATCCCCTTGCGGATCCCACAGAAAGAGTGTTTCGAAACTGCTGTTTCAAAAGGAATCTTCAACTCTGTGAGTTGAATGCAATCATCACAAAGAAGTTTCTGACAATGCTTCTCTCTCGTCTTTCTGTGAAGATAAAGGAAAAGGCTTTCAGGCCTTTTCCACCACAGGCCTGAAAGCGCTCCAAATGTCCACTTGCAGTTTCTGTGAAAAGAATATTTCAAAACTGCTCTATGAAAAGCAATGTTAAACTCTGTGGCTCGAACACAAACATCACAAAGCAGTTTCTGAGAATGCTTCAGTTTAGTTTTTCTGTGGAAATATTCCCGTTTCCAAAGAAATCTTCAAAGAGGTCCACGTATCCACTTACAGATTCTACAAAAAGACAGTTTCAAAACTGCTCCATCAAAAGGAGGGTTCAACTGTGTGACTTGAATGCAATCATCACTCAGAAGTTTCTGAGAATGCTTCTCTTTAGTTTTTACGTGAACATATACCCGTTTCGAACGAAGGCCAGCCAGTGGTCCAAATATCCACTTGCAGATTCTACAGAAAGAGTGTTTCGAACATGAACTCTCAAAGGCAGGTTCATCTCTGCGAGTTAAATGCATTCATCATGAAGAACTTTCTCAGAGTGTTTGTGTTTAGTTATGGGAAATTATTCCCGTTTCCAACGAAATCCTCAGAGAGCTCCAAATATCCACCTGCAGATTCTACCAAAAGTGTATTTGGAAACTGCTCCATCAAAAGGCATGTTCAGCTCTGTGAGTGAAACTCCATCATCACAAAGAATATTCTGAGAATGCTTCCGTTTGCCTTTTATATGAAGTTCCTTCCTATACGACCGTAGGCCTCAAAGCAGTCCAAATCTCCATTTGCAGATTCTACAAAAAGAGTGATTCCAATCTGCTCTATCAATAGGATTGTTCAACTCCATGAGTTGAATGCCATCCTCACAAAGTCGTTTCTGAGAATGCTTCTATCTAGTTTTTATGTGAAGATATTTCCTTTTCCACCACAGGCCTCAAAGCCCTCCAAACGTCCACTTGCAGATTCTCGAAAAAGAGTGTTTCATAGCTGCTCTTTCAAAAGGAAAGTTCAACTCTGGGAGTTGAATACAAACATCACAAAGTAGTTTCCGAGAATGCTTCTGTTTAGTTTTTATGTGAAGATGATCCCGTTTCCAGTGAAATCTTCAAAGAGGTCCACATATCCCCTTGCAGATTCCAAAGAAAGAGGGTTTCAAAACTGCTCCATCAGAAGGATTGTTCAACTCTGTGAGTTGAATGCAGTCATCGCAGAAAACTTTCTGAGAATGCTTCTTTCTAGGTTTGATGTGAAGATATAGACGTTTCAAACGAAGGCTACAAAGTGGTCAAAATATACACTTGCAGATTCTACTACAAGGGTGTTGCAAACCTGAACTATCAAAGGAAGGTTCAACTCTGTGAGTTGAATACAAACATCACAAAGAATGTTCTGAGTTTGCTTCCGTTCAGTTATGGGAAGTTGATCCCGTTTCCAACGAAATCCTCAGAGAGGTCCAAATATCCCCTTGCAGATTCTACAAAACGTGTGTTTGGAAACTGCTCCATCATAACGAATGTTCAGCTCCCTGAGTTAAACTCCATCGTCACAAAGAATTTTCTGAGAGTGCTACCGTCTGGTTTTTATATGAAGTTCTTTCCTTCACTACCACAGGCCTCAAAGCGGTCCAAATCTCCACTTGCAGATTCTACAAAAAGAGTGTTTGCAAACTGCTCTATCAAAAGGAATGTTCAACTCTGGGAGTTGAATGCAATCATCACAGAGCAGTTTCTGAGAATGCTTCTATGTCGTTTTTAGGAGAAGATATTTCCTTTTCCAACACAGTCCTCCAAGCCCGCTAAATAGCCACTTGCACATTGTAGAAAAAGTGTGTCAAAGCTGCGCTATCAAAGGGAAAGTTCAACTCTGTGAGGTGAATGCAAAACATCCCAAAGAAGTTTCTGAGAATGCTTCCGTTTAGCTTTTAGGTGAAGATTATCCCGTTTCCAACGAAACCTTCAAAGAGGTCCAAATATCCCCTTGCGGATCCCACAGAAAGAGTGTTTCGAAACTGCTGTTTCAAAAGGAATCTTCAACTCTGTGAGTTGAATGCAATCATCACAAAGAAGTTTCTGACAATGCTTCTCTCTCGTCTTTCTGTGAAGATAAAGGAAAAGGCTTTCAGGCCTTTTCCACCACAGGCCTGAAAGCGCTCCAAATGTCCACTTGCAGATTCTGCCAAAAGAATATTTCAAAACTGCTCTATGAAACGCAATGTTAAACTCTGTGGCTCGAACACAAACATCACAAGGCGGTTTCTGAGAATGCTTCAGTTTAGTTTTTCTGTGGAAATATTCCCGTTTCCAAAGAAATCTTCAAAGAGGTCCACGTATCCACTTACAGATTCTACAAAAAGACAGTTTCAAAACTGCTCCATCAAAAGGAGGGTTCAACTGTGTGACTTGAATGCAATCATCACTCAGAAGTTTCTGAGAATGCTTCTCTTTAGTTTTTAGGTGAACATATACACGTTTCGAACGAAGGCCACCCAGTGGTCCAAATATCCACTTGCAGATTATACAGAAAGAGTGTTTCGAACCTGAACTCTCAAAGGCAGGTTCATCTCTGCGAGTTAAATGCATTCATCATGAAGAACTTTCTCAGAGTGTTTGTGTTTAGTTATGGGAAATTATTCCCGTTTCCAACGAAATCCTCAGAGAGCTCCAAATATCCACCTGCAGATTCTACCAAAAGTGTATTTGGAAACTGCTCCATCAAAAGGCATGTTCAGCTCTGTGAGTGAAACTCCATCATCACAAAGAATATTCTGAGAATGCTTCCATTTGCCTTTTATATGAAGTTCCTTCCTATACTACCGTAGGCCTCAAAGCAGTCCAAATCTCCATTTGCAGATTCTACAAAAAGAGTGATTCCAATCTGCTCTATCAATAGGATTGTTCAACTCCATGAGTTGAATGCCATGCTCACAAAGTCGTTTCTGAGAATGCTTCTATCTAGTTTTTATGTGAAGATATTTCCTTTTCCACCACAGGCCTCAAAGCCCTCCAAACGTCCACTTGCAGATTCTCGAAAAAGTGTGTTTCATAGCTGCTCTTTCAAAAGGAAATTTCAACTCTGGGAGTTGAATACAAACATCACAAAGTAGTTTCCGAGAATGCTTCTGTTTAGTTTTTATGTGAAGATGATCCCGTTTCCAGTGAAATCTTCAAAGAGGTCCACATATCCCCTTGCAGATTCCAAAGAAAGAGGGTTTCAAAACTGCTCCATCAGAAGGATTGTTCAACTCTGTGAGTTGAATGCAGTCATCGCAGAAAACTTTCTGAGAATGCTTCTGTCTAGGTTTGATGTGAAGATATAGACCTTTCAAACGAAGGCTACAAAGTGGTCAAAATATACACTTGCAGATTCTACTGCAAGGGTGTTGCAAACCTGAACTATCAAAGGAATGTTCAACTCTGTGAGTTGAATTCAAACGTCATAAAGAATGTTCTGAGTTTGCTTCCGTTCAGTTATGGGAAGTTGATCCCGTTTCCAACGAAATCCTCAGAGAGGTCCAAATATCCCCTTGCAGATTCTACAAAACGTGTGTTTGGAAACTGCTCCATCATAATGAATGTTCAGCTCTCTGAGTTAAACTCCATCGTCACAAAAAATTTTCTGAGAGTGCTACCGTCTAGTTTTTATATGAAGTTCTTTCCTTTACTACCACAGGCCTCAAAGCGGTCCAAATCTCCACTTGCAGATTCTACAAAAAGAGTGTTTGCAAACTGCTCTATCAAAAGGAATGTTCAACTCTGGGAGTTGAATGCAATCATCACAGAGCAGTTTCTGAGAATGCTTCTATGTCGTTTTTAGGAGAAGATATTTCCTTTTCCAACACAGTCCTCCAAGCCCGCTAAATATCCACTTGCACATTGTAGAAAAAGTGTGTCGAAGCTGCGCTATCAAAGGGAAAGTTCAACTCTGTGAGGTGAATGCAAACATCCCAAAGAAGTTTCTGAGAATGCTTCCGTTTAGCTTTTAGGTGAAGATTATCCCGTTTGCAACGAAATCTTCAAAGAGGTCCAAATATCCCCTTGCGGATCCCACAGAAAGAGTGTTTCGAAACTGCTGTTTCAAAAGGAATCTTCAACTCTGTGAGTTGAATGCAATCATCACAAAGAAGTTTCTGACAATGCTTCTCTCTCGTCTTTCTGTGAAGATAAAGGAAAAGGCTTTCAGGCCTTTTCCACCACAGGCCTGAAAGCGCTCCAAATGTCCACTTGCAGATTCTGCCAAAAGAATATTTCAAAACTGCTCTATGAAAAGCAATGTTAAACTCTGTGGCTCGAACACAAACATCACAAAGCGGTTTCTGAGAATGCTTCAGTTTAGTTTTTCTGTGGAAATATTCCCGTTTCCAAAGAAATCTTCAAAGAGGTCCACGTATCCACTTACAGATTCTACAAAAAGACAGTTTCAAAACTGCTCCATCAAAAGGAGGGTTCAACTGTGTGACTTGAATGCAATCATCACTCAGAAGTTTCTGAGAATGCTTCTCTTTAGTTTTTTCGTGAACATATACCCGTTTCGAACGAAGGCCAGCCAGTGGTCCAAATATCCACTTGCAGATTCTACAGAAAGAGTGTTTCGAACATGAACTCTCAAAGGCAGGTTCATCTCTGCGAGTTAAATGCATTCATCATGAAGAACTTTCTCAGAGTGTTTGTGTTTAGTTATGGGAAATTATTCCCGTTTCCAACGAAATCCTCAGAGAGGTCCAAATATCCACCTGCAGATTCTACCAAAAGTGTATTTGGAAACTGCTCCATCAAAAGGCATGTTCAGCTCTGTGAGTGAAACTCCATCATCACAAAGAATATACTGAGAATGCTTCCGTTTGCCTTTTATATGAAGTTCCTTCCTATACGACCGTAGGCCTCAAAGCAGTCCAAATCTCCATTTGCAGATTCTACAAAAAGAGTGATTCCAATCTGCTCTATCAATAGGATTGTTCAACTCCATGAGTTGAATGCCATCCTCACAAAGTCGTTTCTGAGAATGCTTCTATCTAGTTTTTATGTGAAGATATTTCCTTTTCCACCACAGGCCTCAAAGCCCTCCAAACGTCCACTTGCAGATTCTCGAAAAAGAGTGTTTCATAGCTGCTCTTTCAAAAGGAAAGTTCAACTCTGGGAGTTGAATACAAACATCACAAAGTAGTTTCCGAGAATGCTTCTGTTTAGTTTTTATGTGAAGATGATCGATCCCGTTTCCAGTGAAATCTTCAAAGAGGTCCACATATCCCCTTGCAGATTCCAAAGAAAGAGGGTTTCAAAACTGCTCCATCAGAAGGATTGTTCAACTCTGTGAGTTGAATGCAGCCATCGCAGAAAACTTTCTGAGAATGCTTCTGTCTAGGTTTGATGTGAAGATATAGACGTTTCAAACGAAGGCTACAAAGTGGTCAAAATATACACTTGCAGATTCTACTACAAGGGTGTTGCAAACCTGAACTATCAAAGGAAGGTTCAACTCTGTGAGTTGAATACAAACATCACAAAGAATGTTCTGAGTTTGCTTCCGTTCAGTTATGGGAAGTTGATCCCGTTTCCAACGAAATCCTCAGAGAGGTCCAAATATCCCCTCGCAGATTCTACAATACGTGTGTTTGGAAACTGCTCCATCATAACGAATGTTCAGCTCCCTGAGTTAAACTCCATCGTCACAAAGAATTTTCTGAGAGTGCTACCGTCTGGTTTTTATATGAAGTTCTTTCCTTCACTACCACTGGCCTCAAAGCGGTCCAAATCTCCACTTGCAGATTGTACAAAAAGAGTGTTTGCAAACTGCTCTATCAAAAGGAATGTTCAACTCTGGGAGTTGAATGCAATCATCACAGAGCAGTTTCTGAGAATGCTTCTATGTCGTTTTTAGGAGAAGATATTTCCTTTTCCAACACAGTCCTCCAAGCCCGCTAAATAGCCACTTGCACATTGTAGAAAAAGTGTGTCAAAGCTGCGCTATCAAAGGGAAAGTTCAACTCTGTGAGGTGAATGCAAACATCCCAAAGAAGTTTCTGAGAATGCTTCCGTTTAGCTTTTAGGTGAAGATTATCCCGTTTCCAACGAAACCTTCAAAGAGGTCCAAATATCCCCTTGCGGATCCCACAGAAAGAGTGTTTCGAAACTGCTGTTTCAAAAGGAATCTTCAACTCTGTGAGTTGAATGCAATCATCACAAAGAAGTTTCTGACAATGCTTCTCTCTCGTCTTTCTGTGAAGATAAAGGAAAAGGCTTTCAGGCCTTTGCCACCACAGGCCTGAAAGCGCTCCAAGTGTCCACTTGCAGATTCTGCGAAAAGAATATTTCAAAACTGCTCTATGAAAAGCAATGTTAAACTCTGTGGCTCGAACACAAACATCACAAAGAGGTTTCTGAGAATGCTTCAGTTTAGTTTTTCTGTGGAAATATTCCCGTTTCCAAAGAAATCTTCAAAGAGGTCCACGTATCCACTTACAGATTCTACAAAAAGACAGTTTCAAAACTGCTCCATCAAAAGGAGGGTTCAACCGTGTGACTTGAATGCAATCATCACTCAGAAGTTTCTGAGAATGCTTCTCTTTAGTTTTTACGTGAACATATACCCGTTTCGAACGAAGGCCACCCAGTGGTCCAAATATCCACTTGCAGATTCTACAGAAAGAGTGTTTCGAACCTGAACTCTCAAAGGCAGGTTCATCTCTGCGAGTTAAATGCATTCATCTTGAAGAACTTTCTCAGAGTGTTTGTGTTTAGTTATGGGAAATTATTCCCCTTTCCAACGAAATCCTCAGAGAGCTCCAAATATCCACCTGCAGATTCTACCAAAAGTGTATTTGGAAACTGCTCCATCAAAAGGCATGTTCAGCTCTGTGAGTGAAACTCCATCATCACAAAGAATATTCTGAGAATGCTTCCGTTTGCCTTTTATATGAAGTTCCTTCCTGTACTACCGTAGGCCTCAAAGCAGTCCAAATCTCCATTTGCAGATTCTACAAAAAGAGTGATTCCAATCTGCTCTATCAATAGGATTGTTCAACTCCATGAGTTGAATGCCATCCTCACAAAGCAGTTTCTGAGAATGCTTCTATCTGGTTTTTGTGTGAAGATATTTCCTTTTCCACCACAGGCCTCAAAGCCCTCCAAACGTCCACTTGCAGATTCTCGAAAAAGAGTGTTTCATAGCTGCTCTTTCAAAAGGAAAGTTCAACTCTGGGAGTTGAATACAAACATCACAAAATAGTTTCTGAGAATGCTTCTGTTTAGTTTTTATGTGAAGATGATCCCGTTTCCAGTGAAATCTTCAAAGAGGTCCACATATCCCCTTGCAGATTCCAAAGAAAGAGGGTTTCAAAACTGCTCCATCAGAAGGATTGTTCAACTCTGTGAGTTGAATGCAGTCATCGCAGAAAACTTTCTGAGAATGCTTCTGTCTAGGTTTGATGTGAAGATATAGACGTTTCAAACGAAGGCTACAAAGTGGTCAAAATATACACTTGCAGATTCTACTACAAGGGTGATGCAAACCTCAACTATCAAAGGAAGGTTCAACTCTGTGAGATGAATGCAACCATCACAAAAAATGTTCTGAGTTTGCTTCCGTTCAGTTATGGGAAGTTGATCCCGTTTCCAACGAAATCCTCAGAGAGGTCCAAATATCCCCTTGCAGATTCTACAAAACGTGTGTTTGGAAACTGCTCCATCATAACGAATGTTCAGCTCTCTGAGTTAAACTCCATCGTCACAAAGAATTTTCTGAGAGTGCTACCGTCTGGTTTTTATATGAAGTTCTTTCCTTCACTACCACAGGCCTCAAAGCGGTCCAAATCTCCACTTGCAGATTGTACAAAAAGAGTGTTTGCAAACTGCTCTATCAAAAGGAATGTTCAACTCTGGGAGTTGAATGCAATCATCACAGAGCAGTTTCTGAGAATGCTTCTATGTCGTTTTTAGGAGAAGATATTTCCTTTTCCAACACAGTCCTCCAAGCCCGCTAAATAGCCACTTGCACATTGTAGAAAAAGTGTGTCAAAGCTGCGCTATCAAAGGGAAAGTTCAACTCTGTGAGGTGAATGCAAACATCCCAAAGAAGTTTCTGAGAATGCTTCCGTTTAGCTTTTAGGTGAAGATTATCCCGTTTCCAACGAAACCTTCAAAGAGGTCCAAATATCCCCTTGCGGATCCCACAGAAAGAGTGTTTCGAAACTGCTGTTTCAAAAGGAATCTTCAACTCTGTGAGTTGAATGCAATCATCACAAAGAAGTTTCTGACAATGCTTCTCTCTCGTCTTCCTGTGAAGATAAAGGAAAAGGCTTTCAGGCCTTTTCCACCACAGGCCTGAAAGCGCTCCAAATGTCCACTTGCAGATTCTGCCAAAAGAATATTTCAAAACTGCTCTATGAAAAGCAATGTTAAACTCTGTGGCTCGAACACAAACATCACAAAGCAGTTTCTGAGAATGCTTCAGTTTAGTTTTTCTGTGGAAATATTCCCGTTTCCAAAGAAATCTTCAAAGAGGTCCACGCATTCACTTACAGATTCTACAAAAAGACAGTTTCAAAACTGCTCAATCAAAAGGAGGGTTCAACTGTGTGACTTGAATGCAATCATCACTCAGAAGTTTCTGAGAACGCTTCTCTTTAGTTTTTACGTGAACATATACCCGTTTCGAACGAAGGCCAGCCAGTGGTCCAAATATCCACTTGCAGATTCTACAGAAAGAGTGTTTCGAACCTGAACTCTCAAAGGCAGGTTCATCTCTGCGAGTTCAATGCATTCATCATGAAGAACTTTCTCAGAGTGTTTGTGTTTAGGTATGGGAAATTATTCCCGTTTCCAACGAAATCTTCAGAGAGGTCCAAATATCCACCTGCAGATTCTACCAAAAGTGTATTTGGAAACTGCTCCATCAAAAGGCATGTTCAGCTCTGTGAGTGAAACTCCATCATCACAAAGAATATTCTGAGAATGCTTCCGTTTGCCTTTTATATGAAGTACCTTCCTATACTACCGTAGGCCTCAAAGCAGTCCAAATCTCCATTTGCAGATTCTACAAAAAGAGTGATTCCAATCTGCTCTATCAATAGGATTGTTCAACTCCATGAGTTGAATGCCATCCTCACAAAGTCGTTTCTGAGAATGCTTCTATCTAGTTTTTATGTGAAGATATTTCCTTTTCCACCACAGGCCTCAAAGCCCTCCAAACGTCCACTTGCAGATTCTCGAAAAAGAGTGTTTCATACCTGCCCTTCAAAAGGAAAGTTCAACTCTGGGAGGTGAATACAAACATCACAAAGTAGTTTCCGAGTATGCTTCTGTTTAGTTCTTATGTGAAGATGATCCCGTTTCCAGTGAAATCTTCAAAGAGGTCCACATATCCCCTTGCCGATTCCAAAGAAAGAGGGTTTCAAAACTGCTCCATCAAAAGGATTGTTCAACTCTGTGAGTTGAATGCAGTCATCGCAGAAAACTTTCTGAGAATGCTTCTGTCTAGGTTTGATGTGAAGATATAGACGTTTCAAACGAAGGCTACAAAGTGGTCAAAATATACACTTGCAGATTCTACTACAAGGGTGTTGCAAACCTGAACTATCAAAGGAAGGTTCAACTCTGTGAGTTGAATACAAACATCACAAAGAATGTTCTGAGTTTGCTTCCGTTCAGTTATGGGAAGTTGATCCCGTTTCCAACGAAATCCTCAGAGAGGTCCAAATATCCCCTTGCAGATTCTACAAAACGTGTGTTTGGTAACTGCTCCATCATAACGAATGTTCAGCTCCCTGAGTTAAACTCCATCGTCACAAAGAATTTTCTGAGAGTGCTACCGTCTGGTTTTTGTATGAAGCTCTTTCCTTCACTACCACAGACCTCAAAGCGGTCCAAATCTCCACTTGCAGATTCTACAAAAAGAGTGTTTGCAAACTGCTCTATCAAAAGGAATGTTCAACTCTGGGAGTTGAATGCAATCATCACAGAGCAGTTTCTGAGAATGCTTCTATGTCGTTTTTAGGAGAAGATATTTCCTTTTCCAACACAGTCCTCCAAGCCCGCTAAATAGCCACTTGCACATTGTAGAAAAAGTGTGTCAAAGCTGCGCTATCAAAGGGAAAGTTCAACTCTGTGAGGTGAATGCAAACATCCCAAAGAAGTTTCTGAGAATGCTTCCGTTTAGCTTTTAGGTGAAGATTATCCCGTTTCCAACGAAACCTTCAAAGAGGTCCAAATATCCCCTTGCGGATCCCACAGAAAGAGTGTTTCGAAACTGCTGTTTCAAAAGGAATCTTCAACTCTGTGAGTTGAATGCAATCATCACAAAGAAGTTTCTGACAATGCTTCTCTCTCGTGTTTCTGTGAAGATAAAGGAAAAGGCTTTCAGGCCTTTTCCACCACAGGCCTGAAAGCGCTCCAAATGTCCACTTGCAGATTCTGCGAAAAGAATATTTCAAAACTGCTCTATGAAAAGCAATGTTAAACTCTGTGGCTGGAACACAAACATCACAAAGCGGTTTCTGAGAATGCTTCAGTTTAGTTTTTCTGTGGAAATATTCCCGTTTCCAAAGAAATCTTCAAAGAGGTCCACGTATCCACTTACAGATTCTACAAAAAGACAGTTTCAAAACTGCTCAATCAAAAGGAGGGTTCAACTGTGTGACTTGAATGCAATCATCACTCAGATGTTTCTGAGAACGCTTCTCTTTAGTTTTTACGTGAACATATACCCGTTTCGAACGAAGGCCAGCCAGTGGTCCAAATATCCACTTGCAGATTCTACAGAAAGAGTGTTTCGAACCTGAACTCTCAAAGGCAGGTTCATCTCTGCGAGTTAAATGCATTCATCATGAAGAACTTTCTCAGCGTGTTTGTGTTTAGTTATGGGAAATTATTCCCGTTTCCAACGAAATCCTCAGAGAGGTCCAAATATCCACCTGCAGATTCTACCAAAAGTGTATTTGGAAACTGCTCCATCAAAAGGCATGTTCAGCTCTGTGAGTGAAACTCCATCATCACAAAGAATATTCTGAGAATGCTTCCGTTTGCCTTTTATATGAAGTTCCTTCCTATACTACCGTAGGCCTCAAAGCAGTCCAAATCTCCATTTGCAGATTTTACAAAAAGAGTGATTCCAATCTGCTCTATCAATAGGATTGTTCAACTCCATGAGTTGAATGCCATCCTCACAAACTCGTTTCTGAGAATGCTTCTATCTAGTTTTTATGTAAAGATATTTCCTTTTCCACCACAGGCCTCAAAGCCCTCCAAACGTCCACTTGCAGATTCTCGAAAAAGAGTGTTTCATAGCTGCTCTTTCAAAAGGAAAGTTCAACTCTGGGAGGTGAATACAAACATCACAAAGTAGTTTCCGAGAATGCTTCTGTTTAGTTCTTATGTGAAGATGATCCCGTTTCCAGTGAAATCTTCAAAGAGGTCCACATATCCCCTTGCAGATTCCAAAGAAAGAGGGTTTCAAAACTGCTCCATCAAAAGGATTGTTCACCTCTGTGAGTTGAATGCAGTCATCGCAGAAAACTTTCTGAGAATGGTTCTGTCTAGGTTTGATGTGAAGATATAGACGTTTCAAACGAATGCTACAAAGTGGTCAAAATATACACTTGCAGATTCTACTACAAGGGTGTTGCAAACCTGAACTATCAAAGGAAGGTTCAACTCTGTGAGTTGAATTCAAACATCATAAAGAATGTTCTGAGTTTGCTTCCGTTCAGTTATGGGAAGTTGATCCCGTTTCCAACGAAATCCTCAGAGAGGTCCAAATATCCCCTTGCAGATTCTACAAAACGTGTGTTTGGAAACTGCTCCATCATAACGAATGTTCAGCTCTCTGAGTTAAACTCCATCGTCACAAAGAATTTTCTGAGAGTGCTACCGTCTAGTTTTTATAGGAAGTTCTTTCCTTTACTACCACAGGCCTCAAAGCGGTCCAAATCTCCACTTGCAGATTCTACAAAAAGAGTGTTTGCAAACTGCTCTATCAAAAGGAATGTTCAACTCTGGGAGTTGAATGCAATCATCACAGAGCAGTTTCTGAGAATGCTTCTATGTGGTTTTTAGGAGAAGATATTTCCTTTTCCAACACAGTCCTGCAAGCCCGCTAAATATCCACTTGCACATTTTAGAAAAAGTGTGTCGAAGCTGCGCTATCAAAGGGAAAGTTCGACTCTGTGAGGTGAATGCAAACATCCCAAAGAAGTTTCTGAGAATGCTTCCGTTTAGCTTTTAGGTGAAAATTATCCCGTTTCCAACGAAATCTTCAAAGAGGTCCAAATATCCCCTTGCGGATCCCACAGAAAGAGTGTTTCGAAACTGCTGTTTCAAAAGGAATCTTCAACTCTGTGAGTTGAATGCAATCATCACAAAGAAGTTTCTGACAATGCTTCTCTCTCGTCTTTCTGTGAAGATAAAGGAAAAGGCTTTCAGGCCTTTTCCACCACAGGCCTGAAAGCGCTCCAAATGTCCACTTGCAGATTCTGCCAAAAGAATATTTCAAAACTGCTCTATGAAAAGCAATGTTAAACTCTGCGGCTCGAACACAAACATCACAAAGCAGTTTCTGAGAATGCTTCAGTTTAGTTTTTCTGTGGAAATATTCCCGTTTCCAAAGAAATCTTCAAAGAGGTCCACGCATCCACTTACAGATTCTACAAAAACACAGTTTCAAAACTGCTCAATCAAAAGGAGGGTTCAACTGTGTGACTTGAATGCAATCATCACTCAGAAGTTTCTGAGAATGCTTCTCTTTAGTTTTTACGTGAACATATACCCGTTTCGAACGAAGGCCACCCAGTGGTCCAAATATCCACTTGCAGATTCTACAGAAAGAGTGTTTCGAACCTGAACTCTCAAAGGCAGGTTCATCTCTGCGAGTTAAATGCATTCATCATGAAGAACTTTCTCAGCGTGTTTGTGTTTAGGTATGGGAAATTATTCCCGTTTCCAACGAAATCCTCAGAGAGCTCCAAATATCCACCTGCAGATTCTACCAAAAGTGTATTTGGAAACTGCTCCATCAAAAGGCATGTTCAGCTCTGTGAGTGAAACTCCATCATCACAAAGAATATTCTGAGAATGCTTCCGTTTGCCTTTTATATGAAGTTCCTTCCTGTACTACCGTAGGCCTCAAAGCAGTCCAAATCTCCATTTGCAGATTCTACAAAAAGAGTGATTCCAATCTGCTCTATCAATAGGATTGTTCAACTCCATGAGTTGAATGCCATCCTCACAAAGTCGTTTCTGAGAATGCTTCTATCTGGTTTTTGTGTGAAGATATTTCCTTTTCCACCACAGGCCTCAAAGCCCTCCAAACGTCCACTTGCAGATTCTCGAAAAAGAGTGTTTCATAGCTGCTCTTTCAAAAGGAAAGTTCAACTCTGTGAGTTGAATACAAACATCACAAAATAGTTTCCGAGAATGCTTCTGTTTAGTTTTTATGTGAAGATGATCCCGTTTCCAGTGAAATCTTCAAAGAGGTCCACATATCCCCTTGCAGATTCCAAAGAAAGAGGGTTTAAAAACTGCTCCATCAGAAGGATTGTTCAACTCTGTGAGTTGAATGCAGTCATCGCAGAAAACTTTCTGAGAATGCTTCTGTCTAGGTTTGATGTGAAGATATAGACGTTTCAAACGAAGGCTACAAAGTGGTCAAAATATACACTTGCAGATTCTACTACAAGGGTGTTGCAAACCTGAACTATCAAAGGAAGGTTCAACTCTGTGAATTGAATACAAACATCACAAAGAATGTTCTGAGTTTGCTTCCGTTCAGTTATGGGAAGTTGATCCCGTTTCCAACGAAATCCTCAGAGAGGTCCAAATATCCCCTCGCAGATTCTACAAAACGTGTGTTTGGAAACTGCTCCATCATAACGAATGTTCAGCTCCCTGAGTTAAACTCCATCGTCACAAAGAATTTTCTGAGAGTGCTACCGTCTGGTTTTTATATGAAGTTCTTTCCTTCACTACCACAGGCCTCAAAGCGGTCCAAATCTCCACTTGCAGATTCTACAAAAAGAGTGTTTGCAAACTGCTCTATCAAAAGGAATGTTCAACTCTGGGAGTTGAATGCAATCATCACAGAGCAGTTTCTGAGAATGCTTCTATGTCGTTTTTAGGAGAAGATATTTCCTTTTCCAACACAGTCCTCCAAGCCCGCTAAATAGCCACTTGCACATTGTAGAAAAAGTGTGTCAAAGCTGCGCTATCAAAGGGAAAGTTCAACTCTGTGAGGTGAATGCAAACATCCCAAAGAAGTTTCTGAGAATGCTTCCGTTTAGCTTTTAGGTGAAGATTATCCCGTTTCCAACGAAAGCTTCAAAGAGGTCCAAATATCCCCTTGCGGATCCCACAGAAAGAGTGTTTCGAAACTGCTGTTTCAAAAGGAATCTTCAACTCTGTGAGTTGAATGCAATCATCACAAAGAAGTTTCTGACAATGCTTCTCTCTCGTCTTTCTGTGAAGATAAAGGAAAAGGCTTTCAGGCCTTTTCCACCACAGGCCTGAAAGCGCTCCAAATGTCCACTTGCAGATTCTGCGAAAAGAATATTTCAAAACTGCTCTATGAAAAGCAATGGTAAACTCTGTGGCTCGAACACAAACATCACAAAGCGGTTTCTGAGAATGCTTCAGTTTAGTTTTTCTGTGGAAATATTCCCGTTTCCAAAGAAATCTTCAAAGAGGTCCACGTATCCACTTACAGATTCTACAAAAAGACAGTTTCAAAACTGCTCCATCAAAAGGAGGGTTCAACTGTGTGACTTGAATGCAATCATCACTCAGAAGTTTCTGAGAATGCTTCTCTTTAGTTTTTACGTGAACATATACCCGTTTCGAACGAAGGCCACCCAGTGGTCCAAATATCCACTTGCAGATTCTACAGAAAGAGTGTTTCGAACCTGAACTCTCAAAGGCAGGTTCATCTCTGCGAGTTAAATGCATTCATCATGAAGAACTTTCTCAGAGTGTTTGTGTTTAGTTATGGGAAATTATTCCCGTTTCCAACGAAATCCTCAGAGAGCTCCAAATATCCACCTGCAGATTCTACCAAAAGTGTATTTGGAAACTGCTCCATCAACAGGCATGTTCAGCTCTGTGAGTGAAACTCCATCATCACAAAGAATATTCTGAGAATGCTTCCGTTTGCCTTTTATCTGAAGTTCCTTCCTATACGACCGTAGGCCTCAAAGCAGTCCAAATCTCCATTTGCAGATTCTACAAAAAGAGTGATTCCAATCTGCTCTATCAATAGGATTGTTCAACTCCATGAGTTGAATGCCATCCTCACAAAGTCGTTTCTGAGAATGCTTCTATCTAGTTTTTGTGTGAAGATATTTCCTTTTCCACCACAGGCCTCAAAGCCCTCCAAACGTCCACTTGCAGATTCTCGAAAAAGAGTGTTTTATAGCTGCTCTTTCAAAAGGAAAGCTCAACTCTGGGAGTTGAATACAAACATCACAAAGTAGTTTCCGAGAATGCTTCTGTTTAGTTTTTATGTGAAGATGATCCCGTTTCCAGTGAAATCTTCAAAGAGGTCCACATATCCCCTTGCAGATTCCAAAGAAAGAGGGTTTCAAAACTGCTCCATCAGAAGGATTGTTCAACTCTGTGAGTTGAATGCAGTCATCGCAGAAAACTTTCTGAGAATGCTTCTGTCTAGGTTTGATGTGAAGATATAGACGTTTCAAACGAAGGCTACAAAGTGGTCAAAATATACACTTGCAGATTCTACTACAAGGGTGTTGCAAACCTGAACTATCAAAGGAAGGTTCAACTCTGTGAGTTGAATACAAACATCACAAAGAATGTTCTGAGTTTGCTTCCGTTCAGTTATGGGAAGTTGATCCCGTTTCCAACGAAATCCTCAGAGA
The DNA here is from genome assembly GCF_000001405.40 of Homo sapiens. Lineage (NCBI taxonomy): Eukaryota > Metazoa > Chordata > Mammalia > Primates > Hominidae > Homo > Homo sapiens. Next base: position 60,939,126 of record NC_000023.11, on the reverse strand, counting down.
GGTCCAAATATCCCCTTGCAGATTCTACAAAACGTGTGTTTGGAAACTGCTCCATCATAACGAATGTTCAGCTCCCTGAGTTAAACTCCATCGTCACAAAGAATTTTCTGAGAGTGCTACCGTCTGGTTTTTATATGAAGCTCTTTCCTTCACTACCACAGGCCTCAAAGCGGTCCAAATCTCCACTTGCAGATTCTACAAAAAGAGTGTTTGCAAACTGCTCTATCAAAAGGAATGTTCAACTCTGGGAGTTGAATGCAATCATCACAGAGCAGTTTCTGAGAATGCTTCTATGTCGTTTTTAGAAGATATTTCCTTTTCCAACACAGTCCTCCAAGCCCGCTAAATATCCACTTGCACATTGTAGAAAACGTGTGTCAAAGCTGCGCTATCAAAGGGAAAGTTCAACTCTGTGAGGTGAATGCAAACATCCCAAAGAAGTTTCTGAGAATGCTTCCGTTTAGCTTTTAGGTGAAGATTATCCCGTTTCCAACGAAACCTTCAAAGAGGTCCAAATATCCCCTTGCGGATCCCACAGAAAGAGTGTTTCGAAACTGCTGTTTCAAAAGGAATCTTCAACTCTGTGAGTTGAATGCAATCATCACAAAGAAGTTTCTGACAATGCTTCTCTCTCGTCTTTCTGTGAAGATAAAGGAAAAGGCTTTCAGGCCTTTTCCACCACAGGCCTGAAAGCGCTCCAAATGTCCACTTGTAGATTCTGCCAAAAGAATATTTCAAAACTGCTCTATGAAAAGCAATGTTAAACTCTGTGGCTCGAACACAAACATCACAAAGCAGTTTCTGAGAATGCTTCAGTTTAGTTTTTCTGTGGAAATATTCCCGTTTCCAAAGAAATCTTCAAAGAGGTCCACGTATCCACTTACAGATTCTACAAAAAGACAGTTTCAAAACTGCTCCATCAAAAGGAGGGTTCAACTGTGTGACTTGAATGCAATCATCACTCAGAAGTTTCTGAGAATGCTTCTCTTTAGTTTTTACGTGAACATATACCCGTTTCGAACGAAGGCCAGCCAGTGGTCCAAATATCCACTTGCAGATTCTACAGAAAGAGTGTTTCGAACCTGAACTCTCAAAGGCAGGTTCATCTCTGCGAGTTAAATACATTCATCATGAAGAACTTTCTCAGAGTGTTTGTGTTTAGTTATGGGAAATTATTCCCGTTTCCAACGAAATCCTCAGAGAGCTCCAAATATCCACCTGCAGATTCTACCAAAAGTGTATTTGGAAACTGCTCCATCAAAAGGCATGTTCAGCTCTGTGAGTGAAACTCCATCATCACAAAGAATATTCTGAGAATGCTTCCGTTTGCCTTTTATATGAAGTTCCTTCCTATACGACCGTAGGCCTCAAAGCAGTCCAAATCTCCATTTGCAGATTCTACAAAAAGAGTGATTCCAATCTGCTCTATCAATAGGATTGTTCAACTCCATGAGTTGAATGCCATCCTCACAAAGTCGTTTCTGAGAATGCTTCTATCTAGTTTTTATGTGAAGATATTTCCTTTTCCACCACAGGCCTCAAAGCCCTCCAAACGTCCACTTGCAGATTCTCGAAAAAGAGTGTTTCATAGCTGCTCTTTCAAAAGGAAAGTTCAACTCTGGGAGTTGAATACAAACATCACAAAGTAGTTTCCGAGAATGCTTCTGTTTAGTTTTTATGTGAAGATGATCCCGTTTCCAGTGAAATCTTCAAAGAGGTCCACATATCCCCTTGCAGATTCCAAAGAAAGAGGGTTTCAAAACTGCTCCATCAGAAGGATTGTTCAACTCTGTGAGTTGAATGCAGTCATCGCAGAAAACTTTCTGAGAATGCTTCTTTCTAGGTTTGATGTGAAGATATAGACGTTTCAAACGAAGGCTACAAAGTGGTCAAAATATACACTTGCAGATTCTACTACAAGGGTGTTGCAAACCTGAACTATCAAAGGAAGGTTCAACTCTGTGAGTTGAATACAAACATCACAAAGAATGTTCTGAGTTTGCTTCCGTTCAGTTATGGGAAGTTGATCCCGTTTCCAACGAAATCCTCAGAGAGGTCCAAATATCCCCTTGCAGATTCTACAAAACGTGTGTTTGGAAACTGCTCCATCATAACGAATGTTCAGCTCCCTGAGTTAAACTCCATCGTCACAAAGAATTTTCTGAGAGTGCTACCGTCTGGTTTTTATATGAAGCTCTTCCCTTCACTACCACAGGCCTCAAAGCGGTCCAAATCTCCACTTGCAGATTCTACAAAAAGAGTGTTTGCAAACTGCTCTATCAAAAGGAATGTTCAACTCTGGGAGTTGAATGCAATCATCACAGAGCAGTTTCTGAGAATGCTTCTATGTCGTTTTTAGGAGAAGATATTTCCTTTTCCAACACAGTCCTCCAAGCCCGCTAAATATCCCCTTGCACATTGTAGAAAAAGTGTGTCGAAGCTGCGCTATCAAAGGGAAAGTTCAAGTCTGTGAGGTGAATGCAAACATCCCAAAGAAGTTTCTGAGAATGCTTCCGTTTAGCTTTTAGGTGAAGATTATCCCGTTTCCAACGAAATCTTCAAAGAGGTCCAAATATCCCCTTGCGGATCCCACAGAAAGAGTGTTTCGAAACTGCTGTTTCAAAAGGAATCTTCAACTCTGTGAGTTGAATGCAATCATCACAAAGAAGTTTCTGACAATGCTTCTCTCTCGTCTTTCTGTGAAGATAAAGGAAAAGGCTTTCAGGCCTTTTCCACCACAGGCCTGAAAGCGCTCCAAATGTCCACTTGCAGATTCTGCCAAAAGAATATTTCAAAACTGCTCTATGAAAAGCAATGTTAAACTCTGTGGCTCGAACACAAACATCACAAAGCAGTTTCTGAGAATGCTTCAGTTTAGTTTTTCTGTGGAAATATTCCCGTTTCCAAAGAAATCTTCAAAGAGGTCCACGCATCCACTTACAGATTCTACAAAAAGACAGTTTCAAAACTGCTCAATCAAAAGGAGGGTTCAACTGTGTGACTTGAATGCAATCATCACTCAGAAGTTTCTGAGAACGCTTCTCTTTAGTTTTTACGTGAACGTATACCCGTTTCGAACGAAGGCCAGCCAGTGGTCCAAATATCCACTTGCAGATTCTACAGAAAGAGTGTTTCGAACCTGAACTCTCAAAGGCAGGTTCATCTCTGCGAGTTCAATGCATTCATCATGAAGAACTTTCTCAGCGTGTTTGTGTTTAGTTATGGGAAATTATTCCCGTTTCCAACGAAATCCTCAGAGAGCTCCAAATATCCACCTGCAGATTCTACCAAAAGTGTATTTGGAAACTGCTCCATCAAAAGGCATGTTCAGCTCTGTGAGTGAAACTCCATCATCACAAAGAATATTCTGAGAATGCTTCCGTTTCCCTTTTATATGAAGTTCCTTCCTATACTACCGTAGGCCTCAAAGCAGTCCAAATCTCCATTTGCAGATTCTACAAAAAGAGTGATTCCAATCTGCTCTATCAATAGGACTGTTCAACTCCATGAGTTGAATGCCATCCTCACAAAGTCGTTTCTGAGAATGCTTCTATCTAGTTTTTATGTGAAGATATTCCCTTTTCCACCACAGGCCTCAAAGCCCTCCAAACGTCCACTTGCAGATTCTCGAAAAAGAGTGTTTCATAGCTGCTCTTTCAAAAGGAAAGTTCAACTCTGGGAGTTGAATACAAACATCACAAAGTAGTTTCCGAGAATGCTTCTGTTTAGTTCTTATGTGAAGATGATCCCGTTTCCAGTGAAATCTTCAAAGAGGTCCACATATCCCCTTGCAGATTCCAAAGAAAGAGGGTTTCAAAACTGCTCCATCAAAAGGATTGTTCAACTCTGTGAGTTGAATGCAGTCATTGCAGAAAACTTTCTGAGAATGCTTCTGTCTAGGTTTGATGTGAAGATATAGACGTTTCAAACGAAGGCTACAAAGTGGTCAAAATATACACTTGCAGATTCTACTACAAGGGTGTTGCAAACCTGAACTATCAAAGGAAGGTTCAACTCTGTGAGTTGAATACAAACATCACAAAGAATGTTCTGAGTTTGCTTCCGTTCAGTTATGGGAAGTTGATCCCGTTTCCAACGAAATCCTCAGAGAGGTCCAAATATCCCCTTGCAGATTCTACAAAACGTGTGTTTGGAAACTGCTCCATCATAACGAATGTTCAGCTCTCTGAGTTAAACTCCATCGTCACAAAGAATTTTCTGAGAGTGCTACCGTCTAGTTTTTATATGAAGTTCTTTCCTTTACTACCACAGGCCTCAAAGCGGTCCAAATCTCCACTTGCAGATTCTACAAAAAGAGTGTTTGCAAACTGCTCTATCAAAAGGAATGTTCAACTCCTGGGAGTTGAATGCAATCATCACAGAGCAGTTTGCTGAGAATGCTTCTATGTCGTTTTTAGGAGAAGATATTTCCTTTTCCAACACAGTCCTCCAAGCCCGCTAAATATCCACTTGCACATTGTAGAAAAAGTGTGTCGAAGCTGCGCTATCAAAGGGAAAGTTCAACTCTGTGAGGTGAATGCAAACATCCCAAAGAAGTTTCTGAGAATGCTTCCGTTTAGCTTTAAGTGAAGATTATCCCGTTTCCAACGAAATCTTCAAAGAGGTCCAAATATCCCCTTGCGGATCCCACAGAAAGAGTGTTTCGAAACTGCTGTTTCAAAAGGAATCTTCAACTCTGTGAGTTGAATGCAATCATCACAAAGAAGTTTCTGACAATGCTTCTCTCTCGTCTTTCTGTGAAGATAAAGGAAAAGGCTTTCAGGCCATTTCCACCACAGGCCTGAAAGCGCTCCAAATGTCCACTTGCAGATTCTGCCAAAAGAATATTTCAAAACTGCTCTATGAAAAGCAATGTTAAACTCTGCGGCTCGAACACAAACATCACAAAGCAGTTTCTGAGAATGCTTCAGTTTAGTTTTTCTGTGGAAATATTCCCGTTTCCAAAGAAATCTTCAAAGAGGTCCACGCATCCACTTACAGATTCTACAAAAAGACAGTTTAAAAACTGCTCAATCAAAAGGAGGGTTCAACTGTGTGACTTGAATGCATTCATCACTCAGAAGTTTCTGAGAACGCTTCTCTTTAGTTTTTACGTGAACATATACCCGTTTCGAATGAAGGCCACCCAGTGGTCCAAATATCCACTTGCAGATTCTACAGAAAGAGTGTTTCGAACCTGAACTCTCAAAGGCAGGTTCATCTCTGCGAGTTAAATGCATTCATCATGAAGAACTTTCTCAGCGTGTTTGTGTTTAGTTATGGGAAATTATTCCCGTTTCCAACGAAATCCTCAGAGAGCTCCAAATATCCACCTGCAGATTCTACCAAAAGTGTATTTGGAAACTGCTCCCATCTCAAAAGGCATGTTCAGCTCTGTGAGTGAAACTCCATCATCACAAAGAATATTCTGAGAATGCTTCCGTTTGCCTTTTATATGAAGTTCCTTCCTATACTACCGTAGGCCTCAAAGCAGTCCAAATCTCCATTTGCAGATTCTACAAAAAGAGTGATTCCAATCTGCTCTATCAATAGGATTGTTCAACTCCATGAGTTGAATGCCATCCTCACAAAGTAGTTTCTGAGAATGCTTCTATCTAGTTTTTATGTGAAGATATTTCCTTTTCCACCACAGGCCTCAAAGCCCTCCAAACGTCCACTTTCAGATTCTCGAAAAAGAGTGTTTCATAGCTGCTCTTTCAAAAGGAAAGTTCAACTCTGGGAGTTGAATACAAACATCACAAAGTAGTTTCCGAGAATGCTTTCTGTTTAGTTTTTATGTGAAGATGATCCCGTTTCCAGTGAAATCTTCAAAGAGGTCCACATATCCCCTTGCAGATTCCAAAGAAAGAGGGTTTCAAAACTGCTCCATCAGAAGGATTGTTCAACTCTGTGAGTTGAATGCAGTCATCGCAGAAAACTTTCTGAGAATGCTTCTGTCTAGGTTTGATGTGAAGATATAGACGTTTCAAACGAAGGCTACAAAGTGGTCAAAATATACACTTGCAGATTCTACTACAAGGGTGTTGCAAACCTGAACTATCAAAGGAAGGTTCAACTCTGTGAGTTGAATACAAACATCACAAAGAATGTTCTGAGTTTGCTTCCGTTCAGTTATGGGAAGTTGATCCCGTTTCCAACGAAATCCTCAGAGAGGTCCAAATATCCCCTTGCAGATTCTACAAAACGTGTGTTTGGAAACTGCTCCATCATAACGAATGTTCAGCTCCCTGAGTTAAACTCCATCGTCACAAAGAATTTTCTGAGAGTGCTACCGTCTGGTTTTTATATGAAGTTCTTTCCTTCACTACCACAGGCCTCAAAGCGGTCCAAATCTCCACTTGCAGATTCTACAAAAAGAGTGTTTGCAAACTGCTCTATCAAAAGGAATGTTCAACTCTGGGAGTTGAATGCAATCATCACAGAGCAGTTTCTGAGAATGCTTCTATGTCGTTTTTAGGAGAAGATATTTCCTTTTCCAACACAGTCCTCCAAGCCCGCTAAATAGCCACTTGCACATTGTAGAAAAAGTGAGTCAAAGCTGCGCTATCAAAGGGAAAGTTCAACTCTGTGAGGTGAATGCAAACATCCCAAAGAAGTTTCTGAGAATGCTTCCGTTTAGCTTTTAGGTGAAGATTATCCCGTTTCCAACGAAACCTTCAAAGAGGTCCAAATATCCCCTTGCGGATCCCACAGAAAGAGTGTTTCGAAACTGCTGTTTCAAAAGGAATCTTCAACTCTGTGAGTTGAATGCAATCATCACAAAGAAGTTTCTGACAATGCTTCTCTCTCGTCTTTCTGTGAAGATAAAGGAAAAGGCTTTCAGGCCTTTTCCACCACAGGCCTGAAAGCGCTCCAAATGTCCACTTGCAGATTCTGCGAAAAGAATATTTCAAAACTGCTCTACGAAAAGCAATGTTAAACTCTGTGGCTCGAACACAAACATCACAAAGCGGTTTCTGAGAATGCTTCAGTTTAGTTTTTCTGTGGAAATATTCCCGTTTCCAAAGAAATCTTCAAAGAGGTCCACGTATCCACTTACAGATTCTACAAAAAGACAGTTTCAAAACTGCTCCATCAAAAGGAGGGTTCAACTGTGTGACTTGAATGCAATCATCACTCAGAAGTTTCTGAGAATGCTTCTCTTTAGTTTTTACGTGAACATATACCCGTTTCGAACGAAGGCCAGCCAGTGGTCCAAATATCCACTTTCAGATTCTACAGAAAGAGTGTTTCGAACATGAACTCTCAAAGGCAGGTTCATCTCTGCGAGTTAAATGCATTCATCATGAAGAACTTTCTCAGCGTGTTTGTGTTTAGTTATGGGAAATTATTCCCGTTTCCAACGAAATCCTCAGAGAGCTCCAAATATCCACCTGCAGATTCTACCAAAAGTGTATTTGGAAACTGCTCCATCAAAAGGCATGTTCCGCTCTGTGAGTGAAACTCCATCATCACAAAGAATATTCTGAGAATGCTTCCGTTTGCCTTTTATATGAAGTTCCTTCCTATACGACCGTAGGCCTCAAAGCAGTCCAAATCTCCATTTGCAGATTCTACAAAAAGAGTGATTCCAATCTGCTCTATCAATAGGATTGTACAACTCCATGAGTTGAATGCCATCCTCACAAAGTCGTTTCTGAGAATGCTTCTATCTAGTTTTTATGTGAAGATATTTCCTTTTCCACCACAGGCCTCAAATCCCTCCAAACGTCCACTTGCAGATTCTCGAAAAAGAGTGTTTCATAGCTGCTCTTTCAAAAGGAAAGTTCAACTCTGGGAGTTGAATACAAACATCACAAAGTAGTTTCCGAGAATGCTTCTGTTTAGTTTTTATGTGAAGATGATCCCGTTTCCAGTGAAATCTTCAAAGAGGTCCACATATCCCCTTGCAGATTCCAAAGAAAGAGGGTTTCAAAACTGCTCCATCAGAAGGATTGTTCAACTCTGTGAGTTGAATGCAGTCATCGCAGAAAACTTTCTGAGAATGCTTCTGTCTAGGTTTGATGTGAAGATATAGACGTTTCAAACGAAGGCTACAAAGTGGTCAAAATATACACTTGCAGATTCTACTACAAGGGTGTTGCAAACCTGAACTATCAAAGGAAGGTTCAACTCTGTGAGTTGAATACAAACATCACAAAGAATGTTCTGAGTTTGCTTCCGTTCAGTTATGGGAAGTTGATCCCGTTTCCAACGAAATCCTCAGAGAGGTCCAAATATCCCCTTGCAGATTCTACAAAACGTGTGTTTGGAAACTGCTCCATCATAACGAATGTTCAGCTCCCTGAGTTAAACTCCATCGTCACAAAGAATTTTCTGAGAGTGCTACCGTCTGGTTTTTATATGAAGTTCTTTCCTTCACTACCACAGGCCTCAAAGCGGTCCAAATCTCCACTTGCAGATTCTACAAAAAGAGTGTTTGCAAACTGCTCTATCAAAAGGAATGTTCAACTCTGGGAGTTGAATGCAATCATCACAGAGCAGTTTCTGAGAATGCTTCTATGTCGTTTTTAGGAGAAGATATTTCCTTTTCCAACACAGTCCTCCAAGCCCGCTAAATAGCCACTTGCACATTGTAGAAAAAGTGTGTCAAAGCTGCGCTATCAAAGGGAAAGTTCAACTCTGTGAGGTGAATGCAAACATCCCAAAGAAGTTTCTGAGAATGCTTCCGTTTAGCTTTTAGGTGAAGATTATCCCGTTTCCAACGAAACCTTCAAAGAGGTCCAAATATCCCCTTGCGGATCCCACAGAAAGAGTGTTTCGAAACTGCTGTTTCAAAAGGAATCTTCAACTCTGTGAGTTGAATGCAATCATCACAAAGAAGTTTCTGACAATGCTTCTCTCTCGTCTTTCTGTGAAGATAAAGGAAAAGGCTTTCAGGCCTTTGCCACCACAGGCCTGAAAGCGCTCCAAGTGTCCACTTGCAGATTCTGCGAAAAGAATATTTCAAAACTGCTCTATGAAAAGCAATGTTAAACTCTGTGGCTCGAACACAAACATCACAAAGAGGTTTCTGAGAATGCTTCAGTTTAGTTTTTCTGTGGAAATATTCCCGTTTCCAAAGAAATCTTCAAAGAGGTCCACGTATCCACTTACAGATTCTACAAAAAGACAGTTTCAAAACTGCTCCATCAAAAGGAGGGTTCAACTGTGTGACTTGAATGCAATCATCACTCAGAAGTTTCTGAGAATGCTTCTCTTTAGTTTTTACGTGAACATATACCCGTTTCGAACGAAGGCCAGCCAGTGGTCCAAATATCCACTTGCAGATTCTACAGAAAGAGTGTTTTGAACCTGAACTCTCAAAGGCAGGTTCATCTCTGTGAGTTAAATGCATTCATCATGAAGAACTTTCTCAGCGTGTTTGTGTTTAGTTATGGGAAATTATTCCCGTTTCCAACGAAATCCTCAGAGAGCTCCAAATATCCACCTGCAGATTGTACCAAAAGTGTATTTGGAAACTGCTCCATGAAAAGGCATGTTCAGCTCTGTGAGTGAAACTCCGTCATCACAAAGAATATTCTGAGAATGCTTCCGTTTGCCTTTTATATGAAGTTCCTTCCTATACTACCGTAGGCCTCAAAGCAGTCCAAATCTCCATTTGCAGATTCTACAAAAAGAGTGATTCCAATCTGCTCTATCAATAGGATTGTTCAACTCCATGAGTTGAATGCCATCCTCACAAAGTAGTTTCTGAGAATGCTTCTATGTAGTTTTTAAGTGAAGATATTTCCTTTTCCACCACAGGCCTCAAAGCCCTCCAAACGTCCACTTGCAGATTCTCGAAAAAGAGTGTTTCATAGCTGCTCTTTCAAAAGGAAAGTTCAACTCTGGGAGTTGAATACAAACATCACAAAGTAGTTTCCGAGAATGCTTCTGGTTAGTTCTTATGTGAAGATGATCCCGTTTCCAGTGAAATCTTCAAAGAGGTCCACATGTCCCCTTGCAGATTCCAAAGAAAGAGGGTTTCAAAACTGCTCCATCAAAAGGATTGTTCAACTCTGTGAGTTGAATGCAGTCATCGCAGAAAACTTTCTGAGAATGCTTCTGTCTAGGTTTGAGGTGAAGATATAGACGTTTCAAACGAAGGCTACAAAGTGGTCAACATATACACTTGCAGATTCTACTACAAGGGTGTTGCAAACCTCAACTATCAAAGGAAGGTTCAACTCTGTGAGATGAATGCAAACATCACAAAGAATGTTCTGAGTTTGCTTCCATTCAGTTATGGGAAGTTGATCCCGTTTCCAACGAAATCCTCAGAGAGGTCCAAATATCCCCTTGCAGATTCTACAAAACGTGTGTTTGGAAACTGCTCCATCATAACGAATGTTCAGCTCTCTGAGTTAAACTCCATCGTCACAAAGAATTTTCTGAGGGTGCTACCTTCTAGTTTTTATATGAAGTTCTTTCCTTTACTACCACAGGCCTCAAAGTGGTCCAAATCTCCACTTGCAGATTCTACAAAAAGAGTGTTTGCAAACTGCTCTATCAAAAGGAATGTTCAACTCTGGGAGTTGAATGCAATCATCACAGAGCAGTTTCTGAGAATGCTTCTATGTCGTTTTTAGGAGAAGATATTTCCTTTTCCAACACAGTCCTCCAAGCCCGCTAAATATCCACTTGCACATTGTAGAAAAAGTGTGTCGAAGCTGCGCTATCAAAGGGAAAGTTCAACTCTGTGAGGTGAATGCAAACATCCCAAAGAAGTTTCTGAGAATGCTTCCGTTTAGCTTTTAGGTGAAGATTATCCTGTTTCCAACGAAATCTTCAAAGAGGTCCAAATATCCCCTTGCAGATCCCACAGAAAGAGTGTTTCGAAACTGCTGTTTCAAAAGGAATCTTCAACTCTGTGAGTTGAATGCAATCTTCACAAAGAAGTTTCTGACAATGCTTCTCTCTCGTCTTTCTGTGAAGATAAAGGAAAAGGCTTTCAGGCCTTTTCCACCACAGGCCTGAAAGCGCTCCAAATGTCCACTTGCAGATTCTGCCAAAAGAATATTTCAAAACTGCTCTATGAAAAGCAATGTTAAACTCTGCGGCTCGAACACAAACATCACAAAGCAGTTTCTGAGAATGCTTCAGTTTAGTTTTTCTGTGGAAATATTCCCATTTCCAAAGAAATCTTCAAAGAGGTCCACGTATCCACTTACAGATTCTACAAAAAGACAGTTTCAAAACTGCTCAATCAAAAGGAGGGTTCAACCGTGTGACTTGAATGCAATCATCACTCAGAAGTTTCTGAGAATGCTTCTCTTTAGTTTTTACGTGAACATATACCCGTTTCGAACGAAGGCCAGCCAGTGGTACAAATATCCACTTGCAGATTCTACAGAAAGAGTGTTTCGAACCTGAACTCTCAAAGGCAGGTTCATCTCTGCGAGTTAAATGCATTCATCATGAAGAACTTTCTCAGAGTGTTTTGTGTTTAGTTATGGGAAATTATTCCCGTTTCCAACGAAATCCTCAGAGAGCTCCAAATATCCACCTGCTGATTCTACCAAAAGTGTATTTGGAAACTGCTCCATCAAAAGGCATGTTCAGGTCTGTGAGTGAAACTCCATCATCACAAAGAATATTCTGAGAATGCTTCCGTTTGCCTTTTATATGAAGTTCCTTCCTATACTACCGTAGGCCTCAAAGCAGTCCAAATCTCCATTTGCAGATTCTACAAAAAGAGTGATTCCAATCTCCTCTATCAATAGGACTGTTCAACTCCATGAGTTGAATGCCATCCTCACAAAGTCGTTTCTGAGAATGCTTCTATCTAGTTTTTATGTGAAGATATTTCCTTTTCCACCACAGGCCTCAAAGCCCTCCAAACGTCCACTTGCAGATTCTCGAAAAAGAGTGTTTCATAGCTGCTCTTTCAAAAGGAAAGTTCAACTCTGGGAGTTGAATACAAACATCACAAAGTAGTTTCCGAGAATGCTTCTGTTTAGTTCTTATGTGAAGATGATCCCGTTTCCAGTGAAATCTTCAAAGAGGTCCACATATCCCCTTGCAGATTCCAAAGAAAGAGGGTTTCAAAACTGCTCCATCAAAAGGATTGTTCAACTCTGTGAGTTGAATGCAGTCATCGCAGAAAACTTTCTGAGAATGCTTCTGTCTAGGTTTGAGGTGAAGATATAGACGTTTCAAACGAAGGCTACAAAGTGGTCAACATATACACTTGCAGATTCTACTACAAGGGTGATGCAAACCTGAACTATCAAAGGAAGGTTCAACTCTGTGAGTTGAATACAAACATCACAAAGAATGTTCTGAGTTTGCTTCCGTTCAGTTATGGGAAGTTGATCCCGTTTCCAACGAAATCCTCAGAGAGGTCCAAATATCCCCTTGCAGATTCTACAAAACGTGTGTTTGGAAACTGCTCCATCATAACGAATGTTCAGCTCTCTGAGTTAAACTCCATCGTCACAAAGAATTTTCTGAGAGTGCTACCGTCTGGTTTTTATATGAAGTTCTTTCCTTTACTACCACAGGCCTCAAAGCGGTCCAAATCTCCACTGGCAGATTCTACAAAAAGAGTGTTTGCAAACTGCTCTATCAAAAGGAATGTTCAACTCTGGGAGTTGAATGCAATCATCACAGAGCAGTTTCTGAGAATGCTTCTATGTCGTTTTTAGGAGAAGATATTTCCTTTTCCAACACAGTCCTCCAAGCCCGCTAAATATCCACTTGCACATTGTAGAAAAAGTGTGTCGAAGCTGCGCTATCAAAGGGAAAGTTCAACTCTGTGAGGTGAATGCAAACATCCCAAAGAAGTTTCTGAGAATGCTTCCGTTTAGCTTTTAGGTGAAGATTATCCCGTTTCCAACGAAATCTTCAAAGAGGTCCAAATATCCCCTTGCGGATCCCACAGAAAGAGTGTTTCGAAACTGCTGTTTCAAAAGGAATCTTCAACTCTGTGAGTTGAATGCAATCATCACAAAGAAGTTTCTGACAATGCTTCTCTCTCGTCTTTCTGTGAAGATAAAGGAAAAGGCTTTCAGGCCTTTTCCACCACAGGCCTGAAAGCGCTCCAAATGTCCACTTGCAGATTCTGCCAAAAGAATATTTCAAAACTGCTCTATGAAAAGCAATGTTAAACTCTGCGGCTCGAACACCAACATCACAAAGCAGTTTCTGAGAATGCTTCAGTTTAGTTTTTCTGTGGAAATATTCCCGTTTCCAAAGAAATCTTCCAAGAGGTCCACGAATCCACTTACAGATTCTACAAAAAGACAGTTTCAAAACTGCTCAATCAAAAGGCGGGTTCAACTGTGTGACTTGAATGCAATCATCACTCAGAAGTTTCTGAGAATGCTTCTCTTTAGTTTTTACGTGAACATATACCCGTTTCGAACGAAGGCCACCCAGTGGTCCAAATATCCACTTGCAGATTCTACAGAAAGAGTGTTTCGAACCTGAACTCTCAAAGGCAGGTTCATCTCTGCGAGTTAAATGCATTCATCATGAAGAACTTTCTCAGAGTGTTTGTGTTTAGTTATGGGAAATTATTCCCGTTTCCAATGAAATCCTCCGAGAGGTCCAAATATCCACCTGCAGATTCTACCAAAAGTGTATTTGGAAACTGCTCCATCAAAAGGCATGTTCAGCTCTGTGAGTGAAACTCCATCATCACAAAGAATATTCTGAGAATGCTTCCGTTTGCCTTTTATATGAAGTTCCTTCCTATACTACCGTAGGCCTCAAAGCAGTCCAAATCTCCATTTGCAGATTCTACAAAAAGAGTGATTCCAATCTGCTCTATCAATAGGATTGTTCAACTCCATGAGTTGAATGCCATCCTCACAAAGTCGTTTCTGAGAATGCTTCTATCTAGTTTTTATGTGAAGATATTTCCTTTTCCACCACAGGCCTCAAAGCCCTCCAAACGTCCACTTGCAGATTCTCGAAAAAGAGTGTTTCATAGCTGCTCTTTCAAAAGGAAATTTCAACTCTGGGAGTTGAATACAAACATCACAAAGAATGTTCTGAGTTTGCTTCTGTTTAGTTCTTATGTGAAGATGATCCCGTTTCCAGTGAAATCTTGAAAGAGGTCCACATATCCCCTTGCAGATTCCAAAGAAAGAGGGTTTCAAAACTGCTCCATCAAAAGGATTGTTCAACTCTGTGAGTTGAATGCAGTCATCGCAGAAAACTTTGCTGAGAATGCTTCCTGTCTAGGTTTGATGTGAAGATATAGACGTTTCAAACGAAGGCTACAAAGTGGTCAAAATATACACTTGCAGATTCTACTACAAGGGTGTTGCAAACCTGAACTATCAAAGGAAGGTTCAACTCTGTGAGTTGAATACAAACATCACAAAGAATGTTCTGAGTTTGCTTCCGTTCAGTTATGGGAAGTTGATCCCGTTTCCAACGAAATCCTCAGAGAGGTCCAAATATCCCCTTGCAGATTCTACAAAACGTGTGTTTGGAAACTGCTCCATCATAACGAATGTTCAGCTCCCTGAGTTAAACTCCATCGTCACAAAGAATTTTCTGAGAGTGCTACCGTCTAGTTTTTATATGAAGTTCTTTCCTTTACTACCACAGGCCTCAAAGCGGTCCAAATCTCCACTTGCAAATTCTACAAAAAGAGTGTTTGCAAACTGCTCTATCAAAAGGAATGTTCAACTCTGGGAGTTGAATGCAATCATCACAGAGCAGTTTCTGAGAAGGCTTCTATGTGGTTTTTAGGAGAAGATATTTCCTTTTCCAACACAGTCCTCCAAGCCCGCTAAATATCCACTTGCACATTGTAGAAAAAGTGTGTCGAAGCTGCGCTATCAAAGGGAAAGTTCAACTCTGTGAGGTGAATGCAAACATCCCAAAGAAGTTTCTGAGAATGCTTCCGTTTAGCTTTTAGGTGAAGATTATCCCGTTTCCAACGAAATCTTCAAAGAGGTCCAAATATCCCCTTGCGGATCCCACAGAAAGAGTGTTTCGAAACTGCTGTTTCAAAAGGAATCTTCAACTCTGTGAGTTGAATGCAATCATCACAAAGAAGTTTCTGACAATGCTTCTCTCTCGTCTTTCTGTGAAGATAAAGGAAAAGGCTTTCAGGCCTTTTCCACCACAGGCCTGAAAGCGCTCCAAATGTCCACTTGCAGATTCTGCGAAAAGAATATTTCAAAACTGCTCTATGAAAAGCAATGTTAAACTCTGTGGCTCGAACACAAACATCACAAAGCAGTTTCTGAGAATGCTTCAGTTTAGTTTTTCTGTGGAAATATTCCCGTTTCCAAAGAAATCTTCAAAGAGGTCCACGTATCCACTTACAGATTCTACAAAAAGACAGTTTCAAAACTGCTCCATCAAAAGGAGGGTTCAACTGTGTGACTTGAATGCAATCATCACTCAGAAGTTTCTGAGAATGCTTCTCTTTAGTTTTTACGTGAACATATACCCGTTTCGAACGAAGGCCACCCAGTGGTCCAAATATCCACTTGCAGATTCTACAGAAAGAGTGTTTCGAACCTGAACTCTCAAAGGCAGGTTCATCTCTGCGAGTTAAATGCATTCATCATGAAGAACTTTCTCAGAGTGTTTGTGTTTAGTTATGGGAAATTATTCCCGTTTCCAACGAAATCCTCAGAGAGCTCCAAATATCCACCTGCAGATTCTACCAAAAGTGTATTTGGAAACTGCTCCATCAAAAGGCATGTTCAGCTCTGTGAGTGAAACTCCATCATCACAAAGAATATTCTGAGAATGCTTCCGTTTGCCTTTTATATGAAGTTCCTTCCTATACTACCGTAGGCCTCAAAGCAGTCCAAATCTCCATTTGCAGATTCTACAAAAAGAGTGATTCCAATCTGCTCTATCAATAGGACTGTTCAACTCCATGAGTTGAATGCCATCCTCACAAAGTAGTTTCTGAGAATGCTTCTATCTAGTTTTTATGTGAAGATATTTCCTTTTCCACCACAGGCCTCAAAGCCCTCCAAACGTCCACTTGCAGATTCTCGAAAAAGAGTGCTTCATAGCTGCTCTTTCAAAAGGGAAGTTCAACTCTGGGAGCTGAATACAAACATCACAAAGTAGTTTCCGAGAATGCTTCCTGTTTAGTTTTTATGTGAAGATGATCCCGTTTCCAGTGAAATCTTCAAAGAGGTCCACATATCCCCTTGCAGATTCCAAAGAAAGAGGGTTTCAAAACTGCTCCATCAGAAGGATTGTTCAACTCTGTGAGTTGAATGCAGTCATCGCAGAAAACTTTCTGAGAATGCTTCTGGCTAGGTTTGATGTGAAGATATAGACGTTTCAAACGAAGGCTACAAAGTGGTCAAAATATACACTTGCAGATTCTACTACAAGGGTGTTGCAAACCTGAACTATCAAAGGAAGGTTCAACTCTGTGAGTTGAATACAAACATCACAAAGAATGTTCTGAGTTTGCTTCCGTTCAGTTATGGGAAGTTGATCCCATTTCCAACGAAATCCTCAGAGAGGTCCAAATATCCCTTTGCAGATTCTACAAAATGTGTGTTTGGAAACTGCTCCATCATAACGAATGTTCAGCTCTCTGAGTTAAACTCTATCGTCACAAAGAATTTTACTGAGAGTGCTACCGTCTGGTTTTTATATGAAGCTCTTTCCTTCACTACCACAGACCTCAAAGCGGTCCAAATCTCCACTTGCAGATTCTACAAAAAGAGTGTTTGCAAACTGCTCTATCAAAAGGAATGTTCAACTCTGGGAGTTGAATGCAATCATCACAGAGCAGTTTCTGAGAATGCTTCTATGTCGTTTTTAGGAGAAGATATTTCCTTTTCCAACACAGTCCTCCAAGCCCGCTCAATAGCCACTTGCACATTGTAGAAAAAGTGTGTCAAAGCTGCGCTATCAAAGGGAAAGTTCAACTCTGTGAGGTGAATGCAAACATCCCAAAGAAGTTTCTGAGAATGCTTCCGTTTAGCTTTTAGGTGAAGATTATCCCGTTTCCAACGAAACCTTCAAAGAGGTCCAAATATCCCCTTGCGGATCCCACAGAAAGAGTGTTTCGAAACTGCTGTTTCAAAAGGAATCTTCAACTACTGTGAGTTGAATGCAATCATCACAAAGAAGTTTCTGACAATGCTTTCTCTCTCGTCTTTCTGTGAAGATAAAGGAAAAGGCTTTCAGGCCTTTTCCCAACCACAGGCCTGAAAGCGCTCCAAATGTCCACTTGCAGATTCTGCCAAAAGAATATTTCAAAACTGCTCTATGAAAAGCAATGTTAAACTCTGTGGCTCGAACACAAACATCACAAAGCAGTTTCTGAGAATGCTTCAGTTTAGTTTTTCTGTGGAAATATTCCCGTTTCCAAAGAAATCTTCAAAGAGGTCCACGTATCCACTTACAGATTCTACAAAAAGACAGTTTCAAAACTGCTCCATCAAAAGGAGGGTTCAACTGTGTGACTTGAATGCAATCATCACTCAGAAGTTTCTGAGAATGCTTCTCTTTAGTTTTTACGTGAACATATACCCGTTTCGAACGAAGGCCAGCCAGTGGTCCAAATATCCACTTGCAGATTCTACAGAAAGAGTGTTTCGAACCTGAACTCTCAAAGGCAGGTTCATCTCTGCGAGTTAAATGCATTCATCATGAAGAACTTTCTCAGAGTGTTTGTGTTTAGTTATGGGAAATTATTCCCGTTTCCAACGAAATCCTCGGAGAGCTCCAAATATCCACCTGCAGATTCTACCAAAAGTGTATTTGGAAACTGCTCCATCAAAAGGCATGTTCAGCTCTGTGAGTGAAACTCCATCATCACAAAGAATATTCTGAGAATGCTTCCGTTTGCCTTTTATATGAAGTTCCTTCCTATACGACCGTAGGCCTCAAAGCAGTCCAAATCTCCATTTGCAGATTCTACAAAAAGAGTGATTCCAATCTGCTCTATCAATAGGATTGTTCAACTCCATGAGTTGAATGCCATCCTCACAAAGTCGTTTCTGAGAATGCTTCTATCTAGTTTTTATGTGAAGATATTTCCTTTTCCACCACAGGCCTCAAAGCCCTCCAAACGTCCACTTGCAGATTCTCGAAAAAGAGTGTTTCATAGCTGCTCTTTCAAAAGGAAAGTTCAACTCTGGAAGTTGAATACAAACATCACAAAGTAGTTTCCGAGAATGCTTCTGTTTAGTTTTTATGTGAAGATGATCCCGTTTCCAGTGAAATCTTCAAAGAGGTCCACATATCCCCTTGCAGATTCCAAAGAAAGAGGGTTTCAAAACTGCTCCATCAGAAGGATTGTTCAACTCTGTGAGTTGAATGCAGTCATCGCAGAAAACTTTCTGAGAATGCTTCTGTCTAGGTTTGATGTGAAGATATAGACGTTTCAAACGAAGGCTACAAAGTGGTCAAAATATACACTTGCAGATTCTACTACAAGGGTGTTGCAAACCTGAACTATCAAAGGAAGGTTCAACTCTGTGAGTTGAATACAAACATCACAAAGAATGTTCTGAGTTTGCTTCCGTTCAGTTATGGGAAGTTGATCCCGTTTCCAACGAAATCCTCAGAGAGGTCCAAATATCCCCTTGCAGATTCTACAAAACGTGTGTTTGGAAACTGCTCCATCATAACGAATGTTCAGCTCCCTGAGTTAAACTCCATCGTCACAAAGAATTTTCTGAGAGTGCTACCGTCTGGTTTTTATATGAAGTTCTTTCCTTCACTACCACAGGCCTCAAAGCGGTCCAAATCTCCACTTGCAGATTCTACAAAAAGAGTGTTTGCAAACTGCTCTATCAAAAGGAATGTTCAACTCTGGGAGTTGAATGCAATCATCACAGAGCAGTTTCTGAGAATGCTTCTATGTCGTTTTTAGGAGAAGATATTTCCTTTTCCAACACAGTCCTCCAAGCCCGCTAAATAGCCACTTGCACATTGTAGAAAAAGTGTGTCAAAGCTGCGCTATCAAAGGGAAAGTTCAACTCTGTGAGGTGAATGCAAACATCCCAAAGAAGTTTCTGAGAATGCTTCCGTTTAGCTTTTAGGTGAAGATTATCCCGTTTCCAACGAAACCTTCAAAGAGGTCCAAATATCCCCTTGCGGATCCCACAGAAAGAGTGTTTCGAAACTGCTGTTTCAAAAGGAATCTTCAACTCTGTGAGTTGAATGCAATCATCACAAAGAAGTTTCTGACAATGCTTCTCTCTCGTCTTTCTGTGAAGATAAAGGAAAAGGCTTTCAGGCCTTTTCCACCACAGGCCTGAAAGCGCTCCAAATGTCCACTTGCAGATTCTGCGAAAAGAATATTTCAAAACTGCTCTATGAAAAGCAATGTTAAACTCTGTGGCTCGAACACAAACATCACAAAGCGGTTTCTGAGAATGCTTCAGTTTAGTTTTTCCGTGGAAATATTCCCGTTTCCAAAGAAATCTTCAAAGAGGTCCACGTATCCACTTACAGATTCTACAAAAAGACAGTTTCAAAACTGCTCCATCAAAAGGAGGGTTCAACTGTGTGACTTGAATGCAATCATCACTCAGAAGTTTCTGAGAATGCTTCTCTTTAGTTTTTACGTGAACATATACCCGTTTCGAACGAAGGCCACCCAGTGGTCCAAATATCCACTTGCAGATTCTACAGAAAGAGTGTTTCGAACCTGAACTCTCAAAGGCAGGTTCATCTCTGCGAGTTAAATGCATTCATCATGAAGAACTTTCTCAGAGTGTTTGTGTTTAGTTATGGGAAATTATTCCCGTTTCCAACGAAATCCTCAGAGAGCTCCAAATATCCACCTGCAGATTCTACCAAAAGTGTATTTGGAAACTGCTCCATCAAAAGGCATGTTCAGCTCTGTGAGTGAAACTCCATCATCACAAAGAATATTCTGAGAATGCTTCCGTTTGCCTTTTATATGAAGTTCCTTCCTATACGACCGTAGGCCTCAAAGCAGTCCAAATCTCCATTTGCAGATTCTACAAAAAGAGTGATTCCAATCTGCTCTATCAATAGGATTGTTCAACTCCATGAGTTGAATGCCATCCTCACAAAGTCGTTTCTGAGAATGCTTCTATCTAGTTTTTATGTGAAGATATTTCCTTTTCCACCACAGGCCTCAAAGCCCTCCAAACGTCCACTTGCAGATTCTCGAAAAAGAGTGTTTCATAGCTGCTCTTTCAAAAGGAAAGTTCAACTCTGGGAGTTGAATACAAACATCACAAAGTAGTTTCCGAGAATGCTTCTGTTTAGTTTTTATGTGAAGATGATCCCGTTTCCAGTGAAATCTTCAAAGAGGTCCACATATCCCCTTGCAGATTCCAAAGAAAGAGGGTTTCAAAACTGCTCCATCAGAAGGATTGTTCAACTCTGTGAGTTGAATGCAGTCATCGCAGAAAACTTTCTGAGAATGCTTCTGTCTAGGTTTGATGTGAAGATATAGACGTTTCAAACGAAGGCTACAAAGTGGTCAAAATATACACTTGCAGATTCTACTACAAGGGTGTTGCAAACCTGAACTATCAAAGGAAGGTTCAACTCTGTGAGTTGAATACAAACATCACAAAGAATGTTCTGAGTTTGCTTCCGTTCAGTTATGGGAAGTTGATCCCGTTTCCAACGAAATCCTCAGAGAGGTCCAAATATCCCCTTGCAGATTCTACAAAACGTGTGTTTGGAAACTGCTCCATCATAACGAATGTTCAGCTCCCTGAGTTAAACTCCATCGTCACAAAGAATTTTCTGAGAGTGCTACCGTGTGGTTTTTATATGAAATTCTTACCTTCACTGCCACAGACCTCAAAGCGGTCCAAATCTCCACTTGCAGATTCTACAAAAAGAGTGTTTGCAAACTGCTCTATCAAAAGGAATGTTCAACTCTGGGAGTTGAATGCAATCATCACAGAGCAGTTTCTGAGAATGCTTCTATGTCGTTTTTAGGAGAAGATATTTCCTTTTCCAACACAGTCCTCCAAGCCCGCTAAATAGCCACTTGCACATTGTAGAAACAGTGTGTCAAAGCTGCGCTATCAAAGGGAAAGTTCAACTCTGTGAGGTGAATGCAAACATCCCAAAGAAGTTTCTGAGAATGCTTCCGTTTAGCTTTTAGGTGAAGATTATCCCGTTTCCAACGAAACCTTCAAAGAGGTCCAAATATCCCCTTGCGGATCCCACAGAAAGAGTGTTTCGAAACTGCTGTTTCAAAAGGAATCTTCAACTCTGTGAGTTGAATGCAATCATCCCAAAGAAGTTTCTGACAATGCTTCTCTCTCGTCTTTCTGTGAAGATAAAGGAAAAGGCTTTCAGGCCTTTTCCACCACAGGCCTGAAAGCGCTCCAAAAGTCCATTTGCAGATTCTGCCAAAAGAATATTTCAAAACTGCTCTATGAAAAGCAATGTTAAACTCTGTGGCTCGAACACAAACATCACAAAGCAGTTTCTGAGAATGCTTCAGTTTAGTTTTTCTGTGGAAATATTCCCGTTTCCAAAGAAATCTTCAAAGAGGTCCACGTATCCACTTACAGATTCTACAAAAAGACAGTTTCAAAACTGCTCCATCAAAAGGAGGGTTCAACTGTGTGACTTGAATGCAATCATCACTCAGAAGTTTCTGAGAATGCTTCTCTTTAGTTTTTACGTGAACATATACCCGTTTCGAACGAAGGCCAGCCAGTGGTCCAAATATCCACTTGCAGATTCTACAGAAAGAGTGTTTCGAACATGAACTCTCAAAGGCAGGTTCATCTCTGCGAGTTAAATGCATTCATCATGAAGAACTTTCTCAGAGTGTTTGTGTTTAGTTATGGGAAATTATTCCCGTTTCCAACGAAATCCTCAGAAAGCTCCAAATATCCACCTGCAGATTCTACCAAAAGTGTATTTGGAAACTGCTCCATCAAAAGGCATGTTCAGCTCTGTGAGTGAAACTCCATCATCACAAAGAATATTCTGAGAATGCTTCCGTTTGCCTTTTATATGAAGTTCCTTCCTATACGACCGTAGGCCTCAAAGCAGTCCAAATCTCCATTTGCAGATTCTACAAAAAGAGTGATTCCAATCTGCTCTATCAATAGGATTGTTCAACTCCATGAGTTGAATGCCATCCTCACAAAGTCGTTTCTGAGAATGCTTCTATCTAGTTTTTATGTGAAGATATTTCCTTTTCCACCACAGGCCTCAAAGCCCTCCAAACGTCCACTTGCAGATTCTCGAAAAAGAGTGTTTTATAGCTGCTCTTTCAAAAGGAAAGTTCAACTCTGGGAGTTGAATACAAACATCACAAAGTAGTTTCCGAGAATGCTTCTGTTTAGTTTTTATGTGAAGATGATCCCGTTTCCAGTGAAATCTTCAAAGAGGTCCACATATCCCCTTGCAGATTCCAAAGAAAGAGGGTTTCAAAACTGCTCCATCAGAAGGATTGTTCAACTCTGTGAGTTGAATGCAGTCATCGCAGAAAACTTTCTGAGAATGCTTCTGTCTAGGTTTGATGTGAAGATATAGATGTTTCAAACGAAGGCTACAAAGTGGTCAAAATATACACTTGCAGATTCTACTACAAGGGTGTTGCAAACCTGAACTATCAAAGGAAGGTTCAACTCTGTGAGTTGAATACAAACATCACAAAGAATGTTCTGAGTTTGCTTCCGTTCAGTTATGGGAAGTTGATCCCGTTTCCAACGAAATCCTCAGAGAGGTCCAAATATCCCCTTGCAGATTCTACAAAACGTGTGTTTGGAAACTGCTCCATCGTAACGAATGTTCAGCTCCCTGAGTTAAACTCCATCGTCACAAAGAATTTTCTGAGAGTGCTACCGTCTGGTTTTTATATGAAGTTCTTTCCTTCACTACCACAGGCCTCAAAGCGGTCCAAATCTCCACTTGCAGATTCTACAAAAAGAGTGTTTGCAAACTGCTCTATCAAAAGGAATGTTCAACTCTGGGAGTTGAATGCAATCATCACAGAGCAGTTTCTGAGAATGCTTCTATGTCGTTTTTAGGAGAAGATATTTCCTTTTCCAACACAGTCCTCCAAGCCCGCTAAATAGCCACTTGCACATTGTAGAAAAAGTGTGTCAAAGCTGCGCTATCAAAGGGAAAGTTCAACTCTGTGAGGTGAATGCAAACATCCCAAAGAAGTTTCTGAGAATGCTTCCGTTTAGCTTTTAGGTGAAGATTATCCCGTTTCCAACGAAACCTGCAAAGAGGTCCAAATATCCCCTTGCGGATCCCACAGAAAGAGTGTTTCGAAACTGCTGTTTCAAAAGGAATCTTCAACTCTGTGAGCTGAATGCAATCATCACAAAGAAGTTTCTGACAATGCTTCTCTCTCGTCTTTCTGTGAAGATAAAGGAAAAGGCTTTCAGGCCTTTTCCACCACAGGCCTGAAAGCGCTCCAAATGTCCACTTGCAGATTCTGCGAAAAGAATATTTCAAAACTGCTCTATGAAAAGCAATGTTAAACTCTGTGGCTGGAACACAAACATCACAAAGCGGTTTCTGAGAATGTTTCAGTTTAGTTTTTCTGTGGAAATATTCCCGTTTCCAAAGAAATCTTCAAAGAGGTCCACGTATCCACTTACAGATTCTACAAAAAGACAGTTTCAAAACTGCTCCATCAAAAGGAGGGTTCAACTGTGTGACTTGAATGCAATCATCACTCAGAAGTTTCTGAGAATGCTTCTCTTTAGTTTTTACGTGAACATATACCCGTTTCGAACGAAGGCCACCCAGTGGTCCAAATATCCACTTGCAGATTATACAGAAAGAGTGTTTCGAACCTGAACTCTCAAAGGCAGGTTCATCTCTGCGAGTTAAATGCATTCATCATGAAGAACTTTCTCAGAGTGTTTGTGTTTAGTTATGGGAAATTATTCCCGTTTCCAACGAAATCCTCAGAGAGCTCCAAATATCCACCTGCAGATTCTACCAAAAGTGTATTTGGAAACTGCTCCATCAAAAGGCATGTTCAGCTCTGTGAGTGAAACTCCATCATCACAAAGAATATTCTGAGAATGCTTCCGTTTGCCTTTTATCTGAAGTTCCTTCCTGTACTACCGTAGGCCTCAAAGCAGTCCAAATCTCCATTTGCAGATTCTATAAAAAGAG
Source organism: Homo sapiens (assembly GCF_000001405.40). Lineage (NCBI taxonomy): Eukaryota > Metazoa > Chordata > Mammalia > Primates > Hominidae > Homo > Homo sapiens. The sequence continues at coordinate 60,915,075 of NC_000023.11, read as the reverse complement.
TGATTCCAATCTGCTCTATCAATAGGATTGTTCAACTCCATGAGTTGAATGCCATCCTCACAAAGTAGTTTCTGAGAATGCTTCTATCTGGTTTTTGTGTGAAGATATTTCCTTTTCCACCACAGGCCTCAAAGCCCTCCAAACGTCCACTTGCAGATTCTCGAAAAAGAGTGTTTCATAGCTGCTCTTTCAAAAGGAAAGTTCAAGTCTGGGAGTTGAATGCAAACATCACAAAATAGTTTCCGAGAATGCTTCTGTTTAGTTTTTATGTGAAGATGATCCCGTTTCCAGTGAAATCTTCAAAGAGGTCCACATATCCCCTTGCAGATTCCAAAGAAAGAGGGTTTCAAAACTGCTCCATCAGAAGGATTGTTCAACTCTGTGAGTTGAATGCAGTCATCGCAGAAAACTTTCTGAGAATGCTTCCGTTCAGTTATGGGAAGTTGATCCCGTTTCCAACGAAATCCTCAGAGAGGTCCAAATATCCCCTTGCAGATTCTACAAAACGTGTGTTTGGAAACTGCTCCATCATAACGAATGTTCAGCTCCCTGAGTTAAACTCCATCGTCACAAAGAATTTTCTGAGAGTGCTACCGTGTGGTTTTTATATGAAGCTCTTTCCTTCACTACCACAGGCCTCAAAGCGGTCCAAATCTCCACTTCCAGATTCTACAAAAAGAGTGTTTGCAAACTGCTCTATCAAAAGGAATGTTCAACTCTGGGAGTTGAATGCAATCATCACAGAGCAGTTTCTGAGAATGCTTCTATGTCGTTTTTAGGAGAAGATATTTCCTTTTCCAACACAGTCCTCCAAGCCCGCTAAATAGCCACTTGCACATTGTAGAAAACGTGTGTCAAAGCTGCGCTATCAAAGGGAAAGTTCAACTCTGTGAGGTGAATGCAAACATCCCAAAGAAGTTTCTGAGAATGCTTCCGTTTAGCTTTTAGGTGAAGATTATCCCGTTTCCAACGAAACCTTCAAAGAGGTCCAAATATCCCCTTGCGGATCCCACAGAAAGAGTGTTTCGAAACTGCTGTTTCAAAAGGAATCTTCAACTCTGTGAGTTGAATGCAATCATCACAAAGAAGTTTCTGGCAATGCTTCTCTCTCGTCTTTCTGTGAAGATAAAGGAAAAGGCTTTCAGGCCTTTTCCACCACAGGCCTGAAAGCGCTCCAAATGTCCACTTGCAGATTCTGCTAAAAGAATATTTCAAAACTGCTCTATGAAAAGCAATGTTAAACTCTGTGGCTCGAACACAAACATCACAAAGCAGTTTCTGAGAATGCTTCAGTTTAGTTTTTCTGTGGAAATATTCCCGTTTCCAAAGAAATCTTCAAAGAGGTCCACGTATCCACTTACAGATTCTACAAAAAGACAGTTTCAAAACTGCTCCATCAAAAGGAGGGTTCAACTGTGTGACTTGAATGCAATCATCACTCAGAAGTTTCTGAGAATGCTTCTCTTTAGTTTTTACGTGAACATATACCCGTTTCGAACGAAGGCCACCCAGTGGTCCAAATATCCACTTGCAGATTCTACAGAAAGAGTGTTTCGAACCTGAACTCTCAAAGGCAGGTTCATCTCTGCGAGTTAAATGCATTCATCATGAAGAACTTTCTCAGAGTGTTTGTGTTTAGTTATGGGAAATTATTCCCGTTTCCAACGAAATCCTCAGAGAGCTCCAAATATCCACCTGCAGATTCTACCAAAAGTGTATTTGGAAACTGCTCCATCAAAAGGCATGTTCAGCTCTGTGAGTGAAACTCCATCATCACAAAGAATATTCTGAGAATGCTTCCGTTTGCCTTTTATATGAAGTTCCTTCCTGTACTACCGTAGGCCTCAAAGCAGTCCAAATCTCCATTTGCAGATTCTACAAAAAGAGTGATTCCAATCTGCTCTATCAATAGGATTGTTCAACTCCATGAGTTGAATGTCATCCTCACAATGTCGTTTCTGAGAATGCTTCTATCTAGTTTTTATGTGAAGATATTTCCTTTTCCACCACAGGCCTCAAAGCCCTCCAAACGTCCACTTGCAGATTCTCGAAAAAGAGTGTTTCATAGCTGCTCTTTCAAAAGGAAAGTTCAACTCTGGGAGTTGAATACAAACATCACAAAATAGTTTCCGAGACTGCTTCTGTTTAGTTTTTATATGAAGATGATCCCGTTTCCAGTGAAATCTTCAAAGAGGTGCACATATCGCCTTGCAGATTCCAAAGAAAGAGGGTTTCAAAACTGCTCCATCAGAAGGATTGTTCAACTCTGTGAGTTGAATGCAGTCATCGCAGAAAACTTTCTGAGAATGCTTCTGTCTAGGTTTGATGTGAAGATATAGACGTTTCAAACGAAGGCTACAAAGTGGTCAAAATATACACTTGCAGATTCTACTACAAGGGTGTTGCAAACCTGAACTATCAAAGGAAGGTTCAACTCTGTGAGTTGAATACAAACATCACAAAGAATGTTCTGAGTTTGCTTCCGTTCAGTTATGGGAAGTTGATCCCGTTTCCAACGAAATCCTCAGAGAGGTCCAAATATCCCCTCGCAGATTCTACAAAACGTGTGTTTGGAAACTGCTCCATCATAAAGAATGTTCAGCTCCCTGAGTTAAACTCCATCGTCACAAAGAATTTTCTGAGAGTGCTACCGTCTGGTTTTTATATGAAGTTCTTTCCTTCACTACGACAGGCCTCAAAGCGGTCCAAATCTCCACTTGCAGATTCTACAAAAAGAGTGTTTGCAAACTGCTCTATCAAAAGGAATGTTCAACTCTAGGAGTTGAATGCAATCATCACAGAGCAGTTTCTGAGAATGCTTCTATGTCGTTTTTAGGAGAAGATATTTCCTTTTCCAACACAGTCCTCCAAGCCCGCTAAATAGCCACTTGCACATTGTAGAAAAAGTGTGTCAAAGCTGCGCTATCAAAGGGAAAGTTCAACTCTGTGAGGTGAATGCAAACATCCCAAAGAAGTTTCTGAGAATGCTTCCCGTTTAGCTTTTAGGTGAGGATTATCCCGTTTCCAACGAAACCTTCAAAGAGGTCCAAATATCCCCTTGCGGATCCCACAGAAAGAGTGTTTCGAAACTGCTGTTTCAAAAGGAATCTTCAACTCTGTGAGTTGAATGCAATCATCACAAAGAAGTTTCTGACAATGCTTCTCTCTCGTCTTTCTGTGAAGATAAAGGAAAAGGCTTTCAGGCCTTTTCCACCACAGGCCTGAAAGCGCTCCAAATGTCCACTTGCAGATTCTGCCAAAAGAATATTTCAAAACTGCTCTATGAAAAGCAATGTTAAACTCTGTGGCTCGAACACAAACATCACAAAGCGGTTTCTGAGAATGCTTCAGTTTAGTTTTTCTGTGGAAATATTCCCGTTTCCAAAGAAATCTTCAAAGAGGTCCACTTATCCACTTACAGATTCTACAAAAAGACAGTTTCAAAACTGCTCCATCAAAAGGAAGGTTCAACTGTGTGACTTGAATGCAATCATCACTCAGAAGTTTCTGAGAATGCTTCTCTTTAGTTTTTACGTGAACATATACCCGTTTCGAACGAAGGCCAGCCAGTGGTCCAAATATCCACTTGCAGATTCTACAGAAAGAGTGTTTCGAACATGAACTCTCAAAGGCAGGTTCATCTCTGCGAGTTAAATGCATTCATCATGAAGAACTTTCTCAGAGTGTTTGTGTTTAGTTATGGGAAATTATTCCCGTTTCCAACGAAATCCTCAGAGAGCTCCAAATATCCACCTGCAGATTCTACCAAAAGTGTATTTGGAAACTGCTCCATCAAAAGGCATGTTCAGCTCTGTGAGTGAAACTCCATCATCACAAAGAATATTCTGAGAATGCTTCCGTTTGCCTTTTATATGAAGTTCCTTCCTATACTACCGTAGGCCTCAAAGCAGTCCAAATCTCCATTTGCAGATTCTACAAAAAGAGTGATTCCAATCTGCTCTATCAATAGGATTGTTCAACTCCATGAGTTGAATTCCATCCTCACAATGTCGTTTGTGAGAATGCTTCTATCTAGTTTTTATGTGAAGATATTTCCTTTTCCACCACAGGCCTCAAAGCCCTCCAAACGTCCACTTGCAGATTCTCGAAAAAGAGTGTTTCATAGCTGCTCTTTCAAAAGGAAAGTTCAACTCTGGGAGTTGAATACAAACATCACAAAGTAGTTTCCGAGAATGCTTCTGTTTAGTTTTTATGTGAAGATGATCCCGTTTCCAGTGAAATCTTCAAAGAGGTCCACATATCCCCTTGCAGATTCCAAAGAAAGAGGGTTTCAAAACTGCTCCATCAGAAGGATTGTTCAACTCTGTGAGTTGAATGCAGTCATCGCAGAAAACTTTCTGAGAATGCTTCTGTCTAGGTTTGATGTGAAGATATAGACGTTTCAAACGAAGGCTACAAAGTGGTCAAAATATACACTTGCAGATTCTACTACAAGGGTGTTGCAAACCTGAACTATCAAAGGAAGGTTCAACTCTGTGAATTGAATACAAACATCACAAAGAATGTTCTGAGTTTGCTTCCGTTCAGTTATGGGAAGTTGATCCCGTTTCCAACGAAATCCTCAGAGAGGTCCAAATATCCCCTTGCAGATTCTACAAAACGTGTGTTTGGAAACTGCTCCATCATAACGAATGTTCAGCTCCCTGAGTTAAACTCCATCGTCACAAAGAATTTTCTGAGAGTGCTACCGTCTGGTTTTTATATGAAGTTCTTTCCTTCACTACCACAGGCCTCAAAGCGGTCCAAATCTCCACTTGCAGATTCTACAAAAAGAGTGTTTGCAAACTGCTCTATCAAAAGGAATGTTCAACTCTGGGAGTTGAATGCAATCATCACAGAGCAGTTTCTGAGAATGCTTCTATGTCGTTTTTAGGAGAAGATATTTCCTTTTCCAACACAGTCCTCCAAGTCCGCTAAATAGCCACTTGCACATTGTAGAAAAAGTGTGTCAAAGCTGCGCTATCAAAGGGAAAGTTCAACTCTGAGAGGTGAATGCAAACATCCCAAAGAAGTTTCTGAGAGTGCTTCCGTTTAGCTTTTAGGTGAAGATTATCCCGTTTCCAACGAAACCTTCAAAGAAGTCCAAATATCCCCTTGCGGATCCCACAGAAAGAGTGTTTCGAAACTGCTGTTTCAAAAGGAATCTTCAACTCTGTGAGTTGAATGCAATCATCACAAAGAAGTTTCTGACAATGCTTCTCTCTCGTCTTTCTGTGAAGATAAATAAATGCTTTCAGGCCTTTGCCACCACAGGCCTGAAAGCGCTCCAAATGTCCACTTGCAGATTCTGCGAAAAGAATATTTCAAAACTGCTTTGTGAAAAGCAATGTTAAACTCTGTGGCTCGAACACAAACATCACAAAGCGGTTTCTGAGAATGCTTCAGTTTAGTTTTTCTGTGGAAATATTCCCGTTTCCAAAGAAATCTTCAAAGAGGTCCACGTATCCACTTACAGATTCTACAAAAAGACAGTTTCAAAACTGCTCCATCAAAAGGAGGGTTCAACTGTGTGAATTGAATGCAATCATCACTCAGAAGTTTCTGAGAATGCTTCTCTTTAGTTTTTACGTGAACATATACCCGTTTCGAACGAAGGCCACCCAGTGGTCCAAATATCCACTTGCAGATTCTACAGAAAGAGTGTTTCGAACCTGAACTCTCAAAGGCAGGTTCATCTCTGCGAGTTAAATGCATTCATCATGAAGAACTTTCTCAGAGTGTTTGTGTTTAGTTATGGGAAATTATTCCCGTTTCCAACGAAATCCTCAGAGAGCTCCAAATATCCACCTGCAGATTCTACCAAAAGTGTATTTGGAAACTGCTCCATCAAAAGGCATGTTCAGCTCTGTGAGTGAAACTCCATCATCACAAAGAATATTCTGAGAATGCTTCCGTTTGCCTTTTATATGAAGTTCCTTCCTATACTACCGTAGGCCTCAAAGCAGTCCAAATCTCCATTTGCAGATTCTACAAAAAGAGTGATTCCAATCTGCTCTATCAATAGGATTGTTCAACTCCATGAGTTGAATGCCATCCTCACAAAGTCGTTTCTGAGAATGCTTCTATCTGGTTTTTGTGTGAAGATATTTCCTTTTCCACCACAGGCCTCAAAGCCCTCCAAACGTCCACTTGCAGATTCTCGAAAAAGAGTGTTTCATAGCTGCTCTTTCAAAAGGAAAGTTCAACTCTGGGAGTTGAATACAAACATCACAAAATAGTTTCCGAGAATGCTTCTGTTTAGTTTTTATGTGAAGATGATCCCGTTTCCAGTGAAATCTTCAAAGAGGTCCACATATCCCCTTGCAGATTCCAAAGAAAGAGGGTTTAAAAACTGCTCCATCAGAAGGATTGTTCAACTCTGTGAGTTGAATGCAGTCATCGCAGAAAACTTTCTGAGAATGCTTCTGTCTAGGTTTGATGTGAAGATATAGACGTTTCAAACGAAGGCTACAAAGTGGTCAAAATATACACTTGCAGATTCTACTACAAGGGTGTTGCAAACCTGAACTATCAAAGGAAGGTTCAACTCTGTGAATTGAATACAAACATCACAAAGAATGTTCTGAGTTTGCTTCCGTTCAGTTATGGGAAGTTGATCCCGTTTCCAACGAAATCCTCAGAGAGGTCCAAATATCCCCTCACAGATTCTACAAAACGTGTGTTTGGAAACTGCTCCATCATAACGAATGTTCAGCTCCCTGAGTTAAACTCCATCGTCACAAAGAATTTTCTGAGAGTGCTACCGTCTGGTTTTTATATGAAGTTCTTTCCTTCACTACCACAGGCCTCAAAGCGGTCCAAATCTCCACTTGCAGATTCTACAAAAAGAGTGTTTGCAAACTGCTCTATCAAAAGGAATGTTCAACTCTGGGAGTTGAATGCAATCATCACAGAGCAGTTTCTGAGAATGCTTCTATGTCGTTTTTAGGAGAAGATATTTCCTTTTCCAACACAGTCCTCCAAGCCCGCTAAATAGCCACTTGCACATTGTAGAAAAAGTGTGTCAAAGCTGCGCTATCAAAGGGAAAGTTCAACTCTGTGAGGTGAATGCAAACATCCCAAAGAAGTTTCTGAGAATGCTTCCGTTTAGCTTTTAGGTGAAGATTATCCCGTTTCCAACGAAACCTTCAAAGAGGTCCAAATATCCCCTTGCGGATCCCACAGAAAGAGTGTTTCGAAACTGCTGTTTCAAAAGGAATCTTCAACTCTGTGAGTTGAATGCAATCATCACAAAGAAGTTTCTGACAATGCTTCTCTCTCGTCTTTCTGTGAAGATAAAGGAAAAGGCTTTCAGGCCTTTTCCACCACAGGCCTGAAAGCGCTCCAAATGTCCACTTGCAGATTCTGCGAAAAGAATATTTCAAAACTGCTTTGTGAAAAGCAATGTTAAACTCAGTGGCTCGAACACAAACATCACAACGCGGTTTCTGAGAATGCTTCAGTTTAGTTTTTCTGTGGAAATATTCCCGTTTCCAAAGAAATCTTCAAAGAGGTCCACGCATCCACTTACAGATTCTACAAAAAGACAGTTTCAAAACTGCTCCATCAAAAGGAGGGTTCAACTGTGTGACTTGAATGCAATCATCACTCAGAAGTTTCTGAGAATGCTTCTCTTTAGTTTTTACGTGAACATATACCCGTTTCGAACGAAGGCCACCCAGTGGTCCAAATATCCACTTGCAGATTATACAGAAAGAGTGTTTCGAACCTGAACTCTCAAAGGCAGGTTCATCTCTGCGAGTTAAATGCATTCATCATGAAGAACTTTCTCAGAGTGTTTGTGTTTAGTTATGGGGAATTGTTCCCGTTTCCAACGAAATCCTCAGAGAGCTCCAAATATCCACCTGCAGATTCTACCAAAAGTGTATTTGGAAACTGCTCCATCAAAAGGCATGTTCAGCTCTGTGAGTGAAACTCCATCATCACAAAGAATATTCTGAGAATGCTTCCGTTTGCCTTTTATATGAAGTTCCTTCCTGTACTACCGTAGGCCTCAAAGCAGTCCAAATCTCCATTTGCAGATTCTATAAAAAGAGTGATTCCAATCTGCTCTATCAATAGGATTGTTCAACTCCATGATTTGAATGCCATCCTCACAAAGTAGTTTCTGAGAATGCTTCTATCTAGTTTTTATGTGAAGATATTTCCTTTTCCACCACAGGCCTCAAAGCCCTCCAAACGTCAACTTGCAGATTCTCGAAAAAGAGTGTTTCATAGCCGCTCTTTCAAAAGGAAAGTTCAACTCTGGGAGTTGAATACAAACATCACAAAGTAGTTTCCGAGAATGCTTCTGTTTAGTTCTTATGTGAAGATGATCCCGTTTCCAGTGAAATCTTCAAAGAGGTCCACATATCCCCTTGCAGATTCCAAAGAAAGAGGGTTTCAAAACTGCTCCATCGAAAGGATTGTTCAACTCTGTGAGTTGAATGCAGTCATCGCAGAAAACTTTCTGAGAATGCTTCTGTCTAGGTTTGAGGTGAAGATATAGACGTTTCAAACGAAGGCTACAAAGTGGTCAAAATATACACTTGCAGATTCTACTACAAGGGTGTTGCAAACCTGAACTATCAAAGGAAGGTTCAACTCTGTGAGTTGAATACAAACATCACAAAGAATGTTCTGAGTTTGCTACCGTTCAGTTATGGGAAGTTGATCCCGTTTCCAACGAAATCCTCAGAGAGGTCCAAATATCCCCTTGCAGATTCTACAAAACGTGTGTTTGGAAACTGCTCCATCATAACGAATGTTCAGCTCTCTGAGTTAAACTCCATCGTCACAAAGAATTTTCTGAGAGTGCTACCGTCTGGTTTTTATATGAAGTTCTTTCCTTTACTACCACAGGCCTCAAAGCGGTCCAAATCTCCACTTGCAGATTCTACAAAAAGAGTGTTTGCAAACTGCTCTATCAAAAGGAATGTTCAACTCTGGGAGTTGAATGCAATCATCACAGAGCAGTTTCTGAGAATGCTTCTATGTCGTTTTTAGGAGAAGATATTTCCTTTTCCAACACAGTCCTCCAAGCCCGCTAAATATCCACTTGCACATTGTAGAAAAAGTGTGTCGAAGCTGCGCTATCAAAGGGAAAGTTCAACTCTGTGAGGTGAATGCAGACATCCCAAAGAAGTTTCTGAGAATGCTTCCGTTTAGCTTTTAGGTGAAGATTATCCCGTTTCCAACGAAATCTTCAAAGAGGTCCAAATATCCCCTTGCGGATCCCACAGAAAGAGTGTTTCGAAACTGCTGTTTCAAAAGGAATCTTCAACTCTGTGAGTTGAATGCAATCATCACAAAGAAGTTTCTGACAATGCTTCTCTCTCGTCTTTCTGTGAAGATAAAGGAAAAGGCTTTCAGGCCTTTTCCACCACAGGCCTGAAAGCGCTCCAAATGTCCACTTGCAGATTCTGCCAAAAGAATATTTCAAAACTGCTCTGTGAAAAGCAATGTTAAACTCTGCGGCTCGAACACAAACATCACAAAGCCGTTTCTGAGAATGCTTCAGTTTAGTTTTTCTGTGGAAATATTCCTGTTTCCAAAGAAATCTTCAAAGAGGTCCACGTATCCACTTACAGATCCTACAAAAAGACAGATTCAAAACTGCTCAATCAAAAGGAGGGTTCAACCGTGTGACTTTAATGCAATCATCACTCAGAAGTTTCTGAGAATGCTTCTCTTTAGTTTTTACGTGAACATATACCCGTTTCGAACGAAGGCCACCCAGTGGTCCAAATATCCACTTGCAGATTCTACAGAAAGAGTGTTTCGAACCTGAACTCTCAAAGGCAGGTTCATCTCTGCGAGTTAAATGCATTCATCATGAAGAACTTTCTCAGAGTGTTTGTGTTTAGTTATGGGAAATTATTCCCGTTTCCAACGAAATCCTCCGAGAGGTCCAAATATCCACCTGCAGATTCTACCAAAAGTGTATTTGGAAACTGCTCCATCAAAAGGCATGTTCAGCTCTGTGAGTGAAACTCCATCATCACAAAGAATATTCTGAGAATGCTTCCGTTTGCCTTTTACATGAAGTTCCTTCCTATACTACCGTAGGCCTCAAAGCAGTCCAAATCTCCATTTGCAGATTCTACAAAAAGAGTGATTCCAATCTGCTCTATCAATAGGATTGTTCAACTCCATGAGTTGAATGCCTTCCTCACAAAGTCGTTTCTGAGAATGCTTCTATCTAGTTTTTATGTGAAGATATTTCCTTTTCCACCACAGGCCTCAAAGCCCTCCAAACATCCACTTGCAGATTCTCGAAAAAGAGTGTTTCATAGCTGCTCTTTCAAAAGGAAAGTTCAACTCTGGGAGTTGAATACAAACATCACAAAGTAGTTTCCGAGAATGCTTCTGTTTAGTTCTTATGTGAAGATGATCCCGTTTCCAGTGAAATCTTCAAAGAGGTCCACATATGCCCTTGCAGATTCCAAAGAAAGTGGGTTTCAAAACTGCTCCATCAAAAGGATTGCTCAACTCTGTGAGTAGAATGCAGTCATCGCAGAAAACTTTCTGAGAATGCTTCTGTCTAGGTTTGATGTGAAGATATAGACGTTTCAAACGAAGGCTACAAAGTGGTCAAAATATACACTTGCAGATTCTACTACAAGGGTGTTGCAAACCTGAACTATCAAAGGAAGGTTCAACTCTGTGAGTTGAATACAAACATCACAAAGAATGTTCTGAGTTTGCTTCCGTTCAGTTATGGGAAGTTGATCCCGTTTCCAACGAAATCCTCAGAGAGGTCCAAATATCCCCTCGCAGATTCTACAAAACGTGTGTTTGGAAACTGCTCCATCATAACGAATGTTCAGCTCCCTGAGTTAAACTACATCGTCACAAAGAATTTTCTGAGAGTGCTACCGTCTGGTTTTTATATGAAGTTCTTTCCTTCACTACCACAGGCCTCAAAGCGGTCTAAATCTCCACTTGCAGATTCTACAAAAAGAGTGTTTGCAAACTGCTCTATCAAAAGGAATGTTCAACTCTGGGAGTTGAATGCAATCATCACAGAGCAGTTTCTGAGAATGCTTCTATGTCGTTTTTAGGAGAAGATATTTCCTTTTCCAACACAGTCCTCCAAGCCCGCTAAATAGCCACTTGCACATTGTAGAAAAAGTGTGTCAAAGCTGCGCTATCAAAGGGAAAGTTCAACTCTGTGAGGTGAATGCAAACATCCCAAAGAAGTTTCTGAGAATGCTTCCGTTTAGCTTTTAGGTGAAGATTATCCCGTTTCCAACGAAACCTTCAAAGAGGTCCAAATATCCCCTTGCGGATCCCACAGAAAGAGTGTTTCGAAACTGCTGTTTCAAAAGGAATCTTCAACTCTGTGAGTTGAATGCAATCATCACAAAGAAGTTTCTGACAATGCTTCTCTCTCGTCTTTCTGTGAAGATAAAGGAAAAGGCTTTCAGGCCTTTTCCACCACAGGCCTGAAAGCGCTCCAAATGTCCACTTGCAGATTCTGCCAAAAGAATATTTCAAAACTGCTCTATGAAAAGCAATGTTAAACTCTGCGGCTCGAACACAAACATCACAAAGCAGTTTCAGAGAATGCTTCAGTTTAGTTTTTCTGTGGAAATATTCCTGTTTCCAAAGAAATCTTCAAAGAGGTCCACGCATCCACTTACAGATTCTACAAAAAGACAGTTTCAAAACTGCTCAATCAAAAGGAGGGTTCAACTGTGTGACTTGAATGCAATCATCACTCAGAAGTTTCTGAGAACGCTTCTCTTTAGTTTTTACGTGAACATATACCCGTATCGAACGAAGGCCAGCCAGTGGTCCAAATATCCACTTGCAGATTCTACAGAAAGAGTGTTTCGAACCTGAACTCTCAAAGGCAGGTTCATCTCTGCGAGTTCAATGCATTCATCATGAAGAACTTTCTCAGCGTGTTTGTGTTTAGTTATGGGAAATTATTCCCGTTTCCAACGAAATCCTCAGAGAGCTCCAAATATCCACCTGCAGATTCTACCAAAAGTGTATTTGGAAACTGCTCCATCAAAAGGCATGTTCAGCTCTGTGGGTGAAACTCCATCATCACAAAGAATATTCTGAGAATGCTTCCGTTTGCCTTTTATATGAAGTTCCTTCCTATACTACCGTAGGCCTCAAAGCAGTCCAAATCTCCATTTGCAGATTCTACAAAAAGAGTGATTCCAATCTGCTCTATCAATAGGACTGTTCAACTCCATGAGTTGAATGCCATCCTCACAAAGTAGTTTCTGAGAATGCTTCTATCTAGTTTTTATGTGAAGATATTTCCTTTTCCACCACAGGCCTCAAAGCCCTCCAAACGTCCACTTGCAGATTCTCGAAAAAGAGTGCTTCATAGCTGCTCTTTCAAAAGGGAAGTTCAACTCTGGGAGCTGAATACAAACATCACAAAGTAGTTTCCGAGAATGCTTCTGTTTAGTTCTTATGTGAAGATGATCCCGTTTCCAGTGAAATCTTCAAAGAGGTCCACATATCCCCTTGCAGATTCCAAAGAAAGAGGGTTTCAAAACTGCTCCATCAAAAAGATTGTTCAACTCTGTGAGTTGAATGCAGTCATCGCAGAAAACTTTCTGAGAATGCTTCTGTCTAGGTTTGATGTGAAGATATAGACGTTTCAAACGAAGGCTACATAGTGGTCAACATATACACTTGCAGATTCTACTACAAGGGTGATGCAAACCTGAACTATCAAAGGAAGGTTCAACTCTGTGAGTTGAATACAAACATCACAAAGAATGTTCTGAGTTTGCTTCTGTTCAGTTATGGGATGTTGATCCCGTTTCCAACGAAATCCTCAGAGAGGTCCAAATATCCCCTTGCAGATTCTACAAAACGTGTGTTTGGAAACTGCTCCATCATAACGAATGTTCAGCTCCCTGAGTTAAACTCCATCGTCACAAAGAATTTTCTGAGAGTGCTACCGTCTGGTTTTTATATGAAGCTCTTTCCTTCACTACCACAGGCCTCAAAGCGGTCCAAATCTCCACTTGCAGATTCTACAAAAAGAGTGTTTGCAAACTGCTCTATCAAAAGGAATGTTCAACTCTGGGAGTTGAATGCAATCATCACAGAGCAGTTTCTGAGAATGCTTCTATGTCGTTTTTAGGAGAAGATATTTCCTTTTCCAACACAGTCCTCCAAGCCCGCTAAATAGCCACTTGCACATTGTAGAAAAAGTGTGTCAAAGCTGCGCTATCAAAGGGAAAGTTCAACTCTGTGAGGTGAATGCAAACATCCCAAAGAAGTTTCTGAGAATGCTTCCGTTTAGCTTTTAGGTGAAGATTATCCCGTTTCCAACGAAACCTTCAAAGAGGTCCAAATATCCCCTTGCGGATCCCACAGAAAGAGTGTTTCGAAACTGCTGTTTCAAAAGGAATCTTCAACTCTGTGAGTTGAATGCAATCATCACAAAGAAGTTTCTGACAATGCTTCTCTCTCGTCTTTCTGTGAAGATAAAGGAAAAGGCTTTCAGGCCTTTTCCACCACAGGCCTGAAAGCGCTCCAAATGTCCACTTGCAGATTCTGCGAAAAGAATATTTCAAAACTGCTCTATGAAAAGCAATGGTAAACTCTGTGGCTCGAACACAAACATCACAAAGCGGTTTCTGAGAATGCTTCAGTTTAGTTTTTCTGTGGAAATATTCCCGTTTCCAAAGAAATCTTCAAAGAGGTCCACGTATCCACTTACAGATTCTACAAAAAGACAGTTTCAAAACTGCTCCATCAAAAGGAGGGTTCAACTGTGTGACTTGAATGCAATCATCACTCAGAAGTTTCTGAGAATGCTTCTCTTTAGTTTTTACGTGAACATATACCCGTTTCGAACGAAGGCCACCCAGTGGTCCAAATATCCACTTGCAGATTATACAGAAAGAGTGTTTCGAACCTGAACTCTCAAAGGCAGGTTCATCTCTGCGAGTTAAATGCATTCATCATGAAGAACTTTCTCAGAGTGTTTGTGTTTAGTTATGGGAAATTATTCCCGTTTCCAACGAAATCCTCAAAGAGCTCCAAATATCCACCTGCAGATTCTACCAAAAGTGTATTTGGAAACTGCTCCATCAAAAGGCATGTTCAGCTCTGTGAGTGAAACTCCATCATCACAAAGAATATTCTGAGAATGCTTCCGTTTGCCTTTTATATGAAGTTCCTTCCTATACGACCGTAGGCCTCAAAGCAGTCCAAATCTCCATTTGCAGATTCTACAAAAAGAGTGATTCCAATCTGCTCTATCAATAGGATTGTTCAACTCCATGAGTTGAATGCCATCCTCACAAAGTAGTTTCTGAGAATGCTTCTATCTAGTTTTTATGTGAAGATATTTCCTTTTCCACCACAGGCCTCAAAGCCCTCCAAACGTCCACTTGCAGATTCTCGAAAAAGAGTGTTTCATAGCTGCTCTTTCAAAAGGAAAGTTCAACTCTGGCAGTTGAATACAAACATCACAAAGTAGTTTCCGAGAATGCTTCTGTTTAGTTTTTATGTGAAGATGATCCCGTTTCCAGTGAAATCTTCAAAGAGGTCCACATATCCCCTTGCAGATTCCAAAGAAAGAGGGTTTCAAAACTGCTCCATCAGAAGGATTGTTCAACTCTGTGAGTTGAATGCAGTCATCGCAGAAAACTTTCTGAGAATGCTTCTGTCTAGGTTTGATGTGAAGCATATAGACGTTTCAAACGAAGGCTACAAAGTGGTCAAAATATACACTTGCAGATTCTACTACAAGGGTGATGCAAACCTGAACTATCAAAGGAAGGTTCAACTCTGTGAGTTGAATACAAACATCACAAAGAATGTTCTGAGTTTGCTTCCGTTCAGTTATGGGAAGTTGATCCCATTTCCAACGAAATCCTCAGAGAGGTCCAAATATCCCCTTGCAGATTCTACAAAACGTGTGTTTGGAAACTGCTCCATCATAAAGAATGTTCAGCTCTCTGAGTTAAACTCCATCGTCACAAAGAATTTTCTGAGAGTGCTACCGTCTGGTTTTTATATGAAGTTCTTTCCTTTACTACCACAGGCCTCAAAGCGGTCCAAATCTCCACTTGCAGATTCTACAAAAACAGTGTTTGCAAACTGCTCTATCATTAGGAATGTTCAACTCTGGGAGTTGAATGCAATCATCACAGAGCAGTTTCTGAGAATGCTTCTATGTCGTTTTTAGGAGAAGATATTTCCTTTTCCAACACAGTCCTCCAAGCCCGCTAAATAGCCACTTGCACATTGTAGAAAAAGTGTGTCGAAGCTGCGCTATCAAAGGGAAAGTTCAACTCTGTGAGGTGAATGCAAACATCCCAAAGAAGTTTCTGAGAATGCTTCCGTTTAGCTTTTAGGTGAAGATTATCCCGTTTCCAACGAAACCTTCAAAGAGGTCCAAATATCCCCTTGCGGATCCCACAGAAAGAGTGTTTCGAAACTGCTGTTTCAAAAGGAATCTTCAACTCTGTGAGTTGAATGCAATCATCACAAAGAAGTTTCTGACAATGCTTCTCTCTCGTCTTTCTGTGAAGATAAAGGAAAAGGCTTTCAGGCCTTTGCCACCACAGGCCTGAAAGCGCTCCAAATGTCCACTTGCAGATTCTGCCAAAAGAATATTTCAAAACTGCTCTATGAAAAGCAATGTTAAACTCTGTGGCTCGAACACAAACATCACAAAGCAGTTTCTGAGAATGCTTCAGTTTAGTTTTTCTGTGGAAATATTCCCGTTTCCAAAGAAATCTTCAAAGAGGTCCACGTATCCACTTACAGATTCTACAAAAAGACAGTTTCAAAACTGCTCCATCAAAAGGAGGGTTCAACTGTGTGACTTGAATGCAATCATCACTCAGAAGTTTCTGAGAATGCTTCTCTTTAGTTTTTACGTGAACATATACCCGTTTCGAACGAAGGCCAGCCAGTGGTCCAAATATCCACTTGCAGATTCTACAGAAAGAGTGTTTCGAACCTGAACTCTCAAAGGCAGGTTCATCTCTGCGAGTTAAATGCATTCATCATGAAGAACTTTCTCAGAGTGTTTGTGTTTAGTTATGGGAAATTATTCCCGTTTCCAACGAAATCCTCAGAGAGCTCCAAATATCCACCTGCAGATTCTACCAAAAGTGTATTTGGAAACTGCTCCATCAAAAGGCATGTTCAGCTCTGTGAGTGAAACTCCATCATCACAAAGAATATTCTGAGAATGCTTCCGTTTGCTTTTTATATGAAGTTCCTTCCTATACTACCGTAGGCCTCAAAGCAGTCCAAATCTCCATTTACAGATTCTACAAAAAGAGTGTTTCCAATCTGCTCTATCAATAGGATTGTTCAACTCCGTGAGTTGAATGCCATCCTCACAAAGTAGTTTCTGAGAATGCTTCTATCTGGTTTTTGTGTGAAGATATTTCCTTTTCCACCACAGGCCTCAAAGCCCTCCAAACGTCCACTTGCAGATTCTCGAAAAAGAGTGTTTCATAGCTGCTCTTTCAAAAGGAAAGTTCAACTCTGGGAGTTGAATGCAAACATCACAAAATAGTTTCCGAGAATGCTTCTGTTTAGTTTTTATGTGAAGATGATCCCGTTTCCAGTGAAATCTTCAAAGAGGTCCACATATCCCCTTGCAGATTCCAAAGAAAGAGGGTTTCAAAACTGCTCCATCAGAAGGATTGTTCAACTCTGTGAGTTGAATGCAGTCATCGCAGAAAACTTTCTGAGAATGCTTCTGTCTAGGTTTGATGTGAAGATATAGACGTTTCAAACGAAGGCTACAAAGTGGTCAAAATATACACTTGCAGATTCTACTACAAGGGTGTTGCAAACCTGAACTATCAAAGGAAGGTTCAACTCTGTGAGTTGAATACAAACATCACAAAGAATGTTCTGAGTTTGCTTCCGTTCAGTTATGGGAAGTTGATCCCGTTTCCAACGAAATCCTCAGAGAGGTCTAAATATCCCCTTGCAGATTCTACAAAACGTGTGTTTGGAAACTGCTCCATCATAACGAATGTTCAGCTCCCTGAGTTAAACTCCATCGTCACAAAGAATTTTCTGAGAGTGCTACCGTCTGGTTTTTATATGAAGTTCTTTCCTTCACTACCACAGGCCTCAAAGCGGTCCAAATCTCCACTTGCAGATTCTACAAAAAGAGTGTTTGCAAACTGCTCTATCAAAAGGAATGTTCAACTCTGGGAGTTGAATGCAATCATCACAGAGCAGTTTCTGAGAATGCTTCTATGTCGTTTTTAGGAGAAGATATTTCCTTTTCCAACACAGTCCTCCAAGCCCGCTAAATAGCCACTTGCACATTGTAGAAAAAGTGTGTCGAAGCTGCGCTATCAAAGGGAAAGTTCAACTCTGTGAGGTGAATGCAAACATCCCAAAGAAGTTTCTGAGAATGCTTCCGTTTAGCTTTTAGGTGAAGATTATCCCGTTTCCAACGAAACCTTCAAAGAGGTCCAAATATCCCCTTGCGGATCCCACAGAAAGAGTGTTTCGAAACTGCTGTTTCAAAAGGAATCTTCAACTCTGTGAGTTGAATGCAATCATCACAAAGAAGTTTCTGACAATGCTTCTCTCTCGTCTTTCTGTGAAGATAAAGGAAAAGGCTTTCAGGCCTTTTCCACCACAGGCCTGAAAGCGCTCCAAATGTCCACTTGCAGATTCTGCCAAAAGAATATTTCAAAACTGCTCTATGAAAAGCAATGTTAAACTCTGTGGCTCGAACACAAACATCACAAAGCAGTTTCTAAGAATGCTTCAGTTTAGTTTTTCTGTGGAAATATTCCCGTTTCCAAAGAAATCTTCAAAGAGGTCCACGCATCCACTTACAGATTCTACAAATAGACAGTTTCAAAACTGCTCAATCAAAACGAGGGTTCAACTCTGTGACTTGAATGCAATCATCACTCAGAAGTTTCTGAGAACGCTTCTCTTTAGTTTTTACGTGAACATATACCCGTTTCGAATGAAGGCCACCCAGTGGTCCAAATATCCACTTGCAGATTCTACAGAAAGAGTGTTTCGAACCTGAACTCTCAAAGGCAGGTTCATCTCTGCGAGTTAAATGCATTCATCATGAAGAACTTTCTCAGCGTGTTTGTGTTTAGTTATGGGAAATTATTCCCGTTTCCAACGAAATCCTCAGAGAGCTCCAAATATCCACCTGCAGATTCTACCAAAAGTGTATTTGGAAACTGCTCCCATCTCAAAAGGCATGTTCAGCTCTGTGAGTGAAACTCCATCATCACAAAGAATATTCTGAGAATGCTTCCGTTTGCCTTTTATATGAAGTTCCTTCCTGTACTACCGTAGGCCTCAAAGCAGTCCAAATCTCCATTTGCAGATTCTATAAAAAGAGTGATTCCAATCTGCTCTATCAATAGGATTGTTCAACTCCATGAGTTGAATGCCATCCTCACAAAGTAGTTTCTGAGAATGCTTCTATCTGGTTTTTGTGTGAAGATATTTCCTTTTCCACCACAGGCCTCAAAGCCCTCCAAACGTCCACTTGCAGATTTTCGAAAAAGAGTGTTTCATAGCTGCTCTTTCAAAAGGAAAGTTCAACTCTGGGAGTTGAATACAAACATCACAAAGTAGTTTCCGAGAATGCTTCTGTTTAGTTTTTATGTGAAGATGATCCCGTTTCCAGTGAAATCTTCAAAGAGGTCCACATATCCCCTTGCAGATTCCAAAGAAAGAGGGTTTCAAAACTGCTCCATCAGAGGATTGTTCAACTCTGTGAGTTGAATGCAGTCATCGCAGAAAACTTTCTGAGAATGCTTCTGTCTAGGTTTGATGTGAAGATATAGACGTTTCAAACGAAGGCTACAAAGTGGTCAAAATATACACTTGCAGATTCTACTACAAGGGTGTTGCAAACCTGAACTATCAAAGGAAGGTTCAACTCTGTGAGTTGAATACAAACATCACAAAGAATGTTCTGAGTTTGCTTCCGTTCAGTTATGGGAAGTTGATCCCGTTTCCAACGAAATCCTCAGAGAGGTCCAAATATCCCCTTGCAGATTCTACAAAACGTGTGTTTGGAATCTGCTCCATCGTAACGAATGTTCAGCTCCCTGAGTTAAACTCCATCGTCACAAAGAATTTTCTGAGAGTGCTACCGTCTGGTTTTTATATGAAGTTCTTTCCTTCACTACCACAGGCCTCAAAGCGGTCCAAATCTCCACTTGCAGATTCTACAAAAAGAGTGTTTGCAAACTGCTCTATCAAAAGGAATGTTCAACTCTGGGAGTTGAATGCAATCATCACAGAGCAGTTTCTGAGAATCCTTCTATGTCGTTTTTAGGAGAAGATATTTCCTTTTCCAACACAGTCCTCCAAGCCCGCTAAATAGCCACTTGCACATTGTAGAAAAAGTGTGTCAAAGCTGCGCTATCAAAGGGAAAGTTCAACTCTGTGAGGTGAATGCAAACATCCCAAAGAAGTTTCTGAGAATGCTTCCGTTTAGCTTTTAGGTGAAGATTATCCCGTTTCCAACGAAATCTTCAAAGAGGTCCAAATATCCCCTTGCGGATCCCACAGAAAGAGTGTTTCGAAACTGCTGTTTCAAAAGGAATCTTCAACTCTGTGAGTTGAATGCAATCATCACAAAGAAGTTTCTGACAATGCTTCTCTCTCGTCTTTCTGTGAAGATAAAGGAAAAGGCTTTCAGGCCTTTTCCACCACAGGCCTGAAATCGCTCCAAATGTCCACTTGCAGATTCTGCCAAAAGAATATTTCAAAACTGCTCTATGAAAAGCAATGTTAAACTCTGTGGCTCGAACACAAACATCACAAAGCAGTTTCTGAGAATGCTTCAGTTTAGTTTTTCTGTGGAAATATTCCCGTTTCCAAAGAAATCTTCAAAGAGGTCCACGTATCCACTTACAGATTCTACAAAAAGACAGTTTCAAAACTGCTCCATCAAAAGGAGGGTTCAACTGTGTGACTTGAATGCAATCATCACTCAGAAGTTTCTGAGAATGCTTCTCTTTAGTTTTTACGTGAACATATACCCGTTTCGAACGAAGGCCAGCCAGTGGTCCAAATATCCACTTGCAGATTCTACAGAAAGAGTGTTTCGAACCTGAACTCTCAAAGGCAGGTTCATCTCTGCGAGTTAAATGCATTCATCATGAAGAACTTTCTCAGAGTGTTTGTGTTTAATTATGGGAAATTATTCCCGTTTCCAACGAAATCCTCAGAGAGGTCCAAATATCCACCTGCAGATTCTACCAAAAGTGTATTTGGAAACTGCTCCATCAAAAGGCATGTTCAGCTCTGTGAGGGAAACTCCATCATCACAAAGAATATTCTGAGAATGCTTCCGTTTGCCTTTTATATGAAGTTCCTTCCTATACTACCGTAGGCCTCAAAGCAGTCCAAATCTCCATTTGCAGATTCTACAAAAAGAGTGATTCCAATCTGCTCTATCAATAGGATTGTTCAACTCCATGAGTTGAATGCCATCCTCACAAAGTAGTTTCTGAGAATGCTTCTATCTAGTTTTTATGTGAAGATATTTCCTTTTCCACCACAGGCCTCAAAGCCCTCCAAACGTCCACTTGCAGATTCTAGAAAAAGAGTGTTTCATAGCTGCTCTTTCAAAAGGAAAGTTCAACTCTGGGAGGTGAATACAAACATCACAAAGTAGTTTCCGAGAATGCTTCTGTTTAGTTCTTATGTGAAGATGATCCCGTTTCCAGTGAAATCTTCAAAGAGGTCCACATATCCCCTTGCAGATTCCAAAGAAAGAGGGTTTCAAAACTGCTCCATCAAAAGGATTGTTCAACTCTGTGAGTTGAATGCAGTCATCGCAGAAAACTTTCTGAGAATGCTTCTGTCTAGGTTTGATGTGAAGATATAGACGTTTCAAACGAAGGCTACAAAGTGGTCAAAATATACACTTGCAGATTCTACTACAAGGGTGTTGCAAACCTGAACTATCAAAGGTAGGTTCAACTCTGTGAGTTGAATACAAACATCACAAAGAATGTTCTGAGTTTGCTTCCGTTCACTTATGGGAAGTTGATCCCGTTTCCAACGAAATCCTCAGAGAGGTCCAAATATCCCCTTGCAGATTCTACAAAACGTGTGTTTGGAAACTGCTCCATCATAACGAATGTTCAGCTCTCTGAGTTAAACTCCATCGTCACAAAGAATTTTCTGAGAGTGCTACCGTCTAGTTTTTATATGAAGTTCTTTCCTTTACTACCACAGGCCTCAAAGCGGTCCAAATCTCCACTTGCAGATTCTACAAAAAGAGTGTTTGCAAACTGCTCTATCAAAAGGAATGTTCAACTCTGGGAGTTGAATGCAATCATCACAGAGCAGTTTCTGAGAATGCTTCTATGTCGTTTTTAGGAGAAGATATTTCCTTTTCCAACACAGTCCTCCAAGCCCGCTAAATATCCACTTGCACATTGTAGAAAAAGTGTGTCGAAGCTGCGCTATCAAAGGGAAAGTTCAAGTCTGTGAGGTGAATGCAAACATCCCAAAGAAGTTTCTGAGAATGCTTCCGTTTAGCTTTTAGGTGAAGATTATCCCGTTTCCAACGAAATCTTCAAAGAGGTCCAAATATCCCCTTGCGGATCCCACAGAAAGAGTGTTTTGAAACTGCTGTTTCAAAAGGAATCTTCAACTCTGTGAGTTGAATGCAATCATCACAAAGAAGTTTCTGACAATGCTTCTCTCTCGTCTTTCTGTGAAGATAAAGGAAAAGGCTTTCAGGCCTTTTCCACCACAGGCCTGAAAGCGCTCCAAATGTCCACTTGCAGATTCTGCGAAAAGAATATTTCAAAACTGCTCTATGAAAAGCAATGTTAAACTCTGTGGCTCGAACACAAACATCACAAAGCAGTTTCTGAGAATGCTTCAGTTTAGTTTTTCTGTGGAAATATTCCCGTTTCCAAAGAAATCTTCAAAGAGGTCCACGTATCCACTTACAGATTCTACAAAAAGACAGTTTCAAAACTGCTCCATCAAAAGGAGGGTTCAACTGTGTGACTTGAATGCAATCATCACTCAGAAGTTTCTGAGAATGCTTCTCTTTAGTTTTTACGTGAACATATACCCGTTTCGAACGAAGGCCACCCAGTGGTCCAAATATCCACTTGCAGATTCTACAGAAAGAGTGTTTCGAACCTGAACTCTCAAAGGCAGGTTCATCTCTGCGAGTTAAATGCATTCATCATGAAGAACTTTCTCAGAGTGTTTGTGTTTAGTTATGGGAAATTATTCCCGTTTCCAACGAAATCCTCAGGGAGCTCCAAATATCCACCTGCAGATTCTACCAAAAGTGTATTTGGAAACTGCTCCATCAAAAGGCATGTTCAGCTCTGTGAGTGAAACTCCATCATCACAAAGAATATTCTGAGAATGCTTCCGTTTGCCTTTTATATGAAGTTCCTTCCTGTACTACTGTAGGCCTCAAAGCAGTCCAAATCTCCATTTGCAGATTCTACAAAAAGAGTGATTCCAATCTGCTCTATCAATAGGATTGTTCAACTCCATGAGTTGAATGCCATCCTCACAAAGTAGTTTCTGAGAATGCTTCTATCTGGTTTTTGTGTGAAGATATTTCCTTTTCCACCACAGGCCTCAAAGCCCTCCAAACGTCCACTTGCAGATTCTCGAAAAAGAGTGTTTCATAGCTGCTCTTTCAAAAGGAAAGTTCAACTCTGGGAGTTGAATACAAACATCACAAAATAGTTTCCGAGAATGCTTCTGTTTAGTTTTTATGTGAAGATGATCCCGTTTCCAGTGAAAGCTTCAAAGAGGTCCACATATCCCCTTGCAGATTCCAAAGAAAGAGGGTTTCAAAACTGCTCCATCAGAAGGATTGTTCAACTCTGTGAGTTGAATGCAGTCATCGCAGAAAACTTTCTGAGAATGCTTCTGTCTAGGTTTGATGTGAAGATATAGACGTTTCAAACGAAGGCTACAAAGTGGTCAAAATATACACTTGCAGATTCTACTACAAGGGTGTTGCAAACCTGAACTATCAAAGGAAGGTTCAACTCTGTGAGTTGAATACAAACATCACAAAGAATGTTCTGAGTTTGCTTCCGTTCAGTTATGGGAAGTTGATCCCGTTTCCAACGAAATCCTCAGAGAGGTCCAAATATCCCCTTGCAGATTCTACAAAACGTGTGTTTGGAAACTGCTCCATCATAACGAATGTTCAGCTCCCTGAGTTAAACTCCATCGTCACAAAGAATTTTCTGAGAGTGCTACCGTCTGGTTTTTATATGAAGCTCTTTCCTTCACTACCACAGGCCTGAAAGCGGTCCAAATCTCCACTTGCAGATTCTACAAAAAGAGTGTTTGCAAACTGCTCTATCAAAAGGAATGTTCAACTCTGGGAGTTGAATGCAATCATCACAGAGCAGTTTCTGAGAATGCTTCTATGTCGTTTTTAGGAGAAGATATTTCCTTTTCCAACACAGTCCTCCAAGCCCGCTAAATAGCCACTTGCACATTGTAGAAAAAGTGTGTCAAAGCTGCGCTATCAAAGGGAAAGTTCAACTCTGTGAGGTGAATGCAAACATCCCAAAGAAGTTTCTGAGAATGCTTCCGTTTAGCTTTTAGGTGAAGATTATCCCGTTTCCAACGAAACCTTCAAAGAGGTCCAAATATCCCCTTGCGGATCCCACAGAAAGAGTGTTTCGAAACTGCTGTTTCAAAAGGAATCTTCAACTCTGTGAGTTGAATGCAATCATCACAAAGAAGTTTCTGACAATGCTTCTCTCTCGTCTTTCTGTGAAGATAAAGGAAAAGGCTTTCAGGCCTTTTCCACCACAGGCCTGAAAGCGCTCCAAATGTCCACTTGCAGATTCTGTGAAAAGAATATTTCAAAACTGCTCTATGAAAAGCAATGTTAAACTCTGTGGCTCGAACACAAACATCACAAAGCGGTTTCTGAGAATGCTTCAGTTTAGTTTTTCTGTGGAAATATTCCCGTTTCCAAAGAAATCTTCAAAGAGGTCCACGTATCCACTTACAGATTCTACAAAAAGACAGTTTCAAAACTGCTCCATCAAAAGGAGGGTTCAACTGTGTGACTTGAATGCAATCATCACTCAGAAGTTTCTGAGAATGCTTCTCTTTAGTTTTTACGTGAACATATACCCGTTTCGAACGAACGCCACCCAGTGGTCCAAATGTCCACTTGCAGATTCTACAGAAAGAGTGTTTCGAACCTGAACTCTCAAAGGCAGGTTCATCTCTGCGAGTTAAATGCATTCATCATGAAGAACTTTCTCAGAGTGTTTTGTGTTTAGTTATGGGAAATTATTCCCGTTTCCAACGAAATCCTCAGAGAGGTCCAAATATCCACCTGCAGATTCTACCAAAAGTGTATTTGGAAACTGCTCCATCAAAAGGCATGTTCAGCTCTGTGAGTGAAACTCCATCATCACAAAGAATATTCTGAGAATGCTTCCGTTTGCCTTTTATATGAAGTTCCTTCCTATACGACCGTAGGCCTCAAAGCAGTCCAAATCTCCATTTGCAGATTCTACAAAAAGAGTGATTCCAATCTGCTCTATCAATAGGATTGTTCAACTCCATGAGTTGAATGCCATCCTCACAAAGTCGTTTCTGAGAATGCTTCTATCTAGTTTTTATGTGAAGATATTTCCTTTTCCACCACAGGCCTCAAAGCCTTCCAAACGTCCACTTGCAGATTCTCGAAAAAGAGTGTTTCATAGCTGCTCTTTCAAAAGGAAAGTTCAACTCTGGGAGTTGAATACAAACATCACAAAGTAGTTTCCGAGAATGCTTCTGTTTAGTTTTTATGTGAAGATGATCCCGTTTCCAGTGAAATCTTCAAAGAGGTCCACATATCCCCTTGCAGATTCCAAAGAAAGAGGGTATCAAAACTGCTCCATCAGAAGGATTGTTCAACTCTGTGAGTTGAATGCAGTCATCGCAGAAAACTTTCTGAGAATGCTTCTGTCTAGGTTTGATGTGAAGATATAGACGTTTCAAACGAAGGCTACAAAGTGGTCAAAATATACACTTGCAGATTCTACTACAAGGGTGTTGCAAACCTGAACTATCAAAGGAAGGTTCAACTCTGTGAGTTGAATACAAACATCACAAAGAATGTTCTGAGTTTGCTTCCGTTCAGTTATGGGAAGTTGATCCCGTTTCCAACGAAATCCTCAGAGAGGTCCAAATATCCCCTTGCAGATTCTACAAAACGTGTGTTTGGAAACTGCTCCATCATAACGAATGTTCAGCTCCCTGAGTTAAACTCCATCGTCACAAAGAATTTTCTGAGAGTGCTACCGTCTAGTTTTTATAGGAAGTTCTTTCCTTTACTACCACAGGCCTCAAAGCGGTCCAAATCTCCACTTGCAGATTCTACAAAAAGAGTGTCTGCAAACTGCTCTATCAAAAGGAATGTTCAACTCTGGGAGTTGAATGCAATCATCACAGAGCAGTTTCTTAGAATGCTTCTATGTGGTTTTTAGGAGAAGATATTTCCTTTTCCAACACAGTCCTCCAAGCCCGCTAAATATCCACTTGCACATTGGAGAAAAAGTGTGTCGAAGCTGCGCTATCAAAGGGAAAGTTCAACTCTGTGAGGTGAATGCAAACATCCCAAAGAAGTTTCTGAGAATGCTTCCGTTTAGCTTTTAGGTGAAGATTATCCCGTTTCCAACGAAATCTTCAAAGAGGTCCAAATATCCCCTTGCGGATCCCACAGAAAGAGTGTTTCGAAACTGCTGTTTCAAAAGGAATCTTCAACTCTGTGGGTTGAATGCAATCATCACAAAGAAGTTTCTGACAATGCTTCTCTCTCGTCTTTCTGTGAAGATAAAGGAAAAGGCTTTCAGGCCTTTTCCACCACAGGCCTGAAAGCGCTCCAAATGTCCACTTGCAGATTCTGCCAAAAGAATATTTCAAAACTGCTCTATGAAAAGCAATGTTAAACTCTGCGGCTCGAACGCAAACATCACAAAGCAGTTTCTGAGAATGCTTCAGTTTAGTTTTTCTGTGGAAATATTCCCGTTTCGAAAGAAATCTTCAAAGAGGTCCACGTATCCACTTACAGATTCTACAAAAAGACAGTTTCAAAACTGCTCAATCAAAAGGAGTGTTCAACCGTGTGACTTGAATGCAATCATCACTCAGAAGTTTCTGAGAATGCTTCTCTTTAGTTTTTACGTGAACATATACCCGTTTCGAACGAAGGCCACCCAGTGGTCCAAATATCCACTTGCAGATTCTACAGAAAGAGTGTTTCGAACCTGAACTCTCAAAGGCAGGTTCATCTCTGCGAGTTCAATGCATTCATCATGAAGAACTTTCTCAGAGTGTTTGTGTTTAGGTATGGGAAATTATTGCCGTTTCCAACGAAATCCTCAGAGAGGTCCAAATATCCACCTGCAGATTCTACCAAAAGTGTATTTGGAAACTGCTCCATCAAAAGGCATGTTCAGCTCTGTGAGTGAAACTCCATCATCACAAAGAATATTCTGAGAATGCTTCCGTTTGCCTTTTATATGAAGTTCCTTCCTATACTACCGTAGGCCTCAAAGCAGTCCAAATCTCCATTTGCAGATTCTACAAAAAGAGTGATTCCAATCTGCTCTATCAATAGGATTGTTCAACTCCATGAGTTGAATGCCATCCTCACGAAGTAGTTTCTGAGAATGCTTCTATCTAGTTTTTATGTGAAGATATTTCCTTTTCCACCACAGGCCTCAAAGCCCTCCAAACGTCCACTTGCAGATTCTCGAAAAAGAGTGTTTCATAGCTGCTCTTTCAAAAGGAAAGTTCAACTCTGGGAGTTGAATACAAACATCACAAAGTAGTTTCCGAGAATGCTTCTGTTTAGTTTTTATGTGAAGATGATCCCGTTTCCAGTGAAATCTTCAAAGAGGTCCACATATCCCCTTTCAGATTCCAACGAAAGAGGGTTTCAAAACTGCTCCATCAGAAGGATTGTTCAACTCTGTGAGTTGAATGCAGTCATCGCAGAAAACTTTCTGAGAATGCTTCTGTCTAGGTTTGATGTGAAGATATAGACGTTTCAAACGAAGGCTACAAAGTGGTCAAAATATACACTTGCAGATTCTACTACAAGGGTGTTGCAAACCTGAACTATCAAAGGAAGGTTCAACTCTGTGAGTTGAATACAAACATCACAAAGAATGTTCTGAGTTTGCTTCCGTTCAGTTATGGGAAGTTGATCCCGTTTCCAACCAAATCCTCAGAGAGGTCCAAATATCCCCTTGCAGATTCTACAAAACGTGTGTTTGGAAACTGCTCCATCATAACGAATGTTCAGCTCCCTGAGTTAAACTCCATCGTCACAAAGAATTTTCTGAGAGTGCTACCGTCTGGTTTTTATATGAAGCTCTTTCCTTCACTACCATAGGCCTCAAAGCGGTCCAAATCTCCACTTCCAGATTCTACAAAAAGAGTGTTTGCAAACTGCTCTATCAAAAGGAATGTTCAACTCTGGGAGTTGAATGCAATCATCACAGAGCAGTTTCTGAGAATGCTTCTATGTCGTTTTTAGGAGAAGATATTTCCTTTTCCAACACAGTCCTCCAAGCCCGCTAAATAGCCACTTGCACATTGTAGAAAACGTGTGTCAAAGCTGCGCTATCAAAGGGAAAGTTCAACTCTGTGAGGTGAATGCAAACATCCCAAAGAAGTTTCTGAGAATGCTTCCGTTTAGCTTTTAGGTGAAGATTATCCCGTTTCCAACGAAACCTTCAAAGAGGTCCAAATATCCCCTTGCGGATCCCACAGAAAGAGTGTTTCGAAACTGCTGTTTCAAAAGGAATCTTCAACTCTGTGAGTTGAATGCAATCATCACAAAGAAGTTTCTGACAATGCTTCTCTCTCGTCTTTCTGTGAAAATAAAGGAAAAGGCTTTCAGGCCTTTTCCACCACAGGCCTGAAAGCGCTCCAAATGTCCACTTGCAGATTCTGCCAAAAGAATATTTCAAAACTGCTCTATGAAAAGCATTGTTAAACTCTGTGGCTCGAACACAAACATCACAAAGCAGTTTCTGAGAATGCTTCAGTTTAGTTTTTCTGTGGAAATATTCCCGTTTCCAAAGAAATCTTCAAAGAGGTCCACGTATCCACTTACAGATTCTACAGAAAGACAGTTTCAAAACTGCTCCATCAAAAGGAGGGTTCAACTGTGTGAATTGAATGCAATCATCACTCAGAAGTTTCTGAGAATGCTTCTCTTTAGTTTTTACGTGAACATATACCCGTTTCGAACGAAGGCCACCCAGTGGTCCAAATATCCACTTGCAGATTCTACAGAAAGAGTGTTTCGAACCTGAACTCTCAAAGGCAGGTTCATCTCTGCGAGTTAAATGCATTCATCATGAAGAACTTTCTCAGAGTGTTTGTGTTTAGTTATGGGAAATTATTCCCGTTTCCAACGAAATCCTCAGAGAGCTCCAAATATCCACCTGCAGATTCTACCAAAAGTGTATTTGGAAACTGCTCCATCAAAAGGCATGTTCAGCTCTGTGAGTGAAACTCCATCATCACAAAGAATATTCTGAGAATGCTTCCGTTTGCCTTTTATATGAAGTTCCTTCCTATACTACCGTAGGCCTCAAAGCAGTCCAAATCTCCATTTGCAGATTCTACAAAAAGAGTGATTCCAATCTGCTCTATCAATAGGATTGTTCAACTCCATGAGTTGAATGCCATCCTCACAAAGTAGTTTCTGAGAATGCTTCTATCTAGTTTTTATGTGAAGATATTTCCTTTTCCACCACAGGCCTCAAAGCCCTCCAAACGTCCACTTGCAGATTCTCGAAAAAGAGTGTTTCATAGCTGCTCTTTCAAAAGGAAAGTTCAACTCTGGGAGTTGAATACAAACATCACAAAGTAGTTTCCGAGAATGCTTCTGTTTAGTTTTTATGTGAAGATGATCCCGTTTCCAGTGAAATCTTCAAAGAGGTCCACATATCCCCTTGCAGATTCCAAAGAAAGAGGGTTTCAAAACTGCTCCATCAGAAGGATTGTTCAACTCTGTGAGTTGAATGCAGTCATCGCAGAAAACTTTCTGAGAATGCTTCTGTCTAGGTTTGATGTGAAGATATAGACGTTTCAAACGAAGGCTACAAAGTGGTCAAAATATACACTTGCAGATTCTACTACAAGGGTGTTGCAAACCTGAACTATCAAAGGAAGGTTCAACTCTGTGAGTTGAATACAAACATCACAAAGAATGTTCTGAGTTTGCTTCCGTTCAGTTATGGGAAGTTGATCCCGTTTCCAACGAAATCCTCAGAGAGGTCCAAATATCCCCTCACAGATTCTACAAAACGTGTGTTTGGAAACTGCTCCATCATAACGAATGTTCAGCTCCCTGAGTTAAACTCCATCGTCACAAAGAATTTTCTGAGAGTGCTACCGTCTGGTTTTTATATGAAGTTCTTTCCTTCACTACCACAGGCCTCAAAGCGGTCCAAATCTCCACTTGCAGATTCTACAAAAAGAGTGTTTGCAAACTGCTCTATCAAAAGGAATGTTCAACTCTGGGAGTTGAATGCAATCATCACAGAGCAGTTTCTGAGAATGCTTCTATGTCGTTTTTAGGAGAAGATATTTCCTTTTCCAACACAGTCCTCCAAGCCCGCTAAATAGCCACTTGCACATTGTAGAAAAAGTGTGTCAAAGCTGCGCTATCAAAGGGAAAGTTCAACTCTGTCAGGTGAATGCAAACATCCCAAAGAAGTTTCTGAGAATGCTTCCGTTTAGCTTTTAGGTGAAGATTATCCCGTTTCCAACGAAACCTTCAAAGAGGTCCAAATATCCCCTTGCGGATCCCACAGAAAGAGTGTTTCGAAACTGCTGTTTCAAAAGGAATCTTCAACTCTGTGAGTTGAATGCAATCATCACAAAGAAGTTTCTGACAATGCTTCTCTCTCGTCTTTCTGTGAAGATAAAGGAAAAGGCTTTCAGGCCTTTTCCACCACAGGCCTGAAAGCGCTCCAAATGTCCACTTGCAGATTCTGTGAAAAGAATATTTCAAAACTGCTCTATGAAAAGCAATGTTAAACTCTGTGGCTCGAACACAAACATCACAAAGCAGTTTCTGAGAATGCTTCAGTTTAGTTTTTCCGTGGAAATATTCCCGTTTCCAAAGAAATCTTCAAAGAGGTCCACGTATCCACTTACAGATTCTACAAAAAGACAGTTTCAAAACTGCTCCATCAAAAGGAGGGTTCAACTATGTGACTTGAATGCAATCATCACTCAGAAGTTTCTGAGAATGCTTCTTTTTAGTTTTTATGTGAACATATACCCGTTTCGAACGAAGGCCACCCAGTGGTCCAAATATCCACTTGCAGATTCTACAGAAAGAGTGTTTCGAACCTGAACTCTCAAAGGCAGGTTCATCTCTGCGAGTTAAATGCATTCATCATGAAGAACTTTCTCAGAGTGTTTGTGTTTAGTTATGGGAAATTATTCCCGTTTCCAACGAAATCCTCAGAGAGCTCCAAATATCCACCTGCAGATTCTACCAAAAGTGTATTTGGAAACTGCTCCATCAAAAGGCATGTTCAGCTCTGTGAGTGAAACTCCATCATCACAAAGAATATTCTGAGAATGCTTCCGTTTCCCTTTTATATGAAGTTCCTTCCTATACTACCGTAGGCCTCAAAGCAGTCCAAATCTCCATTTGCAGATTCTACAAAAAGAGTGATTCCAATCTGCTCTATCAATAGGATTGTTCAACTCCATGAGTTGAATTCCATCCTCACAATGTCGTTTGTGAGAATGCTTCTATCTAGTTTTTATGTGAAGATATTTCCTTTTCCACCACAGGCCTCAAAGCCCTCCAAACGTCCACTTGCAGATTCTCGAAAAAGAGTGTTTCATAGCTGCTCTTTCAAAAGGAAAGTTCAACTCTGGGAGTTGAATACAAACATCACAAAGTAGTTTCCGAGAATGCTTCTGTTTAGTTTTTATGTGAAGATGATCCCGTTTCCAGTGAAATCTTCAAAGAGGTCCACATATCCCCTTGCAGATTCCAAAGAAAGAGGGTTTCAAAACTGCTCCATCAGAAGGATTGTTCAACTCTGTGAGTTGAATGCAGTCATCGCAGAAAACTTTCTGAGAATGCTTCTGTCTAGGTTTGATGTGAAGGTATAGACGTTTCAAACGAAGGCTACAAAGTGGTCAAAATATACACTTGCAGATTCTACTACAAGGGTGTTGCAAACCTGAACTATCAAAGGAAGGTTCAACTCTGTGAGTTGAATACAAACATCACAAAGAATGTTCTGAGTTTGCTTCCGTTCAGTTATGGGAAGTTGATCCCGTTTCCAACGAAATCCTCAGAGAGGTCCAAATATCCCCTTGCAGATTCTACAAAACGTGTGTTTGGAAACTGCTCCATCATAACGAATGTTCAGCTCCCTGAGTTAAACTCCATCGTCACAAAGAATTTTCTGAGAGTGCTACCGTCTGGTTTTTATATGAAGTTCTTTCCTTCACTACCACAGGCCTCAAAGCGGTCCAAATCTCCACTTGCAGATTCTACAAAAAGAGTGTTTGCAAACTGCTCTATCAAAAGGAATGTTCAACTCTGGGAGTTGAATGCAATCATCACAGAGCAGTTTCTGAGAATGCTTCTATGTCGTTTTTAGGAGAAGATATTTCCTTTTCCAACACAGTCCTCCAAGCCCGCTAAATAGCCACTTGCACATTGTAGAAAAAGTGTGTCAAAGCTGCGCTATCAAAGGGAAAGTTCAACTCTGTGAGGTGAATGCAAACATCCCAAAGAAGTTTCTGAGAATGCTTCCGTTTAGCTTTTAGGTGAAGATTATCCCGTTTCCAACGAAACCTTCAAAGAGGTCCAAATATCCCCTTGCGGATCCCACAGAAAGAGTGTTTCGAAACTGCTGTTTCAAAAGGAATCTTCAACTCTGTGAGTTGAATGCAATCATCACAAAGAAGTTTCTGACAATGCTTCTCTCTCGTCTTTCTGTGAAGATAAAGGAAAAGGCTTTCAGGCCTTTTCCACCACAGGCCTGAAAGCGCTCCAAATGTCCACTTGCAGATTCTGCCAAAAGAATATTTCAAAACTGCTCTATGAAAAGCAATGTTAAACTCTGTGGCTGGAACACAAACATCACAAAGCGGTTTCTGAGAATGTTTCAGTTTAGTTTTTCTGTGGAAATATTCCCGTTTCCAAAGAAATCTTCAAAGAGGTCCACGTATCCACTTACAGATTCTACAAAAAGACAGTTTCAAAACTGCTCCATCAAAAGGAGGGTTCAACTGTGTGACTTGAATGCAATCATCACTCAGAAGTTTCTGAGAATGCTTCTCTTTAGTTTTTACGTGAACATATACCTGTTTCGAAAGAAGGCCACCCAGTGGTCCAAATATCCACTTGCAGATTCTACAGAAAGAGTGTTTCGAACCTGAACTCTCAAAGGAAGGTTCATCTCTGTGAGTTAAATGCATTCATCATGAAGAACGTTCTCAGCGTGTTTGAGTTTAGTTATGGGAAATTATTCCCGTTTCCAACGAAATCCTCAGAGAGGTCCAAATATCCACCTGCAGATTCTACCAAAAGTGTATTTGGAAACTGCTCCATCAAAAGGCATGTTCAGCTCTGTGAGTGAAACTCCATCATCACAAAGAATATTCTGAGAATGCTTCCGTTTGCCTTTTATATGAAGTTCCTTCCTATACTACCGTAGGCCTCAAAGCAGTCCAAATCTCCATTTGCAGATTCTACAAAAAGAGTGATTCCAATCTGCTCTATCAATAGGATTGTTCAACTCCATGAGTTGAATGCCATCCTCACAAAGTCGTTTCTGAGAATGCTTCTATCTGGTTTTTGTGTGAAGATATTTCCTTTTCCACCACAGGCCTCAAAGCCCTCCAAACGTCCACTTGCAGATTCTCGAAAAAGAGTGTTTCATAGCTGCTCTTTCAAAAGGAAAGTTCAACTCTGGGAGTTGAATACAAACATCACAAAATAGCTTCCGAGATTGCTTCTGTTTAGTTTTTATGTGAAGATGATCCCGTTTCCAGTGAAATCTTCAAAGAGGTCCACATATCCCCTTGCAGATTCCAAAGAAAGAGGGTTTCAAAACTGCTCCATCAAAAGGATTGTTCAACTCTGTGAGTTGAATGCAGTCATCGCAGAAAACTTTCTGAGAATGCTTCTTTCTAGGTTTGATGTGAAGATATAGACGTTTCAAACGAAGGCTACAAAGTGGTCAAAATATACACTTGCAGATTCTACTACAAGGGTGTTGCAAACCTGAACTATCAAAGGAAGGTTCAACTCTGTGAGTTGAATACAAACATCACAAAGAATGTTCTGAGTTTGCTTCCGTTCAGTTATGGGAAGTTGATCCCGTTTCCAACGAAATCCTCAGAGAGGTCCAAATATCCCCTTGCAGATTCTACAAAACGTGTGTTTGGAAACTGCTCCATCATAACGAATGTTCAGCTCCCTGAGTTAAACTCCATCGTCACAAAGAATTTTCTGAGAGTGCTACCGTCTGGTTTTTATATGAAGTTCTTTCCTTCACTACCACAGGCCTCAAAGCGGTCCAAATCTCCACTTGCAGATTCTACAAAAAGAGTGTTTGCAAACTGCTCTATCAAAAGGAATGTTCAACTCTGGGAGTTGAATGCAATCATCACAGAGCAGTTTCTGAGAATGCTTCTATGTCGTTTTTAGGAGAAGATATTTCCTTTTCCAACACAGTCCTCCAAGCCCGCTAAATAGCCACTTGCACATTGAAGAAAAAGTGTGTCAAAGCTGCGCTATCAAAGGGAAAGTTCAACTCTGTGAGGTGAATGCAAACATCCCAAAGAAGTTTCTGAGAATGCTTCCGTTTAGCTTTTAGGTGAAGATTATCCCGTTTCCAACGAAACCTTCAAAGAGGTCCAAATATCCCCTTGCGGATCCCACAGAAAGAGTGTTTCGAAACTGCTGTTTCAAAAGGAATCTTCAACTCTGTGAGTTGAATGCAATCATCACAAAGAAGTTTCTGACAATGCTTCTCTCTCGTCTTTCTGTGAAGATAAAGGAAAAGGCTTTCAGGCCTTTTCCACCACAGGCCTGAAAGCGCTCCAAATGTCCACTTGCAGATTCTGCCAAAAGAATATTTCAAAACTGCTCTATGAAAAGCAATGTTAAACTCTGTGGCTGGAACACAAACATCACAAAGCGGTTTCTGAGAATGTTTCAGTTTAGTTTTTCTGTGGAAATATTCCCGTTTCCAAAGAAATCTTCAAAGAGGTCCACGTATCCACTTACAGATTCTACAAAAAGACAGTTTCAAAACTGCTCCATCAAAAGGAGGGTTCAACTGTGTGACTTGAATGCAATCATCACTCAGAAGTTTCTGAGAATGCTTCTCTTTAGTTTTTACGTGAACATATACCCGTTTCGAACGAAGGCCACCCAGTGGTCCAAATATCCACTTGCAGATTCTACAGAAAGAGTGTTTCGAACCTGAACTCTCAAAGGAAGGTTCATCTCTGCGAGTTAAATGCATTCATCATGAAGAACTTTCTCGGAGTGTTTGTGTTTAGTTATGGGAAATTATTCCCGTTTCCAACGAAATCCTCAGAGAGCTCCAAATATCCACCTGCAGATTCTACCAAAAGTGTATTTGGAAACTGCTCCATCAAAAGGCATGTTCAGCTCTGTGAGTGAAACTCCATCATCACAAAGAATATTCTGAGAATGCTTCCGTTTGCCGTTTATATGAAGTTCCTTCCTATACTACCGTAGGCCTCAAAGCAGTCCAAATCTCCATTTGCAGATTCTACAAAAAGAGTGATTCCAATCTGCTCTATCAATAGGATTGTCCAACTCCATGTGTTGAATGCCATCCTCAATGTCGTTTCTGAGAATGCTTCTATCTAGTTTTTATGTGAAGATATTTCCTTTTCCACCACAGGCCTCAAAGCCCTCCAAACGTCCACTTTCAGATTCTCGAAAAAGAGTGTTTCATAGCTGCTCTTTCAAAAGGAAAGTTCAACTCTGGGAGTTGAATACAAACATCACAAAGTAGTTTCCGAGAATGCTTTCTGTTTAGTTTTTATGTGAAGATGACCCCGTTTCCAGTGAAATCATCAAAGAGGTCCACATATCCCCTTGCAGATTCCAAAGAAAGAGGGTTTCAAAACTGCTCCATCAGAAGGATTGTTCAACTCTGTGAGTTGAATGCAGTCATCGCAGAAAACTTTCTGAGAATGCTTCTTTCTAGGTTTGATGTGAAGATATAGACGTTTCAAACGAAGGCTACAAAGTGGTCAAAATATACACTTGCAGATTCTACTACAAGGGTGTTGCAAACCTGAACTATCAAAGGAAGGTTCAACTCTGTGAGTTGAATACAAACATCACAAAGAATGTTCTGAGTTTGCTTCCGTTCAGTTATGGGAAGTTGATCCCGTTTCCAACGAAATCCTCAGAGAGGTCCAAATATCCCCTCGCAGATTCTACAAAACGTGTGTTTGGAAACTGCTCCATCATAACGAATGTTCAGCTCCCTGAGTTAAACTCCATCGTCACAAAGAATTTTCTGAGAGTGCTACCGTCTGGTTTTTATATGAAGTTCTTTCCTTCACTACCACAGGCCTCAAAGCGGTCCAAATCTCCACTTGCAGATTCTACAAAAAGAGTGTTTGCAAACTGCTCTATCAAAAGGAATGTTCAACTCTGGGAGTTGAATGCAATCATCACAGAGCAGTTTCTGAGAATGCTTCTATGTCGTTTTTAGGAGAAGATATTTCCTTTTCCAACACAGTCCTCCAAGCCCGCTAAATAGCCACTTGCACATTGTAGAAAAAGTGTGTCAAAGCTGCGCTATCAAAGGGAAAGTTCAACTCTGTGAGGTGAATGCAAACATCCCAAAGAAGTTTCTGAGAATGCTTCCGTTTAGCTTTTAGGTGAAGATTATCCCGTTTCCAACGAAACCTTCAAAGAGGTCCAAATATCCCCTTGCGGATCCCACAGAAAGAGTGTTTCGAAACTGCTGTTTCAAAAGGAATCTTCAACTCTGTGAGTTGAATGCAATCATCACAAAGAAGTTTCTGACAATGCTTCTCTCTCGTCTTTCTGTGAAGATAAAGGAAAAGGCTTTCAGGCCTTTGCCACCACAGGCCTGAAAGCGCTCCAAATGTCCACTTGCAGATTCTGCCAAAAGAATATTTCAAAACTGCTCTATGAAAAGCAATGTTAAACTCTGTGGCTCGAACACAAACATCACAAAGCGGTTTCTGAGAATGCTTCAGTTTAGTTTTTCTGTGGAAATATTCCCGTTTCCAAAGAAATCTTCAAAGAGGTCCACGTATCCACTTACAGATTCTACAAAAAGACAGTTTCAAAACTGCTCCATCAAAAGGAGGGTTCAACCGTGTGACTTGAATGCAATCAGCACTCAGAAGTTTCTGAGAATGCTTCTCTTTAGTTTTTACGTGAACATATACCCGTTTCGAACGAAGGCCACCCAGTGGTCCAAATATCCACTTGCAGATTATACAGAAAGAGTGTTTCGAACCTGAACTCTCAAAGGCAGGTTCATCTCTGCGAGTTAAATGCATTCATCATGAAGAACTTTCTCAGAGTGTTTGTGTTTAGTTATGGGAAATTATTCCCGTTTCCAACGAAATCCTCAGAGAGCTCCAAATATCCACCTGCAGATTCTACCAAAAGTGTATTTGGAAACGGCTCCATCAAAAGGCATGTTCAGCTCTGTGAGTGAAACTCCATCATCACAAAGAATATTCTGAGAATGCTTCCGTTTGCCTTTTATATGAAGTTCCTTCCTGTACTACCGTAGGCCTCAAAGCAGTCCAAATCTCCATTTGCAGATTCTACAAAAAGAGTGATTCCAATCTGCTCTATCAATAGGATTGTTCAACTCCATGAGTTGAATGCCATCCTCACAAAGCAGTTTCTGAGAATGCTTCTATCTGGTTTTTGTGTGAAGATATTTCCTTTTCCACCACAGGCCTCAAAGCCCTCCAAACGTCCACTTGCAGATTCTCGAAAAAGAGTGTTTCATAGCTGCTCTTTCAAAAGGAAAGTTCAACTCTGGCAGTTGAATACAAACATCACAAAGTAGTTTCCGAGAATGCTTCTGTTTAGTTTTTATGTGAAGATGATCCCGTTTCCAGTGAAATCTTCAAAGAGGTCCACATATCCCCTTGCAGATTCCAAAGAAAGAGGGTTTCAAAACTGCTCCATCAGAAGGATTGTTCAACTCTGTGAGTTGAATGCAGTCATCGCAGAAAACTTTCTGAGAATGCTTCTGTCTAGGTTTGATGTGAAGATATAGACGTTTCAAACGAAGGCTACAAAGTGGTCAAAATATACACTTGCAGATTCTACTACAAGGGTGTTGCAAACCTGAACTATCAAAGGAAGGTTCAACTCTGTGAGTTGAATACAAACATCACAAAGAATGTTCTGAGTTTGCTTCCGTTCAGTTATGGGAAGTTGATCCCGTTTCCAACGAAATCCTCAGAGAGGTCCAAATATCCCCTTGCAGATTCTACAAAACGTGTGTTTGGAAACTGCTCCATCATAACGAATGTTCAGCTCCCTGAGTTAAACTCCATCGTCACAAAGAATTTTCTGAGAGTGCTACCGTCTGGTTTTTATATGAAGTTCTTTCCTTCACTACCACAGGCCTCAAAGCGGTCCAAATCTCCACTTGCAGATTCTACAAAAAGAGTGTTTGCAAACTGCTCTATCAAAAGGAATGTTCAACTCTGGGAGTTGAATGCAATCATCACAGAGCAGTTTCTGAGAATGCTTCTATGTCGTTTTTAGGAGAAGATATTTCCTTTTCCAACACAGTCCTCCAAGTCCGCTAAATAGCCACTTGCACATTGTAGAAAAAGTGTGTCAAAGCTGCGCTATCAAAGGGAAAGTTCAACTCTGAGAGGTGAATGCAAACATCCCAAAGAAGTTTCTGAGAGTGCTTCCGTTTAGCTTTTAGGTGAAGATTATCCCGTTTCCAACGAAACCTTCAAAGAAGTCCAAATATCCCCTTGCGGATCCCACAGAAAGAGTGTTTCGAAACTGCTGTTTCAAAAGGAATCTTCAACTCTGTGAGTTGAATGCAATCATCACAAAGAAGTTTCTGACAATGCTTCTCTCTCGTCTTTCTGTGAAGATAAATAAATGCTTTCAGGCCTTTGCCACCACAGGCCTGAAAGCGCTCCAAATGTCCACTTGCAGATTCTGCGAAAAGAATATTTCAAAACTGCTTTGTGAAAAGCAATGTTAAACTCTGTGGCTCGAACAAACACATCACAAAGCGGTTTCTGAGAATGCTTCAGTTTAGTTTTTCTGTGGAAATATTCCCGTTTCCAAAGAAATCTTCAAAGAGGTCCACGTATCCACTTACAGATTCTACAAAAAGACAGTTTCAAAACTGCTCCATCAAAAGGAGGGTTCAACTGTGTGACTTGAATGCAATCATCACTCAGAAGTTTCTGAGAATGCTTCTCTTTAGTTTTTACGTGAACATATACCCGTTTCGAACGAAGGCCACCCAGTGGTCCAAATATCCACTTGCAGATTCTACAGAAAGAGTGTTTCGAACCTGAACTCTCAAAGGCAGGTTCATCTCTGCGAGTTAAATGCATTCATCATGAAGAACTTTCTCAGAGTGTTTGTGTTTAGTTATGGGAAATTATTCCCGTTTCCAACGAAATCCTCAGAGAGCTCCAAATATCCACCTGCAGATTCTACCAAAAGTGTATTTGGAAACTGCTCCATCAAAAGGCATGTTCAGCTCTGTGAGTGAAACTCCATCATCACAAAGAATATTCTGAGAATGCTTCCGTTTGCCTTTTATATGAAGTTCCTTCCTATACTACCGTAGGCCTCAAAGCAGTCCAAATCTCCATTTGCAGATTCTACAAAAAGAGTGATTCCAATCTGCTCTATCAATAGGATTGTTCAACTCCATGAGTTGAATGCCATCCTCACAAAGTCGTTTCTGAGAATGCTTCTATCTGGTTTTTGTGTGAAGATATTTCCTTTTCCACCACAGGCCTCAAAGCCCTCCAAACGTCCACTTGCAGATTCTCGAAAAAGAGTGTTTCATAGCTGCTCTTTCAAAAGGAAAGTTCAACTCTGGGAGTTGAATACAAACATCACAAAATAGTTTCCGAGAATGCTTCTGTTTAGTTTTTATGTGAAGATGATCCCGTTTCCAGTGAAATCTTCAAAGAGGTCCACATATCCCCTTGCAGATTCCAAAGAAAGAGGGTTTCAAAACTGCTCCATCAGAAGGATTGTTCAACTCCTGTGAGTTGAATGCAGTCATCGCAGAAAACTTTCTGAGAATGCTTCTGTCTAGGTTTCAGGTGAAGATATAGACGTTTCAAACGAAGGCTACAAAGTGGTCAAAATATACACTTGCAGAATCTACTACAAGGGTGTTGCAAACCTGAACTATCAAAGGAAGGTTCAACTCTGTGAGTTGAATACAAACATCACAAAGAATGTTCTGAGTTTGCTTCCGTTCAGTTATGGGAAGTTGATCCCGTTTCCAACGAAATCCTCAGAGAGGTCCAAATATCCCCTCGCAGATTCTACAAAACGTGTGTTTGGAAACTGCTCCATCATAACGAATGTTCAGCTCCCTGAGTTAAACTCCATCGTCACAAAGAATTTTCTGAGAGTGCTACCGTGTGGTTTTTATATGAAGTTCTTTCCTTCACTACCACAGACCTCAAAGCGGTCCAAATCTCCACTTGCAGATTCTACAAAAAGAGTGTTTGCAAACTGCTCTATCAAAAGGAATGTTCAACTCTGGGAGTTGAATGCAATCATCACAGAGCAGTTTCTGAGAATGCTTCTATGTCGTTTTTAGGAGAAGATATTTCCTTTTCCAACACAGTCCTCCAAGCCCGCTAAATAGCCACTTGCACATTGTAGAAACAGTGTGTCAAAGCTGCGCTATCAAAGGGAAAGTTCAACTCTGTGAGGTGAATGCAAACATCCCAAAGAAGTTTCTGAGAATGCTTCCGTTTAGCTTTTAGGTGAAGATTATCCCGTTTCCAACGAAACCTTCAAAGAGGTCCAAATATCCCCTTGCGGATCCCACAGAAAGAGTGTTTCGAAACTGCTGTTTCAAAAGGAATCTTCAACTCTGTGAGTTGAATGCAATCATCACAAAGAAGTTTCTGACAATGCTTCTCTCTCGTCTTTCTGTGAAGATAAAGGAAAAGGCTTTCAGGCCTTTTCCACCACAGGCCTGAAAGCGCTCCAAATGTCCACTTGTAGATTCTGCCAAAAGAATATTTCAAAACTGCTCTATGAAAAGCAATGTTAAACTCTGTGGCTCGAACACAAACATCACAAAGCAGTTTCTGAGAATGCTTCAGTTTAGTTTTTCTGTGGAAATATTCCCGTTTCCAAAGAAATCTTCAAAGAGGTCCACGTATCCACTTACAGATTCTACAAAAAGACAGTTTCAAAACTGCTCCATCAAAAGGAGGGTTCAACTGTGTGACTTGAATGCAATCATCACTCAGAAGTTTCTGAGAATGCTTCTCTTTAGTTTTTACGTGAACATATACCCGTTTTGAACGAAGGCCACCCAGTGGTCCAAATATCCACTTGCAGATTCTACAGAAAGAGTGTTTCGAACCTGAACTCTCAAAGGCAGGTTCATCTCTGCGAGTTAAATGCATTCATCATGAAGAACTTTCTCAGAGTGTTTGTGTTTAGTTATGGGAAATTATTCCCGTTTCCAACGAAATCCTCAGAGAGCTCCAAATATCCACCTGCAGATTCTACCAAAAGTGTATTTGGAAACTGCTCCATCAAAAGGCATGTTCAGCTCTGTGAGTGAAACTCCATCATCACAAAGAATATTCTGAGAATGCTTCCGTTTGCCTTTTATATGAAGTTCCTTCCTATACGACCGTAGGCCTCAAAGCAGTCCAAATCTCCATTTGCAGATTCTACAAAAAGAGTGATTCCAATCTGCTGTATCAATAGGATTGTTCAACTCCATGAGTTGAAAGCCATCCTCACGAAGTAGTTTCTGAGAATGCTTCTATCTAGTTTTTATGTGAAGATATTTCCTTTTCCACCACAGGCCTCAAAGCCCTCCAAACGTCCACTTGCAGATTCTCGAA
Source organism: Homo sapiens (assembly GCF_000001405.40). Taxonomy (NCBI): domain Eukaryota; kingdom Metazoa; phylum Chordata; class Mammalia; order Primates; family Hominidae; genus Homo; species Homo sapiens. The sequence goes on along the minus strand of NC_000023.11, from coordinate 60,873,939 downwards.
AAAGAGTGTTTCATAGCTGCTCTTTCAAAAGGAAAGTTCAACTCTGGGAGTTGAATACAAACATCACAAAGTAGTTTCCGAGAATGCTTCTGTTTAGTTTTTATGTGAAGATGATCCCGTTTCCAGTGAAATCTTCAAAGAGGTCCACATATCCCCTTGCAGATTCCAAAGAAAGAGGGTATCAAAACTGCTCCATCAGAAGGATTGTTCAACTCTGTGAGTTGAATGCAGTCATCGCAGAAAACTTTCTGAGAATGCTTCTGTCTAGGTTTGATGTGAAGATATAGACGTTTCAAACGAAGGCTACAAAGTGGTCAAAATATACACTTGCAGATTCTACTACAAGGGTGTTGCAAACCTGAACTATCAAAGGAAGGTTCAACTCTGTGAGTTGAATACAAACATCACAAAGAATGTTCTGAGTTTGCTTCCGTTCAGTTATGGGAAGTTGATCCCGTTTCCAACGAAATCCTCAGAGAGGTCCAAATATCCCCTTGCAGATTCTACAAAACGTGTGTTTGGAAACTGCTCCATCATAACGAATGTTCAGCTCCCTGAGTTAAACTCCATCGTCACAAAGAATTTTCTGAGAGTGCTACCGTCTGGTTTTTATATGAAGTTCTTTCCTTCACTACCACAGGCCTCAAAGCGGTCCAAATCTCCACTTGCAGATTCTACAAAAAGAGAGTTTGCAAACTGCTCTATCAAAAGGAATGTTCAACTCTGGGAGTTGAATGCAATCATCACAGAGCAGTTTCTGAGAATGCTTCTATGTCGTTTTTAGGAGAAGATATTTCCTTTTCCAACACAGTCCTCCAAGCCCGCTAAATAGCCACTTGCACATTGTAGAAAAAGTGTGTCAAAGCTGCGCTATCAAAGGGAAAGTTCAACTCTGTGAGGTGAATGCAAACATCCCAAAGAAGTTTCTGAGAATGCTTCCGTTTAGCTTTTAGGTGAAGATTATCCCGTTTCCAACGAAACCTTCAAAGAGGTCCAAATATCCCCTTGCGGATCCCACAGAAAGAGTGTTTCGAAACTGCTGTTTCAAAAGGAATCTTCAACTCTGTGAGTTGAATGCAATCATCACAAAGAAGTTTCTGACAATGCTTCTCTCTCGTCTTTCTGTGAAGATAAAGGAAAAGGCTTTCAGGCCTTTTCCCACCACAGGCCTGAAAGCGCTCCAAATGTCCACTTGCAGATTCTGCCAAAAGAATATTTCAAAACTGCTCTATGAAAAGCAATGTTAAACTCTGTGGCTGGAACACAAACATCACAAAGCGGTTTCTGAGAATGTTTCAGTTTAGTTTTTCTGTGGAAATATTCCCGTTTCCAAAGAAATCTTCAAAGAGGTCCACGTATCCACTTACAGATTCTACAAAAAGACAGTTTCAAAACTGCTCCATCAAAAGGAGGGTTCAACTGTGTGACTTGAATGCAATCATCACTCAGAAGTTTCTGAGAATGCTTCTCTTTAGTTTTTACGTGAACATATACCCGTTTCGAACGAAGGCCACCCAGTGGTCCAAATATCCACTTGCAGATTATACAGAAAGAGTGTTTCGAACCTGAACTCTCAAAGGCAGGTTCATCTCTGCGAGTTAAATGCATTCATCATGAAGAACTTTCTCAGAGTGTTTGTGTTTAGTTATGGGAAATTATTCCCGTTTCCAACGAAATCCTCAGAGAGCTCCAAATATCCACCTGCAGATTCTACCAAAAGTGTATTTGGAAACTGCTCCATCAAAAGGCATGTTCAGCTCTGTGAGTGAAACTCCATCATCACAAAGAATATTCTGAGAATGCTTCCGTTTGCTTTTTATATGAAGTTCCTTCCTATACTACCGTAGGCCTCAAAGCAGTCCAAATCTCCATTTACAGATTCTACAAAAAGAGTGTTTCCAATCTGCTCTATCAATAGGATTGTTCAACTCCGTGAGTTGAATGCCATCCTCACAAAGTAGTTTCTGAGAATGCTTCTATCTAGTTTTTATGTGAAGATATTTCCTTTTCCACCACAGGCCTCAAAGCCCTCCAAACGTCCACTTGCAGATTCTCGAAAAAGAGGGTTTCATAGCTGCTCTTTCAAAAGGAAAGTTCAACTCTGGGAGTTGAATACAAACATCACAAAGTAGTTTCCGAGAATGCTTCTGTTTAGTTCTTATGTGAAGATGATCCCGTTTCCAGTGAAATCTTGAAAGAGGTCCACATATCCCCTTGCAGATTCCAAAGAAAGAGGGTTTCAAAACTGCTCCATCAAAAGGATTGTTCAACTCTGTGAGTTGAATGCAGTCATCGCAGAAAACTTTGCTGAGAATGCTTCCTGTCTAGGTTTGATGTGAAGATATAGACGTTTCAAACGAAGGCTACAAAGTGGTCAAAATATACACTTGCAGATTCTACTACAAGGGTGTTGCAAACCTGAACTATCAAAGGAAGGTTCAACTCTGTGAGTTGAATACAAACATCACAAAGAATGTTCTGAGTTTGCTTCCGTTCAGTTATGGGAAGTTGATCCCGTTTCCAACGAAATCCTCAGAGAGGTCCAAATATCCCCTCGCAGATTCTACAAAACGTGTGTTTGGAAACTGCTCCATCATAACGAATGTTCAGCTCCCTGAGTTAAACTCCATCGTCACAAAGAATTTTCTGAGAGTGCTACCGTCTGGTTTTTATATGAAGTTCTTTCCTTCACTACGACAGGCCTCAAAGCGGTCCAAATCTCCACTTGCAGATTCTACAAAAAGAGTGTTTGCAAACTGCTCTATCAAAAGGAATGTTCAACTCTGGGAGTTGAATGCAATCATCACAGAGCAGTTTCTGAGAATGCTTCTATGTCGTTTTTAGGAGAAGATATTTCCTTTTCCAACACAGTCCTCCAAGCCCGCTAAATAGCCACTTGCACATTGTAGAAAAAGTGTGTCAAAGCTGCGCTATCAAAGGGAAAGTTCAACTCTGTGAGGTGAATGCAAACATCCCAAAGAAGTTTCTGAGAATGCTTCCATTTAGCTTTTAGGTGAAGATTATCCCGTTTCCAACGAAACCTTCAAAGAGGTCCAAATATCCCCTTGCGGATCCCACAGAAAGAGTGTTTCGAAACTGCTGTTTCAAAAGGAATCTTCAACTCTGTGAGTTGAATGCAATCATCACAAAGAAGTTTCTGACAATGCTTCTCTCTCGTCTTTCTGTGAAGATAAAGGAAAAGGCTTTCAGGCCTTTTCCACCACAGGCCTGAAAGCACTCCAAATGTCCACTTGCAGATTCTGCCAAAACAATATTTCAAAACTGCTCTATGAAAAGCAATGTTAAACTCTGCGGCTCGAACACAAACATCACAAAGCGGTTTCTGAGAATGCTTCAGTTTAGTTTTTCTGTGGAAATATTCCCGTTTCCAAAGAAATCTTCAAAGAGGTCCACGTATCCATTTACAGATTCTACAAAAAGACAGTTTCAAAACTGCTCAATCAAAAGGAGGGTTCAACCGTGTGACTTGAATGCAATCATCAGTCAGAAGTTTCTGAGAATGCTTCTCTTTAGTTTTTACGTGAACATATACCCGTTTCGAACGAAGGCCACCCAGTGGTCCAAATATCCACTTGCAGATTCTACAGAAAGAGTGTTTCGAACCTGAACTCTCAAAGGCAGGTTCATCTCTGCGAGTTCAATGCATTCAACATGAAGAAATTTCTCAGCGTGTTTTGTGTTTAGTTATGGGAAATTATTCCCGTTTCCAACGAAATCCTCAGGAGAGCTCCAAATATCCACCTGCAGATTCTACCAAAAGTGTATTTGGAAACTGCTCCATCAAAAGGCATGTTCAGCTCTGTGAGTGAAACTCCATCATCACAAAGAATATTCTGAGAATGCTTCCGTTTGCCTTTTATATGAAGTTCCTTCCTGTACTACCGTAGGCCTCAAAGCAGTCCAAATCTCCATTTGCAGATTCTACAAAAAGAGTGATTCCAATCTGCTCTATCAATAGGATTGTTCAACTCCATGAGTTGAATGCCATCCTCACAAAGCAGTTTCTGAGAATGCTTCTATCTGGTTTTTGTGTGAAGATATTTCCTTTTCCACCACAGGCCTCAAAGCCCTCCAAACGTCCACTTGCAGATTCTCGAAAAAGAGTGTTTCATAGCTGCTCTTTCAAAAGGAAAGTTCAACTCTGGGAGTTGAATACAAACATCACAAAATAGTTTCCGAGAATGCTTCTGTTTAGTTTTTATGTGAAGATGACCCCGTTTCCAGTGAAATCATCAAAGAGGTCCACATATCCCCTTGCAGATTCCAAAGAAAGAGGGTTTCAAAACTGCTCCATCAGAAGGATTGTTCAACTCTGTGAGTTGAATGCAGTCATCGCAGAAAACTTTCTGAGAATGCTTCTTTCTAGGTTTGATGTGAAGATATAGACGTTTCAAACGAAGGCTACAAAGTGGTCAAAATATACACTTGCAGATTCTACTACAAGGGTGTTGCAAACCTGAACTATCAAAGGAAGGTTCAACTCTGTGAGTTGAATACAAACATCACAAAGAATGTTCTGAGTTTGCTTCCGTTCAGTTATGGGAAGTTGATCCCGTTTCCAACGAAATCCTCAGAGAGGTCCAAATATCCCCTCGCAGATTCTACAAAACGTGTGTTTGGAAACTGCTCCATCATAACGAATGTTCAGCTCCCTGAGTTAAACTCCATCGTCACAAAGAATTTTCTGAGAGTGCTACCGTCTGGTTTTTATATGAAGTTCTTTCCTTCACTACCACAGGCCTCAAAGCGGTCCAAATCTCCACTTGCAGATTCTACAAAAAGAGTGTTTGCAAACTGCTCTATCAAAAGGAATGTTCAACTCTGGGAGTTGAATGCAATCATCACAGAGCAGTTTCTGAGAATGCTTCTATGTCGTTTTTAGGAGAAGATATTTCCTTTTCCAACACAGTCCTCCAAGCCCGCTAAATAGCCACTTGCACATTGTAGAAAAAGTGTGTCAAAGCTGCGCTATCAAAGGGAAAGTTCAACTCTGTCAGGTGAATGCAAACATCCCAAAGAAGTTTCTGAGAATGCTTCCGTTTAGCTTTTAGGTGAAGATTATCCCGTTTCCAACGAAAGCTTCAAAGAGGTCCAAATATCCCCTTGCGGATCCCACAGAAAGAGTGTTTCGAAACTGCTGTTTCAAAAGGAATCTTCAACTCTGTGAGTTGAATGCAATCATCACAAAGAAGTTTCTGACAATGCTTCTCTCTCGTCTTTCTGTGAAGATAAAGGAAAAGGCTTTCAGGCCTTTTCCACCACAGGCCTGAAAGCGCTCCAAATGTCCACTTGCAGATTCTGCGAAAAGAATATTTCAAAACTGCTCTATGAAAAGCAATGTTAAACTCTGTGGCTCGAACACAAACATCACAAAGCAGTTTCTGAGAATGCTTCAGTTTAGTTTTTCTGTGGAAATATTCCCGTTTCCAAAGAAATCTTCAAAGAGGTCCACGTATCCACTTACAGATTCTACAAAAAGACAGTTTCAAAACTGCTCCATCAAAAGGAGGGTTCAACTGTGTGACTTGAATGCAATCATCACTCAGAAGTTTCTGAGAATGCTTCTCTTTAGTTTTTACGTGAACATATACCCGTTTCGAACGAAGGCCAGCCAGTGGTCCAAATATCCACTTGCAGATTCTACAGAAAGAGTGTTTCGAACCTGAACTCTCAAAGGCAGGTTCATCTCTGCGAGTTAAATGCATTCATCATGAAGAACTTTCTCAGAGTGTTTGTGTTTAGTTATGGGAAATTATTCCCGTTTCCAACGAAATCCTCAGAGAGCTCCAAATATCCACCTGCAGATTCTACCAAAAGTGTATTTGGAAACTGCTCCATCAAAAGGCATGTTCAGCTCTGTGAGTGAAACTCCATCATCACAAAGAATATTCTGAGAATGCTTCCGTTTGCCTTTTATATGAAGTTCCTTCCTATACGACCGTAGGCCTCAAAGCAGTCCAAATCTCCATTTGCAGATTCTACAAAAAGAGTGATTCCAATCTGCTCTATCAATAGGATTGTTCAACTCCATGAGTTGAATGCCATCCTCACAAAGTCGTTTCTGAGAATGCTTCTATCTAGTTTTTATGTGAAGATATTTCCTTTTCCACCACAGGCCTCAAAGCCCTCCAAACGTCCACTTGCAGATTCTCGAAAAAGAGTGTTTCATAGCTGCTCTTTCAAAAGGAAAGTTCAACTCTGGGAGTTGAATACAAACATCACAAAGTAGTTTCCGAGAATGCTTCTGTTTAGTTTTTATGTGAAGATGATCCCGTTTCCAGTGAAATCTTCAAAGAGGTCCACATATCCCCTTGCAGATTCCAAAGAAAGAGGGTTTCAAAACTGCTCCATCAGAAGGATTGTTCAACTCTGTGAGTTGAATGCAGTCATCGCAGAAAACTTTCTGAGAATGCTTCTGTCTAGGTTTGATGTGAAGATATAGACGTTTCAAACGAAGGCTACAAAGTGGTCAAAATATACACTTGCAGATTCTACTACAAGGGTGTTGCAAACCTGAACTATCAAAGGAAGGTTCAACTCTGTGAGTTGAATACAAACATCACAAAGAATGTTCTGAGTTTGCTTCCGTTCAGTTATGGGAAGTTGATCCCTTTTCCAACAAAATCCTCAGAGAGGTCCAAATATCCCCTTGCAGATTCTACAAAACGTGTGTTGGGAAACTGCTCCATCATAACGAATGTTCAGCTCCCTGAGTTAAACTCCATCGTCACAAAGAATTTTCTGAGAGTGCTACCGTCTGGTTTTTATATGAAGTTCTTTCCTTCACTACCACAGGCCTCAAAGCGGTCCAAACCTCCACTTGCAGATTCTACAAAAAGAGTGTTTGCAAACTGCTCTATCAAAAGGAATGTTCAACTCTGGGAGTTGAATGCAATCAACACAGAGCAGTTTCTGAGAATGCTTCTATGTCGTTTTTAGGAGAAGATATTTCCTTTTCCAACACAGTCCTCCAAGCCCGCTAAATAGCCACTTGCACATTGTAGAAAAAGTGTGTCAAAGCTGCGCTATCAAAGGGAAAGTTCAACTCTGTGAGGTGAATGCAAACATCCCAAAGAAGTTTCTGAGAATGCTTCCGTTTAGCTTTTAGGTGAGGATTATCCCGTTTCCAACGAAACCTTCAAAGAGGTCCAAATATCCCCTTGCGGATCCCACAGAAAGAGTGTTTCGAAACTGCTGTTTCAAAAGGAATCTTCAACTCTGTGAGTTGAATGCAATCATCACAAAGAAGTTTCTGACAATGCTTCTCTCTCGTCTTTCTGTGAAGATAAAGGAAAAGGCTTTCAGGCCTTTTCCACCACAGGCCTGAAAGCGCTCCAAATGTCCACTTGCAGATTCTGCCAAAAGAATATTTCAAAACTGCTCTATGAAAAGCAATGTTAAACTCTGTGGCTGGAACACAAACATCACAAAGCGGTTTCTGAGAATGTTTCAGTTTAGTTTTTCTGTGGAAATATTCCCGTTTCCAAAGAAATCTTCAAAGAGGTCCACGTATCCACTTACAGATTCTACAAAAAGACAGTTTCAAAACTGCTCCATCAAAAGGAGGGTTCAACCGTGTGACTTGAATGCAATCATCACTCAGAAGTTTCTGAGAATGCTTCTCTTTAGTTTTTACGTGAACATATACCCGTTTCGAACGAAGGCCACCCAGTGGTCCAAATATCCACTTGCAGATTCTACAGAAAGAGTGTTTCGAACCTGAACTCTCAAAGGCAGGTTCATCTCTGCGAGTTCAATGCATTCATCATGAAGAACTTTCTCAGAGTGTTTGTGTTTAGGTATGGGAAATTATTCCCGTTTCCAACGAAATCCTCAGAGAGGTCCAAATATCCACCTGCAGATTCTACCAAAAGTGTATTTGGAAACTGCTCCATCAAAAGGCATGTTCAGCTCTGTGAGTGAAACTCCATCATCACAAAGAATATTCTGAGAATGCTTCCGTTTGCCTTTTATATGAAGTTCCTTCCTATACTACCGTAGGCCTCAAAGCAGTCCAAATCTCCATTTGCAGATTCTACCAAAAGAGTGATTCCAATCTGCTCTATCAATAGGATTGTTCAAATCCATGAGTTGAATGCCATCCTCACAAAGTCGTTTCTGAGAATGCTTCTATCTAGTTTTTATGTGAAGATATTTCCTTTTCCACCACAGGCCTCAAAGCCCTCCAAACGTCCACTTGCAGATTCTCGAAAAAGAGTGTTTCATAGCCGCTCTTTCAAAAGGAAAGTTCAACTCTGGGAGTTGAATACAAACATCACAAAGTAGTTTCCGAGAATGCTTCTGTTTAGTTCTTATGTGAAGATGATCCCGTTTCCAGTGAAATCTTCAAAGAGGTCCACATATCCCCTTGCAGATTCCAAAGAAAGAGGGTTTCAAAACTGCTCCATCAAAAGGATTGTTCAACTCTGTGAGTTGAATGCAGTCATCGCAGAAAACTTTCTGAGAATGCTTCTGTCTAGGTTTGATGTGAAGATATAGACGTTTCAAACGAAGGCTACAAAGTGGTCAAAATATACACTTGCAGATTCTACTACAAGGGTGTTGCAAACCTCAACTATCAAAGGAAGGTTCAACTCTGTGAGATGAATGCAAACATCACAAAGAATGTTCTGAGTTTGCTTCCGTTCAGTTATGGGAAGTTGATCCCGTTTCCAACGAAATCCTCAGAGAGGTCCAAATATCCCCTTGCAGATTCTACAAAACGTGTGTTTGGAAACTGCTCCATCATAACGAATGTTCAGCTCTCTGAGTTAAACTCCATCGTCACAAAGAATTTTTTGAGAGTGCTACCGTCTACTTTTTATATGAAGTTCTTTCCTTTACTACCACAGGCCTCAAAGCGGTCCAAATCTCCACTTGCAGATTCTACAAAAAGAGTGTTTGCAAATTGCTCTATCAAAAGGAATGTTCAACTCTGGGAGTTGAATGCAATCATCACAGAGCAGTTTCTGAGAATGCTTCTATGTCGTTTTTAGGAGAAGATATTTCCTTTTCCAACACAGTCCTCCAAGCCCGCTAAATATCCACTTGCACATTGTAGAAAAAGTGTGTCGAAGCTGCGCTATCAAAGGGAAAGTTCAACTCTGTGAGGTGAATGCAAACATCCCAAAGAAGTTTCTGAGAATGCTTCCGTTTAGCTTTAAGTGAAGATTATCCCGTTTCCAACGAAATCTTCAAAGAGGTCCAAATATCCCCTTGCGGATCCCACAGAAAGAGTGTTTCGAAACTGCTGTTTCAAAAGGAATCTTCAACTCTGTGAGTTGAATGCAATCATCACAAAGAAGTTTCTGACAATGCTTCTCTCTCGTCTTTCTGTGAAGATAAAGGAAAAGGCTTTCAGGCCTTTTCCACCACAGGCCTGAATGCGCTCCAAATGTCCACTTGCAGATTCTGCCAAAAGAATATTTCAAAACTGCTCTGTGAAAAGCAATGTTAAACTCTGTGACTCGAACACAAACATCACAAAGCAGTTTCTGAGAATGCTTCAGTTTAGTTTTTCTGTGGAAATATTCCCGTTTCCAAAGAAATCTTCAAAGAGGTCCACGCATCCACTTACAGATTCTACAAAAAGACAGTTTCAAAACTGCTCAATCAAAAGGAGGGTTCAACTGTGTGACTTGAATGCAATCATCACTCAGAAGTTTCTGAGAACGCTTCTCTTTAGTTTTTACGTGAACATATACCCGTTTCGAACGAAGGCCAGCCAGTGGTCCAAATATCCACTTGCAGATTCTACAGAAAGAGTGTTTCGAACCTGAACTCTCAAAGGCAGGTTCATCTCTGCGAGTTCAATGCATTCATCATGAAGAACTTTCTCAGCGTGTTTGTGTTTAGTTATGGGAAATTATTCCCGTTTCCAACGAAATCCTCAGAGAGCTCCAAATATCCACCTGCAGATTCTACCAAAAGTGTATTTGGAAACTGCTCCATCAAAAGGCATGTTCAGCCCTGTGAGTGAAACTCCATCATCACAAAGAATATTCTGAGAATGCTTCCGTTTGCCTTTTATATGAAGTTCCTTCCTATACGACCGTAGGCCTCAAAGCAGTGCAAATCTCCATTTGCAGATTCTACAAAAAGAGTGATTCCAATCTGCTCTATCAATAGGATTGTTCAACTCCATGAGTTGAATGCCATCCTCACAAAGTCGTTTCTGAGAATGCTTCTATCTAGTTTTTATGTGAAGATATTTCCTTTTCCACCACAGGCCTCAAAGCCCTCCAAACGTCCACTTGCAGATTCTCGAAAAAGAGTGTTTCATAGCTGCTCTTTCAAAAGGAAAGTTCAACTCTGGGAGTTGAATACAAACATCACAAAGTAGTTTCCGAGAATGCTTCTGTTTAGTTTTTATGTGAAGATGATCCCGTTTCCAGTGAAATCTTCAAAGAGGTCCACATATCCCCTTGCAGATTCCAAAGAAAGAGGGTTTCAAAACTGCTCCATCAGAAGGATTGTTCAACTCTGTGAGTTGAATGCAGTCATCGCAGAAAACTTTCTGAGAATGCTTCTGTCTAGGTTTGATGTGAAGATATAGACGTTTCAAACGAAGGCTACAAAGTGGTCAAAATATACACTTGCAGATTCTACTACAAGGGTGTTGCAAACCTGAACTATCAAAGGAAGGTTCAACTCTGTGAGTTGAATACAAACATCACAAAGAATGTTCTGAGTTTGCTTCCGTTCAGTTATGGGAAGTTGATCCCGTTTCCAACGAAATCCTCAGAGAGGTCCAAATATCCCCTTGCAGATTCTACAAAACGTGTGTTTGGAAACTGCTCCATCATAACGAATGTTCAGCTCCCTGAGTTAAACTCCATCGTCACAAAGAATTTTCTGAGAGTGCTACCGTCTGGTTTTTATATGAAGTTCTTTCCTTCACTACCACAGGCCTCAAAGCGGTCCAAATCTCCACTTGCAGATTCTACAAAAAGAGTGTTTGCAAACTGCTCTATCAAAAGGAATGTTCAACTCTGGGAGTTGAATGCAATCATCACAGAGCAGTTTCTGAGAATGCTTCTATGTCGTTTTTAGGAGAAGATATTTCCTTTTCCAACACAGTCCTCCAAGCCCGCTAAATAGCCACTTGCACATTGTAGAAAAAGTGTGTCAAAGCTGCGCTATCAAAGGGAAAGTTCAACTCTGTGAGGTGAATGCAAACATCCCAAAGAAGTTTCTGAGAATGCTTCCGTTTAGCTTTTAGGTGAAGATTATCCCGTTTCCAACGAAACCTTCAAAGAGGTCCAAATATCCCCTTGCGGATCCCACAGAAAGAGTGTTTCGAAACTGCTGTTTCAAAAGGAATCTTCAACTCTGTGAGTTGAATGCAATCATCACAAAGAAGTTTCTGACAATGCTTCTCTCTCGTCTTTCTGTGAAGATAAAGGAAAAGGCTTTCAGGCCTTTTCCACCACAGGCCTGAAAGCGCTCCAAATGTCCACTTGCAGATTCTGTGAAAAGAATATTTCAAAACTGCTCTATGAAAAGCAATGTTAAACTCTGTGGCTCGAACACAAACATCACAAAGCAGTTTCTGAGAATGCTTCAGTTTAGTTTTTCTGTGGAAATATTCCCGTTTCCAAAGAAATCTTCAAAGAGGTCCACGTATCCACTTACAGATTCTACAAAAAGACAGTTTCAAAACTGCTCCATCAAAAGGAGGGTTCAACTGTGTGACTTGAATGCAATCATCACTCAGAAGTTTCTGAGAATGCTTCTCTTTAGTTTTTACGTGAACATATACCCGTTTCGATCGAAGGCCACCCAGTGGTCCAAATATCCACTTGCAGATTATACAGAAAGAGTGTTTCGAACCTGAACTCTCAAAGGCAGGTTCATCTCTGCGAGTTAAATGCATTCATCATGAAGAACTTTCTCAGAGTGTTTGTGTTTAGTTATGGGAAATTATTCCCGTTTCCAACGAAATCCTCAGAGAGCTCCAAATATCCACCTGCAGATTCTACCAAAAGTGTATTTGGAAACTGCTCCATCAAAAGGCATGTTCAGCTCTGTGAGTGAAACTCCATCATCACAAAGAATATTCTGAGAATGCTTCCGTTTGCCTTTTATATGAAGTTCCTTCCTATACGACCGTAGGCCTCAAAGCAGTCCAAATCTCCATTTGCAGATTCTACAAAAAGAGTGATTCCAATCTGCTCTATCAATAGGATTGTTCAACTCCATGAGTTGAATGCCATCCTCACAAAGTAGTTTCTGAGAATGCTTCTATCTAGTTTTTATGTGAAGATATTTCCTTTTCCACCACAGGCCTCAAAGCCCTCCAAACGTCCACTTGCAGATTCTCGAAAAAGAGTGTTTCATAGCTGCTCTTTCAAAAGGAAAGTTCAACTCTGGGAGTTGAATACAAACATCACAAAGTAGTTTCCGAGAATGCTTCTGTTTAGTTGTTATGTGAAGATGATCCCGTTTCCAGTGAAATCTTCAAAGAGGTCCATATATCCCCTTGCAGATTCCAAAGAAAGAGGGTTTCAAAACTGCTCCATCAAAAGGATTGTTCAACTCTGTGAGTTGAATGCAGTCATCGCAGAAAACTTTCTGAGAATGCTTCTGTCTAGGTTTGATGTGAAGATATAGACGTTTCAAACGAAGGCTACAAAGTGGTCAAAATATACACTTGCAGATTCTACTACAAGGGTGATGCAAACCTCAACTATCAAAGGAAGGTTCAACTCTGTGAGATGAATGCAACCATCACAAAAAATGTTCTGAGTTTGCTTCCGTTCAGTTATGGGAAATTGATACCGTTTCCAACGAAATCCTCAGAGAGGTCCAAATATCCCCTTGCAGATTCTACAAAACGTGTGTTTGGAAACTGCTCCATCATAACGAATGTTCAGCTCTCTGAGTTAAACTCCATCGTCACAAAGAATTTTCTGAGAGTGCTACCGTCTAGTTTTTATATGAAGTTCTTTCCTTTACTACCACAGACCTCAAAGCGGTCCAAATCTCCACTTGCAGATTCTACAAAAAGAGTGTTTGCAAACTGCTCTATCAAAAGGAATGTTCAACTCTGGGAGTTGAAAGCAATCATCACAGAGCAGTTTCTGAGAATGCTTCTATGTCGTTTTTAGGAGAAGATATTTCCTTTTCCAACACAGTCCTCCAAGCCCGCTAAATATCCACTTGCACATTGTAGAAAAAGTGTGTCGAAGCTGCGCTATCAAAGGGAAAGTTCAACTCTGTGAGGTGAATGCAAACATCCCAAAGAAGTTTCTGAGAATACTTCCGTTTAGCTTTTAGGTGAAGATTATCCCGTTTCCAACGAAATCTTCAAAGAGGTCCAAATATCCCCCTGCGGATCCCACAGAAAGAGTGTTTCGAAACTGCTGTTTCAAAAGGAATCTTCAACTCTGTGAGTTGAATGCAATCATCACAAAGAAGTTTCTGACAATGCTTCTCTCTCGTCTTTCTGTGAAGATAAAGGAAAAGGCTTTCAGGCCTTTTCCACCACAGGCCTGAAAGCGCTCCAAATGTCCACTTGCAGATTCTGCCAAAAGAATATTTCAAAACTGCTCTATGAAAAGCAATGTTAAACTCTGCGGCTCGAACACAAACATCACAAAGCAGTTTCTGAGAATGCTTCAGTTTAGTTTTTCTGTGGATATATTCCCGTTTCCAAAGAAATCTTCAAAGAGGTCCACGTATCCACTTACAGATTCTACAAAAAGACAGTTTCAAAACTGGTCAATCAAAAGGAGGGTTCAACTGTGTGACTTGAATGCAATCATCACTCAGAAGTTTCTGAGAACGCTTCTCTTTAGTTTTTACGTGAACATATACCCGTTTCGAACGAAGGCCAGCCAGTGGTCCAAATATCCACTTGCAGATTCTACAGAAAGAGTGTTTCGAACCTGAACTCTCAAAGGCAGGTTCATCTCTGCGAGTTAAATGCATTCATCATGAAGAACTTTCACAGAGTGTTTGTGTTTAGTTATGGGAAATTATTCCCGTTTCCAACGAAATCCTCAGAGAGCTCCAAATATCCACCTGCAGATTCTACCAAAAGTGTATTTGGAAACTGCTCCATCAAAAGGCATGTTCAGCTCTGTGAGTGAAACTCCATCATCACAAAGAATATTCTGAGAATGCTTCCGTTTGCCTTTTATATGAAGTTCCTTCCTATACGACCGTAGGCCTCAAAGCAGTCCAAATCTCCATTTGCAGATTCTACAAAAAGAGTGATTCCAATCTGCTCTATCAATAGGATTGTTCAACTCCATGAGTTGAATGCCATCCTCACAAAGTCGTTTCTGAGAATGCTTCTATCTAGTTTTTATGTGAAGATATTTCCTTTTCCACCACAGGCCTCAAAGCCCTCCAAACGTCCACTTGCAGATTCTCGAAAAAGAGTGTTTCATAGCTGCTCTTTCAAAAGGAAAGTTCAACTCTGGGAGTTGAATACAAACATCACAAAGTAGTTTCCGAGAATGCTTCTGTTTAGTTTTTATGTGAAGATGATCCCGTTTCCAGTGAAATCTTCAAAGAGGTCCACATATCCCCTTGCAGATTCCAAAGAAAGAGGGTTTCAAAACTGCTCCATCAGAAGGATTGTTCAACTCTGTGAGTTGAATGCAGTCATCGCAGAAAACTTTCTGAGAATGCTTCTGTCTAGGTTTGATGTGAAGATATAGACGTTTCAAACGAAGGCTACAAAGTGGTCAAAATATACACTTGCAGATTCTACTACAAGGGTGTTGCAAACCTGAACTATCAAAGGAAGGTTCAACTCTGTGAGTTGAATACAAACATCACAAAGAATGTTCTGAGTTTGCTTCCGTTCAGTTATGGGAAGTTGATCCCGTTTCCAACGAAATCCTCAGAGAGGTCCAAATATCCCCTTGCAGATTCTACAAAACGTGTGTTTGGAAACTGCTCCATCATAACGAATGTTCAGCTCCCTGAGTTAAACTCCATCGTCACAAAGAATTTTCTGAGAGTGCTACCGTCTGGTTTTTATATGAAGTTCTTTCCTTCACTACCACAGGCCTCAAAGCGGTCCAAATCTCCACTTGCAGATTCTACAAAAAGAGTGTTTGCAAACTGCTCTATCAAAAGGAATGTTCAACTCTGGGAGTTGAATGCAATCGTCACAGAGCAGTTTCTGAGAATGCTTCTATGTCGTTTTTAGGAGAAGATATTTCCTTTTCCAACACAGTCCTCCAAGCCCGCTAAATAGCCACTTGCACATTGTAGAAAAAGTGTGTCAAAGCTGCGCTATCAAAGGGAAAGTTCAACTCTGTGAGGTGAATGCAAACATCCCAAAGAAGTTTCTGAGAATGCTTCCGTTTAGCTTTTAGGTGAGGATTATCCCGTTTCCAACGAAACCTTCAAAGAGGTCCAAATATCCCCTTGCGGATCCCACAGAAAGAGTGTTTCGAAACTGCTGTTTCAAAAGGAATCTTCAACTCTGTGAGTTGAATGCAATCATCACAAAGAAGTTTCTGACAATGCTTCTCTCTCGTCTTTCTGTGAAGATAAAGGAAAAGGCTTTCAGGCCTTTTCCACCACAGGCCTGAAAGCGCTCCAAATGTCCACTTGCAGATTCTGCGAAAAGAATATTTCAAAACTGCTCTATGAAAAGCAATGTTAAACTC
Source organism: Homo sapiens (assembly GCF_000001405.40). Classification (NCBI taxonomy): domain Eukaryota; kingdom Metazoa; phylum Chordata; class Mammalia; order Primates; family Hominidae; genus Homo; species Homo sapiens. The sequence continues at coordinate 60,858,286 of NC_000023.11, read as the reverse complement.
TGTGGCTCGAACACAAACATCACAAAGCAGTTTCTGAGAATGCTTCAGTTTAGTTTTTCTGTGGAAATATTCCCGTTTCCAAAGAAATCTTCAAAGAGGTCCACGTATCCACTTACAGATTCTACAAAAAGACAGTTTCAAAACTGCTCCATCAAAAGGAGGGTTCAACTGTGTGACTTGAATGCAATCATCACTCAGAAGTTTCTGAGAATGCTTCTCTTTAGTTTTTACGTGAACATATACCCGTTTCGAACGAAGGCCAGCCAGTGGTCCAAATATCCACTTGCAGATTCTACAGAAAGAGTGTTTCGAACCTGAACTCTCAAAGGCAGGTTCATCTCTGCGAGTTAAATGCATTCATCATGAAGAACTTTCTCAGAGTGTTTGTGTTTAGTTATGGGAAATTATTCCCGTTTCCAACGAAATCCTCAGAGAGCTCCAAATATCCACCTGCAGATTCTACCAAAAGTGTATTTGGAAACTGCTCCATCAAAAGGCATGTTCAGCTCTGTGAGTGAAACTCCATCATCACAAAGAATATTCTGAGAATGCTTCCGTTTGCCTTTTATATGAAGTTCCTTCCTATACGACCGTAGGCCTCAAAGCAGTCCAAATCTCCATTTGCAGATTCTACAAAAAGAGTGATTCCAATCTGCTCTATCAATAGGATTGTTCAACTCCATGAGTTGAATGCCATCCTCACAAAGTCGTTTCTGAGAATGCTTCTATCTAGTTTTTATGTGAAGATATTTCCTTTTCCACCACAGGCCTCAAAGCCCTCCAAACGTCCACTTGCAGATCCTCGAAAAAGAGTGTTTCATAGCTGCTCTTTCAAAAGGAAAGTTCAACTCTGGGAGTTGAATACAAACATCACAAAGTAGTTTCCGAGAATGCTTCTGTTTAGTTTTTATGTGAAGATGATCCCGTTTCCAGTGAAATCTTCAAAGAGGTCCACATATCCCCTTGCAGATTCCAAAGAAAGAGGGTTTCAAAACTGCTCCATCAGAAGGATTGTTCAACTCTGTGAGTTGAATGCAGTCATCGCAGAAAACTTTCTGAGAATGCTTCTTTCTAGGTTTGATGTGAAGATATAGACGTTTCAAACGAAGGCTACAAAGTGGTCAAAATATACACTTGCAGATTCTACTACAAGGGTGTTGCAAACCTGAACTATCAAAGGAAGGTTCAACTCTGTGAGTTGAATACAAACATCACAAAGAATGTTCTGAGTTTGCTTCCGTTCAGTTATGGGAAGTTGATCCCGTTTCCAAAGAAATCCTCAGAGAGGTCCAAATATCCCCTCGCAGATTCTACAAAACGTGTGTTTGGAAACTGCTCCATCATAACGAATGTTCAGCTCCCTGAGTTAAACTCCATCGTCACAAAGAATTTTCTGAGAGTGCTCCGTCTGGTTTTTATATGAAGTTCTTTCCTTCACTACCACAGGCCTCAAAGCGGTCCAAATCTCCACTTGCAGATTCTACAAAAAGAGTGTTTGCAAACTGCTCTATCAAAAGGAATGTTCAACTCTGGGAGTTGAATGCAATCATCACAGAGCAGTTTCTGAGAATGCTTTCTATGTCGTTTTTAGGAGAAGATATTTCCTTTTCCAACACAGTCCTCCAAGCCCGCTAAATAGCCACTTGCACATTGTAGAAAAAGAGTGTCGAAGCTGCGCTATCAAAGGGAAAGTTCAACTCTGTGAGGTGAATGCAAACATCCCAACGAAGTTTCTGAGAATGCTTCCGTTTAGCTTTTAGGTGAAGATTATCCCGTTTCCAACGAAATCTTCAAAGAAGTCCAAATATCCCCTTGCGGATCCCACAGAAAGAGTGTTTCGAAACTGCTGTTTCAAAAGGAATCTTCAACTCTGTGAGTTGAATGCAATCATCACAAAGAAGTTTCTGACAATGCTTCTCTCTCGTCTTTCTGTGAAGATAAAGGAAAAGGCTTTCAGGCCTTTTCCACCACAGGCCTGAAAGCGCTCCAAATGTCCACTTGCAGATTCTGCCAAAAGAATATTTCAAAACTGCTCTATGAAAAGCAATGTTAAACTCTGTGGCTCGAACACAAACATCACAAAGCAGTTTCTGAGAATGCTTCAGTTTAGTTTTTCTGTGGAAATATTCCCGTTTCCAAAGAAATCTTCAAAGAGGTCCAAGTATCCACTTACAGATTCTACAAAAAGACAGTTTCAAAACTGCTCCATCAAAAGGAAGGTTCAACTGTGTGACTTGAATGCAATCATCACTCAGAAGTTTCTGAGAATGCTTCTCTTTAGTTTTTACGTGAACATATACCCGTTTCGAACGAAGGCCAGCCAGTGGTCCAAATATCCACTTGCAGATTCTACAGAAAGAGTGTTTCGAACATGAACTCTCAAAGGCAGGTTCATCTCTGCGAGTTAAATGCATTCATCATGAAGAACTTTCTCAGAGTGTTTGTGTTTAGTTATGGGAAATTATTCCCGTTTCCAACGAAATCCTCAGAGAGGTCCAAATATCCACCTGCAGATTCTACCAAAAGTGTATTTGGAAACTGCTCCATCAAAAGGCATGTTCAGCTCTGTGAGTGAAACTCCATCATCACAAAGAATATTCTGAGAATGCTTCCGTTTGCCTTTTATACGAAGTTCCTTCCTATACGACCGTAGGCCTCAAAGCAGTCCAAATCTCCATTTGCAGATTCTACAAAAAGAGTGATTCCAATCTGCTCTATCAATAGGATTGTTCAACTCCATGTGTTGAATGCCATCCTCACAAAGTCGTTTCTGAGAATGCTTCTATCTAGTTTTTATGTGAAGATATTTCCTTTTCCACCACAGGCCTCAAAGCCCTCCAAACGTCCACTTGCAGATTCTCGAAAAAGAGTGTTTCATAGCTGCTCTTTCAAAAGGAAAGTTCAACTCTGGGAGTTGAATACAAACATCACAAAGTAGTTTCCGAGAATGCTTCTGTTTAGTTTTTATGTGAAGATGATCCCGTTTCCAGTGAAATCTTCAAAGAAGTCCACATATCCCCTTGCAGATTCCAAAGAAAGAGGGTTTCAAAACTGCTCCATCAGAAGGATTGTTCAACTCTGTGAGTTGAATGCAGTCATCGCAGAAAACTTTCTGAGAATGCTTCTGTCTAGGTTTGATGTGAAGATATAGACGTTTCAAACGAAGGCTACAAAGTGGTCAAAATATACACTTACAGATTCTACTACAAGGGTGATGCAAACTTGAACTATCAAAGGAAGGTTCAACTCTGTGAGTTGAATACAAACATCACAAAGAATGTTCTGAGTTTGCTTCCGTTCAGTTATGGGAAGTTGATCCCGTTTCCAACGAAATCCTCAGAGAGGTCCAAATATCCCCTTGCAGATTCTACAAAACGTGTGTTTGGAAACTGCTCCATCATAACGAATGTTCAGCTCTCTGAGTTAAACTCCATCGTCACAAAGAATTTTCTGAGGGTGCTACCGTCTAGTTTTTATATGAAGTTCTTTCCTTTACTACCACAGGCCTCAAAGCGGTCCAAATCTCCACTTGCAGATTCTACAAAAAGAGTGTTTGCAAACTGCTCTATCAAAAGGAATGTTCAACTCTGGGAGTTGAATGCAATCATCACAGAGCAGTTTCTGAGAATGCTTCTATGTCGTTTTTAGGAGAAGATATTTCCTTTTCCAACACAGTCCTCCAAGCCCGCTAAATATCCACTTGCACATTGTAGAAAAAGTGTGTCGAAGCTGCGCTATCAAAGGGAAAGTTCAACTCTGTGAGGTGAATGCAAACATCCCAAAGAAGTTTCTGAGAATGCTTCCGTTTAGCTTTTAGGTGAAGATTATCCCGTTTCCAACGAAACCTTCAAAGAGGTCCAAATATCCCCTTGCGGATCCCACAGAAAGAGTGTTTCGAAACTGCTGTTTCAAAAGGAATCTTCAACTCTGTGAGTTGAATGCAATCATCACAAAGAAGTTTCTGACAATGCTTCTCTCTCGTCTTTCTGTGAAGATAAAGGAAAAGGCTTTCAGGCCTTTTCCACCACAGGCCTGAAAGCGCTCCAAATGTCCACTTGCAGATTCTGTGAAAAGAATATTTCAAAACTGCTCTATGAAAAGCAATGTTAAACTCTGTGGCTCGAACACAAACATCACAAAGCAGTTTCTGAGAATACTTCAGTTTAGTTTTTCTGTGGAAATATTCCCGTTTCCAAAGAAATCTTCAAAGAGGTCCACGTATCCACTTACAGATTCTACAAAAAGACAGTTTCAAAACTGCTCCATCAAAAGGAGGGTTCAACCGTGTGACTTGAATGCAATCATCACTCAGAAGTTTCTGAGAATGCTTCTCTTTAGTTTTTACGTGAACATATACCCGTTTCGAACGAAGGCCACCCAGTGGTCCAAATATCCACTTGCAGATTCTACAGAAAGAGTGTTTCGAACCTGAACTCTCAAAGGCAGGTTCATCTCTGCGAGTTAAATGCATTCATCATGAAGAACTTTCTCAGAGTGTTTGTGTTTAGTTATGGGAAATTATTCCCGTTTCCAACGAAATCCTCAGAGAGCTCCAAATATCCACCTGCAGATACTACCAAAAGTGTATTTGGAAACTGCTCCATCAAAAGGCATGTTCAGCTCTGTGAGTGAAACTCCATCATCACAAAGAATATTCTGAGAATGCTTCCGTTTGCCTTTTATATGAAGTTCCTTCCTGTACTACTGTAGGCCTCAAAGCAGTCCAAATCTCCATTTGCAGATTCTACAAAAAGAGTGATTCCAATCTGCTCTATCAATAGGATTGTTCAACTCCATGAGTTGAATGCCATCCTCACAAAGTAGTTTCTGAGAATGCTTCTATCTAGTTTTTATGTGAAGATATTTCCTTTTCCACCACAGGCCTCAAAGCCCTCCAAACAGTCCACTTGCAGATTCTCGAAAAAGAGTGTTTCATAGCTGCTCTTTCAAAAGGAAAGTTCAACTCTGGGAGTTGAATACAAACATCACAAAGTAGTTTCCGAGAATGCTTCTGTTTAGTTCTTATGTGAAGATGATCCCGTTTCCAGTGAAATCTTCAAAGAGGTCCACATATCCCCTTGCAGATTCCAAAGAAAGAGGGTTTCAAAACTGCTCCATCAAAAGGATTGTTCAACTCTGTGAGTTGAATGCAGTCATCGCAGAAAACTTTCTGAGAATGCTTCTGTCTAGGTTTGATGTGAAGATATAGACGTTTCAAACGAAGGCTACAAAGTGGTCAAAATATACACTTGCAGATTCTACTACAAGGGTGATGCAAACCTCAACTATCAAAGGAAGGTTCAACTCTGTGAGATGAATGCAACCATCACAAAAAATGTTCTGAGTTTGCTTCCGTTTAGTTATGGGAAATTGATACCGTTTCCAACGAAATCCTCAGAGAGGTCCAAATATCCCCTTGCAGATTCTACAAAACGTGTGTTTGGAAACTGCTCCATCATAACGAATGTTCAGCTCTCTGAGTTAAACTCCATCGTCACAAAGAATTTTCTGAGAGTGCTACCGTCTAGTTTTTATATGAAGTTCTTTCCTTTACTACCACAGGCCTCAAAGCGGTCCAAATCTCCACTTGCAGATTCTACAAAAAGAGTGTTTGCAAACTGCTCTATCAAGAGGAATGTTCAACTCTGGGAGTTGAATGCAATCATCACAGAGCAGTTTCTGAGAATGCTTCTATGTGGTTTTTAGGAGAAGATATTTCCTTTTCCACCACAGTCCTCCAAGCCCGCTAAATATCCACTTGCAGATGGTAGAAAAAGTGTTTCAAAGCTGTGCTATCAAAGGGAAAGTTCAACTCTGTGAGGTGAATGCAAGCATCCCAAAGAAGTTTCTGAGAGTGCTTCCGTTTAGCTTTTAGGTGAAGATTATCCCGTTTCCAACGAAACCTTCAAAGAGGTCCAAATATCCCCTTGCGGATCCCACAGAAAGAGTGTTTCGAAACTGCTGTTTCAAAAGGAATCTTCAACTCTGTGAGTTGAATGCAATCATCACAAAGAAGTTTCTGACAATGCTTCTCTCTCGTCTTTCTGTGAACATAAAGGAAAAGGCTTTCAGGCCTTTTCCACCACAGGCCTGAAAGCGCTCCAAATGTCCACTTGCAGATTCTGCCAAAAGAATATTTCAAAACTGCTCTATGAAAAGCAATGTTAAACTCTGTGGCTCGAACACAAACATCACAAAGCAGTTTCTGAGAATGCTTCAGTTTAGTTTTTCTGTGGAAATATTCCCGTTTCCAAAGAAATCTTCAAAGAGGTCCACGTATCCACTTACAGATTCTACAAAAAGACAGTTTCAAAACTGCTCCATCAAAAGGAGGGTTCAACTGTGTGACTTGAATGCAATCATCACTCAGAAGTTTCTGAGAATGCTTCTCTTTAGTTTTTACGTGAACATATACCCGTTTCGAACGAAGGCCACCCAGTGGTCCAAATATCCACTTGCAGATTATACAGAAAGAGTGTTTCGAACCTGAACTCTCAAAGGCAGGTTCATCTCTGCGAGTTAAATGCATTCATCATGAAGAACTTTCTCAGAGTGTTTGTGTTTAGTTATGGGAAATTATTCCCGTTTCCAACGAAATCCTCAGAGAGCTCCAAATATCCACCTGCAGATTCTACCAAAAGTGTATTTGGAAACTGCTCCATCAAAAGGCATGTTCAGCTCTGTGAGTGAAACTCCATCATCACAAAGAATATTCTGAGAATGCTTCCGTTTGCCTTTTATATGAAGTTCCTTCGTATACTACCGTAGGCCTCAAAGCAGTCCAAATCTCCATTTGCAGATTCTACAAAAAGAGTGATTCCAATCTGCTCTATCAATAGGACTGTTCAACTCCATGAGTTGAATGCCATCCTCACAAAGTCGTTTCTGAGAATGCTTCTATCTAGTTTTTATGTGAAGATATTTCCTTTTCCACCACAGGCATCAAAGCCCTCCAAACGTCCACTTGCAGATTCTCGAAAAAGAGTGTTTCATAGCTGCTCTTTCAAAAGGAAAGTTCAACTCTGGGAGTTGAATACAAACATCACAAAGTAGTTTCCGAGAATGCTTCTGTTTAGTTCTTATGTGAAGATGATCCCGTTTCCAGTGAAATCTTCAAAGAGTTCCACATATCCCCTTGCAGATTCCAAAGAAAGAGGGTTTCAAAACTGCTCCATCAAAAGGATTGTTCAACTCTGTGAGTTGAATGCAGTCATCGCAGAAAACTTTCTGAGAATGCTTCTGTCTAGGTTTGATGTGAAGATATAGACGTTTCAAACGAAGGCTACAAAGTGGTCAAAATATACACTTGCAGATTCTACTACAAGGGTGATGCAAACCTGAACTATCAAAGGAAGGTTCAACTCTGTGAGTTGAATACAAACATCACAAAGAATGTTCTGAGTTTGCTTCCGTTCAGTTATGGGAAGTTGATCCCGTTTCCAACGAAATCCTCAGAGAGGTCCAAATATCCCCTTGCAGATTCTACAAAACGTGTGTTTGGAAACTGCTCCATCATAACGAATGTTCAGCTCTCTGAGTTAAACTCCATCGTCACAAAGAATTTTCTGAGAGTGCTACCGTCTAGTTTTTATATGAAGTTGTTTCCTTTACTACCACAGGCCTCAAAGCTTTTCCAAATCTCCACTTGCAGATTCTACAAAAAGAGTGTTTGCAAACTGCTCTATCAAAAGGAATGTTCAACTCTGGGAGTTGAATGCAATCATCACAGAGCAGTTTCTGAGAATGCTTCTATGTGGTTTTTAGGAGAAGATATTTCCTTTTCCAACACAGTCCTGCAAGCCCGCTAAATATCCACTTGCACATTTTAGAAAAAGTGTGTCGAAGCTGCGCTATCAAAGGGAAAGTTCAACTCTGTGAGGTGAATGCAAACATCCCAAAGAAGTTTCTGAGAATGCTTCCGTTTAGCTTTTAGGTGAAGATTATCCCGTTTGCAACGAAATCTTCAAAGAGGTCCAAATATCCCCTTGCGGATCCCACAGAAAGAGTGTTTCGAAACTGCTGTTTCAAAAGGAATCTTCAACTCTGTGAGTTGAATGCAATCATCACAAAGAAGTTTCTGACAATGCTTCTCTCTCGTCTTTCTGTGAAGATAAAGGAAAAGGCTTTCAGGCCTTTTCCACCACAGGCCTGAAAGCGCTCCAAATGTCCACTTGCAGATTCTGCCAAAAGAATATTTCAAAACTGCTCTATGAAAAGCAATGTTAAACTCTGTGGCTCGAACACAAACATCACAAAGCAGTTTCTCAGAATGCTTCAGTTTAGTTTTTCTGTGGAAATATTCCCGTTTCCAAAGAAATCTTCAAAGAGGTCGACGCATACACTTACAGATTCTACAAAAAGACAGTTTCAAAACTGCTCAATCAAAAGGAGGGTTCAACTGTGTGACTTGAATGCAATCATCACTCAGAAGTTTCTGAGAACGCTTCTCTTTAGTTTTTCCGTGAACATATACCCGTTTCGAATGAAGGCCAGCCAGTGGTCCAAATATCCACTTGCAGATTCTGCAGAAAGAGTGTTTTGAACCTGAACTCTCAAAGGCAGGTTCATCTCTGCGAGTTAAATGCATTCATCATGAAGAACTTTCTCAGCGTGTTTGTGTTTAGTTATGGGAAATTATTCCCGTTTCCAACGAAATCCTCAGAGAGCTCCAAATATCCACCTGCAGATTCTACCAAAAGTGTATTTGGAAACTGCTCCATCAAAAGGCATGTTCAGCTCTGTGAGTGAAACTCCATCATCACAAAGAATATTCTGAGAATGCTTCCGTTTGCCTTTTATATGAAGTTCCTTCCTATACGACCGTAGGCCCCAAAGCAGTCCAAATCTCCATTTGCAGATTCTACAAAAAGAGTGATTCCAATCTGCTCTATCAATAGGATTGTTCAACTCCATGAGTTGAATGCCATCCTCACAAAGTCGTTTCTGAGAATGCTTCTATCTAGTTTTTATGTGAAGATATTTCCTTTTCCACCACAGGCCTCAAAGCCCTCCAAACGTCCACTTGCAGATTCTCGAAAAAGAGTGTTTCATAGCTGCTCTTTCAAAAGGAAAGTTCAACTCTGGGAGTTGAATACAAACATCACAAAGTAGTTTCCGAGAATGCTTCTGTTTAGTTTTTATGTGAAGATGATCCCGTTTCCAGTGAAATCTTCAAAGAGGTCCACATATCCCCTTGCAGATTCCAAAGAAAGAGGGTTTAAAAACTGCTCCATCAGAAGGATTGTTCAACTCTGTGAGTTGAATGCAGTCATCGCAGAAAACTTTCTGAGAATGCTTCTGTCTAGGTTTGATGTGAAGATATAGACGTTTCAAACGAAGGCTACAAAGTGGTCAAAATATACACTTGCAGATTCTACTACAAGGGTGTTGCAAACCTGAACTATCAAAGGAAGGTTCAACTCTGTGAATTGAATACAAACATCACAAAGAATGTTCTGAGTTTGCTTCCGTTCAGTTATGGGAAGTTGATCCCGTTTCCAACGAAATCCTCAGAGAGGTCCAAATATCCCCTCGCAGATTCTACAAAACGTGTGTTTGGAAACTGCTCCATCATAACGAATGTTCAGCTCCCTGAGTTAAACTCCATCGTCACAAAGAATTTTCTGAGAGTGCTACCGTCTGGTTTTTATATGAAGTTCTTTCCTTCACTACCACAGGCCTCAAAGCGGTCCAAATCTCCACTTGCAGATTCTACAAAAAGAGTGTTTGCAAACTGCTCTATCAAAAGGAATGTTCAACTCTGGGAGTTGAATGCAATCATCACAGAGCAGTTTCTGAGAATGCTTCTATGTCGTTTTTAGGAGAAGATATTTCCTTTTCCAACACAGTCCTCCAAGCCCGCTAAATAGCCACTTGCACATTGTAGAAAAAGTGTGTCAAAGCTGCGCTATCAAAGGGAAAGTTCAACTCTGTGAGGTGAATGCAAACATCCCAAAGAAGTTTCTGAGAATGCTTCCGTTTAGCTTTTAGGTGAAGATTATCCCGTTTCCAACGAAACCTTCAAAGAGGTCCAAATATCCCCTTGCGGATCCCACAGAAAGAGTGTTTCGAAACTGCTGTTTCAAAAGGAATCTTCAACTCTGTGAGTTGAATGCAATCATCACAAAGAAGTTTCTGACAATGCTTCTCTCTCGTCTTTCTGTGAAGATAAAGGAAAAGGCTTTCAGGCCTTTTCCACCACAGGCCTGAAAGCGCTCCAAATGTCCACTTGCAGATTCTGCCAAAAGAATATTTCAAAACTGCTCTATGAAAAGCAATGTTAAACTCTGCGGCTCAAACACAAACATCACAAAGCGGTTTCTGAGAATGCTTCAGTTTAGTTTTTCTGTGGAAATATTCCCGTTTCCAAAGAAATCTTCAAAGAGGTCCACGTATCCACTTACAGATTCTACAAAAAGACAGTTTCAAAACTGCTCCATCAAAACGAGGGTTCAACTGTGTGACTTGAATGCAATCATCACTCAGAAGTTTCTGAGAATGCTTCTCTTTAGTTTTTACGTGAACATATACCCGTTTCGAACGAAGGCCACCCAGTGGTCCAAATATCCACTTGCAGATTCTACAGAAAGAGTGTTTCGAACCTGAACTCTCAAAGGCAGGTTCATCACTGCGAGTTAAATGCATTCATCATGAAGAACTTTCTCAGCGTGTTTGTGTTTAGTTATGGGAAATTATTCCCGTTTCCAACGAAATCCTCAAAGAGCTCCAAATATCCACCTGCAGATTCTACCAAAAGTGTATTTGGAAACTGCTCCATCAAAAGGCATGTTCAGCTCTGTGAGTGAAACTCCATCATCACAAAGAATATTCTGAGAATGCTTCCGTTTGCCTTTTATCTGAAGTTCCTTCCTATACGACCGTAGGCCTCAAAGCAGTCCAAATCTCCATTTGCAGATTCTACAAAAAGAGTGATTCCAATCTGCTCTATCAATAGGATTGTTCAACTCCATGAGTTGAATGCCATCCTCACAAAGTAGTTTCTGAGAATGCTTCTATCTAGTTTTTATGTTTAGGTATTTCCTTTTCCACCACAGGCCTCCAAGCCCTCCAAACGTCCACTTGCAGATTCTCGAAAAAGAGTGTTTCATAGCTGCTCTTTCAAAAGGAAAGTTCAACTCTGGGAGTTGAATACAAACATCACAAAGTAGTTTCCGAGAATGCTTCTGTTTAGTTTTTATGTGAAGATGATCCCGTTTCCAGTGAAATCTTCAAAGAGGTCCACATATCCCCTTGCAGATTCCAAAGAAAGAGGGTTTCAAAACTGCTCCATCAGAAGGATTGTTCAACTCTGTGAGTTGAATGCAGTCATCGCAGAAAACTTTCTGAGAATGCTTCTGTCTAGGTTTGATGTGAAGATATAGACGTTCAAACGAAGGCTACAAAGTGGTCAAAATATACACTTGCAGATTCTACTACAAGGGTGTTGCAAACCTGAACTATCAAAGGAAGGTTCAACTCTGTGAGTTGAATACAAACATCACAAAGAATGTTCTGAGTTTGCTTCCGTTCAGTTATGGGAAGTTGATCCCGTTTCCAACGAAATCCTCAGAGAGGTCCAAATATCCCCTTGCAGATTCTACAAAACGTGTGTTTGGAAACTGCTCCATCATAACGAATGTTCAGCTCCCTGAGTTAAACTCCATCGTCACAAAGAATTTTCTGAGAGTGCTACCGTCTGGTTTTTATATGAAGTTCTTTCCTTCACTACCACAGGCCTCAAAGCGGTCCAAATCTCCACTTGCAGATTCTACAAAAAGAGTGTTTGCAAACTGCTCTATCAAAAGGAATGTTCAACTCTGGGAGTTGAATGCAATCATCACAGAGCAGTTTCTGAGAATGCTTCTATGTCGTTTTTAGGAGAAGATATTTCCTTTTCCAACACAGTCCTCCAAGCCCGCTAAATAGCCACTTGCACATTGTAGAAAAAGTGTGTCAAAGCTGCGCTATCAAAGGGAAAGTTCAACTCTGTGAGGTGAATGCAAACATCCCAAAGAAGTTTCTGAGAATGCTTCCGTTTAGCTTTTAGGTGAAGATTATCCCGTTTCCAACGAAACCTTCAAAGAGGTCCAAATATCCCCTTGCGGATCCCACAGAAAGAGTGTTTCGAAACTGCTGTTTCAAAAGGAATCTTCAACTCTGTGAGTTGAATGCAATCATCACAAAGAAGTTTCTGACAATGCTTCTCTCTCGTCTTTCTGTGAAGATAAAGGAAAAGGCTTTCAGGCCTTTTCCACCACAGGCCTGAAAGCGCTCCAAATGTCCACTTGCAGATTCTGCGAAAAGAATATTTCAAAACTGATCTATGAAAAGCAATGTTAAACTCTGTGGCTCGAACACAAACATCACAAAGCGGTTTCTGAGAATGCTTCAGTTTAGTTTTTCTGTGGAAATATTCCCGTTTCCAAAGAAATCTTCAAAGAGGTCCACGTATCCACTTACAGATTCTACAAAAAGACAGTTTCAAAACTGCTCCATCAAAAGGAGGGTTCAACTGTGTGACTTGAATGCAATCATCACTCAGAAGTTTCTGAGAATGCTTCTCTTTAGTTTTTACGTGAACATATACCCGTTTCGAACGAAGGCCAGCCAGTGGTCCAAATATCCACTTGCAGATTCTACAGAAAGAGTGTTTCGAACCTGAACTCTCAAAGGCAGGTTCATCTCTGCGAGTTGAATGCATTCATCATGAAGAACTTTCTCAGAGTGTTTGTGTTTAGTTATGGGAAATTATTCCCGTTTCCAACGAAATCCTCAGAGAGCTCCAAATATCCACCTGCAGATTCTACCAAAAGTGTATTTGGAAACTGCTCCATCAAAAGGCATGTTCAGCTCTGTGAGTGAAACTCCATCATCACAAAGAATATTCTGAGAATGCTTCCGTTTGCCTGTTATATGAAGTTCCTTCCTATACGACCGTAGGCCTCAAAGCAGTCCAAATCTCCATTTGCAGATTCTACAAAAAGAGTGATTCCAATCTGCTCTATCAATAGGATTGTTCAACTCCATGAGTTGAATGCCATCCTCACAAAGTCGTTTCTGAGAATGCTTCTATCTAGTTTTTATGTGAAGATATTTCCTTTTCCACCACAGGCCTCAAAGCCTTCCAAACGTCCACTTGCAGATTCTCGAAAAAGAGTGTTTCATAGCTGCTCTTTCAAAAGGAAAGTTCAACTCTGGGAGTTGAATACAAACATCACAAAGTAGTTTCCGAGAATGCTTCTGTTTACTTTTTATGTGAAGATGATCCCGTTTCCAGTGAAATCTTCAAAGAGGTCCACATATCCCCTTGCAGATTCCAAAGAAAGAGGGTTTCAAAACTGCTCCATCAGAAGGATTGTTCAACTCTGTGAGTTGAATGCAGTCATCGCAGAAAACTTTCTGAGAATGCTTCTGTCTAGGTTTGATGTGAAGATATAGATGTTTCAAACGAAGGCTACAAAGTGGTCAAAATATACACTTGCAGATTCTACTACAAGGGTGTTGCAAACCTGAACTATCAAAGGAAGGTTCAACTCTGTGAGTTGAATACAAACATCACAAAGAATGTTCTGAGTTTGCTTCCGTTCAGTTATGGGAAGTTGATCCCGTTTCCAACGAAATCCTCAGAGAGGTCCAAATATCCCCTTGCAGATTCTACAAAACGTGTGTTTGGAAACTGCTCCATCGTAACGAATGTTCAGCTCCCTGAGTTAAACTCCATCGTCACAAAGAATTTTCTGAGAGTGCTACCGTCTGGTTTTTATATGAAGTTCTTTCCTTCACTACCACAGGCCTCAAAGCGGTCCAAATCTCCACTTGCAGATTCTACAAAAAGAGTGTTTGCAAACTGCTCTATCAAAAGGAATGTTCAACTCTGGGAGTTGAATGCAATCATCACAGAGCAGTTTCTGAGAATGCTTCTATGTCGTTTTTAGGAGAAGTATATTTCCTTTTCCAACACAGTCCTCCAAGCCCGCTAAATAGCCACTTGCACATTGTAGAAAAAGTGTGTCAAAGCTGCGCTATCAAAGGGAAAGTTCAACTCTGTGAGGTGAATGCAAACATCCCAAAGAAGTTTCTGAGAATGCTTCCGTTTAGCTTTTAGGTGAAGATTATCCCGTTTCCAACGAAACCTTCAAAGAGGTCCAAATATCCCCTTGCGGATCCCACAGAAAGAGTGTTTCGAAACTGCTGTTTCAAAAGGAATCTTCAACTCTGTGAGTTGAATGCAATCATCACAAAGAAGTTTCTGACAATGCTTCTCTCTCGTCTTTCTGTGAAGATAAAGGAAAAGGCTTTCAGGCCTTTTCCACCACAGGCCTGAAAGCGCTCCAAATGTCCACTTGCAGATTCTGCCAAAAGAATATTTCAAAACTGCTCTATGAAAAGCAATGTTAAACTCTGTGGCTCGAACACAAACATCACAAAGCGGTTTCTGAGAATGCTTCAGTTTAGTTTTTCTTTGGAAATATTCCCGTTTCCAAAGAAATCTTCAAAGAGGTCCACGTATCCACTTACAGATTCTACAAAAAGACAGTTTCAAAACTGCTCCATCAAAAGGAGGGTTCAACTGTGTGACTTGAATGCAATCATCACTCAGAAGTTTCTGAGAATGATTCTCTTTAGTTTTTACGTGAACATATACCCGTTTCGAACGAAGGCCAGCCAGTGGTCCAAATATCCACTTGCAGATTCTACAGAAAGAGTGTTTCGAACCTGAACTCTCAAAGGCAGGTTCATCTCTGCGAGTTAAATGCATTCATCATGAAGAACTTTCTCAGAGTGTTTGTGTTTAGTTATGGGAAATTATTCCCGTTTCCAACGAAATCCTCAGAGAGCTCCAAATATCCACCTGCAGATTCTACCAAAAGTGTTTTTGGAAACTGCTCCATCAAAAGGCATGTTCAGCTCTGTGAGTGAAACTCCATCATCACAAAGAATATTCTGAGAATGCTTCCGTTTGCCTTTTATATGAAGTTCCTTCCTATACGACCGTAGGCCTCAAAGCAGTCCAAATCTCCATTTGCAGATTCTACAAAAAGAGTGATTCCAATCTGCTCTATCAATAGGATTGTTCAACTCCATGAGTTGAATGCCATCCTCACAAAGTCGTTTCTGAGAATGCTTCTATCTAGTTTTTATGTGAAGATATTTCCTTTTCCACCACAGGCCTCAAAGCCCTCCAAACGTCCACTTGCAGATTCTCGAAAAAGAGTGTTTCATAGCTGCTCTTTCAAAAGGAAAGTTCAACTCTGGGAGTTGAATACAAACATCACAAAGTAGTTTCCGAGAATGCTTCTGTTTAGTTTTTATGTGAAGATGATCCCGTTTCCAGTGAAATCTTCAAAGAGGTCCACATATCCCCTTGCAGATTGCAAAGAAAGAGGGTTTCAAAACTGCTCCATCAAAAGGATTGTTCAACTCTGTGAGTTGAATGCAGTCATCGCAGAAAACTTTCTGAGAATGCTTCTGTCTAGGTTTGATGTGAAGATATAGACGTTTCAAATGAAGGCTACAAAGTGGTCAAAATATACACTTGCAGATTCTACTACAAGGGTGTTGCAAACCTGAACTATAAAAGGAAGGTTCAACTCTGTGAGTTGAATACAAACATCACAAAGAATGTTCTGAGTTTGCTTCCGTTCAGTTATGGGAAGTTGATCCCGTTTCCAACGAAATCCTCAGAGAGGTCCAAATATCCCCTTGCAGATTCTACAAAACGTGTGTTTGGAAACTGCTCCATCATAACGAATGTTCAGCTCCCTGAGTTAAACTCCATCGTCACAAAGAATTTTCTGAGAGTGCTACCGTCTGGTTTTTATATGAAGTTCTTTCCTTCACTACCACAGGCCTCAAAGCGGTCCAAATCTCCACTTGCAGATTCTACAAAAAGAGTGTTTGCAAACTGCTCTATCAAAAGGAATGTTCAACTCTGGGAGTTGAATGCAATCATCACAGAGCAGTTTCTGAGAATGCTTCTATGTCGTTTTTAGGAGAAGATATTTCCTTTTCCAACACAGTCCTCCTAGCCCGCTAAATAGCCACTTGCACATTGTAGAAAAAGTGTGTCAAAGCTGCGCTATCAAAGGGAAAGTTCAACTCTGTGAGGTGAATGCAAACATCCCAAAGAAGTTTCTGAGAATGCTTCCGTTTAGCTTTTAGGTGAAGATTATCCCGTTTCCAACGAAACCTTCAAAGAGGTCCAAATATCCCCTTGCGGATCCCACAGAAAGAGTGTTTCGAAACTGCTGTTTCAAAAGGAATCTTCAACTCTGTGAGTTGAATGCAATCATCACAAAGAAGTTTCTGACAATGCTTCTCTCTCGTCTTTCTGTGAAGATAAAGGAAAAGGCTTTCAGGCCTTTTCCACCACAGGCCTGAAAGCGCTCCAAATGTCCACTTGCAGATTCTGTGAAAAGAATATTGCAAAACTGCTCTATGAAAAGCAATGTTAAACTCTGTGGCTCGAACACAAACATCACAAAGCAGTTTCTGAGAATGCTTCAGTTTAGTTTTTCTGTGGAAATATTCCCGTTTCCAAAGAAATCTTCAAAGAGGTCCACGTGTCCACTTACAGATTCTACAAAAAGACAGTTTCAAAACTGCTCCATCAAAAGGAGGGTTCAACTGTGTGACTTGAATGCAATCATCACTCAGAAGTTTCTGAGAATGCTTCTCTTTAGTTTTTACGTGAACATATACCCGTTTCGAACGAAGGCCACCCAGTGGTCCAAATATCCACTTGCAGATTCTACAGAAAGAGTGTTTCGAACCTGAACTCTCAAAGGCAGGTTCATCTCTGCGAGTTAAATGCATTCATCATGAAGAACTTTCTCAGAGTGTTTGTGTTTAGTTATGGGAAATTATTCCCGTTTCCAACGAAATCCTCAGAGAGCTCCAAATATCCACCTGCAGATTCTACCAAAAGCGTATTTGGAAACTGCTCCATCAAAAGGCATGTTCAGCTCTGTGAGTGAAACTCCATCATCACAAAGAATATTCTGAGAATGCTTCCGTTTGCCTTTTATATGAAGTTCCTTCCTATACTACCGTAGGCCTCAAAGCAGTCCAAATCTCCATTTGCAGATTCTACAAAAAGAGTGATTCCAATCTGCTCTATCAATAGGATTGTTCAACTCCATGAGTTGAATGCCATCCTCACAAAGTCGTTTCTGAGAATGCTTCTATCTAGTTTTTATGTGAAGATATTTCCTTTTCCACCACAGGCCTCAAATCCCTCCAAACGTCCACTTGCAGATTCTCGAAAAAGAGTGTTTCATAGCTGCTCTTTCAAAAGGAAAGTTCAACTCTGGGAGTTGAATACAAACATCACAAAGTAGTTTCCGAGAATGCTTCTGTTTAGTTTTTATGTGAAGATGATCCCATTTCCAGTGAAATCTTCAAAGAGGTCCACATATCCCCTTGCAGATTCCAAAGAAAGAGGGTTTCAAAACTGCTCCATCAGAAGGATTGTTCAACTCTGTGAGTTGAATGCAGTCATCGCAGAAAACTTTCTGAGAATGCTTCTGTCTAGGTTTGATGTGAAGATATAGACGTTTCAAACGAAGGCTACAAAGTGGTCAAAATATACACTTGCAGATTCTACTACAAGGGTGTTGCAAACCTGAACTATCAAAGGAAGGTTCAACTCTGTGAGTTGAATACAAACATCACAAAGAATGTTCTGAGTTTGCTTCTGTTCAGTTATGGGATGTTGATCCCGTTTCCAACGAAATCCTCAGAGAGGTCCAAATATCCCCTTGCAGATTCTACAAAACGTGTGTTTGGAAACTGCTCCATCATAACGAATGTTCAGCTCCCTGAGTTAAACTCCATCGTCACAAAGAATTTTCTGAGAGTGCTACCGTCTGGTTTTTATATGAAGCTCTTTCCTTCACTACCACAGACCTCAAAGCGGTCCAAATCTCCACTTGCAGATTCTACAAAAAGAGTGTTTGCAAACTGCTCTATCAAAAGGAATGTTCAACTCTGGGAGTTGAATGCAATCATCACAGAGCAGTTTCTGAGAATGCTTCTATGTCGTTTTTAGGAGAAGATATTTCCTTTTCCAACACAGTCCTCCAAGCCCGCTAAATAGCCACTTGCACATTGTAGAAAAAGTGTGTCAAAGCTGCGCTATCAAAGGGAAAGTTCAACTCTGTGAGGTGAATGCAAACATCCCAAAGAAGTTTCTGAGAATGCTTCCGTTTAGCTTTTAGGTGAAGATTATCCCGTTTCCAACGAAACCTTCAAAGAGGTCCAAATATCCCCTTGCGGATCCCACAGAAAGAGTGTTTCGAAACTGCTGTTTCAAAAGGAATCTTCAACTCTGTGAGTTGAATGCAATCATCACAAAGAAGTTTCTGACAATGCTTCTCTCTCGTCTTTCTGTGAAGATAAAGGAAAAGGCTTTCAGGCCTTTTCCACCACAGGCCTGAAAGCGCTCCAAATGTCCACTTGCAGATTCTGCGAAAAGAATATTTCAAAACTGCTCTATGAAAAGCAATGGTAAACTCTGTGGCTCGAACACAAACATCACAAAGCGGTTTCTGAGAATGCTTCAGTTTAGTTTTTCTGTGGAAATATTCCCGTTTCCAAAGAAATCTTCAAAGAGGTCCACGTATCCACTTACAGATTCTACAAAAAGACAGTTTCAAAACTGCTCCATCAAAAGGAGGGTTCAACTGTGTGACTTGAATGCAATCATCACTCAGAAGTTTCTGAGAATGCTTCTCTTTAGTTTTTACGTGAACATATACCCGTTTCGAACGAAGGCCACCCAGTGGTCCAAATATCCACTTGCAGATTCTACAGAAAGAGTGTTTCGAACCTGAACTCTCAAAGGCAGGTTCATCTCTGCGAGTTAAATGCATTCATCATGAAGAACTTTCTCAGAGTGTTTGTGTTTAGTTATGGGAAATTATTCCCGTTTCCAACGAAATCCTCAGAGAGCTCCAAATATCCACCTGCAGATACTACCAAAAGTGTATTTGGAAACTGCTCCATCAAAAGGCATGTTCAGCTCTGTGAGTGAAACTCCATCATCACAAAGAATATTCTGAGAATGCTTCCGTTTGCCTTTTATATGAAGTTCCTTCCTGTACTACTGTAGGCCTCAAAGCAGTCCAAATCTCCATTTGCAGATTCTACAAAAAGAGTGATTCCAATCTGCTCTATCAATAGGATTGTTCAACTCCATGAGTTGAATGCCATCCTCACAAAGTAGTTTCTGAGAATGCTTCTATCTAGTTTTTATGTGAAGATATTTCCTTTTCCACCACAGGCCTCAAAGCCCTCCAAACGTCCACTTGCAGATTCTCGAAAAAGAGTGTTTCATAGCTGCTCTTTCAAAAGGAAAGTTCAACTCTGGGAGTTGAATACAAACATCACAAAGTAGTTTCCGAGAATGCTTCTGTTTAGTTTTTATGTGAAGATGATCCCGTTTCCAGTGAAATCTTCAAAGAGGTCCACATATCCCCTTGCAGATTCCAAAGAAAGAGGGTTTCAAAACTGCTCCATCAGAAGGATTGTTCAACTCTGTGAGTTGAATGCAGTCATCGCAGAAAACTTTCTGAGAATGCTTCTGTCTAGGTTTGATGTGAAGATATAGACGTTTCAAACGAAGGCTACAAAGTGGTCAAAATATACACTTGCAGATTCTACTACAAGGGTGTTGCAAACCTGAACTATCAAAGGAAGGTTCAACTCTGTGAGTTGAATACAAACATCACAAAGAATGTTCTGAGTTTGCTTCCGTTCAGTTATGGGAAGTTGATCCCGTTTCCAACGAAATCCTCAGAGAGGTCCAAATATTCCCTCGCAGATTCTACAAAACGTGTGTTTGGAAACTGCTCCATCATAACGAATGTTCAGCTCCCTGAGTTAAACTCCATCGTCACAAAGAATTTTCTGAGAGTGCTACCGTCTGGTTTTTATATGAAGTTCTTTCCTTCACTACCACAGGCCTCAAAGCGGTCCAAATCTCCACTTGCAGATTCTACAAAAAGAGTGTTTGCAAACTGCTCTATCAAAAGGAATGTTCAACTCTGGGAGTTGAATGCAATCATCACAGAGCAGTTTCTGAGAATGCTTCTATGTCGTTTTTAGGAGAAGATATTTCCTTTTCCAACACAGTCCTCCAAGCCCGCTAAATAGCCACTTGCACATTGTAGAAAAAGTGTGTCAAAGCTGCGCTATCAAAGGGAAAGTTCAACTCTGTGAGGTGAATGCAAACATCCCAAAGAAGTTTCTGAGAATGCTTCCGTTTAGCTTTTAGGTGAAGATTATCCCGTTTCCAACGAAACCTTCAAAGAGGTCCAAATATCCCCTTGCGGATCCCACAGAAAGAGTGTTTCGAAACTGCTGTTTCAAAAGGAATCTTCAACTCTGTGAGTTGAATGCAATCATCACAAAGAAGTTTCTGACAATGCTTCTCTCTCGTCTTTCTGAGAAGATAAAGGAAAAGGCTTTCAGGCCTTTTCCACCACAGGCCTGAAAGCGCTCCAAATGTCCACTTGCAGATTCTGCGAAAAGAATATTTCAAAACTGCTCTATGAAAAGCAATGTTAAACTCTGTGGCTCGAACACAAACATCACAAAGCGGTTTCTGAGAATGCTTCAGTTTAGTTTTTCTGTGGAAATATTCCCGTTTCCAAAGAAATCTTCAAAGAGGTCCACGTATCCACTTACAGATTCTACAAAAAGACAGTTTCAAAACTGCTCCATCAAAAGGAGGGTTCAACCGTGTGACTTGAATGCAATCATCACTCAGAAGTTTCTGAGAATGCTTCTCTTTAGTTTTTACGTGAACATATACCCGTTTCGAACGAAGGCCACCCAGTGGTCCAAATATCCACTTGCAGATTATACAGAAAGAGTGTTTCGAACCTGAACTCTCAAAGGCAGGTTCATCTCTGCGAGTTAAATGCATTCATC
This sequence comes from Homo sapiens, assembly GCF_000001405.40. NCBI lineage: Eukaryota > Metazoa > Chordata > Mammalia > Primates > Hominidae > Homo > Homo sapiens. The sequence goes on along the minus strand of NC_000023.11, from coordinate 60,837,352 downwards.
ATGAAGAACTTTCTCAGAGTGTTTGTGTTTAGTTATGGGAAATTATTCCCGTTTCCAACGAAATCCTCAGAGAGGTCCAAATATCCACCTGCAGATTCTACCAAAAGTGTATTTGGAAACTGCTCCATCAAAAGGCATGTTCAGCTCTGTGAGTGAAACTCCATCATCACAAAGGAGATATTCTGAGAATGCTTCCGTTTGCCTTTTATATGAAGTTCCTTCCTATACTACCATAGGCCTCAAAGCAGTCCAAATCTCCATTTGCAGATTCTACAAAAAGAGTGATTCCAATCTGCTTTATCAATAGGATTGTTCAACTCCATGAGTTGAATGCCATCCTCACAAAGTCGTTTCTGAGAATGCTTCTATCTAGTTTTTATGTGAAGATATTTCCTTTTCCACCACAGGCCTCAAAGCTCTCCAAACGTCCACTTGCAGATTCTCGAAAAAGAGTGTTTCCTAGCTGCTCTTTCAAAAGGAAAGTTCAACTCTGGGAGTTGAATACAAACATCACAAAGTAGTTTCCGAGAATGCTTCTGTTTAGTTCTTATGTGAAGATGATCCCGTTTCCAGGGAAATCTTCAAAGAGGTCCACATATCCCCTTGCAGATTCCAAAGAAAGAGGGTTTCAAAACTGCTCCATCAAAAGGATTGTACAACTCTGTGAGTTGAATGCAGTCATCGCAGAAAACTTTCTGAGAATGCTTCTGTCTAGGTTTGATGTGAAGATATAGACGTTTCAAACGAAGGCTACAAAGTGGTCAAAATATACACTTGCAGATTGTACTAAAAGGGTGTTGCAAACCTGAACTATCAAAGGAAGGTTCAACTCTGTGGGTTGAATACAAACATCGCAGAGAATGTTCTGAGTTTGCTTCCGTTCAGTTATGGGAAGTTGATCCCGTTTCCAACGAAATCCTCAGAGAGGTCCAAATATCCCCTTGCAGATTCTACAAAACGTGTGTTTGGAAACTGCTCCATCATAACGAATGTTCAGCTCCCTGAGTTAAACTCCATCGTCACAAAGAATTTTCTGAGAGTGCTACCGTCTAGTTTTTATATGAAGTTGTTTCCTTTACTAACACAGGCCTCAAAGCGGTCCAAATCTCCACTTGCAGATTCTACAAAAAGAGTGTTTCCAAACCGCTCTATCAAAAGGAATGTTCAACTCTGGGAGTTGAATGCAATCATCACAGAGCAGTTTCTGAGAATGCTTCTATGTCGTTTTTAGGAGAAGATATTTCCTTTTCCAACACAGTCCTCCAAGCCCGCTAAATATCCACTTGCACATTGTAGAAAAAGTGTGTCAAAGCTGCGCTATCAAAGGGAAAGTTCAACTCTGTGAGGAGAGTGAAAACATCCCAAAGAAGTTTCTGAGAATGCTTCCGTTTACCTTTTAGGTGAAGATTATCCCGTTTCCAACGAAACCTTCAAAGAGGTCCAAATATCCCCTTGCGGATCCCACAGAAAGAGTGTTTCGAAACTGCTGTTTCAAAAGGAATCTTCAACTCTGTGAGTTGAATGCAATCATCACAAAGAAGTTTCTGACAATGCTTCTCTCTCGTCTTTCTGTGAAGATAAAGGAAAAGGCTTTCAGGCCTTTTCCACCACAGGCCTGAAAGCGCTCCAAATGTCCACTTGCAGATTCTGCGAAAAGAATATTTCAAAACTGCTCTATGAAAAGCAATGTTAAACTCTGCGGCTCGAACACAAACATCACAAAGCGGTTTCTGAGAATGCTTCAGTTTAGTTTTTCTGTGGAAATATTCCCGTTTCCAAAGAAATCTTCAAAGAGGTCCACGTATCCACTTACAGATTCTACAAAAAGACAGTTTCAAAACTGCTCCATCAAAAGGAGGGTTCAACCGTGTGACTTGAATGCAATCATCACTCAGAAGTTTCTGAGAATGCTTCTCTTTAGTTTTTACGTGAACATATACCCGTTTCGAACGAAGGCCAGCCAGTGGTCCAAATATCCACTTGCAGATTCTACAGAAAGAGTGTTTCGAACCTGAACTCTCAAAGGCAGGTTCATCTCTGCGAGTTAAATGCATTCATCATGAAGAACTTTCTCAGAGTGTTTGTGTTTAGTTATGGGAAATTATTCCCGTTTCCAACGAAATCCTCAGAGAGCTCCAAATATCCACCTGCAGATTCTACCAAAAGTGTATTTGGAAACTGCTCCATCAAAAGGCATGTTCAGCTCTGTGAGTGAAACTCCATCATCACAAAGAATATTCTGAGAATGCTTCCGTTTGCCTTTTATATGAAGTTCCTTCCTATACTACCGTAGGCCTCAAAGCAGTCCAAATCTCCATTTGCAGATTCTACAAAAAGAGTGATTCCAATCTGCTCTATCAATAGGATTGTTCAACTGCCATGAATTGAATGCCATCCTCACAAAGTCGTTTCTGAGAATGCTTCTATCTAGTTTTTATGTGAAGATATTTCCTTTTCCACCACAGGCCTCAAAGCCCTCCAAACGTCCACTTGCAGATTCTCGAAAAAGAGTGTTTCATAGCTGCTCTTTCACAAGGAAAGTTCAACTCTGGGAGTTGAATACAAACATCACAAAGTAGTTTGTGAGAATGCTTCTGTTTAGTTCTTATGTGAAGATGATCCCGTTTCCAGTGAAATCTTCAAAGAGGTCCACATATCCCCTTGCAGATTCCAAAGAAAGAGGGTTTCAAAACTGCTCCATCAAAAGGATTGTTCAACTCTGTGAGTTGAATGCAGTCATCGCAGAAAACTTTCTGAGAATGCTTCTGTCTAGGTTTGATGTGAAGATATAGACGTTCAAACGAAGGCTACAAAGTGGTCAAAATATACACTTGCAGATTCTACTACAAGGGTGTTGCAAACCTGAACTATCAAAGGAAGGTTCAACTCTGTGAGTTGAATACAAACATCACAAAGAATGTTCTGAGTTTGCTTCCGTTCAGTTATGGGAAGTTGATCCCGTTTCCAACGAAATCCTCAGAGAGGTCCAAATATCCCCTCGCAGATTCTACAAAACGTGTGTTTGGAAACTGCTCCATCATAACGAATGTTCAGCTCCCTGAGTTAAACTCCATCGTCACAAAGAATTTTCTGAGAGTGCTACCGTCTGGTTTTTATATGAAGTTCTTTCCTTCACTACCACAGGCCTCAAAGCGGTCCAAATCTCCACTTGCAGATTCTACAAAAAGAGTGTTTGCAAACTGCTCTATCAAAAGGAATGTTCAACTCTGGGAGTTGAATGCAATCATCACAGAGCAGTTTCTGAGAATGCTTCTATGTCGTTTTTAGGAGAAGATATTTCCTTTTCCAACACAGTCCTCCAAGCCCGCTAAATAGCCACTTGCACATTGTAGAAAAAGTGTGTCAAAGCTGCGCTATCAAAGGGAAAGTTCAACTCTGTGAGGTGAATGCAAACATCCCAAAGAAGTTTCTGAGAATGCTTCCGTTTAGCTTTTAGGTGAAGATTATCCCGTTTCCAACGAAACCTTCAAAGAGGTCCAAATATCCCCTTGCGGATCCCACAGAAAGAGTGTTTCGAAACTGCTGTTTCAAAAGGAATCTTCAACTCTGTGAGTTGAATGCAATCATCACAAAGAAGTTTCTGACAATGCTTCTCTCTCGTCTTTCTGTGAAGATAAAGGAAAAGGCTTTCAGGCCTTTTCCACCACAGGCCTGAAAGCGCTCCAAATGTCCACTTGCAGATTCTGCCAAAAGAATATTTCAAAACTGCTCTATGAAAAGCAATGTTAAACTCTGTGGCTGGAACACAAACATCACAAAGCGGTTTCTGAGAATGTTTCAGTTTAGTTTTTCTGTGGAAATATTCCCGTTTCCAAAGAAATCTTCAAAGAGGTCCACGTATCCACTTACAGATTCTACAAAAAGACAGTTTCAAAACTGCTCCATCAAAAGGAGGGTTCAACTGTGTGACTTGAATGCAATCATCACTCAGAAGTTTCTGAGAATGCTTCTCTTTAGTTTTTACGTGAACATATACCCGTTTCGAACGAAGGCCACCCAGTGGTCCAAATATCCACTTGCAGATTCTACAGAAAGAGTGTTTCGAACCTGAACTCTCAAAGGCAGGTTCATCTCTGCGAGTTAAATGCATTCATCATGAAGAACTTTCTTCAGAGTGTTTGTGTTTAGTTATGGGAAATTATTCCCGTTTCCAACGAAATCCTCAGAGAGCTCCAAATATCCACCTGCAGATTCTACCAAAAGTGTATTTGGAAACTGCTCCATCAAAAGGCATGTTCAGCTCTGTGAGTGAAACTCCATCATCACAAAGAATATTCTGAGAATGCTTCCGTTTGCCTTTTATATGAAGTTCCTTCCTGTACTACCGTAGGCCTCAAAGCAGTCCAAATCTCCATTTGCAGATTCTACAAAAAGAGTGATTCCAATCTGCTCTATCAATAGGATTGTTCAACTCCATGAGTTGAATGCCATCCTCACAAAGTAGTTTCTGAGAATGCTTCTATCTAGTTTTTATGTGAAGATATTTCCTTTTCCACCACAGGCCTCAAAGCCCTCCAAACGTCCACTTGCAGATTCTCGAAAAAGAGTGTTTCATAGCTGCTCTTTCAAAAGGAAAGTTCAACTCTGGCAGTTGAATACAAACATCACAAAGTAGTTTCCGAGAATGCTTCTGTTTAGTTTTTATGTGAAGATGATCCCGTTTCCAGTGAAATCTTCAAAGAGGTCCACATATCCCCTTGCAGATTCCAAAGAAAGAGGGTTTCAAAACTGCTCCATCAGAAGGATTGTTCAACTCTGTGAGTTGAATGCAGTCATCGCAGAAAACTTTCTGAGAATGCTTCTGTCTAGGTTTGATGTGAAGATATAGACGTTTCAAACGAAGGCTACAAAGTGGTCAAAATATACACTTGCAGATTCTACTACAAGGGTGTTGCAAACCTGAACTATCAAAGGAAGGTTCAACTCTGTGAGTTGAATACAAACATCACAAAGAATGTTCTGAGTTTGCTTCCGTTCAGTTATGGGAAGTTGATCCCGTTTCCAACGAAATCCTCAGAGAGGTCCAAATATCCCCTTGCAGATTCTACAAAACGTGTGTTTGGAAACTGCTCCATCATAACGAATGTTCAGCTCCCTGAGTTAAACTCCATCGTCACAAAGAATTTTCTGAGAGTGCTACCGTCTGGTTTTTATATGAAGCTCTTTCCTTCACTACCCCAGGCCTCAAAGCGGTCCAAATCTCCACTTCCAGATTCTACATAAAGAGTGTTTGCAAACTGCTCTATCAAAAGGAATGTTCAACTCTGGGAGTTGAATGCAATCATCACAGAGCAGTTTCTGAGAATGCTTCTATGTCGTTTTTAGGAGAAGATATTTCCTTTTCCAACACAGTCCTCCAAGCCCGCTAAATAGCCACTTGCACATTGTAGAAAAAGTGTGTCGAAGCTGCGCTATCAAAGGGAAAGTTCAACTCTGTGAGGTGAATGCAAACATCCCAAAGAAGTTTCTGAGAATGCTTCCGTTTAGCTTTTAGGTGAAGATTATCCCGTTTCCAACGAAACCTTCAAAGAGGTCCAAATATCCCCTTGCGGATCCCACAGAAAGAGTGTTTCGAAACTGCTGTTTCAAAAGGAATCTTCAACTCTGTGAGTTGAATGCAATCATCACAAAGAAGTTTCTGACAATGCTTCTCTCTCGTCTTTCTGTGAAGATAAAGGAAAAGGCTTTCAGGCCTTTTCCACCACAGGCCTGAAAGCGCTCCAAATGTCCACTTGCAGATTCTGCCAAAAGAATATTTCAAAACTGCTCTATGAAAAGCAATGTTAAACTCTGTGGCTCGAACACAAACATCACAAAGCGGTTTCTGAGAATGCTTCAGTTTAGTTTTTCTGTGGAAATATTCCCGTTTCCAAAGAAATCTTCAAAGAGGTCCACGTATCCACTTACAGATTCTACAAAAAGACAGTTTCAAAACTGCTCCATCAAAAGGAGGGTTCAACTGTGTGACTTGAATGCAATCATCACTCAGAAGTTTCTGAGAATGCTTCTCTTTAGTTTTTACGTGAACATATACCCGTTTCGAACGAAGGCCACCCAGTGGTCCAAATATCCACTTGCAGATTCTACAGAAAGAGTGTTTCGAACCTGAACTCTCAAAGGCAGGTTCATCTCTGCGAGTTAAATGCATTCATCATGAAGAACTTTCTCAGAGTGTTTGTGTTTAGTTATGGGAAATTATTCCCGTTTCCAACGAAATCCTCAGAGAGCTCCAAATATCCACCTGCAGATTCTACCAAAAGTGTATTTGGAAACTGCTCCATCAAAAGGCATGTTCAGCTCTGTGAGTGAAACTCCATCATCACAAAGAATATTCTGAGAATGCTTCCGTTTGCCTTTTATCTGAAGTTCCTTCCTATACGACCGTAGGCCTCAAAGCAGTCCAAATCTCCATTTGCAGATTCTACAAAAAGAGTGATTCCAATCTGCTCTATCAATAGGATTGTTCAACTCCATGAGTTGAATGCCATCCTCACAAAGTCGTTTCTGAGAATGCTTTCTATCTAGTTTTTATGTGAAGATATTTCCTTTTCCACCACAGGCCTCAAAGCCCTCCAAACGTCCACTTGCAGATTCTCGAAAAAGAGTGTTTCATAGCTGCTCTTTCAAAAGGAAAGTTCAACTCTGGCAGTTGAATACAAACATCACAAAGTAGTTTCCGAGAATGCTTCTGTTTAGTTTTTATTTGAAGATGATCCCGTTTCCAGTGAAATCTTCAAAGAGGTCCACATATCCCCTTGCAGATTCCAAAGAAAGAGGGTTTCAAAACTGCTCCATCAGAAGGATTGTTCAACTCTGTGAGTTGAATGCAGTCATCGCAGAAAACTTTCTGAGAATGCTTCTGTCTAGGTTTGATGTGAAGGTATAGACGTTTCAAATGAAGGCTACAAAGTGGTCAAAATATACACTTGCAGATTCTACTACAAGGGTGTTGCAAACCTGAACTATCAAAGGAAGGTTCAACTCTGTGAGTTGAATACAAACATCACAAAGAATGTTCTGAGTTTGCTTCCGTTCAGTTATGGGAAGTTGATCCCGTTTCCAACGAAATCCTCAGAGAGGTCCAAATATCCCCTTGCAGATTCTACAAAACGTGTGTTTGGAAACTGCTCCATCATAACGAATGTTCAGCTCCCTGAGTTAAACTCCATCGTCACAAAGAATTTTCTGAGAGTGCTACCGTCTGGTTTTTATATGAAGTTCTTTCCTTCACTACCACAGGCCTCAAAGCGGTCCAAATCTCCACTTGCAGATTCTACAAAAAGAGTGTTTGCAAACTGCTCTATCAAAAGGAATGTTCAACTCTGGGAGTTGAATGCAATCATCACAGAGCAGTTTCTGAGAATGCTTCTATGTCGTTTTTAGGAGAAGATATTTCCTTTTCCAACACAGTCCTCCAAGCCCGCTAAATAGCCACTTGCACATTGTAGAAAAAGTGTGTCAAAGCTGCGCTATCAAAGGGAAAGTTCAACTCTGTGAGGTGAATGCAAACATCCCAAAGAAGTTTCTGAGAATGCTTCCGTTTAGCTTTTAGGTGAAGATTATCCCGTTTCCAACGAAACCTTCAAAGAGGTCCAAATATCCCCTTGCGGATCCCACAGAAAGAGTGTTTCGAAACTGCTGTTTCAAAAGGAATCTTCAACTCTGTGAGTTGAATGCAATCATCACAAAGAAGTTTCTGACAATGCTTCTCTCTCGTCTTTCTGTGAAGATAAAGGAAAAGGCTTTCAGGCCTTTGCCACCACAGGCCTGAAAGCGCTCCAAGTGTCCACTTGCAGATTCTGCGAAAAGAATATTTCAAAACTGCTCTATGAAAAGCAATGTTAAACTCTGTGGCTCGAACACAAACATCACAAAGAGGTTTCTGAGAATGCTTCAGTTTAGTTTTTCTGTGGAAATATTCCCGTTTCCAAAGAAATCTTCAAAGAGGTCCACGTATCCACTTACAGATTCTACAAAAAGACAGTTTCAAAACTGCTCCATCAAAAGGAGGGTTCAACTGTGTGACTTGAATGCAATCATCACTCAGAAGTTTCTGAGAATGCTTCTCTTTAGTTTTTACGTGAACATATACCCGTTTCGAACGAAGGCCACCCAGTGGTCCAAATATCCACTTGCAGATTCTACAGAAAGAGTGTTTCGAACCTGAACTCTCAAAGGCAGGTTCATCTCTGCGAGTTAAATGCATTCATCATGAAGAACTTTCTCAGAGTGTTTGTGTTTAGTTATGGGAAATTATTCCCGTTTCCAACGAAATCCTCAGAGAGCTCCAAATATCCACCTGCAGATTCTACCAAAAGTGTATTTGGAAACTGCTCCATCAAAAGGCATGTTCAGCTCTGTGCGTGAAACTCCATCGTCACAAAGAATATTCTGAGAATGCTTCCGTTTGCCTTTTATATGAAGTTCCTTCCTATACGACCGTAGGCCTCAAAGCAGTCCAAATCTCCATTTGCAGATTCTACAAAAAGAGTGATTCCAATCTGCTCTATCAATAGGATTGTTCAACTCCATGAGTTGAATGCCATCCTCACCAAGTCGTTTCTGAGAATGCTTCTATTCTAGTTTTTATGTGAAGATATTTCCTTTTCCACCACAGGCCTCAAAGCCCTCCAAACGTCCACTTGCAGATTCTCGAAAAAGAGTGTTTCATAGCTGCTCTTTCAAAAGGAAAGTTCAACTCTGGGAGTTGAATACAAACATCACAAAGTAGTTTCCGAGAATGCTTCTGTTTAGTTCTTCTGTGAAGATGATCCCGTTTCCAGTGAAATCTTCAAAGAGGTCCACATATCCCCTTGCAGATTCCAAAGAAAGAGGGTTTCAAAACTGCTCCATCAAAAGGATTGTTCAACTCTGTGAGTTGAATGCAGTCATCGCAGAAAACTTTCTGAGAATGCTTCTGTCTAGGTTTGATGTGAAGCATATAGACGTTTCAAACGAAGGCTACAAAGTGGTCAAAATATACACTTGCAGATTCTACTACAAGGGTGATGCAAACCTGAACTATCAAAGGAAGGTTCAACTCTGTGAGTTGAATACAAACATCACAAAGAATGTTCTGAGTTTGCTTCCGTTCAGTTATGGGAAGTTGATCCCATTTCCAACGAAATCCTCAGAGAGGTCCAAATATCCCCTTGCAGATTCTACAAAACGTGTGTTTGGAAACTGCTCCATCATAAAGAATGTTCAGCTCTCTGAGTTAAACTCCATCGTCACAAAGAATTTTCTGAGAGTGCTACCGTCTGGTTTTTATATGAAGTTCTTTCCTTTACTACCACAGGCCTCAAAGCGGTCCAAATCTCCACTTGCAGATTCTACAAAAACAGTGTTTGCAAACTGCTCTATCATTAGGAATGTTCAACTCTGGGAGTTGAATGCAATCATCACAGAGCAGTTTCTGAGAATGCTTCTATGTCGTTTTTAGGAGAAGATATTTCCTTTTCCAACACAGTCCTCCAAGCCCGCTAAATATCCACTTGCACATTGTAGAAAAAGTGTGTCGAAGCTGCGCTATCAAAGGGAAAGTTCAACTCTGTGAGGTGAATGCAAACATCCCAAAGAAGTTTCTGAGAATGCTTCCGTTTAGCTTTTAGGTGAAGATTATCCCGTTTCCAAAGAAACCTTCAAAGAGGTCCAAATATCCCCTTGCGGATCCCACAGAAAGAGTGTTTCGAAACTGCTGTTTCAAAAGGACTCTTCAACTCTGTGAGTTGAATGCAATCATCACAAAGAAGTTTCTGACAATGCTTCTCTCTCGTCTTTCTGTGAAGATAAAGGAAAAGGCTTTCAGGCCTTTTCCACCACAGGCCTGAAAGCACTCCAAATGTCCACTTGCAGATTCTGCCAAAACAATATTTCAAAACTGCTCTATGAAAAGCAATGTTAAACTCTGCGGCTCGAACACAAACATCACAAAGCGGTTTCTGAGAATGCTTCAGTTTAGTTTTTCTGTGGAAATATTCCCGTTTCCAAAGAAATCTTCAAAGAGGTCCACGTATCCATTTACAGATTCTACAAAAAGACAGTTTCAAAACTGCTCAATCAAAAGGAGGGTTCAACCGTGTGACTTGAATGCAATCATCAGTCAGAAGTTTCTGAGAATGCTTCTCTTTAGTTTTTACGTGAACATATACCCGTTTCGAACGAAGGCCACCCAGTGGTCCAAATATCCACTTGCAGATTCTACAGAAAGAGTGTTTCGAACCTGAACTCTCAAAGGCAGGTTCATCTCTGCGAGTTCAATGCATTCAACATGAAGAAATTTCTCAGCGTGTTTTGTGTTTAGTTATGGGAAATTATTCCCGTTTCCAACGAAATCCTCAGGAGAGCTCCAAATATCCACCTGCAGATTCTACCAAAAGTGTATTTGGAAACTGCTCCATCAAAAGGCATGTTCAGCTCTGTGAGTGAAACTCCATCATCACAAAGAATATTCTGAGAATGCTTCCGTTTGCCTTTTATATGAAGTTCCTTCCTGTACTACCGTAGGCCTCAAAGCAGTCCAAATCTCCATTTGCAGATTCTACAAAAAGAGTGATTCCAATCTGCTCTATCAATAGGATTGTTCAACTCCATGAGTTGAATGCCATCCTCACAAAGCAGTTTCTGAGAATGCTTCTATCTGGTTTTTGTGTGAAGATATTTCCTTTTCCACCACAGGCCTCAAAGCCCTCCAAACGTCCACTTGCAGATTCTTGAAAAAGAGTGTTTCATAGCTGCTCTTTCAAAAGGAAAGTTCAACTCTGGGAGTTGAATACAAACATCACAAAGTAGTTTCCGAGAATGCTTCTGTTTAGTTTTTATGTGAAGATGATCCCGTTTCCAGTGAAATCTTCAAAGAGGTCCACATATCCCCTTGCAGATTCCAAAGAAAGAGGGTTTAATAACTGCTCCATCAGAAGGATTGTTCAACTCTGTGAGTTGAATGCAGTCATCGCAGAAAACTTTCTGAGAATGCTTCTGTCTAGGTTTGATGTGAAGATATAGACGTTTCAAACGAAGGCTACAAAGTGGTCAAAATATACACTTGCAGATTCTATTACAAGGGTGTTGCAAACCTGAACTATCAAAGGAAGGTTCAACTCTGTGAGTTGAATACAAACATCACAAAGAATGTTCTGAGTTTGCTTCCGTTCAGTTATGGGAAGTTGATCCCGTTTCCAACGAAATCCTCAGAGAGGTCCAAATATCCCCTTGCAGATTCTACAAAACGTGTGTTTGGAAACTGCTCCATCATAACGAATGTTCAGCTCTCTGAGTTAAACTCCATCGTCACAAAGAATTTTCTGAGGGTGCTACCGTCTAGTTTTTATATGAAGTTCTTTCCTTTACTACCACAGGCCTCAAAGCGGTCCAAATCTCCACTTGCAAATTCTACAAAAAGAGTGTTTGCAAACTGCTCTATCAAAAGGAATGTTCAACTCTGGGAGTTGAATGCAATCATCACAGAGCAGTTTCTGAGAAGGCTTCTATGTGGTTTTTAGGAGAAGATATTTCCTTTTCCAACACAGTCCTCCAAGCCCGCTAAATATCCACTTGCACATTGTAGAAAAAGTGTGTCGAAGCTGCGCTATCAAAGGGAAAGTTCAACTCTGTGAGGTGAATGCAAACATCCCAAAGAAGTTTCTGAGAATGCTTCCGTTTAGCTTTTAGGTGAAGATTATCCCGTTTCCAACGAAATCTTCAAAGAGGTCCAAATATCCCCTTGCGGATCCCACAGAAAGAGTGTTTCGAAACTGCTGTTTCAAAAGGAATCTTCAACTCTGTGAGTTGAATGCAATCATCACAAAGAAGTTTCTGACAATGCTTCTCTCTCGTCTTTCTGTGAAGATAAAGGAAAAGGCTTTCAGGCCTTTTCCACCACAGGCCTGAAAGCGCTCCAAATGTCCACTTGCAGATTCTGCCAAAAGAATATTTCAAAACTGCTCTATGAAAAGCAATGTTAAACTCTGTGGCTCGAACACAAACATCACAAAGCAGTTTCTGAGAATGCTTCAGTTTAGTTTTTCTGTGGAAATATTCCCGTTTCCAAAGAAATCTTCAAAGAGGTCCACGCATCCACTTACAGATTCTACAAAAAGACAGTTTCAAAACTGCTCAATCAAAAGGAGGGTTCAACTGTGTGACTTGAATGCAATCATCACTCAGAAGTTTCTGAGAAAGCTTCTCTTTAGTTTTCACGTGAACATATACCCGTTTCGAACGAAAGCCAGCCAGTGGTCCAAATATCCACTTGCAGATTCTACAGAAAGAGTGTTTCGAACCTGAACTCTCAAAGGCAGGTTCATCTCTGCGAGTTAAATGCATTCATCATGAAGAACTTTCTCAGCGTGTTTGTGTTTAGTTATGGGAAATTATTCCCGTTTCCAACGAAATCCTCAGAGAGGTCCAAATATCCACCTGCAGATTCTACCAAAAGTGTATTTGGAAACTGCTCCATCAAAAGGCATGTTCAGCTCTGTGAGTGAAACTCCATCATCACAAAGAATATTCTGAGAATGCTTCCGTTTGCCTTTTATCTGAAGTTCCTTCCTATACGACCGTAGGCCTCAAAGCAGTCCAAATCTCCATTTGCAGATTCTACAAAAAGAGTGATTCCAATCTGCTCTATCAATAGGATTGTTCAACTCCATGAGTTGAATGCCATCCTCACAAAGTAGTTTCTGAGAATGCTTCTATCTGGTTTTTGTGTGAAGATATTTCCTTTTCCACCACAGGCCTCAAAGCCCTCTAAACGTCCACTTGCAGATTCTCGAAAAAGAGTGTTTCATAGCTGCTCTTTCAAAAGGAAAGTTCAACTCTGGGAGTTGAATACAAACATCACAAAATAGTTTCCGAGAATGCTTCTGTTTAGTTTTTATGTGAAGATGATCCCGTTTCCAGTGAAATCTTCAAAGAGGTCCACATATCCCCTTGCAGATTCCAAAGAAAGAGGGTTTCAAAACTGCTCCATCAGAAGGATTGTTCAACTCTGTGAGTTGAATGCAGTCATCGCAGAAAACTTTCTGAGAATGCTTCTGTCTAGGTTTGATGTGAAGATATAGACGTTTCAAATGAAGGCTACAAAGTGGTCAAAATATACACTTGCAGATTCTACTACAAGGGTGTTGCAAACCTGAACTATCAAAGGAAGGTTCAACTCTGTGAGTTGAATACAAACATCACAAAGAATGTTCTGAGTTTGCTTCCGTTCAGTTATGGGAAGTTGATCCCGTTTCCAACGAAATCCTCAGAGAGGTCCAAATATCCCCTTGCAGATTCTACAAAACGTGTGTTTGGAAACTGCTCCATCATAACGAATGTTCAGCTCCCTGAGTTAAACTCCATCGTCACAAAGAATTTTCTGAGAGTGCTACCGTCTGGTTTTTATATGAAGTTCTTTCCTTCACTACCACAGGCCTCAAAGCGGTCCAAATCTCCACTTGCAGATTCTACAAAAAGAGTGTTTGCAAACTGCTCTATCAAAAGGAATGTTCAACTCTGGGAGTTGAATGCAATCATCACAGAGCAGTTTCTGAGAATGCTTCTATGTCGTTTTTAGGAGAAGATATTTCGTTTTCCAACACAGTCCTCCAAGCCCGCTAAATAGCCACTTGCACATTGTAGAAAAAGTGTGTCAAAGCTGCGCTATCAAAGGGAAAGTTCAACTCTGTGAGGTGAATGCAAACATCCCAAAGAAGTTTCTGAGAATGTTTCCGTTTAGCTTTTAGGTGAAGATTATCCCGTTTCCAACGAAACCTTCAAAGAGGTCCAAATATCCCCTTGCGGATCCCACAGAAAGAGTGTTTCGAAACTGCTGTTTCAAAAGGAATCTTCAACTCTGTGAGTTGAATGCAATCATCACAAAGAAGTTTCTGACAATGCTTCTCTCTCGTCTTTCTGTGAAGATAAAGGAAAAGGCTTTCAGGCCTTTGCCACCACAGGCCTGAAAGCGCTCCAAATGTCCACTTGCAGATTCTGCGAAAAGAATATTTCAAAACTGCTCTATGAAAAGCAATGTTAAACTCTGTGGCTGGAACACAAACATCACAAAGCGGTTTCTGAGAATGCTTCAGTTTAGTTTTTCTGTGGAAATATTCCCGTTTCCAAAGAAATCTTCAAAGAGGTCCACGTATCCACTTACAGATTCTACAAAAAGACAGTTTCAAAACTGCTCCATCAAAAGGAGGGTTCAACTGTGTGACTTGAATGCAATCATCACTCAGAAGTTTCTGAGAATGCTTCTCTTTAGTTTTTACGTGAACATATACCCGTTTCGAACGAAGGCCACCCAGTGGTCCAAATATCCACTTGCAGATTCTACAGAAAGAGTGTTTCGAACCTGAACTCTCAAAGGCAGGTTCATCTCTGCGAGTTAAATGCATTCATCATGAAGAACTTTCTCAGCGTGTTTGTGTTTAGGTATAGGAAATTATTCCCGTTTCCAACGAAATCCTCAAAGAGCTCCAAATATCCACCTGCAGATTCTACCAAAAGTGTATTTGGAAACTGCTCCATCAAAAGGCATGTTCAGCTCTGTGAGTGAAACTCCATCATCACAAAGAATATTCTGAGAATGCTTCCGTTTGCCTTTTATATGAAGTTCCTTCCTGTACTACCGTAGGCCTCAAAGCAGTCCAAATCTCCATTTGCAGATTCTACAAAAAGAGTGATTCCAATCTGCTCTATCAATAGGATTGTTCAACTCCATGAGTTGAATGCCATCCTCACAAAGTCGTTTCTGAGAATGCTTCTATCTGGTTTTTGTGTGAAGATATTTCCTTTTCCACCACAGGCCTCAAAGCCCTCCAAACGTCCACTTGCAGATTCTCGAAAAAGAGTGTTTCATAGCTGCTCTTTCAAAAGGAAAGTTCAACTCTGGGAGTTGAATACAAACATCACAAAATAGTTTCCGAGAATGCTTCTGTTTAGTTTCTATGTGAAGATGATCCCGTTTCCAGTGAAATCTTCAAAGAGGTCCACATATCCCCTTGCAGATTCCAAAGAAAGAGGGTTTCAAAACTGCTCCATCAGAAGGATTGTTCAACTCTGTGAGTTGAATGCAGTCATCGCAGAAAACTTTCTGAGAATGCTTCTGTCTAGGTTTGATGTGAAGATATAGACGTTTCAAACGAAGGCTACAAAGTGGTCAAAATATACACTTGCAGATTCTACTACAAGGGTGTTGCAAACCTGAACTATCAAAGGAAGGTTCAACTCTGTGAGTTGAATACAAACATCACAAAGAATGTTCTGAGTTTGCTTCCGTTCAGTTATGGGAAGTTGATCCCGTTTCCAACGAAATCCTCAGAGAGGTCCAAATATCCCCTCGCAGATTCTACAAAACGTGTGTTTGGAAACTGCTCCATCATAACGAATGTTCAGCTCCCTGAGTTAAACTCCATCGTCACAAAGAATTTTCTGAGAGTGCTACCGTCTGGTTTTTATATGAAGTTCTTTCCTTCACTACCACAGGCCTCAAAGCGGTCCAAATCTCCACTTGCAGATTCTACAAAAAGAGTGTTTGCAAACTGCTCTATCAAAAGGAATGTTCAACTCTGGGAGTTGAATGCAATCATCACAGAGCAGTTTCTGAGAATGCTTCTATGTCGTTTTTAGGAGAAGATATTTCCTTTTCCAACACAGTCCTCCAAGCCCGCTAAATAGCCACTTGCACATTGTAGAAAAAGTGTGTCGAAGCTGCGCTATCAAAGGGAAAGTTCAACTCTGTGAGGTGAATGCAAACATCCCAAAGAAGTTTCTGAGAATGCTTCCGTTTAGCTTTTAGGTGAAGATTATCCCGTTTCCAACGAAACCTTCAAAGAGGTCCAAATATCCCCTTGCGGATCCCACAGAAAGAGTGTTTCGAAACTGCTGTTTCAAAAGGAATCTTCAACTCTGTGAGTTGAATGCAATCATCACAAAGAAGTTTCTGACAATGCTTCTCTCTCGTCTTTCTGTGAAGATAAAGGAAAAGGCTTTCAGGCCTTTTCCACCACAGGCCTGAAAGCGCTCCAAATGTCCACTTGCAGATTCTGCGAAAAGAATATTTCAAAACTGCTCTATGAAAAGCAATGTTAAACTCTGTGGCTCGAACACAAACATCACAAAGCAGTTTCTGAGAATGCTTCAGTTTAGTTTTTCTGTGGAAATATTCCCGTTTCCAAAGAAATCTTCAAAGAGGTCCACGTATCCACTTACAGATTCTACAAAAAGACAGTTTCAAAACTGCTCCATCAAAAGGAGGGTTCAACTGTGTGACTTGAATGCAATCATCACTCAGAAGTTTCTGAGAATGCTTCTCTTTAGTTTTTACGTGAACATATACCCGTTTCGAACGAAGGCCACCCAGTGGTCCAAATATCCACTTGCAGATTCTACAGAAAGAGTGTTTCGAACCTGAACTCTCAAAGGCAGGTTCATCTCTGCGAGTTAAATGCATTCATCATGAAGAACTTTCTCAGAGTGTTTGTGTTTAGTTATGGGAAATTATTCCCGTTTCCAACGAAATCCTCAGAGAGCTCCAAATATCCACCTGCAGATTCTACCAAAAGTGTATTTGGAAACTGCTCCATCAAAAGGCATGTTCAGCTCTGTGAGTGAAACTCCATCATCACAAAGAATATTCTGAGAATGCTTCCGTTTGCCTTTTATATGAAGTTCCTTCCTATACGACCGTAGGCCTCAAAGCAGTCCAAATCTCCATTTGCAGATTCTACAAAAAAAGTGATTCCAATCTGCTCTATCAATAGGACTGTTCAACTCCATGAGTTGAATGCCATCCTCACAAAGTAGTTTCTGAGAATGCTTCTATCTAGTTTTTATGTGAAGATATTTCCTTTTCCCCCACAGGCCTCAAAGCCCTCCAAACGTCCACTTGCAGATTCTCGAAAAAGGGTGTTTCATAGCTGCTCTTTCAAAAGGAAAGTTCAACTCTGGGAGCTGAATACAAACATCACAAAGTAGTTTCTGAGAATGCTTCTGTTTAGTTCTTATGTGAAGATGATCCCGTTTCCAGTGAAATCTTCAAAGAGGTCCACATATCCCCTTGCAGATTCCAAAGAAAGAGGGTTTCAAAACTGCTCCATCAAAAGGATTGTTCAACTCTGTGAGTTGAATGCAGTCATCGCAGAAAACTTTCTGAGAATGCTTCTGTCTAGGTTTGATGTGAAGATATAGACGTTTCAAATGAAGGCTACAAAGTGTTCAAAATATACACTTGCAGATTCTACTACAAGGGTGATGCAAACCTCAACTATCAAAGGAAAGTTCAACTCTGTGAGTTGAATACAAACATCACAAAGAATGTTCTGAGTTTGCTTCCGTTCAGTTATGGGAAGTTGATCCCGTTTCCTACGAAATCCTCAGAGAGGTCCAAATATCCCCTTGCAGATTCTACAAAACGTGTGTTTGGAAACTGCTCCATCATAACGAATGTTCAGCTCTCTGAGTTGAACTCCATCGTCACAAAGAATTTTCTGAGAGTGCTACCGTCTAGTTTTTATATGAAGTTCTTTCCTTTACTACCACAGGCCTCAAAGCGGTCCAAATCTCCACTTGCAGATTCTACAAAAAGAGTGTTTGCAAACTGCTCTATCAAAAAGAATGTTCAACTCTGGGAGTTGAATGCAATCATCACAGAGCAGTTTCTGAGAATGCTTCTATGTCGTTTTTAGGAGAAGATATTTCCTTTTCCAACACAGTCCTCCAAGCCCGCTAAATATCCACTTGCACATTGTAGAAAAAGTGTGTCGAAGCTGCGCTATCAAAGGGAAAGTTCAACTCTGTGAGGTGAATGCAAACATCCCAAAGAAGTTTCTGAGAATGCTTCCGTTTAGCTTTTAGGTGAAGATTATCCCGTTTCCAACGAAACCTTCAAAGAGGTCCAAATATCCCCTTGCGGATCCCACAGAAAGAGTGTTTCGAAACTGCTGTTTCAAAAGGAATCTTCAACTCTGTGAGTTGAATGCAATCATCGCAAAGAAGTTTCTGACAATGCTTCTCTCTCGTCTTTCTGTGAAGATAAAGGAAAAGGCTTTCAGGCCTTTTCCACCACAGGCCTGAAAGCGCTCCAAATGTCCACTTGCAGATTCTGCGAAAAGAATATTTCAAATCTGCTCTATGAAAAGCAATGTTAAACTCTGTGGCTCGAACACAAACATCACAAAGCGGTTTCTGAGAATGCTTCAGTTTAGTTTTTCTGTGGAAATATTCCCGTTTCCAAAGAAATCTTCAAAGAGGTCCACGTATCCACTTACAGATTCTACAAAAAGACAGTTTCAAAACTGCTCCATCAAAAGGAGGGTTCAACTGTGTGACTTGAATGCAATCATCACTCAGAAGTTTCTGAGAATGCTTCTCTTTAGTTTTTACGTGAACATATACCCGTTTCGAACGAAGGCCAGCCAGTGGTCCAAATATCCACTTGCAGATTCTACAGAAAGAGTGTTTCGAACCTGAACTCTCAAAGGCAGGTTCATCTCTGCGAGTTAAATGCATTCATCATGAAGAACTTTCTCAGAGTGTTTGTGTTTAGTTATGGGAAATTATTCCCGTTTCCAACGAAATCCTCAGAGAGCTCCAAATATCCACCTGCAGATTCTACCAAAAGTGTATTTGGAAACTGCTCCATCAAAAGGCATGTTCAGCTCTGTGAGTGAAACTCCATCATCACAAAGAATATTCTGAGAATGCTTCCGTTTGCCTTTTATATGAAGTTCCTTCCTGTACTACCGTAGGCCTCAAAGCAGTCCAAATCTCCATTTGCAGATTCTACAAAAAGAGTGATTCCAATCTGCTCTATCAATAGGATTGTTCAACTCCATGAGTTGAATGCCATCCTCACAAAGTCGTTTCTGAGAATGCTTCTATCTGGTTTTTGTGTGAAGATATTTCCTTTTCCACCACAGGCCTCAAAGCCCTCCAAACGTCCACTTGCAGATTCTCGAAAAAGAGTGTTTCATAGCTGCTCTTTCAAAAGGAAAGTTCAACTCTGGGAGTTGAATACAAACATCACAAAATAGTTTCCGAGAATGCTTCTGTTTAGTTTTTATGTGAAGATGATCCCGTTTCCAGTGAAATCTTCAAAGAGGTCCACATATCCCATTGCAGATTCCAAAGAAAGAGGGTTTCAAAACTGCTCCATCAGAAGGATTGTTCAACTCTGTGAGTTGAATGCAGTCATCGCAGAAAACTTTCTGAGAATGCTTCTGTCTAGGTTTGATGTGAAGATATAGACGTTTCAAACGAAGGCTACAAAGTGGTCAAAATATACACTTGCAGATTCTACTACAAGGGTGTTGCAAACCTGAACTATCAAAGGAAGGTTCAACTCTGTGAGTTGAATACAAACATCACAAAGAATGTTCTGAGTTTGCTTCCGTTCAGTTATGGGAAGTTGATCCCGTTTCCAACGAAATCCTCAGAGAGGTCCAAATATCCCCTCGCAGATTCTACAAAACGTGTGTTTGGAAACTGCTCCATCATAACGAATGTTCAGCTCCCTGAGTTAAACTCCATCGTCACAAAGAATTTTCTGAGAGTGCTACCGTCTGGTTTTTATATGAAGTTCTTTCCTTCACTACCACAGGCCTCAAAGCGGTCCAAATCTCCACTTGCAGATTCTACAAAAAGAGTGTTTGCAAACTGCTCTATCAAAAGGAATGTTCAACTCTGGGAGTTGAATGCAATCATCACAGAGCAGTTTCTGAGAATGCTTCTATGTCGTTTTTAGGAGAAGATATTTCCTTTTCCAACACAGTCCTCCAAGCCCGCTAAATAGCCACTTGCACATTGTAGAAAAAGTGTGTCAAAGCTGCGCTATCAAAGGGAAAGTTCAACTCTGTGAGGTGAATGCAAACATCCCAAAGAAGTTTCTGAGAATGCTTCCGTTTAGCTTTTAGGTGAAGATTATCCCGTTTCCAACGAAACCTTCAAAGAGGTCCAAATATCCCCTTGCGGATCCCACAGAAAGAGTGTTTCGAAACTGCTGTTTCAAAAGGAATCTTCAACTCTGTGAGTTGAATGCAATCATCACAAAGAAGTTTCTGACAATGCTTCTCTCTCGTCTTTCTGTGAAGATAAAGGAAAAGGCTTTCAGGCCTTTGCCACCACAGGCCTGAAAGCGCTCCAAATGTCCACTTGCAGATTCTGCGAAAAGAATATTTCAAAACTGCTCTATGAAAAGCAATGTTAAACTCTGCGGCTCGAACACAAACATCACAAAGCGGTTTCTGAGAATGCTTCAGTTTAGTTTTTCTGTGGAAGTATTCCCGTTTCCAAAGAAATCTTCAAAGAGGTCCACGTATCCACTTACAGATTCTAAAAAAGACAGTTTCAAAACTGCTCCATCAAAAGGAGGGTTCAACTGTGTGACTTGAATGCAATCATCACTCAGAAGTTTCTGAGAATGCTTCTCTTTAGTTTTTACGTGAACATATACGCGTTTCGAACGAAGGCCACCCAGTGGTCCAAATATCCACTTGCAGATTATACAGAAAGAGTGTTTCGAACCTGAACTCTCAAAGGCAGGTTCATCTCTGCGAGTTAAATGCATTCATCATGAAGAACTTTCTCAGAGTGTTTGTGTTTAGTTATGGGAAATTATTCCCGTTTCCAACGAAATCCTCAGAGAGCTCCAAATATCCACCTGCAGATTCTACCAAAAGTGTATTTGGAAACTGCTCCGTCAAAAGGCATGTTCAGCTCTGTGAGTGAAACTCCATCATCACAAAGAATATTCTGAGAATGCTTCCGTTTGCCTTTTATCTGAAGTTCCTTCCTATACGACCGTAGGCCTCAAAGCAGTCCAAATCTCCATTTCCAGATTCTACAAAAAGAGTGATTCCAATCTGCTCTATCAATAGGATTGTTCAACTCCATGAGTTGAATGCCATCCTCACAAAGTCGTTTCTGAGAATGCTTCTATCTAGTTTTTATGTGAAGATATTTCCTTTTCCACCACAGGCCTCAAAGCCCTCCAAACGTCCACTTGCAGATTCTCGAAAAGGAGTGTTTCATAGCTGCTCTTTCAAAAGGAAAGTTCAACTCTGGGAGTTGAATACAAACATCACAAAGTAGTTTCCGAGAATGCTTCTGTTTAGTTTTTATGTGAAGATGATCCCGTTTCCAGTGAAATCTTCAAAGAGGTCCACATATCCCCTTGCAGATTCCAAAGAAAGAGGGTTTCAAAACTGCTCCATCAGAAGGATTGTTCAACTCTGTGAGTTGAATGCAGTCATCGCAGAAAACTTTCTGAGAATGCTTCTGTCTAGGTTTGATGTGAAGATATAGACGTTTCAAACGAAGGCTACAAAGTGGTCAAAATATACACTTGCAGATTCTACTACAAGGGTGTTGCAAACCTGAACTATCAAAGGAAGGTTCAACTCTGTGAGTTGAATACAAACATCACAAAGAATGTTCTGAGTTTGCTTCCGTTCAGTTATGGGAAGTTGATCCCGTTTCCAACGAAATCCTCAGAGAGGTCCAAATATCCCCTTGCAGATTCTACAAAACGTGTGTTTGGAAACTGCTCCATCATAACGAATGTTCAGCTCCCTGAGTTAAACTCCATCGTCACAAAGAATTTTCTGAGAGTGCTACCGTCTGGTTTTTATATGAAGTTCTTTCCTTCACTACCACAGGCCTCAAAGCGGTCCAAATCTCCACTTGCAGATTCTACAAAAAGAGTGTTTGCAAACTGCTCTATCAAAAGGAATGTTCAACTCTGGGAGTTGAATGCAATCATCACAGAGCAGTTTCTGAGAATGCTTCTATGTCGTTTTTAGAAGATATTTCCTTTTCCAACACAGTCCTCCAAGCCCGCTAAATAGCCACTTGCACATTGTAGAAAAAGTGTGTCAAAGCTGCGCTATCAAAGGGAAAGTTCAACTCTGTGAGGTGAATGCAAACATCCCAAAGAAGTTTCTGAGAATGCTTCCATTTAGCTTTTAGGTGAAGATTATCCCGTTTCCAACGAAACCTTCAAAGAGGTCCAAATATCCCCTTGCGGATCCCACAGAAAGAGTGTTTCGAAACTGCTGTTTCAAAAGGAATCTTCAACTCTGTGAGTTGAATGCAATCATCACAAAGAAGTTTCTGACAATGCTTCTCTCTCGTCTTTCTGTGAAGATAAAGGAAAAGGCTTTCAGGCCTTTTCCACCACAGGCCTGAAAGCGCTCCAAATGTCCACTTGCAGATTCTGCCAAAAGAATATTTCAAAACTGCTCTATGAAAAGCAATGTTAAACTCTGTGGCTCGAACACAAACATCACAAAGCAGTTTCTGAGAATGATTCAGTTTAGTTTTTCTGTGGAAATATTCCCGTTTCCAAAGAAATCTTCAAAGAGGTCCACGCATCCACTTACAGATTCTACAAAAAGACAGTTTCAAAACTGCTCAATCAAAAGGAGGGTTCAACTGTGTGACTTGAATGCAATCATCACTCAGAAGTTTCTGAGAATGCTTCTCTTTAGTTTTTACGTGAACATATACCCGTTTCGAACGAAGGCCAGCCAGTGGTCCAAATATCCACTTGCAGATTCTACAGAAAGAGTGTTTCGAACCTGAACTCTCAAAGGCAGGTTCATCTCTGCGAGTTAAATGCATTCATCATGAAGAACTTTCTCAGCGTGTTTGTGTTTAGTTATGGGAAATTATTCCCGTTTCCAACGAAATCCTCAGAGAGCTCCAAATATCCACCTGCAGATTCTACCAAAAGTGTATTTGGAAACTGCTCCATCAAAAGGCATGTTCAGCTCTGTGAGTGAAACTCCATCATCACAAAGAATATTCTGAGAATGCTTCCGTTTGCCTTTTATATGAAGTTCCTTCCTATACTACCGTAGGCCTCAAAGCAGTCCAAATCTCCATTTGCAGATTCTACAAAAAAAGTGATTCCAATCTGCTCTATCAATAGGACTGTTCAACTCCATGAGTTGAATGCCATCCTCACAAAGTCGTTTCTGAGAATGCTTCTATCTAGTTTTTATGTGAAGATATTTCCTTTTCCCCCACAGGCCTCAAAGCCCTCCAAACGTCCACTTGCAGATTCTCGAAAAAGGGTGTTTCATAGCTGCTCTTTCAAAAGGAAAGTTCAACTCTGGGAGGTGAATACAAACATCACAAAGTAGTTTCTGAGAATGCTTCTGTTTAGTTCTTATGTGAAGATGATCCCGTTTCCAGTGAAATCTTCAAAGAGGTCCACATATCCCCTTGCAGATTCCAAAGAAAGAGGGTTTCAAAACTGCTCCATCAAAAGGATTGTTCAACTCTGTGAGTTGAATGCAGTCATCGCAGAAAACTTTCTGAGAATGCTTCTGTCTAGGTTTGATGTGAAGATATAGACGTTCAAACGAAGGCTACAAAGTGGTCAAAATATACACTTGCAGATTCTACTACAAGGGTGTTGCAAACCTGAACTATCAAAGGAAGGTTCAACTCTGTGAGTTGAATACAAACATCACAAAGAATGTTCTGAGTTTGCTTCCGTTCAGTTATGGGAAGTTGATCCCGTTTCCAACGAAATCCTCAGAGAGGTCCAAATATCCCCTTGCAGATTCTACAAAACGTGTGTTTGGAGACTGCTCCATCATAACGAATGTTCAGCTCCCTGAGTTAAACTCCATCGTCACGAAGAATTTTCTGAGAGTGCTACCGTCTGGTTTTTATATGAAGCTCTTTCCTTCACTACCACAGGCCTCAAAGCGGTCCAAATCTCCACTTCCAGATTCTACAAAAAGAGTGTTTGCAAACTGCTCTATCAAAAGGAATGTTCAACTCTGGGAGTTGAATGCAATCATCACAGAGCAGTTTCTGAGAATGCTTCTATGTCGTTTTTAGGAGAAGATATTTCCTTTTCCAACACAGTCCTCCAAGCCCGCTAAATAGCCACTTGCACATTGTAGAAAACGTGTGTCAAAGCTGCGCTATCAAAGGGAAAGTTCAACTCTGTGAGGTGAATGCAAACATCCCAAAGAAGTTTCTGAGAATGCTTCCGTTTAGCTTTTAGGTGAAGATTATCCCGTTTCCAACGAAACCTTCAAAGAGGTCCAAATATCCCCTTGCGGATCCCACAGAAAGAGTGTTTCGAAACTGCTGTTTCAAAAGGAATCTTCAACTCTGTGAGTTGAATGCAATCATCACAAAGAAGTTTCTGACAATGCTTCTCTCTCGTCTTTCTGTGAAGATAAAGGAAAAGGCTTTCAGGCCTTTTCCACCACAGGCCTGAAAGCGCTCCAAATGTCCACTTGCAGATTCTGCGAAAAGAATATTTCAAAACTGCTCTATGAAAAGCAATGTTAAACTCTGTGGCTCGAACACAAACATCACAAAGCGGTTTCTGAGAATGCTTCAGTTTAGTTTTTCTGTGGAAATATTCCCGTTTCGAAAGAAATCTTCAAAGAGGTCCACGTATCCACTTACAGATTCTACAAAAAGACAGTTTCAAACTGCTCCATCAAAAGGAGGGTTCAACCGTGTGACTTGAATGCAATCATCACTCAGAAATTTCTGAGAATGCTTCTCTTTAGTTTTTACGTGAACATATACCCGTTTCGAACGAAGGCCACCCAGTGGTCCAAATATCCACTTGCAGATTATACAGAAAGAGTGTTTCGAACCTGAACTCTCAAAGGCAGGTTCATCTCTGCGAGTTAAATGCATTCATCATGAAGAACTTTCTCAGAGTGTTTGTGTTTAGTTATGGGAAATTATTCCCCTTTCCAACGAAATCCTCAGAGAGCTCCAAATATCCACCTGCAGATTCTACCAAAAGTGTATTTGGAAACTGCTCCATCAAAAGGCATGTTCAGCTCTGTGAGTGAAACTCCATCATCACAAAGAATATTCTGAGAATGCTTCCGTTTGCCTTTTATATGAAGTTCCTTCCTGTACTACCGTAGGCCTCAAAGCAGTCCAAATCTCCATTTGCAGATTCTACAAAAAGAGTGATTCCAATCTGCTCTATCAATAGGATTGTTCAACTCCATGAGTTGAATGCCATCCTCACAAAGCAGTTTCTGAGAATGCTTCTATCTGGTTTTTGTGTGAAGATATTTCCTTTTCCACCACAGGCCTCAAAGCCCTCCAAACGTCCACTTGCAGATTCTCGAAAAAGAGTGTTTCATAGCTGCTCTTTCAAAAGGAAAGTTCAACTCTGGCAGTTGAATACAAACATCACAAAGTAGTTTCCGAGAATGCTTCTGTTTAGTTTTTATGTGAAGATGATCCCGTTTCCAGTGAAATCTTCAAAGAGGTCCACATATCCCCTTGCAGATTCCAAAGAAAGAGGGTTTCAAAACTGCTCCATCAGAAGGATTGTTCAACTCTGTGAGTTGAATGCAGTCATCGCAGAAAACTTTCTGAGAATGCTTCTGTCTAGGTTTGATGTGAAGATATAGACGTTTCAAACGAAGGCTACAAAGTGGTCAAAATATACACTTGCAGATTCTACTACAAGGGTGTTGCAAACCTGAACTATCAAAGGAAGGTTCAACTCTGTGAGTTGAATACAAACATCACAAAGAATGTTCTGAGTTTGCTTCCGTTCAGTTATGGGAAGTTGATCCCGTTTCCAACGAAATCCTCAGAGAGGTCCAAATATCCCCTCGCAGATTCTACAAAACGTGTGTTTGGAAACTGCTCCATCATAACGAATGTTCAGCTCCCTGAGTTAAACTCCATCGTCACAAAGAATTTTCTGAGAGTGCTAACCGTCTGGTTTTTATATGAAGCTCTTTCCTTCACTACCACAGGCCTCAAAGCGTTCCAAATCTCCACTTGCAGATTCTACAAAAAGAGTGTTTGCAAACTGCTCTATCAAAAGGAATGTTCAACTCTGGGAGTTGAATGCAATCATCACAGAGCAGTTTCTGAGAATGCTTCTATGTCGTTTTTAGGAGAAGATATTTCCTTTTCCAACACAGTCCTCCAAGCCCGCTAAATAGCCACTTGCACATTGTAGAAAAAGTGTGTCAAAGCTGCGCTATCAAAGGGAAAGTTCAACTCTGTGAGGTGAATGCAAACATCCCAAAGAAGTTTCTGAGAATGCTTCCCGTTTAGCTTTTAGGTGAGGATTATCCCGTTTCCAACGAAACCTTCAAAGAGGTCCAAATATCCCCTTGCGGATCCCACAGAAAGAGTGTTTCGAAACTGCTGTTTCAAAAGGAATCTTCAACTCTGTGAGTTGAATGCAATCATCACAAAGAAGTTTCTGACAATGCTTCTCTCTCGTCTTTCTGTGAAGATAAAGGAAAAGGCTTTCAGGCCTTTTCCACCACAGGCCTGAAAGCGCTCCAAATGTCCACTTGCAGATTCTGCGAAAAGAATATTTCAAAACTGATCTATGAAAAGCAATGTTAAACTCTGTGGCTCGAACACAAACATCACAAAGCAGTTTCTGAGAATGCTTCAGTTTAGTTTTTCTGTGGAAATATTCCCGTTTCAAAGAAATCTTCAAAGAGGTCCACGTATCCACTTACAGATTCTACAAAAAGACAGTTTCAAAACTGCTCCATCAAAAGGAGGGTTCAACTGTGTGACTTGAATGCAATCATCACTCAGAAGTTTCTGAGAATGCTTCTCTTTAGTTTTTACGTGAACATATACCCGTTTCGAACGAAGGCCAGCCAGTGGTCCAAATATCCACTTGCAGATTCTACAGAAAGAGTGTTTCGAACCTGAACTCTCAAAGGCAGGTTCATCTCTGCGAGTTAAATGCATTCATCATGAAGAACTTTCTCAGAGTGTTTGTGTTTAGTTATGGGAAATTATTCCCGTTTCCAACGAAATCCTCAGAGAGCTCCAAATATCCACCTGCAGATTCTACCAAAAGTGTATTTGGAAACTGCTCCATCAAAAGGCATGTTCAGCTCTGTGAGTGAAACTCCATCATCACAAAGAATATTCTGAGAATGCTTCCGTTTGCCTTTTATATGAAGTTCCTTCCTGTACTACCGTAGGCCTCAAAGCAGTCCAAATCTCCATTTGCAGATTCTACAAAAAGAGTGATTCCAATCTGCTCTATCAATAGGATTGTTCAACTCCATGAGTTGAATGCCATCCTCACAAAGTAGTTTCTGAGAATGCTTCTATCTGGTTTTTGTGTGAAGATATTTCCTTTTCCACCACAGACCTCAAAGCCCTCCAAACGTCCACTTGCAGATTCTCGAAAAAGAGTGTTTCATAGCTGCTCTTTCAAAAGGAAAGTTCAACTCTGGGAGTTGAATACAAACATCACAAACTAGTTTCCGAGAATGCTTCTGTTTAGTTTTTATGTGAAGATGATCCCGTTTCCAGTGAAATCTTCAAAGAGGTCCACATATCCCCTTGCAGATTCCAAAGAAAGAGGGTTTCAAAACTGCTCCATCAAAAGGATTGTTCAACTCTGTGAGTTGAATGCAGTCATCGCAGAAAACTTTCTGAGAATGCTTCTGTCTAGGTTTGATGTGAAGATATAGACGTTTCAAACGAAGGCTACACAGTGGTCAAAATATACACTTGCAGATTCTACTACAAGGGTGTTGCAAACCTGAACTATCAAAGGAAGGTTCAACTCTGTGAGTTGAATACAAACATCACAAAGAATGTTCTGAGTTTGCTTCCGTTCAGTTATGGGAAGTTGATCCCGTTTCCAGCGAAATCCTCAGAGAGGTCCATATATCCCCTTGCAGATTCTACAAAACGTGTGTTTGGAAACTGCTCCATCATAACGAATGTTCAGCTCCCTGAGTTAAACTCCATCGTCACAAAGAATTTTCTGAGAGTGCTACCGTCTGGTTTTTATATGAAGTTCTTTCCTTTACTACCATAGGCCTCAAAGCGGTCCAAATCTCCACTTGCAGATTCTACAAAAAGAGTGTTTGCAAACTGCTCTATCAAAAGGAATGTTCAACCCTGGGAGTTGAATGCAATCATCACAGAGCAGTTTCTGAGAATGCTTCTATGTCGTTTTTAGGAGAAGATATTTCCTTTTCCAACACAGTCCTCCAAGCCCGCTAAATAGCCACTTGCACATTGTAGAAAAAGTGTGTCAAAGCTGCGCTATCAAAGGGAAAGTTCAACTCTGTGAGGTGAATGCAAACATCCCAAAGAAGTTTCTGAGAATGCTTCCCGTTTAGCTTTTAGGTGAGGATTATCCCGTTTCCAACGAAACCTTCAAAGAGGTCCAAATATCCCCTTGCGGATCCCACAGAAAGAGTGTTTCGAAACTGCTGTTTCAAAAGGAATCTTCAACTCTGTGAGTTGAATGCAATCATCACAAAGAAGTTTCTGACAATGCTTCTCTCTCGTCTTTCTGTGAAGATAAAGGAAAAGGCTTTCAGGCCTTTTCCACCACAGGCCTGAAAGCGCTCCAAATGTCCACTTGCAGATTCTGCCAAAAGAATATTTCAAAACTGCTCTATGAAAAGCAATGTTAAACTCTGCGGCTCGAACACAAACATCACAAAGCAGTTTCTGAGAATGCTTCAGTTTAGTTTTTCTGTGGATATATTCCCGTTTCCAAAGAAATCTTCAAAGAGGTCCACGTATCCACTTACAGATTCTACAAAAAGACAGTTTCAAAACTGGTCAATCAAAAGGAGGGTTCAACTGTGTGACTTGAATGCAATCATCACTCAGAAGTTTCTGAGAACGCTTCTCTTTAGTTTTTACGTGAACATATACCCGTTTCGAACGAAGGCCAGCCAGTGGTCCAAATATCCACTTGCAGATTCTACAGAAAGAGTGTTTCGAATCTGAACTCTCAAAGGCAGGTTCATCTCTGCGAGTTCAATGCATTCATCATGAAGAACTTTCTCAGCGTGTTTGTGTTTAGTTATGGGAAATTATTCCCGTTTCCAACGAAATCCTCAGAGAGCTCAAATATCCACCTGCAGATTCTACCAAAAGTGTATTTGGAAACTGCTCCATCAAAAGGCATGTTCAGCTCTGTGAGTGAAACTCCATCATCACACAAAATATTCTCAGAATGCTTCCGTTTGCCTTTTATATGAAGTTCCTTCCTATACTACCGTAGGCCTCAAAGCAGTCCAAATCTCCATTTGCAGATTCTACAAAAATAGTGATTCCAATCTCCTCTATCAATAGGACTGTTCAACTCCATGAGTTGAATGCCATCCTCACAAAGTCGTTTCTGAGAATGCTTCTATCTAGTTTTTATGTGAAGATATTTCCTTTTCCACCACAGGCCTCAAAGCCCTCCAAACGTCCACTTGCAGATTCTCGAAAAAGAGTGTTTCATAGCTGCTCTTTCAAAAGGAAAGTTCAACTCTGGGAGCTGAATACAAACATCACAAAGTAGTTTCCGAGAATGCTTCTGTTTAGTTCTTATGTGAAGATGATCCCGTTTCCAGTGAAATCTTCAAAGAGGTCCACATATCCCCTTGCAGATTCCAAAGAAAGAGGGTTTCAAAACTGCTCCATCAAAAGGATTGTTCAACTCTGTGAGTTGAATGCAGTCATCGCAGAAAACTTTCTGAGAATGCTTCTGTCTAGGTTAGATGGGAAGATATAGACGTTTCAAACGAAGGCTACAAAGTGGTCAAAATATACACTTGCAGATTCTACTACAAGGGTGATGCAAACCTGAACTATCAAAGGAAGGTTCAACTCTGTGAGTTGAATACAAACATCACAAAGAATGTTCTGAGTTTGCTTCCGTCCAGTTATGGGAAGTTGATCCCGTTTCCAACGAAATCCTCAGAGAGGTCCAAATATCCCCTTGCAGATTCTACAAAACGTGTGTTGGGAAACTGCTCCATCATAACGAATGTTCAGCTCCCTGAGTTAAACTCCATCGTCACAAAGAATTTTCTGAGAGTGCTACCGTCTGGTTTTTATATGAAGTTCTTTCCTTCACTACCACAGGCCTCAAAGCGGTCCAAATCTCCACTTGCAGATTCTACAAAAAGAGTGTTTGCAAACTGCTCTATCAAAAGGAATGTTCAACTCTGGGAGTTGAATGCAATCATCACAGAGCAGTTTCTGAGAATGCTTCTATGTCGTTTTTAGGAGAAGATATTTCCTTTTCCAACACAGTCCTCCAAGCCCGCTAAATAGCCACTTGCACATTGTAGAAAAAGTGTGTCAAAGCTGCGCTATCAAAGGGAAAGTTCAACTCTGAGAGGTGAATGCAAACATCCCAAAGAAGTTTTCTGAGAATGCTTCCGTTTAGCTTTTAGGTGAAGATTATCCCGTTTCCAACGAAACCTTCAAAGTAGGTCCAAATATCCCCTTGCGGATCCCACAGAAAGAGTGTTTCGAAACTGCTGTTTCAAAAGGAATCTTCAACTCTGTGAGTTGAATGCAATCATCACAAAGAAGTTTCTGACAATGCTTCTCTCTCGTCTTTCTGTGAAGATAAAGGAAAAGGCTTTCAGGCCTTTTCCACCACAGGCCTGAAAGCGCTCCAAATGTCCACTTGCAGATTCTGCCAAAAGAATATTTCAAAACTGCTCTATGAAAAGCAATGTTAAACTCTGCGGCTCGAACACAAACATCACAAAGCGGTTTCTGAGAATGCTTCAGTTTAGTTTTTCTGTGGAAATATTCCCGTTTCCAAAGAAATCTTCAAAGAGGTCCACGTATCCACTTACAGATTCTACAAAAAGACAGTTTCAAAACTGCTCCATCAAAAGGAGGGTTCAACCGTGTGACTTGAATGCAATCATCACTCAGAAGTTTCTGAGAATGCTTCTCTTTAGTTTTTACGTGAACATATACCCGTTTCGAACGAAGGCCACCCAGTGGTCCAAATATCCACTTGCAGATTATACAGAAAGAGTGTTTCGAACCTGAACTCTCAAAGGCAGGTTCATCTCTGCGAGTTAAATGCATTCATCATGAAGAACTTTCTCAGAGTGTTTGTGTTTAGTTATGGGAAATTATTCCCGTTTCCAACGAAATCCTCAGAGAGCTCCAAATATCCACCTGCAGATTCTACCAAAAGTGTATTTGGAAACTGCTCCATCAAAAGGCATGTTCAGCTCTGTGAGTGAAACTCCATCATCACAAAGAATATTCTGAGAATGCTTCCGTTTGCCTTTTATATGAAGTTCCTTCCTATACGACCGTAGGCCTCAAAGCAGTCCAAATCTCCATTTGCAGATTCTACAAAAAGAGTGATTCCAATCTGCTCTATCAATAGGATTGTTCAACTCCATGAGTTGAATGCCATCCTCACAAAGTCGTTTGCTGAGAATGCTTCTATCTAGTTTTTATGTGAAGATATTTCCTTTTCCACCACAGGCCTCAAAGCCCTCCAAACGTCCACTTGCAGATTCTCGAAAAAGAGTGTTTCATAGCTGCTCTTTCAAAAGGAAAGTTCAACTCTGGGAGTTGAATACAAACATCACAAAGTAGTTTCCGAGAATGCTTCTGTTTAGTTTTTATGTGAAGATGATCCCGTTTCCAGTGAAATCTTCAAAGAGGTCCACATATCCCCTTGCAGATTCCAAAGAAAGAGGGTTTCAAAACTGCTCCATCAGAAGGATTGTTCAACTCTGTGAGTTGAATGCAGTCATCGCAGAAAACTTTCTGAGAATGCTTCTGTCTAGGTTTGATGTGAAGATATAGACGTTTCAAACGAAGGCTACAAAGTGGTCAAAATATACACTTGCAGATTCTACTACAAGGGTGTTGCAAACCTGAACTATCAAAGGAAGGTTCAACTCTGTGAGTTGAATACAAACATCACAAAGAATGTTCTGAGTTTGCTTCTGTTCAGTTATGGGATGTTGATCCCGTTTCCAACGAAATCCTCAGAGAGGTCCAAATATCCCCTTGCAGATTCTACAAAACGTGTGTTTGGAAACTGCTCCATCATAACGAATGTTCAGCTCCCTGAGTTAAACTCCATCGTCACAAAGAATTTTCTGAGAGTGCTACCGTCTGGTTTTTATATGAAGTTCTTTCCTTCACTACCACAGGCCTCAAAGCGGTCCAAATCTCCACTTGCAGATTCTACAAAAAGAGTGTTTGCAAACTGCTCTATCAAAAGGAATGTTCAACTCTGGGAGTTGAATGCAATCATCACAGAGCAGTTTCTGAGAATGCTTCTATGTCGTTTTTAGGAGAAGATATTTCCTTTTCCAACACAGTCCTCCTAGCCCGCTAAATAGCCACTTGCACATTGTAGAAAAAGTGTGTCAAAGCTGCGCTATCAAAGGGAAAGTTCAACTCTGTGAGGTGAATGCAAACATCCCAAAGAAGTTTCTGAGAATGCTTCCGTTTAGCTTTTAGGTGAAGATTATCCCGTTTCCAACGAAACCTTCAAAGAGGTCCAAATATCCCCTTGCGGATCCCACAGAAAGAGTGTTTCGAAACTGCTGTTTCAAAAGG
Organism: Homo sapiens; assembly: GCF_000001405.40. Classification (NCBI taxonomy): domain Eukaryota; kingdom Metazoa; phylum Chordata; class Mammalia; order Primates; family Hominidae; genus Homo; species Homo sapiens. The sequence continues at coordinate 60,804,994 of NC_000023.11, read as the reverse complement.
AATCTTCAACTCTGTGAGTTGAATGCAATCATCACAAAGAAGTTTCTGACAATGCTTCTCTCTCGTCTTTCTGTGAAGATAAAGGAAAAGGCTTTCAGGCCTTTGCCACCACAGGCCTGAAAGCGCTCCAAATGTCCACTTGCAGATTCTGCCAAAAGAATATTTCAAAACTGCTCTATGAAAAGCAATGTTAAACTCTGTGGCTGGAACACAAACATCACAAAGCGGTTTCTGAGAATGTTTCAGTTTAGTTTTTCTGTGGAAATATTCCCGTTTCCAAAGAAATCTTCAAAGAGGTCCACGTATCCACTTACAGATTCTACAAAAAGACAGTTTCAAAACTGCTCCATCAAAAGGAGGGTTCAACTGTGTGACTTGAATGCAATCATCACTCAGAAGTTTCTGAGAATGCTTCTCTTTAGTTTTTACGTGAACATATACCCGTTTCGAACGAAGGCCAGCCAGTGGTCCAAATATCCACTTGCAGATTCTACAGAAAGAGTGTTTCGAACCTGAACTCTCAAAGGCAGGTTCATCTCTGCGAGTTAAATGCATTCATCATGAAGAACTTTCTCAGAGTGTTTGTGTTTAGTTATGGGAAATTATTCCCGTTTCCAACGAAATCCTCAGAGAGCTCCAAATATCCACCTGCAGATTCTACCAAAAGTGTATTTGGAAACTGCTCCATCAAAAGGCATGTTCAGCTCTGTGAGTGAAACTCCATCATCACAAAGAATATTCTGAGAATGCTTCCGTTTGCCTTTTATATGAAGTTCCTTCCTATACTACCGTAGGCCTCAAAGCAGTCCAAATCTCCATTTGCAGATTCTACAAAAAGAGTGATTCCAATCTGCTCTATCAATAGGATTGTTCAACTCCATGAGTTGAATGCCATCCTCACAAAGTAGTTTCTGAGAATGCTTCTATCTAGTTTTTATGTGAAGATATTTCCTTTTCCACCACAGGCCTCAAAGCCCTCCAAACGTCCACTTGCAGATTCTCGAAAAAGAGTGTTTCATAGCTGCTCTTTCAAAAGGAAAGTTCAACTCTGGGAGTTGAATACAAACATCCCAAAGTAGTTTCCGAGAATGCTTCCTGTTTAGTTTTTATGTGAAGATGATCCCGTTTCCAGTGAAATCTTCAAAGAGGTCCACATATCCCCTTGCAGATTCCAAAGAAAGAGGGTTTCAAAACTGCTCCATCAGAAGGATTGTTCAACTCTGTGAGTTGAATGCAGTCATCGCAGAAAACTTTCTGAGAATGCTTCTGGCTAGGTTTGATGTGAAGATATAGACGTTTCAAACGAAGGCTACAAAGTGGTCAAAATATACACTTGCAGATTCTACTACAAGGGTGTTGCAAACCTGAACTATCAAAGGAAGGTTCAACTCTGTGAGTTGAATACAAACATCACAAAGAATGTTCTGAGTTTGCTTCCGTTCAGTTATGGGAAGTTGATCCCATTTCCAACGAAATCCTCAGAGAGGTCCAAATATCCCTTTGCAGATTCTACAAAATGTGTGTTTGGAAACTGCTCCATCATAACGAATGTTCAGCTCTCTGAGTTAAACTCTATCGTCACAAAGAATTTTACTGAGAGTGCTACCGTCTGGTTTTTATATGAAGCTTTTTCCTTTACTACCCCAGTCCTCAAAGCGGTCCAAATCTCCACTTGCAGATTCTACAAAAAGAGTGTTTGCAAACTGCTCTATCAAAAGGAATGTTCAACTCTGGGAGTTGAATGCAATCATCACAGAGCAGTTTCTGAGAATGCTTCTATGTCGTTTTTAGGAGAAGATATTTCCTTTTCCAACACAGTCCTCCAAGCCCGCTAAATAGCCACTTGCACATTGTAGAAAAAGTGTGTCAAAGCTGCGCTATCAAAGGGAAAGTTCAACTCTGAGAGGTGAATGCAAACATCCCAAAGAAGTTTCTGAGAGTGCTTCCGTTTAGCTTTTAGGTGAAGATTATCCCGTTTCCAACGAAACCTTCAAAGAGGTCCAAATATCCCCTTGCGGATCCCACAGAAAGAGTGTTTCGAAACTGCTGTTTCAAAAGGAATCTTCAACTCTGTGAGTTGAATGCAATCATCACAAAGAAGTTTCTGACAATGCTTCTCTCTCGTCTTTCTGTGAAGATAAAGGAAAAGGCTTTCAGGCCTTTGCCACCACAGGCCTGAAAGCGCTCCAAATGTCCACTTGCAGATTCTGCGAAAAGAATATTTCAAAACTGCTCTATGAAAAGCAATGTTAAACTCTGTGGCTGGAACACAAACATCACAAAGCGGTTTCTGAGAATGCTTCAGTTTAGTTTTTCTGTGGAAATATTCCCGTTTCCAAAGAAATCTTCAAAGAGGTCCACGTATCCACTTACAGATTCTACAAAAAGACAGTTTCAAAACTGCTCCATCAAAAGGAGGGTTCAACCGTGTGACTTGAATGCAATCATCACTCAGAAGTTTCTGAGAATGCTTCTCTTTAGTTTTTACGTGAACATATACCCGTTTCGAACGAAGGCCACCCAGTGGTCCAAATATCCACTTGCAGATTATACAGAAAGAGTGTTTCGAACCTGAACTCTCAAAGGCAGGTTCATCTCTGCGAGTTAAATGCATTCATCATGAAGAACTTTCTCAGAGTGTTTGTGTTTAGTTATGGGAAATTATTCCCGTTTCCAACGAAATCCTCAGAGAGCTCCAAATATCCACCTGCAGATTCTACCAAAAGTGTATTTGGAAACTGCTCAATCAAAAGGCATGTTCAGCTCTGTGAGTGAAACTCCATCATCACAAAGAATATTCTGAGAATGCTTCCGTTTGCCTTTTATATGAAGTTCCTTCCTGTACTACCGTAGGCCTCAAAGCAGTCCAAATCTCCATTTGCAGATTCTATAAAAAGAGTGATTCCAATCTGCTCTATCAATAGGATTGTTCAACTCCATGAGTTGAATGCCATCCTCACAAAGTAGTTTCTGAGAATGCTTCTATCTGGTTTTTGTGTGAAGATATTTCCTTTTCCACCACAGGCCTCAAAGCCCTCCAAACGTCCACTTGCAGATTCTCGAAAAAGAGTGTTTCATAGCTGCTCTTTCCAAAGGAAAGTTCAACTCTGGGAGTTGAATACAAACATCACAAAGTAGTTTCCGAGAATGCTTCTGTTTAGTTTTTATGTGAAGATGATCCCGTTTCCAGTGAAATCTTCAAAGAGGTCCACATATCCCCTTGCAGATTCCAAAGAAAGAGGGTTTCAAAACTGCTCCATCAGAAGGATTGTTCAACTCTGTGAGTTGAATGCAGTCATCGCAGAAAACTTTCTGAGAAAGCTTCTGTCTAGGTTTGATGTGAAGATATAGACGTTTCAAACGAAGGCTACAAAGTGGTCAAAATATACACTTGCAGATTCTACTACAAGGGTGTTGCAAACCTGAACTATCAAAGGAAGGTTCAACTCTGTGAGTTGAATACAAACATCACAAAGAATGTTCTGAGTTTGCTTCCGTTCAGTTATGGGAAGTTGATCCCGTTTCCAACGAAATCCTCAGAGAGGTCCAAATATCCCCTCGCAGATTCTACAAAACGTGTGTTTGGAAACTGCTCCATCATAACGAATGTTCAGCTCCCTGAGTTAAACTCCATCGTCACAAAGAATTTTCTGAGAGTGCTACCGTCTGGTTTTTATATGAAGTTCTTTCCTTCACTACCACAGGCCTCAAAGCGGTCCAAATCTCCACTTGCAGATTCTACAAAAAGAGTGTTTGCAAACTGCTCTATCAAAAGGAATGTTCAACTCTGGGAGTTGAATGCAATCATCACAGAGCAGTTTCTGAGAATGCTTCTATGTCGTTTTTAGGAGAAGATATTTCCTTTTCCAACACAGTCCTCCAAGCCCGCTAAATAGCCACTTGCACATTGTAGAAAAAGTGTGTCAAAGCTGCGCTATCAAAGGGAAAGTTCAACTCTGTGAGGTGAATGCAAACATCCCAAAGAAGTTTCTGAGAATTCTTCCGTTTAGCTTTTAGGTGAAGATTATCCCGTTTCCAACGAAACCTTCAAAGAGGTCCAAATATCCCCTTGCGGATCCCACAGAAAGAGTGTTTCGAAACTGCTGTTTCAAAAGGAATCTTCAACTCTGTGAGTTGAATGCAATCATCACAAAGAAGTTTCTGACAATGCTTCTCTCTCGTCTTTCTGTGAAGATAAAGGAAAAGGCTTTCAGGCCTTTTCCCACCACAGGCCTGAAAGCGCTCCAAATGTCCACTTGCAGATTCTGCCAAAAGAATATTTCAAAACTGCTCTATGAAAAGCAATGTTAAACTCTGTGGCTGGAACACAAACATCACAAAGCGGTTTCTGAGAATGTTTCAGTTTAGTTTTTCTGTGGAAATATTCCCGTTTCCAAAGAAATCTTCAAAGAGGTCCACGTATCCACTTACAGATTCTACAAAAAGACAGTTTCAAAACTGCTCCATCAAAAGGAGGGTTCAACTGTGTGACTTGAATGCAATCATCACTCAGAAGTTTCTGAGAATGCTTCTCTTTAGTTTTTACGTGAACATATACCCGTTTCGAACGAAGGCCACCCAGTGGTCCAAATATCCACTTGCAGATTATACAGAAAGAGTGTTTCGAACCTGAACTCTCAAAGGCAGGTTCATCTCTGCGAGTTAAATGCATTCATCATGAAGAACTTTCTCAGAGTGTTTGTGTTTAGTTATGGGAAATTATTCCCGTTTCCAACGAAATCCTCAGAGTGGTCCAAATATCCACCTGCAGATTCTACCAAAAGTGTATTTGGAAACTGCTCCATCAAAAGGCATGTTCAGCTCTGTGAGTGAAACTCCATCATCACAAAGAATATTCTGAGAATGCTTCCGTTTGCCTTTTATCTGAAGTTCCTTCCTATACGACCGTAGGCCTCAAAGCAGTCCAAATCTCCATTTGCAGATTCTACAAAAAGAGTGATTCCAATCTGCTCTATCAATAGGATTGTTCAACTCCATGAGTTGAATGCCATCCTCACAAAGTAGTTTCTGAGAATGCTTCTATCTAGTTTTTATGTGAAGGTATTTCCTTTTCCACCACAGGCCTCCAAGCCCTCCAAACGTCCACTTGCAGATTCTCGAAAAAGAGTGTTTCATAGCTGCTCTTTCAAAAGGAAAGTTCAACTCTGGGAGTTGAATACAAACATCACAAAGTAGTTTCCGAGAATGCTTCTGTTTAGTTTTTATGTGAAGATGATCCCGTTTCCAGTGAAATCTTCAAAGAGGTCCACATATCCCCTTGCAGATTCCAAAGAAAGAGGGTTTCAAAACTGCTCCATCAGAAGGATTGTTCAACTCTGTGAGTTGAATGCAGTCATCGCAGAAAACTTTCTGAGAATGCTTCTGTCTAGGTTTGATGTGAAGATATAGACGTTTCAAATGAAGGCTACAAAGTGGTCAAAATATACACTTGCAGATTCTACTACAAGGGTGTTGCAAACCTGAACTATCAAAGGAAGGTTCAACTCTGTGAGTTGAATACAAACATCACAAAGAATGTTCTGAGTTTGCTTCCGTTCAGTTATGGGAAGTTGATCCCGTTTCCAACGAAATCCTCAGAGAGGTCCAAATATCCCCTTGCAGATTCTACAAAACGTGTGTTTGGAAACTGCTCCATCATAACGAATGTTCAGCTCCCTGAGTTAAACTCCATCGTCACAAAGAATTTTCTGAGAGTGCTACCGTCTGGTTTTTATATGAAGTTCTTTCCTTCACTACCACAGGCCTCAAAGCGGTCCAAATCTCCACTTGCAGATTCTACAAAAAGAGTGTTTGCAAACTGCTCTATCAAAAGGAATGTTCAACTCTGGGAGTTGAATGCAATCATCACAGAGCAGTTTCTGAGAATGCTTCTATGTCGTTTTTAGGAGAAGATATTTCCTTTTCCAACACAGTCCTCCAAGCCCGCTAAATAGCCACTTGCACATTGTAGAAAAAGTGTGTCAAAGCTGCGCTATCAAAGGGAAAGTTCAACTCTGTGAGGTGAATGCAAACATCCCAAAGAAGTTTCTGAGAATGCTTCCGTTTAGCTTTTAGGTGAAGATTATCCCGTTTCCAACGAAACCTTCAAAGAGGTCCAAATATCCCCTTGCGGATCCCACAGAAAGAGTGTTTCGAAACTGCTGTTTCAAAAGGAATCTTCAACTCTGTGAGTTGAATGCAATCATCCCAAAGAAGTTTCTGACAATGCTTCTTCTCTCTCGTCTTTCTGTGAAGATAAAGGAAAAGGCTTTCAGGCCTTTTCCACCACAGGCCTGAAAGCGCTCCAAATGTCCACTTGCAGATTCTGCCAAAAGAATATTTCAAAACTGCTCTATGAAAAGCAATGTTAAACTCTGTGGCTCGAACACAAACATCACAAAGCGGTTTCTGAGAATGCTTCAGTTTAGTTTTTCTGTGGAAATATTCCCGTTTCCAAAGAAATCTTCAAAGAGGTCCACGTATCCACTTACAGATTCTACAAAAAGACAGTTTCAAAACTGCTCCATCAAAAGGAGGGTTCAACCGTGTGACTTGAATGCAATCATCACTCAGAAGTTTCTGAGAATGCTTCTCTTTAGTTTTTACGTGAACATATACCCGTTTCGAACGAAGGCCACCCAGTGGTCCAAATATCCACTTGCAGATTATACAGAAAGAGTGTTTCGAACCTGAACTCTCAAAGGCAGGTTCATCTCTGCGAGTTAAATGCATTCATCATGAAGAACTTTCTCAGAGTGTTTGTGTTTAGTTATGGGAAATTATTCCCGTTTCCAACGAAATCCTCAGAGAGCTCCAAATATCCACCTGCAGATTCTACCAAAAGTGTATTTGGAAACTGCTCCATCAAAAGGCATGTTCAGCTCTGTGAGTGAAACTCCATCATCACAAAGAATATTCTGAGAATGCTTCCGTTTGCCTTTTATATGAAGTTCCTTCCTATACGACCGTAGGCCTCAAAGCAGTCCAAATCTCCATTTGCAGATTCTACAAAAAGAGTGATTCCAATCTGCTCTATCAATAGGATTGTTCAACTCCATGAGTTGAATGCCATCCTCACAAAGTAGTTTCTGAGAATGCTTCTATCTAGTTTTTATGTGAAGATATTTCCTTTTCCACCACAGGCCTCAAAGCCTTCCAAACGTCCACTTGCAGATTCTCGAAAAAGAGTGTTTCATAGCTGCTCTTTCAAAAGGAAAGTTCAACTCTGGGAGTTGAATACAAACATCACAAAGTAGTTTCCGAGAATGCTTCTGTTTAGTTTTTATGTGAAGATGATCGATCCCGTTTCCAGTGAAATCTTCAAAGAGGTCCACATATCCCCTTGCAGATTCCAAAGAAAGAGGGTTTCAAAACTGCTCCATCAGAAGGATTGTTCAACTCTGTGAGTTGAATGCAGTCATCGCAGAAAACTTTCTGAGAATGCTTCTGTCTAGGTTTGATGTGAAGATATAGACGTTTCAAACGAAGGCTACAAAGTGGTCAAAATATACACTTGCAGATTCTACTACAAGGGTGTTGCAAACCTGAACTATCAAAGGAAGGTTCAACTCTGTGAGTTGAATACAAACATCACAAAGAATGTTCTGAGTTTGCTTCCGTTCAGTTATGGGAAGTTGATCCCGTTTCCAACGAAATCCTCAGAGAGGTCCAAATATCCCCTCGCAGATTCTACAAAACGTGTGTTTGGAAACTGCTCCATCATAACGAATGTTCAGCTCCCTGAGTTAAACTCCATCGTCACAAAGAATTTTCTGAGAGTGCTACCGTCTGGTTTTTATATGAAGTTCTTTCCTTCACTACCACAGGCCTCAAAGCGGTCCAAATCTCCACTTGCAGATTCTACAAAAAGAGTGTTTGCAAACTGCTCTATCAAAAGGAATGTTCAACTCTGGGAGTTGAATGCAATCATCACAGAGCAGTTTCTGAGAATGCTTCTATGTCGTTTTTAGGAGAAGATATTTCCTTTTCCAACACAGTCCTCCAAGCCCGCTAAATAGCCACTTGCACATTGTAGAAAAAGTGTGTCAAAGCTGCGCTATCAAAGGGAAAGTTCAACTCTGTGAGGTGAATGCAAACATCCCAAAGAAGTTTCTGAGAATGCTTCCGTTTAGCTTTTAGGTGAAGATTATCCCGTTTCCAACGAAACCTTCAAAGAGGTCCAAATATCCCCTTGCGGATCCCACAGAAAGAGTGTTTCGAAACTGCTGTTTCAAAAGGAATCTTCAACTCTGTGAGTTGAATGCAATCATCACAAAGAAGTTTCTGACAATGCTTCTCTCTCGTCTTTCTGTGAAGATAAAGGAAAAGGCTTTCAGGCCTTTGCCACCACAGGCCTGAAAGCGCTCCAAATGTCCACTTGCAGATTCTGCCAAAAGAATATTTCAAAACTGCTCTATGAAAAGCAATGTTAAACTCTGCGGCTCGAACACAAACATCACAAAGCGGTTTCTGAGAATGCTTCAGTTTAGTTTTTCTGTGGAAATATTCCCGTTTCCAAAGAAATCTTCAAAGAGGTCCACGTATCCACTTACAGATTCTACAAAAAGACAGTTTCAAAACTGCTCCATCAAAAGGAGGGTTCAACTGTGTGACTTGAATGCAATCATCACTCAGAAGTTTCTGAGAATGCTTCTCTTTAGTTTTTACGTGAACATATACCCGTTTCGAACGAAGGCCACCCAGTGGTCCAAATATCCACTTGCAGATTATACAGAAAGAGTGTTTCGAACCTGAACTCTCAAAGGCAGGTTCATCTCTGCGAGTTAAATGCATTCATCATGAAGAACTTTCTCAGCGTGTTTGTGCTTAGTTATGGGAAATTATTCCCGTTTCCAACGAAATCCTCAGAGAGCTCCAAATATCCACCTGCAGATTCTACCAAAAGTGTATTTGGAAACTGCTCCATCAAAAGGCATGTTCAGCTCTGTGAGTGAAACTCCATCATCACAAAGAATATTCTGAGAATGCTTCCGTTTGCCTTTTATATGAAGTTCCTTCCTATACTACCGTAGGCCTCAAAGCAGTCCAAATCTCCATTTGCAGATTCTACAAAAAGAGTGATTCCAATCTGCTCTATCAATAGGATTGTTCAACTCCATGTGTTGAATGCCATCCTCACAATGTCGTTTCTGAGAATGCTTCTATCTAGTTTTTATGTGAAGATATTTCCTTTTCCACCACAGGCCTCAAAGCCCTCCAAACGTCCACTTTCAGATTCTCGAAAAAGAGTGTTTCATAGCTGCTCTTTCAAAAGGAAAGTTCAACTCTGGGAGTTGAATACAAACATCACAAAGTAGTTTCCGAGAATGCTTCTGTTTAGTTTTTATGTGAAGATGATCCCGTTTCCAGTGAAATCTTCAAAGAGGTCCACATATCCCCTTGCAGATTCCAAAGAAAGAGGGTTTCAAAACTGCTCCATCAGAAGGATTGTTCAACTCTGTGAGTTGAATGCAGTCATCGCAGAAAACTTTCTGAGAATGCTTCTGTCTAGGTTTGATGTGAAGATATAGACGTTTCAAACGAAGGCTACAAAGTGTTCAAAATATACACTTGCAGATTCTACTACAAGGGTGTTGCAAACCTGAACTATCAAAGGAAGGTTCAACTCTGTGAGTTGAATACAAACATCACAAAGAATGTTCTGAGTTTGCTTCCGTTCAGTTATGGGAAGTTGATCCCGTTTCCAACGAAATCCTCAGAGAGGTCCAAATATCCCCTCGCAGATTCTACAAAACGTGTGTTTGGAAACTGCTCCATCATAACGAATGTTCAGCTCCCTGAGTTAAACTCCATCGTCACAAAGAATTTTCTGAGAGTGCTACCGTCTGGTTTTTATATGAAGTTCTTTCCTTCACTACCACAGGCCTCAAAGCGGTCCAAATCTCCACTTGCAGATTCTACAAAAAGAGTGTTTGCAAACTGCTCTATCAAAAGGAATGTTCAACTCTGGGAGTTGAATGCAATCATCACAGAGCAGTTTCTGAGAATGCTTCTATGTCGTTTTTAGGAGAAGATATTTCCTTTTCCAACACAGTCCTCCAAGCCCGCTAAATAGCCACTTGCACATTGTAGAAAAAGTGTGTCAAAGCTGCGCTATCAAAGGGAAAGTTCAACTCTGTGAGGTGAATGCAAACATCCCAAAGAAGTTTCTGAGAATGCTTCCGTTTAGCTTTTAGGTGAAGATTATCCCGTTTCCAACGAAACCTTCAAAGAGGTCCAAATATCCCCTTGCGGATCCCACAGAAAGAGTGTTTCGAAACTGCTGTTTCAAAAGGAATCTTCAACTCTGTGAGTTGAATGCAATCATCGCAAAGAAGTTTCTGACAATGCTTCTCTCTCGTCTTTCTGTGAAGATAAAGGAAAAGGCTTTCAGGCCTTTTCCACCCACAGGCCTGAAAGCGCTCCAAATGTCCACTTGCAGATTCTGCGAAAAGAATATTTCAAAACTGCTCTATGAAAAGCAATGTTAAACTCTGTGGCTGGAACACAAACATCACAAAGCGGTTTCTGAGAATGTTTCAGTTTAGTTTTTCTGTGGAAATATTCCCGTTTCCAAAGAAATCTTCAAAGAGGTCCACGTATCCACTTACAGATTCTACAAAAAGACAGTTTCAAAACTGCTCCATCAAAAGGAGGGTTCAACTGTGTGACTTGAATGCAATCATCACTCAGAAGTTTCTGAGAATGCTTCTCTTTAGTTTTTACGTGAACATATACCCGTTTCGAACGAAGGCCACCCAGTGGTCCAAATATCCACTTGCAGATTATACAGAAAGAGTGTTTCGAACCTGAACTCTCAAAGGCAGGTTCATCTCTGCGAGTTAAATGCATTCATCATGAAGAACTTTCTCAGAGTGTTTGTGTTTAGTTATGGGAAATTATTCCCGTTTCCAACGAAATCCTCAGAGAGCTCCAAATATCCACCTGCAGATTCTACCAAAAGTGTATTTGGAAACTGCTCCATCAAAAGGCATGTTCAGCTCTGTGAGTGAAACTCCATCATCACAAAGAATATTCTGAGAATGCTTCCGTTTGCCTTTTATATGAAGTTCCTTCCTGTACTACCGTAGGCCTCAAAGCAGTCCAAATCTCCATTTGCAGATTCTATAAAAAGAGTGATTCCAATCTGCTCTATCAATAGGATTGTTCAACTCCATGAGTTGAATGCCATCCTCACAAAGTAGTTTCTGAGAATGCTTCTATCTGGTTTTTGTGTGAAGATATTTCCTTTTCCACCACAGGCCTCAAAGCCCTCCAAACGTCCACTTGCAGATTCTCGAAAAAGAGTGTTTCATAGCTGCTCTTTCAAAAGGAAAGTTCAACTCTGGGAGTTGAATACAAACATCACAAAATAGTTTCCGAGAATGCTTCTGTTTAGTTTTTATGTGAAGATGATCCCGTTTCCAGTGAAATCTTCAAAGAGGTCCACATATCCCCTTGCAGATTCCAAAGAAAGAGGGTTTCAAAACTGCTCCATCAAAAGGATTGTTCAACTCTGTGAGTTGAATGCAGTCATCGCAGAAAACTTTCTGAGAATGCTTCTTTCTAGGTTTGATGTGAAGATATAGACGTTTCAAACGAAGGCTACAAAGTGGTCAAAATATACACTTGCAGATTCTACTACAAGGGTGTTGCAAACCTGAACTATCAAAGGAAGGTTCAACTCTGTGAGTTGAATACAAACATCACAAAGAATGTTCTGAGTTTGCTTCCGTTCAGTTATGGGAAGTTGATCCCGTTTCCAACGAAATCCTCAGAGAGGTCCAAATATCCCCTTGCAGATTCTACAAAACGTGTGTTTGGAAACTGCTCCATCATAACGAATGTTCAGCTCCCTGAGTTAAACTCCATCGTCACAAAGAATTTTCTGAGAGTGCTACCGTCTGGTTTTTATATGAAGTTCTTTCCTTCACTACCACAGGCCTCAAAGCGGTCCAAATCTCCACTTGCAGATTCTACAAAAAGAGTGTTTGCAAACTGCTCTATCAAAAGGAATGTTCAACTCTGGGAGTTGAATGCAATCATCACAGAGCAGTTTCTGAGAATGCTTCTATGTCGTTTTTAGGAGAAGATATTTCCTTTTCCAACACAATCCTCCAAGCCCGCTAAATAGCCACTTGCACATTGTAGAAAAAGTGTGTCAAAGCTGCGCTATCAAAGGGAAAGTTCAACTCTGTGAGGTGAATGCAAACATCCCAAAGAAGTTTCTGAGAATGCTTCCGTTTAGCTTTTAGGTGAAGATTATCCCGTTTCCAACGAAACCTTCAAAGAGGTCCAAATATCCCCTTGCGGATCCCACAGAAAGAGTGTTCCGAAACTGCTGTTTCAAAAGGAATCTTCAACTCTGTGAGTTGAATGCAATCATCACAAAGAAGTTTCTGACAATGCTTCTCTCTCGTCTTTCTGTGAAGATAAAGGAAAAGGCTTTCAGGCCTTTGCCACCACAGGCCTGAAAGCGCTCCAAATGTCCACTTGCAGATTCTGCGAAAAGAATATTTCAAAACTGCTCTATGAAAAGCAATGTTAAACTCTGCGGCTCGAACACAAACATCACAAAGCGGTTTCTGAGAATGCTTCAGTTTAGTTTTTCTGTGGAAATATTCCCGTTTCCAAAGAAATCTTCAAAGAGGTCCACGTATCCACTTACAGATTCTACAAAAAGACAGTTTCAAAACTGCTCCATCAATAGGAGGGTTCAACTGTGTGACTTGAATGCAATCATCACTCAGAAGTTTCTGAGAATGCTTCTCTTTAGTTTTTACGTGAACATATACCCGTTTCGAACGAAGGCCACCCAGTGGTCCAAATATCCACTTGCAGATTCTACAGAAAGAGTGTTTCGAACCTGAACTCTCAAAGGCAGGTTCATCTCTGCGAGTTAAATGCATTCATCATGAAGAACTTTCTCAGAGTGTTTGTGTTTAGTTATGGGAAATTATTCCCGTTTCCAAAGAAATCCTCAGAGAGCTCCAAATATCCACCTGCAGATTCTACCAAAAGTGTATTTGGAAACTGCTCCATCAAAAGGCATGTTCAGCTCTGTGAGTGAAACTCCATCATCACAAAGAATATTCTGAGAATGCTTCCGTTTGCCTTTTATATGAAGTTCCTTCCTGTACTACCGTAGGCCTCAAAGCAGTCCAAATCTCCATTTGCAGATTCTACAAAAAGAGTGATTCCAATCTGCTCTATCAATAGGATTGTTCAACTCCATGAGTTGAATGCCATCCTCACAAAGTAGTTTCTGAGAATGCTTCTATCTGGTTTTTGTGTGAAGATATTTCCTTTTCCACCACAGGCCTCAAAGCCCTCCAAACGTCCACTTGCAGATTCTCGAAAAAGAGTGTTTCATAGCTGCTCTTTCAAAAGGAAAGTTCAACTCTGGGAGTTGAATAGAAACATCACAAAATAGTTTCCGAGAATGCTTCAGTTTAGTTTTTATGTGAAGATGATCCCGTTTCCAGTGAAATCTTCAAAGAGGTCCACATATCCCCTTGCAGATTCCAAAGAAAGAGGGTTTCAAAACTGCTCCATCAGAAGGATTGTTCAACTCTGTGAGTTGAATGCAGTCATCGCAGAAAACTTTCTGAGAATGCTTCTGTCTAGGTTTGATGTGAAGATATAGACGTTTCAAACGAAGGCTACAAAGTGGTCAAAATATACACTTGCAGATTCTACTACAAGGGTGTTGCAAACCTGAACTATCAAAGGAAGGTTCAACTCTGTGAGTTGAATACAAACATCACAAAGAATGTTCTGAGTTTGCTTCCGTTCAGTTATGGGAAGTTGATCCCGTTTCCAACGAAATCCTCAGAGAGGTCCAAATATCCCCTTGCAGATTCTACAAAACGTGTGTTTGGAAACTGCTCCATCATAACGAATGTTCAGCTCCCTGAGTTAAACTCCATCGTCACAAAGAATTTTCTGAGAGTGCTACCGTCTGGTTTTTATATGAAGTTCTTTCCTTCACTACCACAGGCCTCAACGCGGTCCAAATCTCCACTTGCAGATTCTACAAAAAGAGTGTTTGCAAACTGCTCTATCAAAAGGAATGTTCAACTCTGGGAGTTGAATGCAATCATCACAGAGCAGTTTCTGAGAATGCTTCTATGTCGTTTTTAGGAGAAGATATTTCCTTTTCCAACACAGTCCTCCAAGCCCGCTAAATAGCCACTTGCACATTGTAGAAAAAGTGTGTCAAAGCTGCGCTATCAAAGGGAAAGTTCAACTCTGTGAGGTGAATGCAAACATCCCAAAGAAGTTTCTGAGAATGCTTCCGTTTAGCTTTTAGGTGAAGATAATCCCGTTTCCAACGAAACCTTCTAAGAGGTCCAAATATCCCCTTGCGGATCCCACAGAAAGAGTGTTTCGAAACTGCTGTTTCAAAAGGAATCTTCAACTCTGTGAGTTGAATGCAATCATCACAAAGAAGTTTCTGACAATGCTTCTCTCTCGTCTTTCTGTCAAGATAAAGGAAAAGGCTTTCAGGCCTTTTCCACCACAGGCCTGAAAGCGCTCCAAATGTCCACTTGCAGATTCTGCGAAAAGAATATTTCAAAACTGCTCTATGAAAAGCAATGTTAAACTCTGTGGCTGGAACACAAACATCACAAAGCGGTTTCTGAGAATGTTTCAGTTTAGTTTTTCTGTGGAAATATTCCCGTTTCCAAAGAAATCTTCAAAGAGGTCCACGTATCCACTTACAGATTCTACAAAAAGACAGTTTCAAAACTGCTCCATCAAAAGGAGGGTTCAACTGTGTGACTTGAATGCAATCATCACTCAGAAGTTTCTGAGAATGCTTCTCTTTAGTTTTTACGTGAACATATACCCGTTTCGAACGAAGGCCACCCAGTGGTCCAAATATCCACTTGCAGATTCTACAGAAAGAGTGTTTCGAACCTGAACTCTCAAAGGCAGGTTCATCTCTGCAAGTTAAATGCATTCATCATGAAGAACTTTCTCAGAGTGTTTGTGTTTAGTTATGGGAAATTATTCCCTTTTCCAACGAAATCCTCAGAGAGCTCCAAATATCCACCTGCTGATTCTACCAAAAGTGTATTTGGAAACTGCTCCATCAAAAGGCATGTTCAGCTCTGTGAGTGAAACTCCATCATCACAAAGAATATTCTGAGAATGCTTCCGTTTGCCTTTTATATGAAGTTCCTTCCTATACGACCGTAGGCCTCAAAGCAGTCCAAATCTCCATTTGCAGATTCCACAAAAAGAGTGATTCCAATCTGCTCTATCAATAGGATTGTTCAACTCCATGAGTTGAATGCCATCCTCACAAAGTAGTTTCTGAGAATGCTTCTATCTAGTTTTATGTGAAGATATTTCCTTTTCCACCACAGGCCTCAAAGCCCTCCAAACGTCCACTTGCAGATTCTCGAAAAAGAGTGTTTCATAGCTGCTCTTTCAAAAGGAAAGTTCAACTCTGGGAGTTGAATACAAACATCACAAAGTAGTTTCCGAGAATGCTTCTGTTTAGTTTTTATGTGAAGATGATCCCGTTTCCAGTGAAATCTTCAAAGAGGTCCACATATCCCCTTGCAGATTCCAAAGAAAGAGGGTTTCAAAACTGCTCCATCAGAAGGATTGTTCAACTCTGTGAGTTGAATGCAGTCATCGCAGAAAACTTTCTGAGAATGCTTCTGTCTAGGTTTGATGTGAAGATATAGACGTTTCAAACGAAGGCTACAAAGTGGTCAAAATATACACTTGCAGATTCTACTACAAGGGTGTTGCAAACCTGAACTATCAAAGGAAGGTTCAACTCTGTGAGTTGAATACAAACATCACAAAGAATGTTCTGAGTTTGCTTCCGTTCAGTTATGGGAAGTTGATCCCGTTTCCAACGAAATCCTCAGAGAGGTCCAAATATCCCCTCACAGATTCTACAAAACGTGTGTTTGGAAACTGCTCCATCATAACGAATGTTCAGCTCCCTGAGTTAAACTCCATCGTCACAAAGAATTTTCTGAGAGTGCTACCGTCTGGTTTTTATATGAAGTTCTTTCCTTCACTACCACAGGCCTCAAAGCGGTCCAAATCTCCACTTGCAGATTCTACAAAAAGAGTGTTTGCAAACTGCTCTATCAAAAGGAATGTTCAACTCTGGGAGTTGAATGCAATCATCACAGAGCAGTTTCTGAGAATGCTTCTATGTCGTTTTTAGGAGAAGATATTTCCTTTTCCAACACAGTCCTCCAAGCCCGCTAAATAGCCACTTGCACATTGTAGAAAAAGTGTGTCAAAGCTGCGCTATCAAAGGGAAAGTTCAACTCTGTCAGGTGAATGCAAACATCCCAAAGAAGTTTCTGAGAATGCTTCCGTTTAGCTTTTAGGTGAAGATTATCCCGTTTCCAACGAAAGCTTCAAAGAGGTCCAAATATCCCCTTGCGGATCCCACAGAAAGAGTGTTTCGAAACTGCTGTTTCAAAAGGAATCTTCAACTCTGTGAGTTGAATGCAATCATCACAAAGAAGTTTCTGACAATGCTTCTCTCTCGTCTTTCTGTGAAGATAAAGAAAAGGCTTTCAGGCCTTTTCCACCACAGGCCTGAAAGCGCTCCAAATGTCCACTTGCAGATTCTGCGAAAAGAATATTTCAAAACTGCTCTATGAAAAGCAATGTTAAACTCTGTGGCTCGAACACAAACATCACAAAGCAGTTTCTGAGAATGCTTCAGTTTAGTTTTTCTGTGGAAATATTCCCGTTTCGAAAGAAATCTTCAAAGAGGTCCACGCATCCACTTACAGATTCTACAAAAAGACAGTTTCAAAACTGCTCAATCAAAAGGAGGGTTCAACCGTGTGACTTGAATGCAATCATCACTCAGAAGTTTCTGAGAACGCTTCTCTTTAGTTTTTACGTGAACATATACCCGTTTCGAACGAAGGCCACCCAGTGGTCCAAATATCCACTTGCAGATTCTACAGAAAGAGTGTTTCGAACCTGAACTCTCAAAGGCAGGTTCATCTCTGCGAGTTCAATGCATTCAACATGAAGAACTTTCTCAGCGTGTTTGTGCTTAGTTATGGGAAATTATTCCCGTTTCCAACGAAATCCTCAGAGTGGTCCAAATATCCACCTGCAGATTCTACCAAAAGTGTATTTGGAAACTGCTCCATCAAAAGGCATGTTCAGCTCTGTGAGTGAAACTCCATCATCACAAAGAATATTCTGAGAATGCTTCCGTTTGCCTTTTATCTGAAGTTCCTTCCTATACGACCGTAGGCCTCAAAGCAGTCCAAATCTCCATTTGCAGATTCTACAAAAAGAGTGATTCCAATCTGCTCTATCAATAGGATTGTTCAACTCCATGAGTTGAATGCCATCCTCACAAAGTCGTTTACTGAGAATGCTTCCATCTAGTTTTTATGAGAAGATATTTCCTTTTCCACCACAGTACTCAAAGCCCTCCAATTGTCCAACTGCAGACTCTAGAAAAAGAGTTTTTCAAAGTCACTCTATCAAAGGGAAAGTTCAGCTCTGTGAGGTGAATGCAAACATCACAAAGAAGTTTCTGAGAATGCTTCAGTTTAGCTTTTATGTGAAGATTATCCCGTTTCCAATGAAATCTTCAAAGAGGTGCAAATATCCACTTGCGGATTCCACAGAAAGAGTGTTTCGAAACTGCTGTTTCAAAAGGAATCTTCAACTCTGTGAGTTGAATGCAATCATCACAAAGAAATTTCTGACAATGCTTCTCTCGTTTTTATGTGAAGATATTTCCTTTTCCACCACAGGCCTGAAAGTGCTCCAAATGTCGACTTGCAGATTCAACGAAAAGAATGTTTCAAAACTGCTCTATGATAAGCAATGTTATACTCTGTGACTTTAACACAAACATCACAATGAAGTTTCTGAGAATGCTTCTGTTTAGTTTTTATGTGAAGATATTCCTGTTTCCAAGGACATCTTCAAAGAGGTGCACATATCCACTTGCAGATTCTATAAAAAGGGAATTTCCAAACTGCTCAATCAAAATGAGTGTTCAACTCTGTGAGTTGAATGCAATCATCACAGAGAAGTTTCTAAGAATGCTTCTCTTTAGTTTTTACGTGAACATATACCCGTTTCGAACGAAGGCCACCCAGTGGTCCAAATATCCACTTGCAGATTCTACAGAAAGAGTGTTTCGAACCTGAACTCTCAAAGGCAGGTTCATCTCTGCGAGTTAAATGCATTCATCATGAAGAACTTTCTCAGAGTGTTTGTGTTTAGTTATGGGAAATTATTCCCCTTTCCAACGAAATCCTCAGAGAGCTCCAAATATCCACCTGCAGATTCTACCAAAAGTGTATTTGGAAACTGCTCCATCAAAAGGCATGTTCAGCTCTGTGAGTGAAACTCCATCATCACAAAGAATATTCTGAGAATGCTTCCGTTTGCCTTTTATATGAAGTTCCTTCCTATACGACCGTAGGCCTCAAAGCAGTCCAAATCTCCATTTGCAGATTCTACAAAAAGAGTGATTCCAATCTGCTCTATCAATAGGATTGTTCAACTCCATGAGTTGAATGCCATCCTCACAAAGTCGTTTCTGAGAATGCTTCTATCTAGTTTTTATGTGAAGATATTTCCTTTTCCACCACAGGCCTCAAAGCCCTCCAAACGTCCACTTGCAGATTCTCGAAAAAGAGTGTTTCATAGCTGCTCTTTCAAAAGGAAAGTTCAACTCTGGGAGTTGAATACAAACATCACAAAGTAGTTTCCGAGAATGCTTCTGTTTAGTTCTTATGTGAAGATGATCCCGTTTCCAGTGAAATCTTCAAAGAGGTCCACATATCCCATTGCAGATTCCAAAGAAAGAGGGTTTCAAAACTGCTCCATCAAAAGGATTGTTCAACTCTGTGAGTTGAATGCAGTCATCGCAGAAAATTTTCTGAGAATGCTTCTGTCTAGGTTTGATGTGAAGATATAGACCTTTCAAACGAAGGCTACAAAGTGGTCAAAATATACACTTGCAGATTCTACTGCAAGGGTGTTGCAAACCTGAACTATCAAAGGAATGTTCAACTCTGTGAGTTGAATTCAAACGTCATAAAGAATGTTCTGAGTTTGCTTCCGTTCAGTTATGGGAAGTTGATCCCGTTTCCAACGAAATCCTCAGAGAGGTCCAAATATCCCCTTGCAGATTCTACAAAACGTGTGTTTGGAAACTGCTCCATCATA
The DNA here is from genome assembly GCF_000001405.40 of Homo sapiens. NCBI lineage: Eukaryota > Metazoa > Chordata > Mammalia > Primates > Hominidae > Homo > Homo sapiens. The sequence goes on along the minus strand of NC_000023.11, from coordinate 60,785,794 downwards.
ACGAATGTTCAGCTCTCTGAGTTAAACTCCATCGTCACAAAAAATTTTCTGAGAGTGCTACCGTCTAGTTTTTATATGAAGTTCTTTCCTTTATTACCACAGGCCTCAAAGCGGGCCAAATCTCCACTTGCAGATTCTACAAAAAGAGTGTTTGCAAACTGCTCTATCAAAAGGAATGTTCAACTCTGGGAGTTGAATGCAATCATCACAGAGCAGTTTCTGAGAATGCTTCTATGTCGTTTTTAGGAGAAGATATTTCCTTTTCCAACACAGTCCTCCAAGCCCGCTAAATAGCCACTTGCACATTGTAGAAAAAGTGTGTCAAAGCTGCGCTATCAAAGGGAAAGTTCAACTCTGTGAGGTGAATGCAAACATCCCAAAGAAGTTTCTGAGAATGCTTCCGTTTAGCTTTTAGGTGAGGATTATCCCGTTTCCAACGAAACCTTCAAAGAGGTCCAAATATCCCCTTGCGGATCCCACAGAAAGAGTGTTTCGAAACTGCTGTTTCAAAAGGAATCTTCAACTCTGTGAGTTGAATGCAATCATCACAAAGAAGTTTCTGACAATGCTTCTCTCTCGTCTTTCTGTGAAGATAAAGGAAAAGGCTTTCAGGCCTTTTCCACCACAGGCCTGAAAGCGCTCCAAATGTCCACTTGCAGATTCTGCGAAAAGAATATTTCAAAACTGCTCTATGAAAAGCAATGTTAAACTCTGTGGCTCGAACACAAACATCACAAAGCAGTTTCTGAGAATGCTTCAGTTTAGTTTTTCTGTGGAAATATTCCCGTTTCCAAAGAAATCTTCAAAGAGGTCCACGTATCCACTTACAGATTCTACAAAAAGACAGTTTCAAAACTGCTCCATCAAAAGGAGGGTTCAACTGTGTGACTTGAATGCAATCATCACTCAGAAGTTTCTGAGAATGCTTCTCTTTAGTTTTTACGTGAACATATACCCGTTTCGAACGAAGGCCACCCAGTGGACCAAATATCCACTTGCAGATTCTACAGAAAGAGTGTTTCGAACCTGAACTCTCAAAGGAAGGTTCATCTCTGCGAGTTAAATGCATTCATCATGAAGAACTTTCTCAGCGTGTTTGTGTTTAGTTATGGGAAATTATTCCCGTTTCCAAAGAAATCCTCAGAGAGCTCCAAATATCCACCTGCAGATTCTACCAAAAGTGTATTTGGAAACTGCTCCATCAAAAGGCATGTTCAGCTCTGTGAGTGAAACTCCATCATCACAAAGAATATTCTGAGAATGCTTCCGTTTGCCTTTTATCTGAAGTTCCTTCCTATACGACCGTAGGCCTCAAAGCAGTCCAAATCTCCATTTGCAGATTCTACAAAAAGAGTGATTCCAATCTGCTCTATCAATAGGATTGTTCAACTCCATGAGTTGAATGCCGTCCTCACAAAGTCGTTTCTGAGAATGCTTCTATCTAGTTTTTATGTGAAGATATTTCCTTTTCCACCACAGGCCTCAAAGCCCTCCAAACGTCCACTTGCAGATTCTCGAGAAAGAGTGTTTCATAGCTGCTCTTTCAAAAGGAAAGTTCAACTCTGGGAGTTGAATACAAACATCACAAAGTAGTTTCCGAGAATGCTTCTGTTTAGTTTTTATGTGAAGATGATCCCGTTTCCAGTGAAATCTTCAAAGAGGTCCACATATCCCCTTGCAGATTCCAAAGAAAGAGGGTTTCAAAACTGCTCCATCAGAAGGATTGTTCAACTCTGTGAGTTGAATGCAGTCATCGCAGAAAACTTTCTGAGAATGCTTCTGTCTAGGTTTGATGTGAAGATATAGACGTTTCAAACGAAGGCTACAAAGTGGTCAAAATATACACTTGCAGATTCTACTACAAGGGTGTTGCAAACCTGAACTATCAAAGGAAGGTTCAACTCTGTGAATTGAATACAAACATCACAAAGAATGTTCTGAGTTTGCTTCCGTTCAGTTATGGGATGTTGATCCCGTTTCCAACGAAATCCTCAGAGAGGTCCAAATATCCCCTTGCAGATTCTACAAAACGTGTGTTTGGAAACTGCTCCATCATAACGAATGTTCAGCTCCCTGAGTTAAACTCCATCGTCACAAAGAATTTTCTGAGAGTGCTACCGTCTGGTTTTTATATGAAGCTCTTTCCTTCACTACCACAGGCCTCAAAGCGGTCCAAATCTCCACTTCCAGATTCTACAAAAAGAGTGTTTGCAAACTGCTCTATCAAAAGGAATGTTCAACTCTGGGAGTTGAATGCAATCATCACAGAGCAGTTTCTGAGAATGCTTCTATGTCGTTTTTAGGAGAAGATATTTCCTTTTCCAACACAGTCCTCCAAGCCCGCTAAATAGCCACTTGCACATTGTAGAAAAAGTGTGTCAAAGCTGCGCTATCAAAGGGAAAGTTCAACTCTGTGAGGTGAATGCAAACATCCCAAAGAAGTTTCTGAGAATGCTTCCGTTTAGCTTTTAGGTGAGGATTATCCCGTTTCCAACGAAACCTTCAAAGAGGTCCAAATATCCCCTTGCGGATCCCACAGAAAGAGTGTTTCGAAACTGCTGTTTCAAAAGGAATCTTCAACTCTGTGAGTTGAATGCAATCATCACAAAGAAGTTTCTGACAATGCTTCTCTCTCGTCTTTCTGTGAAGATAAAGGAAAAGGCTTTCAGGCCTTTGCCACCACAGGCCTGAAAGCGCTCCAAATGTCCACTTGCAGATTCTGCGAAAAGAATATTTCAAAACTGCTCTATGAAAAGCAATGTTAAACTCTGTGGCTCGAACACAAACATCACAAAGCGGTTTCTGAGAATGCTTCAGTTTAGTTTTTCTGTGGAAATATTCCCGTTTCCAAAGAAATCTTCAAAGAGGTCCACGTATCCACTTACAGATTCTACAAAAAGACAGTTTCAAAACTGCTCCATCAAAAGGAGGGTTCAACTGTGTGACTTGAATGCAATCATCACTCAGAAGTTTCTGAGAATGCTTCTCTTTAGTTTTTACGTGAACATATACCCGTTTCGAACGAAGGCCACCCAGTGGTCCAAATATCCACTTGCAGATTCTACAGAAAGAGTGTTTCGAACCTGAACTCTCAAAGGCAGGTTCATCTCTGCGAGTTAAATGCATTCATCATGAAGAACTTTCTCAGAGTGTTTGTGTTTAGTTATGGGAAATTATTCCCGTTTCCAACGAAATCCTCAGAGAGCTCCAAATATCCACCTGCAGATTCTACCAAAAGTGTATTTGGAAACTGCTCCATCAAAAGGCATGTTCAGCTCTGTGCGTGAAACTCCATCGTCACAAAGAATATTCTGAGAATGCTTCCGTTTGCCTTTTATATGAAGTTCCTTCCTATACGACCGTAGGCCTCAAAGCAGTCCAAATCTCCATTTGCAGATTCTACAAAAAGAGTGATTCCAATCTGCTCTATCAATAGGATTGTTCAACTCCATGAGTTGAATGCCATCCTCACAAAGTCGTTTCTGAGAATGCTTCTATCTAGTTTTTATGTGAAGATATTTCCTTTTCCACCACAGGCCTCAAAGCCTTCCAAACGTCCACTTGCAGATTCTCGAAAAAGAGTGTTTCATAGCTGCTCTTTCAAAAGGAAAGTTCAACTCTGGGAGTTGAATACAAACATCACAAAGTAGTTTCCGAGAATGCTTCTGTTTAGTTTTTATGTGAAGATGATCCCGTTTCCAGTGAAATCTTCAAAGAGGTCCACATATCCCCTTGCAGATTCCAAAGAAAGAGGGTTTCAAAACTGCTCCATCAGAAGGATTGTTCAACTCTGTGAGTTGAATGCAGTCATCGCAGAAAACTTTCTGAGAATGCTTCTTTCTAGGTTTGATGTGAAGATATAGACGTTTCAAACGAAGGCTACAAAGTGGTCAAAATATACACTTGCAGATTCTACTACAAGGGTGTTGCAAACCTGAACTATCAAAGGAAGGTTCAACTCTGTGAGTTGAATACAAACATCACAAAGAATGTTCTGAGTTTGCTTCCGTTCAGTTATGGGAAGTTGATCCCGTTTCCAACGAAATCCTCAGAGAGGTCCAAATATCCCCTTGCAGATTCTACAAAACGTGTGTTTGGAAACTGCTCCATCATAACGAATGTTCAGCTCCCTGAGTTAAACTCCATCGTCACAAAGAATTTTCTGAGAGTGCTACCGTCTGGTTTTTATATGAAGTTCTTTCCTTCACTACCACAGGCCTCAAAGCGGTCCAAATCTCCACTTGCAGATTCTACAAAAAGAGTGTTTGCAAACTGCTCTATCAAAAGGAATGTTCAACTCTGGGAGTTGAATGCAATCATCACAGAGCAGTTTCTGAGAATGCTTCTATGTCGTTTTTAGGAGAAGATATTTCCTTTTCCAACACAATCCTCCAAGCCTGCTAAATAGCCACTTGCACATTGTAGAAAAAGTGTGTCAAAGCTGCGCTATCAAAGGGAAAGTTCAACTCTGTGAGGTGAATGCAAACATCCCAAAGAAGTTTCTGAGAATGCTTCCGTTTAGCTTTTAGGTGAGGATTATCCCGTTTCCAACGAAACCTTCAAAGAGGTCCAAATATCCCCTTGCGGATCCCACAGAAAGAGTGTTTCGAAACTGCTGTTTCAAAAGGAATCTTCAACTCTGTGAGTTGAATGCAATCATCACAAAGAAGTTTCTGACAATGCTTCTCTCTCGTCTTTCTGTGAAGATAAAGGAAAAGGCTTTCAGGCCTTTTCCACCACAGGCCTGAAAGCGCTCCAAATGTCCACTTGCAGATTCTGCGAAAAGAATATTTCAAAACTGCTCTATGAAAAGCAATGTTAAACTCTGTGGCTCGAACACAAACATCACAAAGCGGTTTCTGAGAATGCTTCAGTTTAGTTTTTCTGTGGAAATATTCCCGTTTCCAAAGAAATCTTCAAAGAGGTCCACGTATCCACTTACAGATTCTACAAAAAGACAGTTTCAAAACTGCTCCATCAAAAGGAGGGTTCAACTGTGTGACTTGAATGCAATCATCACTCAGAAGTTTCTGAGAATGCTTCTCTTTAGTTTTTACGTGAACATATACCCGTTTCGAACGAAGGCCAGCCAGTGGTCCAAATATCCACTTGCAGATTCTACAGAAAGAGTGTTTCGAACCTGAACTCTCAAAGGCAGGTTCATCTCTGCGAGTTAAATGCATTCATCATGAAGAACTTTCTCAGAGTGTTTGTGTTTAGTTATGGGAAATTATTCCCTTATCCAACGAAATCCTCAGAGAGCTCCAAATATCCACCTGCAGATTCTACCAGAAGTGTATTTGGAAACTGCTCCATCAAAAGGCATGTTCAGCTCTGTGAGTGAAACTCCATCATCACAAAGAATATTCTGAGAATGCGTCCGTTTGCCTTTTATATGAAGTTCCTTCCTGTACTACCGTAGGCCTCAAAGCAGTCCAAATCTCCATTTGCCGATTCTACAAAAAGAGTGATTCCAATGTGCTCTATCATTAGGATTGTTCAACTCCATGAGTTGAATGCCGTCCTCACAAAGTCGTTTCTGAGAATGCTTCTATCTAGTTTTTATGTGAAGATATTTCCTTTTCCACCACAGGCCTCAAAGCCCTCCAAACGTCCACTTGCAGATTCTCGAAAAAGATTGTTTCATAGCTGCTCTTTCAAAAGGAAAGTTCAACTCTGGGAGTTGAATACAAACATCACAAAGTCGTTTCCGAGAATGCTTCTGTTTAGTTCTTATGTGAAGATGATCCCGTTTCCAGTGAAATCTTCAACGAGGTCCACATATCCCCTTGCAGATTCCAAAGAAAGAGGGTTTCAAAACTGCTCCATCAAAATGATTGTTCAACTCTGTGAGTTGAATGCAGTCATCGCAGAAAACTTTCTGAGAATGCTTCTGTCTAGGTTTGATGTGAAGATATAGACGTTTCAAACGAAGGCTACAAAGTGGTCAAAATATACACTTGCAGATTCTACTACAAGGGTGTTGCAAACCTGAACTATCAAAGGAAGGTTCAACTCTGTGAGTTGAATACAAACATCACAAAGAATGCTCTGAGTTTGCTTCTGTTCAGTTATGGGATGTTGATCCCGTTTCCAACGAAATCCTCAGAGAGGTCCAAATATCCCCTTGCAGATTCTACAAAACGTGTGTTTGGAAACTGCTCCATCATAACGAATGTTCAGCTCCCTGAGTTAAACTCCATCGTCACAAAGAATTTTCTGAGAGTGCTACCGTCTGGTTTTTATATGAAGCTCTTTCCTTCACTACCACAGGCCTCAAAGCGGTCCAAATCTCCACTTGCAGATTCTACAAAAAGAGTGTTTGCAAACTGCTCTATCAAAAGGAATGTTCAACTCTGGGAGTTGAATGCAATCATCACAGAGCAGTTTCTGAGAATGCTTCTATGTCGTTTTTAGGAGAAGATATTTCCTTTTCCAACACAGTCCTCCAAGCCCGCTAAATAGCCACTTGCACATTGTAGAAAAAGTGTGTCAAAGCTGCGCTATCAAAGGGAAAGTTCAACTCTGTGAGGTGAATGCAAACATCCCAAAGAAGTTTCTGAGAATGCTTCCGTTTAGCTTTTAGGTGAAGATTATCCCGTTTCCAACGAAACCTTCAAAGAGGTCCAAATATCCCCTTGCGGATCCCACAGAAAGAGTGTTTCGAAACTGCTGTTTCAAAAGGAATCTTCAACTCTGTGAGTTGAATGCAATCATCACAAAGAAGTTTCTGACAATGCTTCTCTCTCGTCTTTCTGTGAAGATAAAGGAAAAGGCTTTCAGGCCTTTGCCACCACAGGCCTGAAAGCGCTCCAAGTGTCCACTTGCAGATTCTGCGAAAAGAATATTTCAAAACTGCTCTATGAAAAGCAATGTTAAACTCTGTGGCTCGAACACAAACATCACAAAGAGGTTTCTGAGAATGCTTCAGTTTAGTTTTTCTGTGGAAATATTCCCGTTTCCAAAGAAATCTTCAAAGAGGTCCACGTATCCACTTACAGATTCTACAAAAAGACAGTTTCAAAACTGCTCCATCAAAAGGAGGGTTCAACTGTGTGACTTGAATGCAATCATCACTCAGAAGTTTCTGAGAATGCTTCTCTTTAGTTTTTACGTGAACATATACCCGTTTCGAACGAAGGCCACCCAGTGGTCCAAATATCCACTTGCAGATTCTACAGAAAGAGTGTTTCGAACCTGAACTCTCAAAGGCAGGTTCATCTCTGCGAGTTAAATGCATTCATCATGAAGAACCTTCTCAGAGTGTTTGTGTTTAGTTGTGGGAAATTATTCCCGTTTCCAACGAAATCCTCAGAGAGCTCCAAATATCCACCTGCAGATTCTACCAAAAGTGTATTTGGAAACTGCTCCATCAAAAGGCATGTTCAGCTATGTGAGTGAAACACCATCATCACAAAGAATATTCTGAGAATGCTTCCGTTTGCCTTTTATATGAAGCTCCTTCCTATACTACCGTAGGCCTCAAAGCAGTCCAAATCTCCTTTTGCAGATTCTACAAAAAGAGTGATTCCAATCTGCTCTATCAATAGGATTGTTCAACTCCATGAGTTGAATGCCATCCTCACAAAGTCGTTTCTGAGAATGCTTCTATCTAGTTTTTATGTGAAGATATTTCCTTTTCCACCACAGGCCTCAAAGCCTTCCAAACGTCCACTTGCAGATTCTCGAAAAAGAGTGTTTCATAGCTGCTCTTTCAAAAGGAAAGTTCAACTCTGGGAGTTGAATACAAACATCACAAAGTAGTTTCCGAGAATGCTTCAGTTTAGTTTTTATGTGAAGATGATCCCGTTTCCAGTGAAATCTTCAAAGAGGTCCACATATCCCCTTGCAGATTCCAAAGAAAGAGGGTTTCAAAACTGCTCCATCAGAAGGATTGTTCAACTCTGTGAGTTGAATGCAGTCATCGCAGAAAACTTTCTGAGAATGCTTCTGTCTAGGTTTGATGTGAAGATATAGATGTTTCAAACGAAGGCTACAAAGTGGTCAAAATATACACTTTCAGATTCTACTACAAGGGTGTTGCAAACCTGAACTATCAAAGGAAGGTTCAACTCTGTGAGTTGAATACAAACATCACAAAGAATGTTCTGAGTTTGCTTCCGTTCAGTTATGGGAAGTTGATCCCGTTTCCAACGAAATCCTCAGAGAGGTCCAAATATCCCCTTGCAGATTCTACAAAACGTGTGTTTGGAAACTGCTCCATCATAACGAATGTTCAGCTCCCTGAGTTAAACTCCATCGTCACAAAGAATTTTCTGAGAGTGCTACCGTCTAGTTTTTATATGAAGTTCTTTCCTTTACTACCACAGGCCTCAAAGCGGTCCAAATCTCCACTTGCAGATTCTACAAAAAGAGTGTCTGCAAACTGCTCTATCAAAAGGAATGTTCAACTCTGGGAGTTGAATGCAATCATCACAGAGCAGTTTCTGAGAAGGCTTCTATGTCGTTTTTAGGAGAAGATACTTCCTTTTCCAACACAGTCCTCCAAGCCCGCTAAATAGCCACTTGCACATTGTAGAAAAAGTGTGTCAAAGCTGCGCTATCAAAGGGAAAGTTCAACTCTGTGAGGTGAATGCAAACATCCCAAAGAAGTTTCTGAGAATGCTTCCGTTTAGCTTTTAGGTGAAGATTATCCCGTTTCCAACGAAACCTTCAAAGAGGTCCAAATATCCCCTTGCGGATCCCACAGAAAGAGTGTTTCGAAACTGCTGTTTCAAAAGGAATCTTCAACTCTGTGAGTTGAATGCAATCATCACAAAGAAGTTTCTGACAATGCTTCTCTCTCGTCTTTCTGTGAAGATAAAGGAAAAGGCTTTCAGGCCTTTGCCACCACAGGCCTGAAAGCGGTCCAAATGTCCACTTGCAGATTCTGCCAAAAGAATATTTCAAAACTGCTCTATGAAAAGCAATGTTAAACTCTGTGGCTCGAACACAAACATCACAAAGCGGTTTCTGAGAATGCTTCAGTTTAGTTTTTCTGTGGAAATATTCCCGTTTCCAAAGAAATCTTCAAAGAGGTCCACGTATCCACTTACAGATTCTACAAAAAGACAGTTTCAAAACTGCTCCATCAAAAGGAGGGTTCAACCGTGTGACTTGAATGCAATCATCACTCAGAAGTTTCTGAGAATGCTTCTCTTTAGTTTTTACGTGAACATATACCCGTTTCGAACGAAGGCCAGCCAGTGGTCCAAATATCCACTTGCAGATTCTACAGAAAGAGTGTTTCGAACCTGAACTCTCAAAGGCAGGTTCATCTCTGCGAGTTCAATGCATTCTAAATGAAGAACTTTCTCAGAGTGTTTTGTGTTTAGTTATGGGAAATTATTCCCGTTTCCAACGAAATCCTCAGAGAGCTCCAAATATCCACCTGCAGATTCTACCAAAAGTGTATTTGGAAACTGCTCCATCAAAAGGCATGTTCAGCTCTGTGAGTGAAACTCCATCATCACAAAGAATATTCTGAGAATGCTTCCGTTTGCCTTTTATATGAAGTTCCTTCCTATACGACCGTAGGCCTCAAAGCAGTCCAAATCTCCATTTGCAGATTCTACAAAAAGAGTGATTCCAATCTGCTCTATCAATAGGATTGTTCAACTCCATGAGTTGAATGCCATCCTCACCAAGTCGTTTCTGAGAATGCTTCTATCTAGTTTTTATGTGAAGATATTTCCTTTTCCACCACAGGCCTCAAAGCCCTCCAAACGTCCACTTGCAGATTCTCGAAAAAGAGTGTTTCATAGCTGCTCTTTCAAAAGGAAAGTTCAACTCTGGGAGTTGAATACAAACATCACAAAGTAGTTTCCGAGAATGCTTATATTTAGTTTTTATGTGAAGATGATCCCGTTTCCAGTGAAATCTTCAAAGAGGTCCACATATCCCCTTGCAGATTCCAAAGAAAGAGGGTTTCAAAACTGCTCCATCAGAAGGATTGTTCAACTCTGTGAGTTGAATGCAGTCATCGCAGAAAACTTTCTAAGAATGCTTCTTTCTAGGTTTGATGTGAAGATATAGACGTTTCAAACGAAGGCTACAAAGTGGTCAAAATATACACTTGCAGATTCTACTACAAGGGTGTTGCAAACCTGAACTATCAAAGGAAGGTTCAACTCTGTGAGTTGAATACAAACATCACAAAGAATGTTCTGAGTTTGCTTCCGTTCAGTTATGGGAAGTTGATCCCGTTTCCAACGAAATCCTCAGAGAGGTCCAAATATCCCCTTGCAGATACTACAAAACGTGTGTTTGGAAACTGCTCCATCATAACGAATGTTCAGCTCCCTGAGATAAACTCCATCGTCACAAAGAATTTTCTGAGAGTGCTACCGTCTGGTTTTTATATGAAGCTCTTTCCTTCACTACCCCCAGGCCTCAAAGCGGTCCAAATCTCCACTTGCAGATTCTACAAAAAGAGTGTTTGCAAACTGCTCTATCAAAAGGAATGTTCAACTCTGGGAGTTGAATGCAATCATCACAGAGCAGTTTCTGAGAATGCTTCTATGTCGTTTTTAGGAGAAGATATTTCCTTTTCCAACACAGTCCTCCAAGCCCGCTAAATAGCCACTTGCACATTGTAGAAAAAGTGTGTCAAAGCTGCGCTATCAAAGGGAAAGTTCAACTCTGTGAGGTGAATGCAAACATCCCAAAGAAGTTTCTGAGAGTGCTTCCCGTTTAGCTTTTAGGTGAGGATTATCCCGTTTCCAACGAAACCTTCAAAGAGGTCCAAATATCCCCTTGCGGATCCCACAGAAAGAGTGTTTCGAAACTGCTGTTTCAAAAGGAATCTTCAACTCTGTGAGTTGAATGCAATCATCACAAAGAAGTTTCTGACAATGCTTCTCTCTCGTCTTTCTGTGAAGATAAAGGAAAAGGCTTTCAGGCCTTTTCCACCACAGGCCTGAAAGCGCTCCAAATGTCCACTTGCAGATTCTGCGAAAAGAATATTTCAAAACTGCTCTATGAAAAGCAATGTTAAACTCTGTGGCTCGAACACAAACATCACAAAGCGGTTTCTGAGAATGCTTCAGTTTAGTTTTTCTGTGGAAATATTCCCGTTTCGAAAGAAATCTTCAAAGAGGTCCACGTATCCACTTACAGATTCTACAAAAAGACAGTTTCAAACTGCTCCATCAAAAGGAGGGTTCAACCGTGTGACTTGAATGCAATCATCACTCAGAAATTTCTGAGAATGCTTCTCTTTAGTTTTTACGTGAACATATACCCGTTTCGAACGAAGGCCACCCAGTGGTCCAAATATCCACTTGCAGATTATACAGAAAGAGTGTTTCGAACCTGAACTCTCAAAGGCAGGTTCATCTCTGCGAGTTAAATGCATTCATCATGAAGAACTTTCTCAGAGTGTTTGTGTTTAGTTATGGGAAATTATTCCCCTTTCCAACGAAATCCTCAGAGAGCTCCAAATATCCACCTGCAGATTCTACCAAAAGTGTATTTGGAAACTGCTCCATCAAAAGGCATGTTCAGCTCTGTGAGTGAAACTCCATCATCACAAAGAATATTCTGAGAATGCTTCCGTTTGCCTTTTATATGAAGTTCCTTCCTGTACTACCGTAGGCCTCAAAGCAGTCCAAATCTCCATTTGCAGATTCTACAAAAAGAGTGATTCCAATCTGCTCTATCAATAGGATTGTTCAACTCCATGAGTTGAATGCCATCCTCACAAAGCAGTTTCTGAGAATGCTTCTATCTGGTTTTTGTGTGAAGATATTTCCTTTTCCACCACAGGCCTCAAAGCCCTCCAAACGTCCACTTGCAGATTCTCGAAAAAGAGTGTTTCATAGCTGCTCTTTCAAAAGGAAAGTTCAACTCTGGCAGTTGAATACAAACATCACAAAGTAGTTTCCGAGAATGCTTCTGTTTAGTTTTTATGTGAAGATGATCCCGTTTCCAGTGAAATCTTCAAAGAGGTCCACATATCCCCTTGCAGATTCCAAAGAAAGAGGGTTTCAAAACTGCTCCATCAGAAGGATTGTTCAACTCTGTGAGTTGAATGCAGTCATCGCAGAAAACTTTCTGAGAATGCTTCTGTCTAGGTTTGATGTGAAGATATAGACGTTTCAAACGAAGGCTACAAAGTGTTCAAAATATACACTTGCAGATTCTACTACAAGGGTGTTGCAAACCTGAACTATCAAAGGAAGGTTCAACTCTGTGAGTTGAATACAAACATCACAAAGAATGTTCTGAGTTTGCTTCCGTTCAGTTATGGGAAGTTGATCCCGTTTCCAACGAAATCCTCAGAGAGGTCCAAATATCCCCTCGCAGATTCTACAAAACGTGTGTTTGGAAACTGCTCCATCATAACGAATGTTCAGCTCCCTGAGTTAAACTCCATCGTCACAAAGAATTTTCTGAGAGTGCTACCGTCTGGTTTTTATATGAAGTTCTTTCCTTCACTACCACAGGCCTCAAAGCGGTCCAAATCTCCACTTGCAGATTCTACAAAAAGAGTGTTTGCAAACTGCTCTATCAAAAGGAATGTTCAACTCTGGGAGTTGAATGCAATCATCACAGAGCAGTTTCTGAGAATGCTTCTATGTCGTTTTTAGGAGAAGATATTTCCTTTTCCAACACAGTCCTCCAAGCCCGCTAAATAGCCACTTGCACATTTTAGAAAAAGTGTGTCAAAGCTGCGCTATCAAAGGGAAAGTTCAACTCTGTGAGGTGAATGCAAACATCCCAAAGAAGTTTCTGAGAATGCTTCCGTTTAGCTTTTAGGTGAAGATTATCCCGTTTCCAACGAAACCTTCAAAGAGGTCCAAATATCCCCTTGCGGATCCCACAGAAAGAGTGTTTCGAAACTGCTGTTTCAAAAGGAATCTTCAACTCTGTGAGTTGAATGCAATCATCACAAAGAAGTTTCTGACAATGCTTCTCTCTCGTCTTTCTGTGAAAATAAAGGAAAAGGCTTTCAGGCCTTTTCCACCACAGGCCTGAAAGCGCTCCAAATGTCCACTTGCAGATTCTGCCAAAAGAATATTTCAAAACTGCTCTATGAAAAGCAATGTTAAACTCTGTGGCTCGAACACAAACATCACAAAGCAGTTTCTGAGAATGCTTCAGTTTAGTTTTTCTGTGGAAATATTCCCGTTTCCAAAGAAATCTTCAAAGAGGTCCACGTATCCACTTACAGATTCTACAAAAAGACAGTTTCAAAACTGCTCCATCAAAAGGAGGGTTCAACTGTGTGACTTGAATGCAATCATCACTCAGAAGTTTCTGAGAATGCTTCTCTTTAGTTTTTACGTGAACATATACCCGTTTCGAACGAAGGCCACCCAGTGGTCCAAATATCCACTTGCAGATTATACAGAAAGAGTGTTTCGAACCTGAACTCTCAAAGGCAGGTTCATCTCTGCGAGTTAAATGCATTCATCATGAAGAACTTTCTCAGAGTGTTTGTGTTTAGTTATGGGAAATTATTCCCGTTTCCAACGAAATCCTCAGAGTGGTCCAAATATCCACCTGCAGATTCTACCAAAAGTGTATTTGGAAACTGCTCCATCAAAAGGCATGTTCAGCTCTGTGAGTGAAACTCCATCATCACAAAGAATATTCTGAGAATGCTTCCGTTTGCCTTTTATATGAAGTTCCTTCCTATACGACCGTAGGCCTCAAAGCAGTCCAAATCTCCATTTGCAGATTCTACAAAAAGAGTGATTCCAATCTGCTCTATCAATAGGATTGTTCAACTCCATGAGTTGAATGCCATCCTCACAAAGTAGTTTCTGAGAATGCTTCTATCTAGTTTTTATGTGAAGATATTTCCTTTTCCACCACAGGCCTCCAAGCCCTCCAAACGTCCACTTGCAGATTCTCGAAAAAGAGTGTTTCATAGCTGCTCTTTCAAAAGGAAAGTTCAACTCTGGCAGTTGAATACAAACATCACAAAGTAGTTTCCGAGAATGCTTCTGTTTAGTTTTTATGTGAAGATGATCCCGTTTCCAGTGAAATCTTCAAAGAGGTCCACATATCCCCTTGCAGATTCCAAAGAAAGAGGGTTTCAAAACTGCTCCATCAGAAGGATTGTTCAACTGTGTGAGTTGAATGCAGTCATCGCAGAAAACTTTCTGAGAATGCTTCTGTCTAGGTTTGATGTGAAGATATAGACGTTTCAAACGAAGGCTACAAAGTGGTCAAAATATACACTTGCAGATTCTACTACAAGGGTGTTGCAAACCTGAACTATCAAAGGAAGGTTCAACTCTGTGAATTGAATACAAACATCACAAAGAATGTTCTGAGTTTGCTTCCGTTCAGTTATGGGAAGTTGATCCCGTTTCCAACGAAATCCTCAGAGAGGTCCAAATATCCCCTCGCAGATTCTACAAAACGTGTGTTTGGAAACTGCTCCATCATAACGAATGTTCAGCTCCCTGAGTTAAACTCCATCGTCACAAAGAATTTTCTGAGAGTGCTACCGTCTGGTTTTTATATGAAGTTCTTTCCTTCACTACCACAGGCCTCAAAGCGGTCCAAATCTCCACTTGCAGATTCTACAAAAAGAGTGTTTGCAAACTGCTCTATCAAAAGGAATGTTCAACTCTGGGAGTTGAATGCAATCATCACAGAGCAGTTTCTGAGAATGCTTCTATGTCGTTTTTAGGAGAAGATATTTCCTTTTCCAACACAGTCCTCCAAGCCCGCTAAATAGCCACTTGCACATTGTAGAAAAAGTGTGTCAAAGCTGCGCTATCAAAGGGAAAGTTCAACTCTGTGAGGTGAATGCAAACATCCCAAAGAAGTTTCTGAGAATGCTTCCGTTTAGCTTTTAGGTGAAGATTATCCCGTTTCCAACGAAACCTTCAAAGAGGTCCAAATATCCCCTTGCGGATCCCACAGAAAGAGTGTTTCGAAACTGCTGTTTCAAAAGGAATCTTCAACTCTGTGAGTTGAATGCAATCATCACAAAGAAGTTTCTGACAATGCTTCTCTCTCGTCTTTCTGTGAAGATAATGGAAAAGGCTTTCAGGCCTTTTCCACCACAGGCCTGAAAGCGCTCCAAATGTCCACTTGCAGATTCTGCCAAAAGAATATTTCAAAACTGCTCTATGAAAAGCAATGTTAAACTCTGTGGCTCGAACACAAACATCACAAAGCGGTTTCTGAGAATGCTTCAGTTTAGTTTTTCTGTGGAAATATTCCCGTTTCCAAAGAAATCTTCAAAGAGGTCCACGTATCCACTTACAGATTCTACAAAAAGACAGTTTCAAAACTGCTCCATCAAAAGGAGGGTTCAACTGTGTGACTTGAATGCAATCATCACTCAGAAGTTTCTGAGAATGCTTCTCTTTAGTTTTTACGTGAACATATACCCGTTTCGAACGAAGGCCACCCAGTGGTCCAAATATCCACTTGCAGATTATACAGAAAGAGTATTTCGAACCTGAACTCTCAAAGGCAGGTTCATCTCTGCGAGTTAAATGCATTCATCATGAAGAACTTTCTCAGAGTGTTTGTGTTTAGTTATGGGAAATTATTCCCGTTTCCAACGAAATCCTCAGAGAGCTCCAAATATCCACCTGCAGATTCTACCAAAAGTGTATTTGGAAACTGCTCCATCAAAAGGCATGTTCAGCTCTGTGAGTGAAACTCCATCATCACAAAGAATATTCTGAGA
Organism: Homo sapiens; assembly: GCF_000001405.40. Lineage (NCBI taxonomy): Eukaryota > Metazoa > Chordata > Mammalia > Primates > Hominidae > Homo > Homo sapiens. The sequence goes on along the minus strand of NC_000023.11, from coordinate 60,770,133 downwards.
ATGCTTCCGTTTGCCTTTTATATGAAGTTCCTTCCTATACGACCGGAGGCCTCAAAGCAGTCCAAATCTCCATTTGCAGATTCTACAAAAAGAGTGATTCCAATCTGCTCTATCAATAGGATTGTTCAACTCCATGAGTTGAATGCCATCCTCACAAAGTCGTTTCTGAGAATGCTTCTATCTAGTTTTTATGTGAAGATATTTCCTTTTCCACCACAGGCCTCAAAGCCCTCCAAACGTCCACTTGCAGATTCTCGAAAAAGAGTGTTTCATAGCTGCTCTTTCAAAAGGAAAGTTCAACTCTGGGAGTTGAATACAAACATCACAAAGTAGTTTCCGAGAATGCTTCTGTTTAGTTTTTATGTGAAGATGATCCCGTTTCCAGTGAAATCTTCAAAGAGGTCCACATATCCCCTTGCAGATTCCAAAGAAAGAGGGTTTCAAAACTGCTCCATCAGAAGGATTGTTCAACTCTGTGAGTTGAATGCAGTCATCGCAGAAAACTTTCTGAGAATGCTTCTGTCTAGGTTTGATGTGAAGATATATACGTTTCAAACGAAGGCTACAAAGTGGTCAAAATATACACTTGCAGATTCTACTACAAGGGTGTTGCAAACCTGAACTATCAAAGGAAGGTTCAACTCTGTGAGTTGAATACAAACATCACAAAGAATGTTCTGAGTTTGCTTCCGTTCAGTTATGGGAAGTTGATCCCGTTTCCAACGAAATCCTCAGAGAGGTCCAAATATCCCCTTGCAGATTCTACAAAACGTGTGTTTGGAAACTGCTCCATCATAACGAATGTTCAGCTCCCTGAGTTAAACTCCATCGTCACAAAGAATTTTCTGAGAGTGCTACCGTCTGGTTTTTATATGATGCTCTTTCCTTCACTACCACAGGCCTCAAAGCGGTCCAAATCTCCACTTGCAGATTCTACAAAAAGAGTGTTTGCAAACTGCTCTATCAAAAGGAATGTTCAACTCTGGGAGTTGAATGCAATCATCACAGAGCAGTTTCTGAGAATGCTTCTATGTCGTTTTTAGGAGAAGATATTTCCTTTTCCAACACAGTCCTCCAAGCCCGCTAAATAGCCACTTGCACATTGTAGAAAAAGTGTGTCAAAGCTGCGCTATCAAAGGGAAAGTTCAACTCTGTGAGGTGAATGCAAACATCCCAAAGAAGTTTCTGAGAATGCTTCCCGTTTAGCTTTTAGGTGAGGATTATCCCGTTTCCAACGAAACCTTCAAAGAGGTCCAAATATCCCCTTGCGGATCCCACAGAAAGAGTGTTTCGAAACTGCTGTTTCAAAAGGAATCTTCAACTCTGTGAGTTGAATGCAATCATCACAAAGAAGTTTCTGACAATGCTTCTCTCTCGTCTTTCTGTGAAGATAAAGGAAAAGGCTTTCAGGCCTTTTCCACCACAGGCCTGAAAGCGCTCCAAATGTCCACTTGCAGATTCTGCGAAAAGAATATTTCAAAACTGCTCTATGAAAAGCAATGTTAAACTCTGTGGCTCGAACACAAACATCACAAAGCGGTTTCTGAGAATGCTTCAGTTTAGTTTTTCTGTGGAAATATTCCCGTTTCCAAAGAAATCTTCAAAGAGGTCCACGTATCCACTTACAGATTCTACAAAAAGACAGTTTCAAAACTGCTCCATCAAAAGGAGGGTTCAACTGTGTGACTTGAATGCAATCATCACTCAGAAGTTTCTGAGAATGCTTCTCTTTAGTTTTTACGTGAACATATACCCGTTTCGAACGAAGGCCACCCAGTGGTCCAAATATCCACTTGCAGATTCTACAGAAAGAGTGTTTCGAACCTGAACTCTCAAAGGCAGGTTCATCTCTGCGAGTTAAATGCATTCATCATGAAGAACATTCTCAGCGTGTTTGTGTTTAGTTATGGGAAATTATTCCCTTATCCAACGAAATCCTCAGAGAGCTCCAAATATCCACCTGCAGATTCTACCAGAAGTGTATTTGGAAACTGCTCCATCAAAAGGCATGTTCAGCTCTGTGAGTGAAACTCCATCATCACAAAGAATATTCTGAGAATGCGTCCGTTTGCCTTTTATATGAAGTTCCTTCCTATACTACCGTAGGCCTCAAAGCAGTCCAAATCTCCCTTTGCAGATTCTACAAAAAGAGTGATTCCAATCTGCTCTATCAATAGGATTGTTCAACTCCATGAGTTGAATGCCATCCTCACAAAGTCGTTTCTGAGAATGCTTCTATCTAGTTTTTATGTGAAGATATTTCCTTTTCCACCACAGGCCTCAAAGCCCTCCAAACGTCCACTTGCAGATTCTCGAAAAAGAGTGTTTCATAGCTGCTCTTTCAAAAGGAAAGTTCAACTCTGGGAGTTGAATACAAACATCACAAAGTAGTTTCCGAGAATGCTTCTGTTTAGTTCTTATGTGAAGATGATCCCGTTTCCAGTGAAATCTTCAAAGAGGTCCACATATCCCCTTGCAGATTCCAAAGAAAGAGGGTTTCAAAACTGCTCCATCAAAAGGATTGTTCAACTCTGTGAGTTGAATGCAGTCATCGCAGAAAACTTTCTGAGAATGCTTCTGTCTAGGTTTGAGGTGAAGATATAGACGTTTCAAACGAAGGCTACAAAGTGGTCAAAATATACACTTGCAGATTCTACTACAAGGGTGTTGCAAACCTGAACAATCAAAGGAAGGTTCAACTCTGTGAGTTGAATACAAACATCACAAAGAATGTTCTGAGTTTGCTTCCGTTCAGTTATGGGAAGTTGATCCCGTTTCCAACGAAATCCTCAGAGAGGTCCAAATATCCCCTTGCAGATTCTACAAAACGTGTGTTTGGAAACTGCTCCATCATAACGAATGTTCAGCTCTCTGAGTTAAACTCCATCGTCACAAAAAATTTTCTGAGAGTGCTACCGTCTAGTTTTTATATGAAGTTCTTTCCTTTACTACCACAGGCCTCAAAGCGGTCCAAATCTCCACTTGCAGATTCTACAAAAAGAGTGTTTGCAAACTGCTCTATCAAAAGGAATGTTCAACTCTGGGAGTTGAATGCAATCATCACAGAGCAGTTTCTGAGAATGCTTCTATGTGGTTTTTAGGAGAAGATATTTCCTTTTCCAACACAGTCCTGCAAGCCCGCTAAATATCCACTTGCACATTTTAGAAAAAGTGTGTCGAAGCTGCGCTATCAAAGGGAAAGTTCAACTCTGTGAGGTGAATGCGAACATCCCAAAGAAGTTTCTGAGAATGCTTCCGTTTAGCTTTTAGGTGAAGATTATCCCGTTTCCAACGAAATCTTCAAAGAGGTCCAAATATCCCCTTGCGGATCCCCCAGAAAGAGTGTTTCGAAACTGCTGTTTCAAAAGGAATCTTCAACTCTGTGAGTTGAATGCAATCATCACAAAGAAGTTTCTGACAATGCTTCTCTCTCGTCTTTCTGTGAAGATAAAGGAAAAGGCTTTCAGGCCTTTTCCACCACAGGCCTGAAAGCGCTCCAAATGTCCACTTGCAGATTCTGCCAAAAGAATATTTCAAAACTGCTCTATGAAAAGCAATGTTAAACTCTGTGGCTCGAACACAAACATCACAAAGCAGTTTCTGAGAATGCTTCAGTTTAGTTTTTCTGTGGAAATATTCCCGTTTCCAAAGAAATCTTCAAAGAGGTCCACGCATCCACTTACAGATTCTACAAAAAGACAGTTTCAAAACTGCTCAATCAAAAGGAGGGTTCAACTGTGTGACTTGAATGCAATCATCACTCAGAAGTTTCTGAGAACGCTTCTCTTTAATTTTTACGTGAGCGTATACCCGTTTCGAACGAAGGCCAGCCAGTGGTCCAAATATCCACTTGCAGATTCTACAGAAAGAGTGTTTCGAACCTGAACTCTCAAAGGCAGGTTCATCTCTGCGAGTTAAATGCATTCATCATGAAGAACTTTCTCAGAGTGTTTGTGTTTAGTTATGGGAAATTATTCCCTTTTCCAACGAAATCCTCAGAGAGCTCCAAATATCCACCTGCAGATTCTACCAAAAGTGTATTTGGAAACTGCTCCATCAAAAGGCATGTTCAGCTCTGTGAGTGAAACTCCATCATCACAAAGAATATTCTGAGAATGCTTCCGTTTGCCTTTTATATGAAGTTCCTTCCTATACTACCGTAGGCCTCAAAGCAGTCCAAATCTCCATTTGCAGATTCTACAAAAAGAGTGATTCCAATCTGCTCTATCAATAGGACTGTTCAACTCCATGAGTTGAATGCCATCCTCACAAAGTCGTTTCTGAGAATGCTTCTATCTAGTTTTTATGTGAAGATATTTCCTTTTCCACCACAGGCCTCAAAGCCCTCCAAACGTCCACTTGCAGATTCTCGAAAAAGAGTGTTTCATAGCTGCTCTTTCAAAAGGAAAGTTCAACTCTGGGAGTTGAATACAAACATCACAAAGTAGTTTCCGAGAATGCTTCTGTTTAGTTTTATGTGAAGATGATCCCGTTTCCAGTGAAATCTTCAAAGAGGTCCACATATCCCCTTGCAGATTCCAAAGAAAGAGGGTTTCAAAACTGCTCCATCAGAAGGATTGTTCAACTCTGTGAGTTGAATGCAGTCATCGCAGAAAACTTTCTGAGAATGCTTCTGTCTAGGTTTGATGTGAAGATATAGACGTTTCAAACGAAGGCTACAAAGTGGTCAAAATATACACTTGCAGATTCTACTACAAGGGTGTTGCAAACCTGAACTATCAAAGGAAGGTTCAACTCTGTGAGTTGAATACAAACATCACAAAGAATGTTCTGAGTTTGCTTCCGTTCAGTTATGGGAAGTTGATCCCGTTTCCAACGAAATCCTCAGAGAGGTCCAAATATCCCCTTGCAGATTCTACAAAACGTGTGTTTGGAAACTGCTCCATCATAACGAATGTTCAGCTCCCTGAGTTAAACTCCATCGTCACAAAGAATTTTCTGAGAGTGCTACCGTCTGGTTTTTATATGAAGTTCTTTCCTTCACTACCACAGGCCTCAAAGCGGTCCAAATCTCCACTTGCAGATTCTACAAAAAGAGTGTTTGCAAACTGCTCTATCAAAAGGAATGTTCAACTCTGGGAGTTGAATGCAATCATCACAGAGCAGTTTCTGAGAATGCTTCTATGTCGTTTTTAGGAGAAGATATTTCCTTTTCCAACACAGTCCTCCAAGCCCGCTAAATAGCCACTTGCACATTGTAGAAAAAGTGTGTCGAAGCTGCGCTATCAAAGGGAAAGTTCAACTCTGTGAGGTGAATGCAAACATCCCAAAGAAGTTTCTGAGAATGCTTCCGTTTAGCTTTTAGGTGAAGATTATCCCGTTTCCAACGAAACCTTCAAAGAGGTCCAAATATCCCCTTGCGGATCCCACAGAAAGAGTGTTTCGAAACTGCTGTTTCAAAAGGAATCTTCAACTCTGTGAGTTGAATGCAATCATCACAAAGAAGTTTCTGACAATGCTTCTCTCTCGTCTTTCTGTGAAGATAAAGGAAAAGGCTTTCAGGCCTTTGCCACCACAGGCCTGAAAGCGCTCCAAATGTCCACTTGCAGATTCTGCCAAAAGAATATTTCAAAACTGCTCTATGAAAAGCAATGTTAAACTCTGTGGCTGGAACACAAACATCACAAAGCGGTTTGTGAGAATGTTTCAGTTTAGTTTTTCTGTGGAAATATTCCCGTTTCCAAAGAAATCTTCAAAGAGGTCCACGTATCCACTTACAGATTCTACAAAAAGACAGTTTCAAAACTGCTCAATCAAAAGGAGGGTTCAACTGTGTGACTTGAATGCAATCATCACTCAGAAGTTTCTGAGAATGCTTCTCTTTAGTTTTTACGTGAACATATACCCGTTTCGAACGAAGGCCACCCAGTGGTCCAAATATCCACTTGCAGATTCTACAGAAAGAGTGTTTCGAACCTGAACTCTCAAAGGCAGGTTCATCTCTGCGAGTTCAATGCATTCATCATGAAGAACTTTCTCAGCGTGTTTGTGTTTAGTTATGGGAAATTATTCCCGTTTCCAACGAAAGCCTCAGAGAGCTCCAAATATCCACCTGCAGATTCTACCAAAAGTGTATTTGGAAACTGCTCCATCAAAAGGCATGTTCAGCTCTGTGAGTGAAACTCCATCATCACAAAGAATATTCTGAGAATGCTTCCGTTTGCCTTTTATATGAAGTTCCTTCCTATACTACCGTAGGCCTCAAAGCAGTCCAAATCTCCATTTGCAGATTCTACAAAAAGAGTGATTCCAATCTGCTCTATCAACAGGACTGTTCAACTCCATGAGTTGAATGCCATCCTCACAAAGTCGTGTCTGAGAATGCTTCTATCTAGTTTTTATGTGAAGATATTTCCTTTTCCACCACAGGCCTCAAAGCCCTCCAAACGTCCACTTGCAGATTCTCGAAAAAGTGTGTTTCATAGCTGCTCTTTCAAAAGGAAAGTTCAACTCTGGGAGTTGAATACAAACATCACAAAGTAGTTTCCGAGAATGCTTCTGTTTAGTTCTTATGTGAAGATGATCCCGTTTCCAGTGAAATCTTCAAAGAGGTCCACATATCCCCTTGCAGATTCCAAAGAAAGAGGGTTTCAAAACTGCTCCATCAAAAGGATTGTTCAACTCTGTGAGTTGAATGCAGTCATCGCAGAAAACTTTCTGAGAATGCTTCTGTCTAGGTTTGATGTGAAGATATAGCATGTTTCAAACGAAGGCTACAAAGTGGTCAAAATATACACTTGCAGATTCTACTACAAGGGTGTTGCAAACCTGAACTATCAAAGGAAGGTTCAACTCTGTGAGTTGAATACAAACATCACAAAGAATGTTCTGAGTTTGCTTCCGTTCAGTTATGGGAAGTTGATCCCGTTTCCAACGAAATCCTCAGAGAGGTCCAAATATCCCCTTGCAGATTCTACAAAACGTGTGTTTGGAAACTGCTCCATCATAACGGATGTTCAGCTCTCTGAGTTAAACTCCATCGTCACAAAGAATTTTCTGTGAGTGCTACCGTCTGGTTTTTATATGAAGTTGTTTCCTTTACTACCACAGGCCTCAAAGCGGTCCAAATCTCCACTTGCAGATTCTACAAAAAGAGTGTTTGCAAACTGCTCTATCAAAAGGAATGTTCAACTCTGGGAGTTGAATGCAATCATCACAGAGCAGTTTCTGAGAATGCTTCTATGTCGTTTTTAGGAGAAGATATTTCCTTTTCCAACACAGTCCTCCAAGCCCGCTAAATATCCACTTGCACATTGTAGAAAAAGTGTGTCGAAGCTGCGCTATCAAAGGGAAAATTCAACTCTATGAGGTGAATGCAAACATCCAAAAGAAGTTTCTGAGAATGCTTCCGTTTAGCTTTTAGGTGACGATTATCCAGTTTCCAACGAAACCTTCAAATAGATCCAAATATCCCCTTGCGGTTCCCACAGAAAGAGTGTTTCGAAACTGCTGTTTCAAAAGGAATCTTCAACTCTGTGAGTTGAATGCAATCATCACAAAGAAGTTTCTGACAATGCTTCTCTCTCGTCTTTCTGTGAAGATAAAGGAAAAGGCTTTCAGGCCTTTTCCACCACAGGCCTGAAAGCGCTCCAAATGTCCACTTGCAGATTCTGCCAAAAGAATATTTCAAAACTGCTCTATGAAAAGCAATGTTAAACTCTGCGGCTCGAACACAAACATCACAAAGCAGTTTCTGAGAATGCTTCAGTTTAGTTTTTCTGTGGAAATATTCCCGTTTCCAAAGAAATCTTCAAAGAGGTCCACGCATCCACTTACAGATTCTACAAAAAGACAGTTTCAAAACTGCTCAATCAAAACGAGGGTTCAACTGTGTGACTTGAATGCAATCATCACTCAGAAGTTTCTGAGAATGCTTCTCTTTAGTTTTTACGTGAACATATACCCGTTTCGAACGAAGGCCACCCAGTGGTCCAAATATCCACTTGCAGATTATATAGAAAGAGTGTTTCGAACCTGAACTCTCAAAGGCAGGTTCATCTCTGCGAGTTAAATGCATTCATCATGAAGAACTTTCTCAGAGTGTTTGTGTTTAGTTATGGGAAATTATTCCCGTTTCCAACGAAATCCTCAGAGAGCTCCAAATATCCACCTGCAGATTCTACCAAAAGTGTATTTGGAAACTGCTCCATCAAAAGGCATGTTCAGCTCTGTGAGTGAAACTCCATCATCACAAAGAATATTCTGAGAATGCTTCCGTTTGCCTTTTATATGAAGTTCCTTCCTGTACTACCGTAGGCCTCAAAGCAGTCCAAATCTCCATTTGCAGATTCTACAAAAAGAGTGATTCCAATCTGCTCTATCAATAGGATTGTTCAACTCCATGAGTTGAATGCCATCCTCACAAAGCAGTTTCTGAGAATGCTTCTATCTGGTTTTTGTGTGAAGATATTTCCTTTTCCACCACAGGCCTCAAAGCCCTCCAAACGTCCACTTGCAGATTCTTGAAAAAGAGTGTTTCATAGCTGCTCTTTCAAAAGGAAAGTTCAACTCTGGGAGTTGAATACAAACATCACAAAGTAGTTTCCGAGAATGCTTCCTGTTTAGTTTTTATGTGAAGATGATCCCGTTTCCAGTGAAATCTTCAAAGAGGTCCACATATCCCCTTGCAGATTCCAAAGAAAGAGGGTTTCAAAACTGCTCCATCAGAAGGATTGTTCAACTCTGTGAGTTGAATGCAGTCATCGCAGAAAACTTTCTGAGAATGCTTCTGTCTAGGTTTGATGTGAAGATATAGACGTTTCAAACGAAGGCTACAAAGTGGTCAAAATATACACTTGCAGATTCTACTACAAGGGTGTTGCAAACCTGAACTATCAAAGGAAGGTTCAACTCTGTGAGTTGAATACAAACATCACAAAGAATGTTCTGAGTTTGCTTCCGTTCAGTTATGGGATGTTGATCCCGTTTCCAACGAAATCCTCAGAGAGGTCCAAATATCCCCTTGCAGATTCTACAAAACGTGTGTTTGGAAACTGCTCCATCATAACGAATGTTCAGCTCCCTGAGTTAAACTCCATCGTCACAAAGAATTTTCTGAGAGTGCTACCGTCTGGTTTTTATATGAAGCTCTTTCCTTCACTACCACAGGCCTCAAAGCGGTCCAAATCTCCACTTGCAGATTCTACAAAAAGAGTGTTTGCAAACTGCTCTATCAAAAGGAATGTTCAACTCTGGGAGTTGAATGCAATCATCACAGAGCAGTTTCTGAGAATGCTTCTATGTCGTTTTTAGGAGAAGATATTTCCTTTTCCAACACAGTCCTCCAAGCCCGCTAAATAGCCACTTGCACATTGTAGAAAAAGTGTGTCAAAGCTGCGCTATCAAAGGGAAAGTTCAACTCTGTGAGGTCAATGCAAACATCCCAAAGAAGTTTCTGAGAATGCTTCCGTTTAGCTTTTAGGAGAAGATTATCCCGTTTCCAACGAAACCTTCAAAGAGGTCCAAATATCCCCTTGCGGATCCCACAGAAAGAGTGTTTCGAAATTGCTGTTTCAAAAGGAATCTTCAACTCTGTGAGTTGAATGCAATCATCACAAAGAAGTTTCTGACAATGCTTCTCTCTCGTCTTTCTGTGAAGATAAAGGAAAAGGCTTTCAGGCCTTTGCCACCACAGGCCTGAAAGCACTCCAAATGTCCACTTGCAGATTCTGCGAAAAGAATATTTCAAAACTGCTCTATGAAAAGCAATGTTAAACTCTGTGGCTCGAACACAAACATCACAAAGCGGTTTTTGAGAATGTTTCAGTTTAGTTTTTCTGTGGAAATATTCCCGTTTCCAAAGAAATCTTCAAAGGGGGTCCACGTATCCACTTACAGATTCTACAAAAAGACAGTTTCAAAACTGCTCCATCAAAAGGAGGGTTCAACTGTGTGACTTGAATGCAATCATCACTCAGAAGTTTCTGAGAATGCTTCTCTTTAGTTTTTACGTGAACATATACCCGTTTCGAACGAAGGCCACCCAGTGGTCCAAATATCCACTTGCAGATTCTACAGAAAGAGTGTTTCGAACCTGAACTCTCAAAGGCAGGTTCATCTCTGCGAGTTAAATGCATTCATCTTGAAGAACTTTCTCAGAGTGTTTGTGTTTAGTTATGGGAAATTATTCCCCTTTCCAACGAAATCCTCAGAGAGCTCCAAATATCCACCTGCAGATTCTACCAAAAGTGTATTTGGAAACTGCTCCATCAAAAGGCATGTTCAGCTCTGTGAGTGAAACTCCATCATCACAAAGAATATTCTGAGAATGCTTCCGTTTGCCTTTTATATGAAGTTCCTTCCTGTACTACCGTAGGCCTCAAAGCAGTCCAAATCTCCATTTGCAGATTCTACAAAAAGAGTGATTCCAATCTGCTCTATCAATAGGATTGTTCAACTCCATGAGTTGAATGCCATCCTCACAAAGCAGTTTCTGAGAATGCTTCTATCTAGTTTTTATGTGAAGATATTTCCTTTTCCACCACAGGCCCCAAAGCCCTCCAAACGTCCACTTGCAGATTCTCGAAAAAGAGTGTTTCATAGCTGCTCTTTCAAAAGGAAAGTTCAACTCTGGGAGCTGAATACAAACATCACAAAGTAGTTTCCGAGAATGCTTCTGTTTAGTTCTTATGTGCAGATGATCCCGTTTCCAGTGAAATCTTCAAAGAGGTCCACATATCCCCTTGCAGATTCCAAAGAAAGAGGGTTTCAAAACTGCTCCATCAAAAGGATTGTTCAACTCTGTGAGTTGAATGCAGTCATCGCAGAAAACTTTCTGAGAATGCTTCTGTCTAGGTTTGATGTGAAGATATAGACGTTTCAAACGAAGGCTACAAAGTGGTCAACATATACACTTGCAGATTCTACTACAAGGGTGATGCAAACCTGAACTATCAAAGGAAGGTTCAACTCTGTGAGTTGAATACAAACATCACAAAGAATGTTCTGAGTTTGCTTCCGTTCAGTTATGGGAAGTTGATCCCGTTCCCAACGAAATCCTCAGAGAGGTCCAAATATCCCCTTGCAGATTCTACAAAACGTGTGTTTGGAAACTGCTCCATCATAACGAATGTTCAGCTCTCTGAGTTAAACTCCATCGTCACAAAGAATTTTCTGAGAGTGCTACCGTCTAGTTTTTATATGAAGTTCTTTCCTTTACTACCACAGGCCTCAAAGCGGTCCAAATCTCCACTTGCAGATTCTACAAAAAGAGTGTTTGCAAACTGCTCTATCAAAAGGAATGTTCAACTCTGGGAGTTGAATGCAATCATCACAGAGCAGTTTCTGAGAATGCTTCTATGTCGTTTTTAGGAGAAGATATTTCCTTTTCCAACACAGTCCTCCAAGCCCGCTAAATATCCACTTGCACATTGTAGAAAAAGTGTGTCAAAGCTGCGCTATCAAAGGGAAAGTTCAACTCTGTGAGGTGAATGCAAACATCCCAAAGAAGTTTCTGAGAATGCTTCCGTTTAGCTTTAAGTGAAGATTATCCCGTTTCCAACGAAATCTTCAAAGAGGTCCAAATATCCCCTTGCGGATCCCACAGAAAGAGTGTTTCGAAACTGCTGTTTCAAAAGGAATCTTCAACTCTGTGAGTTGAATGCAATCATCACAAAGAAGTTTCTGACAATGCTTCTCTCTCGTCTTTCTGTGAAGATAAAGGAAAAGGCTTTCAGGCCATTTGCACCACAGGCCTGAAAGCGCTCCAAATGTCCACTTGCAGATTCTGCCAAAAGAATATTTCAAAACTGCTCTATGAAAAGCAATGTTAAACTCTGCGGCTCGAACACAAACATCACAAAGCAGTTTCTGAGAATGCTTCAGTTTAGTTTTTCTGTGGAAATATTCCCGTTTCCAAAGAAATCTTCAAAGAGGTCCACGCATCCACTTACAGATTCTACAAAAAGACAGTTTCAAAACTGCTCAATCAAAAGGAGGGTTCAACTGTGTGACTTGAATGCATTCATCACTCAGAAGTTTCTGAGAACGCTTCTCTTTAGTTTTTACGTGAACATATACCCGTTTCGAACGAAGGCCAGCCAGTGGTCCAAATATCCACTTGCAGATTCTACAGAAAGAGTGTTTTGAACCTGAACTCTCAAAGGCAGGTTCATCTCTGCGAGTTAAATGCATTCATCATGAAGAACTTTCTCAGCGTGTTTGTGTTTAGTTATGGGAAATTATTCCCGTTTCCAACGAAATCCTCAGAGCAGCTCCAAATATCCACCTGCAGATTCTACCAAAAGTGTATTTGGAAACTGCTCCATCAAAAGGCATGTTCAGCTCTGTGAGTGAAACTCCATCATCACAAAGAATATTCTGAGAATGCTTCCGTTTGCCTTTTATATGAAGTTCCTTCCTATACTACCGTAGGCCTCAAAGCAGTCCAAATCTCCATTTGCAGATTCTACAAAAAGAGTGATTCCAATCTGCTCTATCAATAGGATTGTTCAACTCCATGAGTTGAATGCCATCCTCACAAAGTCGTTTCTGAGAATGCTTCTATCTAGTTTTTATGTGAAGATATTTCCTTTTCCACCACAGGCCTCAAAGCCCTCCAAACGTCCACTTGCAGATTCTCGAAAAAGAGTGTTTCATAGCTGCTCTTTCAAAAGGAAAGTTCAACTCTGGGAGTTGAATACAAACATCACAAAGTAGTTTCCGAGAATGCTTCTGTTTAGTTTTTATGTGAAGATGATCCCGTTTCCAGTGAAATCTTCAAAGAGGTCCCACATATCCCCTTGCAGATTCCAAAGAAAGAGGGTTTCAAAACTGCTCCATCAAAAGGATTGTTCAACTCTGTGAGTTGAATGCAGTCATCGCAGAAAACTTTCTGAGAATGCTTCTGTCTAGGTTTGATGTGAAGATATAGACGTTTCAAACGAAGGCTACAAAGTGGTCAAAATATACACTTGCAGATTCTACTACAAGGGTGATGCAAACCTCAACTATAAAAGGAAGGTTCAACTCTGTGAGTTGAATACAAACATCACAAAGAATGTTCTGAGTTTGCTTCCGTTCAGTTATGGGAAGTTGATCCCGTTTCCAACGAAATCCTCAGAGAGGTCCAAATATCCCCTTGCAGATTCTACAAAACGTGTGTTTGGAAACTGCTCCATCATAACGGATATTCAGCTCTCTGAGTTAAACTCCATCGTCACAAAGAATTTTCTGAGAGTGCTACCGTCTGGTTTTTATATGAAGTTGTTTCCTTTACTACCACAGGCCTCAAAGCGGTCCAAATCTCCACTTGCAGATTCTACAAAAAGAGTGTTTGCAAACTGCTCTATCAAAAGGAATGTTCAACTCTGGGAGTTGAATGCAATCATCACAGAGCAGTTTCTGAGAATGCTTCTATGTCGTTTTTAGGAGAAGATATTTCCTTTTCCAACACAGTCCTCCAAGCCCGCTAAATATCCACTTGCACATTGTAGAAAAAGTGTGTCGAAGCTGCGCTATCAAAGGGAAAATTCAACTCTGTGAGGTGAATGCAAACATCCAAAAGAAGTTTCTGAGAATGCTTCCGTTTAGCTTTTAGGTGAAGATTATCCCGTTTCCAACGAAACCTTCAAAGAGGTCCAAATATCCCCTTGCGGATCCCACAGAAAGAGTGTTTCGAAACTGCTGTTTCAAAAGGAATCTTCAACTCTGTGAGTTGAATGCAATCATCACAAAGAAGTTTCTGACAATGCTTCTCTCTCGTCTTTCTGTGAAGATAAAGGAAAAGGCTTTCAGGCCTTTTCCACCACAGGCCTGAAAGCGCTCCAAATGTCCACTTGCAGATTCTGCCAAAAGAATATTTCAAAACTGCTCTATGAAAAGCAATGTTAAACTCTGCGGCTCGAACACAAACATCACAAAGCAGTTTCTGAGAATGCTTCAGTTTAGTTTTTCTGTGGAAATATTCCCGTTTCGAAAGAAATCTTCAAAGAGGTCCACGCATCCACTTACAGATTCTACAAAAAGACAGTTTCAAAACTGCTCAATCAAAAGGAGGGTTCAACCGTGTGACTTGAATGCAATCATCACTCAGAAGTTTCTGAGAACGCTTCTCTTTAGTTTTTACGTGAACATATACCCGTTTCGAACGAAGGCCACCCAGTGGTCCAAATATCCACTTGCAGATTCTACAGAAAGAGTGTTTCGAACCTGAACTCTCAAAGGCAGGTTCATCTCTGCGAGTTCAATGCATTCATCATGAAGAACTTTCTCAGAGTGTTTGTGTTTAGGTATGGGAAATTATTCCCGTTTCCAACGAAATCTTCAGAGAGGTCCAAATATCCACCTGCAGATTCTACCAAAAGTGTATTTGGAAACTGCTCCATCAAAAGGCATGTTCAGCTCTGTGAGTGAAACTCCATCATCACAAAGAATATTCTGAGAATGCTTCCGTTTGCCTTTTATATGAAGTTCCTTCCTATACTACCGTAGGCCTCAAAGCAGTCCAAATCTCCATTTGCAGATTCTACAAAAAGAGTGATTCCAATCTGCTCTATCAATAGGATTGTTCAACTCCATGAGTTGAATGCCATCCTCACAAAGTAGTCTCTGAGAATGCTTCTATCTAGTTTTTATGTGAAGATATTTCCTTTTCCACCACAGGCCTCAAAGCCCTCCAAACGTCCACTTGCAGATTCTCGAAAAAGAGTGTTTCATAGCCGCTCTTTCAAAAGGAAAGTTCAACTCTGGGAGTTGAATACAAACATCACAAAGTAGTTTCCGAGAATGCTTCTGTTTAGTTCTTATGTGAAGATGATCCCGTTTCCAGTGAAATCTTCAAAGAGGTCCACATATCCCCTTGCAGATTCCAAAGAAAGAGGGTTTCAAAACTGCTCCATCAAAAGGATTGTTCAACTCTGTGAGTTGAATGCAGTCATCGCAGAAAACTTTCTGAGAATGCTTCTGTCTAGGTTTGAGGTGAAGATATAGACGTTTCAAACGAAGGCTACAAAGTGGTCAAAATATACACTTGCAGATTCTACTACAAGGGTGTTGCAAACCTGAACTATCAAAGGAAGGTTCAACTCTGTGAGTTGAATACAAACATCACAAAGAATGTTCTGAGTTTGCTTCCATTCAGTTATGGGAAGTTGATCCCGTTTCCAACGAAATCCTCAGAGAGGTCCAAATATCCCCTTGCAGATTCTACAAAACGTGTGTTTGGAAACTGCTCCATCATAACGAATGTTCAGCTCTCTGAGTTAAACTCCATCGTCACAAAGAATTTTCTGAGAGTGCTACCGTCTGGTTTTTATATGAAGTTCTTTCCTTTACTACCACAGGCCTCAAAGCGGTCCAAATCTCCACTTGCAGATTCTACAAAAAGAGTGTTTGCAAACTGCTCTATCAAAAGGAATGTTCAACTCTGGGAGTTGAATGCAATCATCACAGAGCAGTTTCTGAGAATGCTTCTATGTCGTTTTTAGGAGAAGATATTTCCTTTTCCAACACAGTCCTCCAAGCCCGCTAAATATCCACTTGCACATTGTAGAAAAAGGGTGTAGAAGCTGCGCTATCAAAGGGAAAGTTCAAGTCTGTGAGGTGAATGCAAACATCCCAAAGAAGTTTCTGAGAATACTTCCGTTTAGCTTTTAGGTGAAGATTATCCCGTTTCCAACGAAATCTTCAAAGAGGTCCAAATATCCCCTTGCGGATCCCACAGAAAGAGTGTTTCGAAACTGCTGTTTCAAAAGGAATCTTCAACTCTGTGAGTTGAATGCAATCATCACAAAGAAGTTTCTGACAATGCTTCTCTCTCATCTTTCTGTGAAGATAAAGGAAAAGGCTTTCAGGCCTTTTCCACCACAGGCCTGAAAGCGCTCCAAATGTCCACTTGCAGATTCTGCCAAAAGAATATTTCAAAATTGCTCTATGAAAAGCAATGTTAAACTCTGTGGCTCGAACACAAACATCACAAAGCCGTTTCTGAGAATGCTTCAGTTTAGTTTTTCTGTGGAAATATTCCCGTTTCGAAAGAAATCTTCAAAGAGGTCCACGCATCCACTTACAGATTCTACAAAAAGACAGTTTCAAAACTGCTCAATCAAAAGGAGGGTTCAACTGTGTGACTTGAATGCAATCATCACTCAGAAGTTTATGAGAACGCTTCTCTTTAGTTTTTACGTGAACATATACCCGTTTCGAACGAAGGCCAGCCAGTGGTCCAAATATCCACTTGCAGATTCTACAGAAAGAGTGTTTCGAACCTGAACTCTCAAAGGCAGGTTCATCTCTGCGAGTTCAATGCATTCATCATGAAGAACTTTCTCAGAGTGTTTGTGTTTAGTTATGGGAAATTATTCCCGTTTCCAACGAAATCCTCAGAGAGCTCCAAATATCCACCTGCAGATTCTACCAAAAGTGTATTTGGAAACTGCTCCATCAAAAGGCATGTTCAGCTCTGTGAGTGAAACTCCATCATCACAAAGAATATTCTGAGAATGCTTCCGTTTGCCTTTTATATGAAGTTCCTTCCTATACTACCGTAGGCCTCAAAGCAGTCCAAATCTCCATTTGCAGATTCTACAAAAAGAGTGATTCCAATCTGCTCTATCAATAGGATTGTTCAACTCCATGAGTTGAATGCCATCCTCACAAAGTCGTTTCTGAGAATGCTTCTATCTAGTTTTTATGTGAAGATATTTCCTTTTCCACCACAGGCCTCAAAGCCCTCCAAACGTCCACTTGCAGATTCTCGAAAAAGAGTGTTTCATAGCTGCTCTTTCAAAAGGAAAGTTCAACTCTGGGAGTTGAATACAAACATCACAAAGTAGTTTCCGAGAATGCTTCTGTTTAGTTTTTATGTGAAGATGATCCCGTTTCCAGTGAAATCTTCAAAGAGGTCCACATATCCCCTTGCAGATTCCAAAGAAAGAGGGTTTCAAAACTGCTCCATCAGAAGGATTGTTCAACTCTGTGAGTTGAATGCAGTCATCGCAGAAAACTTTCTGAGAATGCTTCTGTCTAGGTTTGATGTGAAGATATAGACGTTTCAAACGAAGGCTACAAAGTGGTCAAAATATACACTTGCAGATTCTACTACAAGGGTGTTGCAAACCTGAACTATCAAAGGAAGGTTCAACTCTGTGAGTTGAATACAAACATCACAAAGAATGTTCTGAGTTTGCTTCCGTTCAGTTATGGGAAGTTGATCCCGTTTCCAACGAAATCCTCAGAGAGGTCCAAATATCCCCTTGCAGATTCTACAAAACGTGTGTTTGGAAACTGCTCCATCATAACGAATGTTCAGCTCCCTGAGTTAAACTCCATCGTCACAAAGAATTTTCTGAGAGTGCTACCGTCTAGTTTTAATATGAAGTTCGTTCCTTTACTACCACAGGCCTCAAAGTGGTCCAAATCTCCACTTGCAGATTCTACAAAAAGAGTGTTTGCAAACTGCTCTATCAAAAGGAATGTTCAACTCTGGGAGTTGAATGCAATCATCACAGAGCAGTTTCTGAGAATGCTTCTATGTCGTTTTTAGGAGAAGATATTTCCTTTTCCAACACAGTCCTCCAAGCCCGCTAAATATCCACTTGCACATTGTAGAAAAAGTGTGTCGAAGCTGCGCTATCAAAGGGAAAGTTCAACTCTGTGAGGTGAATGCAAACATCCCAAAGAAGTTTCTGAGAATGCTTCCCGTTTAGCTTTTAGGTGAGGATTATCCCGTTTCCAACGAAACCTTCAAAGAGGTCCAAATATCCCCTTGCGGATCCCACAGAAAGAGTGTTTCGAAACTGCTGTTTCAAAAGGAATCTTCAACTCTGTGAGTTGAATGCAATCATCACAAAGAAGTTTCTGACAATGCTTCTCTCTCGTCTTTCTGTGAAGATAAAGGAAAAGGCTTTCAGGCCTTTTCCACCACAGGCCTGAAAGCGCTCCAAATGTCCACTTGCAGATTCTGCGAAAAGAATATTTCAAAACTGCTCTATGAAAAGCAATGTTAAACTCTGTGGCTCGAACACAAACATCACAAAGCGGTTTCTGAGAATGCTTCAGTTTAGTTTTTCTGTGGAAATATTCCCGTTTCGAAAGAAATCTTCAAAGAGGTCCACGTATCCACTTACAGATTCTACAAAAAGACAGTTTCAAACTGCTCCATCAAAAGGAGGGTTCAACCGTGTGACTTGAATGCAATCATCACTCAGAAATTTCTGAGAATGCTTCTCTTTAGTTTTTACGTGAACATATACCCGTTTCGAACGAAGGCCACCCAGTGGTCCAAATATCCACTTGCAGATTATACAGAAAGAGTGTTTCGAACCTGAACTCTCAAAGGCAGGTTCATCTCTGCGAGTTAAATGCATTCATCATGAAGAACTTTCTCAGAGTGTTTGTGTTTAGTTATGGGAAATTATTCCCGTTTCCAACGAAATCCTCAGAGAGCTCCAAATATCCACCTGCAGATTCTACCAAAAGTGTATTTGGAAACTGCTCCATCAAAAGGCATGTTCAGCTCTGTGAGTGAAACTCCATCATCACAAAGGATATTCTGAGAATGCTTCCGTTTGCCTTTTATATGAAGTTCCTTCCTATACTACCGTAGGCCTCAAAGCAGTCCAAATCTCCATTTGCAGATTCTACAAAAAGAGTGATTCCAATCTGCTCTATCAATAGGATTGTTCAACTCCATGAGTTGAATTCCATCCTCACAATGTCGTTTGTGAGAATGCTTCTATCTAGTTTTTATGTGAAGATATTTCCTTTTCCACCACAGGCCTCAAAGCCCTCCAAACGTCCACTTGCAGATTCTCGAAAAAGAGTGTTTCATAGCTGCTCTTTCAAAAGGAAAGTTCAACTCTGGGAGTTGAATACAAACATCCCAAAGTAGTTTCCGAGAATGCTTATATTTAGTTTTTATGTGAAGATGATCCCGTTTCCAGTGAAATCTTCAAAGAGGTCCACATATTCCCTTGCAGATTCCAAAGAAAGAGGGTTTCAAAACTGCTCCATCAGAAGGATTGTTCAACTCTGTGAGTTGAATGCAGTCATCGCAGAAAACTTTCTAAGAATGCTTCTGTCTAGGTTTGATGTGAAGATATAGACGTTTCAAACGAAGGCTACAAAGTGGTCAAAATATACACTTGCAGATTCTACTACAAGGGTGTTGCAAACCTGAACTATCAAAGGAAGGTTCAACTCTGTGAATTGAATACAAACATCACAAAGAATGTTCTGAGTTTGCTTCTGTTCAGTTATGGGATGTTGATCCCGTTTCCAACGAAATCCTCAGAGAGGTCCAAATATCCCCTTGCAGATTCTACAAAACGTGTGTTTGGAAACTGCTCCATCATAACGAATGTTCAGCTCCCTGAGTTAAACTCCATCGTCACAAAGAATTTTCTGAGAGTGCTACCGTCTGGTTTTTATATGAAGTTCTTTCCTTCACTACCACAGGCCTCAAAGCGGTCCAAATCTCCACTTGCAGATTCTACAAAAAGAGTGTTTGCAAACTGCTCTATCAAAAGGAATGTTCAACTCTGGGAGTTGAATGCAATCATCACAGAGCAGTTTCTGAGAATGCTTCTATGTCGTTTTTAGGAGAAGATATTTCCTTTTCCAACACAGTCCTCCAAGCCCGCTAAATAGCCACTTGCACATTGTAGAAAAAGTGTGTCAAAGCTGCGCTATCAAAGGGAAAGTTCAACTCTGTGAGGTGAATGCAAACATCCCAAAGAAGTTTCTGAGAATGCTTCCGTTTAGCTTTTAGGTGAAGATTATCCCGTTTCCAACGAAACCTTCAAAGAGGTCCAAATATCCCCTTGCGGATCCCACAGAAAGAGTGTTTCGAAACTGCTGTTTCAAAAGGAATCTTCAACTCTGTGAGTTGAATGCAATCATCACAAAGAAGTTTCTGACAATGCTTCTCTCTCGTCTTTCTGTGAAGATAAAGGAAAAGGCTTTCAGGCCTTTTCCACCACAGGCCTGAAAGCGCTCCAAATGTCCACTTGCAGATTCTGCGAAAAGAATATTTCAAAACTGCTCTATGAAAAGCAATGTTAAACTCTGTGGCTCGAACACAAACATCACAAAGCAGTTTCTGAGAATGCTTCAGTTTAGTTTTTCTGTGGAAATATTCCCGTTTCCAAAGAAATCTTCAAAGAGGTCCACGTATCCACTTACAGATTCTACAAAAAGACAGTTTCAAAACTGCTCCATCAAAAGGAGGGTTCAACTGTGTGACTTGAATGCAATCATCACTCAGAAGTTTCTGAGAATGCTTCTCTTTAGTTTTTACGTGAACATATACCCGTTTCGAACGAAGGCCACCCAGTGGTCCAAATATCCACTTGCAGATTATACAGAAAGAGTGTTTCGAACCTGAACTCTCAAAGGCAGGTTCATCTCTGCGAGTTAAATGCATTCATCATGAAGAACTTTCTCAGAGTGTTTGTGTTTAGTTATGGGAAATTATTCCCGTTTCCAACGAAATCCTCAGAGAGCTCCAAATATCCACCTGCTGATTCTACCAAAAGTGTATTTGGAAACTGCTCCATCAAAAGGCATGTTCAGCTCTGTGAGTGAAACTCCATCATCACAAAGAATATTCTGAGAATGCTTCCGTTTGCCTTTTATATGAAGTTCCTTCCTGTACTACCGTAGGCCTCAAAGCAGTCCAAATCTCCATTTGCAGATTCTATGAAAAGAGTGATTCCAATCTGCTCTATCAATAGGATTGTTCAACTCCATGAGTTGAATGCCATCCTCACAAAGTAGTTTCTGAGAATGCTTCTATCTGGTTTTTGTGTGAAGATATTTCCTTTTCCACCACAGGCCTCAAAGCCCTCCAAACGTCCACTTGCAGATTCTCGAAAAAGAGTGTTTCATAGCTGCTCTTTCAAAAGGAAAGTTCAACTCTGGGAGTTGAATACAAACATCACAAAGTAGTTTCCGAGAATGCTTCTGTTTAGTTTTTATGTGAAGATGATCCCGTTTCCAGTGAAATCTTCAAAGAGGTCCACATATCCCCTTGCAGATTCCAAAGAAAGAGGGTTTCAAAACTGCTCCATCAGAAGGATTGTTCAACTCTGTGAGTTGAATGCAGTCATCGCAGAAAACTTTCTGAGAATGCTTCTGTCTAGGTTTGATGTGAAGATATAGACGTTTCAAACGAAGGCTACAAAGTGGTCAAAATATACACTTGCAGATTCTACTACAAGGGTGTTGCAAACCTGAAATATCAAAGGAAGGTTCAACTCCGTCAGTTGAATACAAACATCACAAAGAATGTTCTGAGTTTGCTTCTGTTCAGTTATGGGATGTTGATCCCGTTTCCAACGAAATCCTCAGAGAGGTCCAAATATCCCCTTGCAGATTCTACAAAACGTGTGTTTGGAAACTGCTCCATCATAACGAATGTTCAGCTCCCTGAGTTAAACTCCATCGTCACAAAGAATTTTCTGAGAGTGCTACCGTCTGGTTTTTATATGAAGCTCTTTCCTTCACTACCACAGGCCTCAAAGCGGTCCAAATCTCCACTTGCAGATTCTACAAAAAGAGTGTTTGCAAACTGCTCTATCAAAAGGAATGTTCAACTCTGGGAGTTGAATGCAATCATCACAGAGCAGTTTCTGAGAATGCTTCTATGTCGTTTTTAGGAGAAGATATTTCCTTTTCCAACACAGTCCTCCAAGCCCGCTAAATAGCCACTTGCACATTGTAGAAAAAGTGTGTCGAAGCTGCGCTATCAAAGGGAAAGTTCAACTCTGTGAGGTGAATGCAAACATCCCAAAGAAGTTTCTGAGAATGCTTCCGTTTAGCTTTTAGGTGAAGATTATCCCGTTTCCAACGAAACCTTCAAAGAGGTCCAAATATCCCCTTGCGGATCCCACAGAAAGAGTGTTTCAAAACTTGCTGTTTCAAAAGGAATCTTCAACTCTGTGAGTTGAATGCAAT
Source organism: Homo sapiens (assembly GCF_000001405.40). Taxonomy (NCBI): domain Eukaryota; kingdom Metazoa; phylum Chordata; class Mammalia; order Primates; family Hominidae; genus Homo; species Homo sapiens. The sequence goes on along the minus strand of NC_000023.11, from coordinate 60,748,218 downwards.
CATCACAAAGAAGTTTCTGACAATGCTTCTCTCTCGTCTTTCTGTGAAGATAAAGGAAAAGGCTTTCAGGCCTTTTCCACCACAGGCCTGAAAGCGCTCCAAATGTCCACTTGCAGATTCTGCGAAAAGAATATTTCAAAACTGCTCTATGAAAAGCAATGTTAAACTCTGTGGCTCGAACACAAACATCAAAAAGCGGTTTCTGAGAATGCTTCAGTTTAGTTTTTCTGTGGAAATATTCCCGTTTCCAAAGAAATCTTCAAAGAGGTCCACGCATCCACTTACAGATTCTACAAAAAGACAGTTTCAAAACTGCTCAATCAAAAGGAGGGTTCAACTGTGTGACTTGAATGCAATCATCACTCAGAAGTTTCTGAGAACGCTTCTCTTTAGTTTTTACGTGAACGTATACCCGTTTCGAACGAAGGCCAGCCAGTGGTCCAAATATCCACTTACAGATTCTACAGAAAGAGTGTTTCGAACCTGAACTCTCAAAGGCAGGTTCATCTCTGCGAGTTAAATGCATTCATCATGAAGAACTTTCTCAGCGTGTTTGTGCTTAGTTATGGGAAATTATTCCCGTTTCCAACGAAATCCTCAGAGAGCTCCAAATATCCACCTGCAGATTCTACCAAAAGTGTATTTGGAAACTGCTCCATCAAAAGGCATGTTCAGCTCTGTGAGTGAAACTCCATCATCACAAAGAATATTCTGAGAATGCTTCCGTTTGCCTTTTATATGAAGTTCCTTCCTATACTACCGTAGGCCTCAAAGCAGTCCAAATCTCCATTTGCAGATTCTACAAAAAGAGTGATTCCAATCTGCTCTATCAATAGGATTGTTCAACTCCATGTGTTGAATGCCATCCTCACAATGTCGTTTCTGAGAATGCTTCTATCTAGTTTTTATGTGAAGATATTTCCTTTTCCACCACAGGCCTCAAAGCCCTCCAAACGTCCACTTTCAGATTCTCGAAAAAGAGTGTTTCATAGCTGCTCTTTCAAAAGGAAAGTTCAACTCTGGGAGTTGAATACAAACATCACAAAGTAGTTTCCGAGAATGCTTCTGTTTAGTTTTTATGTGAAGATGATCCCGTTTCCAGTGAAATCTTCAAAGAGGTCCACATATCCCCTTGCAGATTCCAAAGAAAGAGGGTTTCAAAACTGCTCCATCAGAAGGATTGTTCAACTCTGTGAGTTGAATGCAGTCATCGCAGAAAACTTTCTGAGAATGCTTCTGTCTAGGTTTGATGTGAAGATATAGACGTTTCAAACGAAGGCTACAAAGTGGTCAAAATATACACTTGCAGATTCTACTACAAGGGTGTTGCAAACCTGAACTATCAAAGGAAGGTTCAACTCTGTGAGTTGAATACAAACATCACAAAGAATGTTCTGAGTTTGCTTCCGTTCAGTTATGGGAAGTTGATCCCGTTTCCAACGAAATCCTCAGAGAGGTCCAAATATCCCCTCGCAGATTCTACAAAACGTGTGTTTGGAAACTGCTCCATCATAACGAATGTTCAGCTCCCGGAGTTAAACTCCATCGTCACAAAGAATTTTCTGAGAGTGCTACCGTCTGGTTTTTATATGAAGTTCTTTCCTTCACTACCACAGGCCTCAAAGCGGTCCAAATCTCCACTTGCAGATTCTACAAAAAGAGTGTTTGCAAACTGCTCTATCAAAAGGAATGTTCAACTCTGGGAGTTGAATGCAATCATCACAGAGCAGTTTCTGAGAATGCTTCTATGTCGTTTTTAGGAGAAGATATTTCCTTTTCCAACACAGTCCTCCAAGCCCGATATATATCCACTTGCACATTGTAGAAAAAGTGTGTCGAAGCTGCTCTATCAAAGGGAAAGTTCAACTCAGTGAGGTGAATGCAAACATCCCAAAGAAGTTTCTGAGAATGCTTCCGTTCAGCTTTTAGGTGAAGATTATCCCGTTTCCAACGAAAGCTTCAAAGAGGTCCAAATATCCCCTTGCGGATCCCACAGAAAGAGTGTTTCGAAACTGCTGTTTCAGAAGGAATCTTCAACTCTGTGAGTTGAATGCAATCATCACAAAGAAGTTTCTGACAATGCTTCTCTCTCGTCTTTCTGTGAAGATAAAGGAAAAGGCTTTCAGGCCTTTTCCACCACAGGCCTGAAAGCGCTCCAAATGTCCACTTGCAGATTCTGCCAAAAGAATATTTCAAAACTGCTCTATGAAAAGCAATGTTAAACTCTGCGGCTCGAACACAAACATCACAAAGCAGTTTCTGAGAATGCTTCAGTTTAGTTTTTCTGTGGAAATATTCCCGTTTCCAAAGAAATCTTCAAAGAGGTCCACGCATCCACTTACAGATTCTACAAAAAGACAGTTTCAAAACTGCTCAATCAAAAGGAGGGTTCAACTGTGTGACTTGAATGCAATCATCACTCAGAAGTTTCTGAGAACGCTTCTCTTTAGTTTTTACGTGAACATATACCCGTTTCGAACGAAAGCCAGCCAGTGGTCCAAATATCCACTTGCAGATTCTACAGAAAGAGTGTTTCAAACCTGAACTCTCAAAGGCAGGTTCATCTCTGCGAGTTAAATGCATTCATCATGAAGAACTTTCTCAGCGTGTTTGTGTTTAGTTATGGGAAATTATTCCCGTTTCCAACGAAATCCTCAGAGAGCTCCAAATATCCACCTGCAGATTCTACCAAAAGTGTATTTGGAAACTGCTCCATCAAAAGGCATGTTCAGCTATGTGAGTGAAACACCATCATCACAAAGAATATTCTGAGAATGCTTCCGTTTGCCTTTTATATGAAGCTCCTTCCTATACTACCGTAGGCCTCAAAGCAGTCCAAATCTCCTTTTGCAGATTCTACAAAAAGAGTGATTCCAATCTGCTCTATCAATAGGATTGTTCAACTCCATGAGTTGAATGCCATCCTCACAAAGTCGTTTCTGAGAATGCTTCTATCTAGTTTTTATGTGAAGATATTTCCTTTTCCACCACAGGCCTCAAAGCCCTCCAAACGTCCACTTGCAGATTCTCGAAAAAGAGTGTTTCATAGCTGCTCTTTCAAAAGGAAAGTTCAACTCTGGGAGTTGAATACAAACATCACAAAGTAGTTTCCGAGAATGCTTCTGTTTAGTTCTTATGTGAAGATGATCCCGTTTCCAGTGAAATCTTCAAAGAGGTCCACATATCCCATTGCAGATTCCAAAGAAAGAGGGTTTCAAAACTGCTCCATCAAAAGGATTGTTCAACTCTGTGAGTTGAATGCAGTCATCGCAGAAAATTTTCTGAGAATGCTTCTGTCTAGGTTTGATGTGAAGATATAGACCTTTCAAACGAAGGCTACAAAGTGGTCAAAATATACACTTGCAGATTCTACTGCAAGGGTGTTGCAAACCTGACCTATCAAAGGAATGTTCAACTCTGTGAGTTGAATTCAAACATCATAAAGAATGTTCTGAGTTTGCTTCCGTTCAGTTATGGGAAGTTGATCCCGTTTCCAACGAAATACTCAGAGAGGTCCAAATATCCCCTCGCAGATTCTACAAAACGTGTGTTTGGAAACTGCTCCATCATAACGAATGTTCAGCTCCCTGAGTTAAACTCCATCGTCACAAAGAATTTTCTGAGAGTGCTACCGTCTGGTTTTTATATGAAGTTCTTTCCTTCACTATCACAGGCCTCAAAGCGGTCCAAATCTCCACTTGCAGATTCTACAAAAAGAGTGTTTGCAAACTGCTCTATCAAAAGGAATGTTCAACTCTGGGAGTTGAATGCAATCATCACAGAGCAGTTTCTGAGAATGCTTCTATGTCGTTTTTAGGAGAAGATATTTCCTTTTCCAACACAGTCCTCCAAGCCCGCTAAATAGCCACTTGCACATTGTAGAAAAAGTGTGTCGAAGCTGCGCTATCAAAGGGAAAGTTCAACTCTGTGAGGTGAATGCAAACATCCCAAAGAAGTTTCTGAGAATGCTTCCGTTTAGCTTTTAGGTGAAGATTATCCCGTTTCCAACGAAACCTTCAAAGAGGTCCAAATATCCCCTTGCGGATCCCACAGAAAGAGTGTTTCGAAACTGCTGTTTCAAAAGGAATCTTCAACTCTGTGAGTTGAATGCAATCATCAAAAAGAAGTTTCTGACAATGCTTCTCTCTCGTCTTTCTGTGAAGATAAAGGAAAAGGCTTTCAGGCCTTTTCCACCACAGGCCTGAAAGCGCTCCAAATGTCCACTTGCAGATTCTGCTAAAAGAATATTTCAAAACTGCTCTATGAAAAGCAATGTTAAACTCTGTGGCTCGAACACAAACATCACAAAGCAGTTTCTGAGAATGCTTCAGTTTAGTTTTTCTGTGGAAATATTCCCGTTTCCAAAGAAATCTTCAAAGAGGTCCACGTATCCACTTACAGATTCTACAAAAAGACAGTTTCAAAACTGCTCCATCAAAAGGAGGGTTCAACTGTGTGACTTGAATGCAATCATCACTCAGAAGTTTCTGAGAATGCTTCTCTTTAGTTTTTACGTGAACATATACCCGTTTCGAACGAAGGCCACCCAGTGGTCCAAATATCCACTTGCAGATTATACAGAAAGAGTGTTTCGAACCTGAACTCTCAAAGGCAGGTTCATCTCTGCGAGTTAAATGCATTCATCATGAAGAACTTTCTCAGAGTGTTTGTGTTTAGTTATGGGAAATTATTCCCGTTTCCAACGAAATCCTCAGAGAGCTCCAAATATCCACCTGCAGATTCTACCAAAAGTGTATTTGGAAACTGCTCCATCAAAAGGCATGTTCAGCTCTGTGAGTGAAACTCCATCATCACAAAGAATATTCTGAGAATGCTTCCGTTTGCCTTTTATATGAAGTTCCTTCCTATACTACCGTAGGCCTCAAAGCAGTCCAAATCTCCATTTGCAGATTCTACAAAAAGAGTGATTCCAATCTGCTCTATCAATAGGATTGTTCAACTCCATGAGTTGAATGCCATCCTCACGAAGTAGTTTCTGAGAATGCTTCTATCTAGTTTTTATGTGAAGATATTTCCTTTTCCACCACAGGCCTCAAAGCCCTCCAAACGTCCACTTGCAGATTCTCGAAAAAGAGTGTTTCATAGCTGCTCTTTCAAAAGGAAAGTTCAACTCTGGGAGTTGAATACAAACATCACAAAGTAGTTTCCGAGAATGCTTCTGTTTAGTTTTTATGTGAAGATGATCCCGTTTCCAGTGAAATCTTCAAAGAGGTCCACATATCCCCTTGCAGATTCCAAAGAAAGAGGGTTTCAAAACTGCTCCATCAGAAGGATTGTTCAACTCTGTGAGTTGAATGCAGTCATCGCAGAAAACTTTCTGAGAATGCTTCTGTCTAGGTTTGATGTGAAGATATAGACGTTTCAAACGAAGGCTACAAAGTGGTCAAAATATACACTTGCAGATTCTACTACAAGGGTGTTGCAAACCTGAACTATCAAAGGAAGGTTCAACTCTGTGAGTTGAATACAAACATCACAAAGAATGTTCTGAGTTTGCTTCCGTTCAGTTATGGGAAGTTGATCCCGTTTCCAACGAAATCCTCAGAGAGGTCCAAATATCCCCTTGCAGATTCTACAAAACGTGTGTTTGGAATCTGCTCCATCGTAACGAATGTTCAGCTCCCTGAGTTAAACTCCATCGTCACAAAGAATTTTCTGAGAGTGCTACCGTCTGGTTTTTATATGAAGTTCTTTCCTTCACTACCACAGGCCTCAAAGCGGTCCAAATCTCCACTTGCAGATTCTACAAAAAGAGTGTTTGCAAACTGCTCTATCAAAAGGAATGTTCAACTCTGGGAGTTGAATGCAATCATCACAGAGCAGTTTCTGAGAATGCTTCTATGTCGTTTTTAGGAGAAGATATTTCCTTTTCCAACACAATCCTGCAAGCCCGCTAAATAGCCACTTGCACATTGTAGAAAAAGTGTGTCAAAGCTGCGCTATCAAAGGGAAAGTTCAACTCTGTGAGGTGAATGCAAACATCCCAAAGAAGTTTCTGAGAATGCTTCCGTTTAGCTTTTAGGTGAAGATTATCCCGTTTCCAACGAAACCTTCAAAGAGGTCCAAATATCCCCTTGCGGATCCCACAGAAAGAGTGTTTCGAAACTGCTGTTTCAAAAGGAATCTTCAACTCTGTGAGTTGAATGCAATCATCACAAAGAAGTTTCTGACAATGCTTCTCTCTCGTCTTTCTGTGAAGATAAAGGAAAAGGCTTTCAGGCCTTTTCCACCCACAGGCCTGAAAGCGCTCCAAATGTCCACTTGCAGATTCTGCGAAAAGAATATTTCAAAACTGCTCTATGAAAAGCAATGTTAAACTCTGTGGCTCGAACACAAACATCACAAAGCGGTTTCTGAGAATGCTTCAGTTTAGTTTTTCTGTGGAAATATTCCCGTTTCCAAAGAAATCTTCAAAGAGGTCCACGTATCCACTTACAGATTCTACAAAAAGACAGTTTCAAAACTGCTCCATCAAAAGGAGGGTTCAACTGTGTGACTTGAATGCAATCATCACTCAGAAGTTTCTGAGAATGCTTCTCTTTAGTTTTTACGTGAACATATACCCGTTTCGAACGAAGGCCACCCAGTGGTCCAAATATCCACTTGCAGATTATACAGAAAGAGTGTTTCGAACCTGAACTCTCAAAGGCAGGTTCATCTCTGCGAGTTAAATGCATTCATCATGAAGAACTTTCTCAGAGTGTTTGTGCTTAGTTATGGGAAATTATTCCCGTTTCCAACGAAATCCTCAGAGTGGTCCAAATATCCACCTGCAGATTCTACCAAAAGTGTATTTGGAAACTGCTCCATCAAAAGGCATGTTCAGCTCTGTGAGTGAAACTCCATCATCACAAAGAATATTCTGAGAATGCTTCCGTTTGCCTTTTATCTGAAGTTCCTTCCTATACGACCGTAGGCCTCAAAGCAGTCCAAATCTCCATTTGCAGATTCTACAAAAAGAGTGATTCCAATCTGCTCTATCAATAGGATTGTTCAACTCCATGAGTTGAATGCCATCCTCACAAAGTAGTTTCTGAGAATGCTTCTATCTGGTTTTTGTGTGAAGATATTTCCTTTTCCACCACAGGCCTCAAAGCCCTCCAAACGTCCACTTGCAGATTCTCGAAAAAGAGTGTTTCATAGCTGCTCTTTCAAAAGGAAAGTTCAACTCTGGGAGTTGAATACAAACATCACAAAATAGTTTCCGAGAATGCTTCTGTTTAGTTTTTATGTGAAGATGATCCCGTTTCCAGTGAAATCTTCAAAGAGGTCCACATATCCCCTTGCAGATTCCAAAGAAAGAGGGTTTCAAAACTGCTCCATCAAAAGGATTGTTCAACTCTGTGAGTTGAATGCAGTCATCGCAGAAAACTTTCTGAGAATGCTTCTGTCTAGGTTTGATGTGAAGATATAGACGTTTCAAACGAAGGCTACACAGTGGTCAAAATATACACTTGCAGATTCTACTACAAGGGTGTTGCAAACCTGAACTATCAAAGGAAGGTTCAACTCTGTGAGTTGAATACAAACATCACAAAGAATGTTCTGAGTTTGCTTCCGTTCAGTTATGGGAAGTTGATCCCGTTTCCAGCGAAATCCTCAGAGAGGTCCATATATCCCCTTGCAGATTCTACAAAACGTGTGTTTGGAAACTGCTCCATCATAACGAATGTTCAGCTCCCTGAGTTAAACTCCATCGTCACAAAGAATTTTCTGAGAGTGCTACCGTCTGGTTTTTATATGAAGCTCTTTCCTTCACTACCCCAGGCCTCAAAGCGGTCCAAATCTCCACTTGCAGATTCTACAAAAAGAGTGTTTGCAAACTGCTCTATCAAAAGGAATGTTCAACTCTGGGAGTTGAATGCAATCATCACAGAGCAGTTTCTGAGAATGCTTCTATGTCGTTTTTAGGAGAAGATATTTCCTTTTCCAACACAGTCCTCCAAGCCCGCTAAATAGCCACTTGCACATTTTAGAAAAAGTGTGTCAAAGCTGCGCTATCAAAGGGAAAGTTCAACTCTGAGAGGTGAATGCAAACATCCCAAAGAAGTTTCTGAGAGTGCTTCCGTTTAGCTTTTAGGTGAAGATTATCCCGTTTCCAACGAAACCTTCAAAGAGGTCCAAATATCCCCTTGCGGATCCCACAGAAAGAGTGTTTCGAAACTGCTGTTTCAAAAGGAATCTTCAACTCTGTGAGTTGAATGCAATCATCACAAAGAAGTTTCTGACAATGCTTCTCTCTCGTCTTTCTGTGAAGATAAAGGAAAAGGCTTTCAGGCCTTTTCCACCACAGGCCTGAAAGCGCTCCAAATGTCCACTTGCAGATTCTGCGAAAAGAATATTTCAAAACTGCTCTATGAAAAGCAATGTTAAACTCTGTGGCTGGAACACAAACATCACAAAGCAGTTTCTGAGAATGTTTCAGTTTAGTTTTTCTGTGGAAATATTCCCGTTTCCAAAGAAATCTTCAAAGAGGTCCACGTATCCACTTACAGATTCTACAAAAAGACAGTTTCAAAACTGCTCCATCAAAAGGAGGGTTCAACTGTGTGACTTGAATGCAATCATCACTCAGAAGTTTCTGAGAATGCTTCTCTTTAGTTTTTACGTGAACATATACCCGTTTCGAACGAAGGCCACCCAGTGGTCCAAATATCCACTTGCAGATTATACAGAAAGAGTGTTTCGAACCTGAACTCTCAAAGGCAGGTTCATCTCTGCGAGTTAAATGCATTCATCATGAAGAACTTTCTCAGAGTGTTTGTGTTTAGTTATGGGAAATTATTCCCGTTTCCAACGAAATCCTCAGAGAGCTCCAAATATCCACCTGCAGATTCTACCAAAAGTGTATTTGGAAACTGCTCCATCAAAAGGCATGTTCAGCTCTGTGAGTGAAACTCCATCATCACAAAGAATATTCTGAGAATGCTTCCGTTTGCCTTTTATATGAAGTTCCTTCCTGTACTACCGTAGGCCTCAAAGCAGTCCAAATCTCCATTTGCAGATTCTACAAAAAGAGTGATTCCAATCTGCTCTATCAATAGGATTGTTCAACTCCATGAGTTGAATGCCATCCTCACAAAGTAGTTTCTGAGAATGCTTCTATCTGGTTTTTGTGTGAAGATATTTCCTTTTCCACCACAGGCCTCAAAGCCCTCCAAACGTCCACTTGCAGATTCTCGAAAAAGAGTGTTTCATAGCTGCTCTTTCAAAAGGAAAGTTCAACTCTGGGAGTTGAATACAAACATCACAAAGTAGTTTCCGAGAATGCTTCTGTTTAGTTTTTATATGAAGATGATCCCGTTTCCAGTGAAATCTTCAAAGAGGTCCACATATCCCCTTGCAGATTCCAAAGAAAGAGGGTTTCAAAACTGCTCCATCAGAAGGATTGTTCAACTCTGTGAGTTGAATGCAGTCATCGCAGAAAACTTTCTGAGAATGCTTCTGTCTAGGTTTGATGTGAAGATATAGACGTTTCAAACGAAGGCTACAAAGTGGTCAAAATATACACTTGCAGATTCTGCTACAAGGGTGTTGCAAACCTGAACTATCAAAGGAAGGTTCAACTCTGTGAGTTGAATACAAACATCACAAAGAATGTTCTGAGTTTGCTTCCGTTCAGTTATGGGAAGTTGATCCCGTTTCCAACAAAATCCTCAGAGAGGTCCAAATATCCCCTTGCAGATTCTACAAAACGTGTGTTGGGAAACTGCTCCATCATAACGAATGTTCAGCTCCCTGAGTTAAACTCCATCGTCACAAAGAATTTTCTGAGAGTGCTACCGTCTGGTTTTTATATGAAGTTCTTTCCTTTACTACCATAGGCCTCAAAGCGGTCCAAATCTCCACTTGCAGATTCTACAAAAAGAGTGTTTGCAAACTGCTCTATCAAAAGGAATGTTCAACCCTGGGAGTTGAATGCAATCATCACAGAGCAGTTTCTGAGAATGCTTCTATGTCGTTTTTAGGAGAAGATATTTCCTTTTCCAACACAGTCCTCCAAGCCCGCTAAATAGCCACTTGCACATTGTAGAAAAAGTGTGTCAAAGCTGCGCTATCAAAGGGAAAGTTCAACTCTGTGAGGTGAATGCAAACATCCCAAAGAAGTTTCTGAGAGTGCTTCCGTTTAGCTTTTAGGTGAAGATTATCCCGCTTCCAACGAAACCTTCAAAGAGGTCCAAATATCCCCTTGCGGATCCCTCAGAAAGAGTGTTTCGAAACTGCTGTTTCAAAAGGAATCTTCAACTCTGTGAGTTGAATGCAATCATCACAAAGAAGTTTCTGACAATGCTTCTCTCTCGTCTTTCTGTGAAGATAAAGGAAAAGGCTTTCAGGCCTTTTCCACCACAGGCCTGAAAGCGCTCCAAATGTCCACTTGCAGATTCTGCGAAAAGAATATTTCAAAACTGCTCTATGAAAAGCAATGTTAAACTCTGTGGCTCGAACACAAACATCACAAAGCAGTTTCTGAGAATGCTTCAGTTTAGTTTTTCTGTGGAAATATTCCCGTTTCCAAAGAAATCTTCAAAGAGGTCCACGCATCCACTTACAGATTCTACAAAAAGACAGTTTCAAAACTGCTCCATCAAAAGGAGGGTTCAACTGTGTGACTTGAATGCAATCATCACTCAGAAGTTTCTGAGAATGCTTCTCTTTAGTTTTTACGTGAACATATACCCGTTTCGAACGAAGGCCACCCAGTGGTCCAAATATCCACTTGCAGATTATACAGAAAGAGTATTTCGAACCTGAACTCTCAAAGGCAGGTTCATCTCTGCGAGTTAAATGCATTCATCATGAAGAACTTTCTCAGAGTGTTTGTGTTTAGTTATGGGAAATTATTCCCGTTTCCAACGAAATCCTCAGAGAGCTCCAAATATCCACCTGCAGATTCTACCAAAAGTGTATTTGGAAACTGCTCCATCAAAAGGCATGTTCAGCTCTGTGAGTGAAACTCCATCATCACAAAGAATATTCTGAGAATGCTTCCGTTTGCCTTTTATATGAAGTTCCTTCCTATACTACCGTAGGCCTCAAAGCAGTCCAAATCTCCATTTGCAGATTCTACCAAAAGAGTGATTCCAATCTGCACTATCAATAGGATTGTTCAACTCCATGAGTTGAATGCCATCCTCACAAAGTCGTTTCTGAGAATGCTTCTATCTAGTTTTTATGTGAAGATATTTCCTTTTCCACCACAGGCCTCAAGGCCCTCCAAACGTCCACTTGCAGATTCTCGAAAAAGAGTGTTTCATAGCCGCTCTTTCAAAAGGAAAGTTCAACTCTGGGAGTTGAATACAAACATCACAAAGTAGTTTCCGAGAATGCTTCTGTTTAGTTCTTATGTGAAGATGATCCCGTTTCCAGTGAAATCTTCAAAGAGGTCCACATATCCCCTTGCAGATTCCAAAGAAAGAGGGTTTCAAAACTGCTCCATCAAAAGGATTGTTCAACTCTGTGAGTTGAATGCAGTCATCGCAGAAAACTTTCTGAGAATGCTTCTGTCTAGGTTTGAGGTGAAGATATAGACGTTTCAAACGAAGGCTACAAAGTGGTCAAAATATACACTTGCAGATTCTACTACAAGGGTGTTGCAAACCTGAACTATCAAAGGAAGGTTCAACTCTGTGAGTTGAATACAAACATCACAAAGAATGTTCTGAGTTTGCTTCCGTTCAGTTATGGGAAGTTGATCCCGTTTCCAACGAAATCCTCAGAGAGGTCCAAATATCCCCTTGCAGATTCTGCAAAACGTGTGTTTGGAAACTGCTCCATCATAACGAATGTTCAGCTCTCTGAGTTAAACTCCATCGTCACAAAGAATTTTCTGAGAGTGCTACCGTCTGGTTTTTATATGAAGTTCTTTCCTTTACTACCACAGGCCTCAAAGCGGTCCAAATCTCCACTTGCAGATTCTACAAAAAGAGTGTTTGCAAACTGCTCTATCAAAAGGAATGTTCAACTCTGGGAGTTGAATGCAATCATCACAGAGCAGTTTCTGAGAATGCTTCTATGTCGTTTTTAGGAGAAGATATTTCCTTTTCCAACACAGTCCTCCAAGCCCGCTAAATATCCACTTGCACATTGTAGAAAAAGTGTGTCAAAGCTGCGCTATCAAAGGGAAAGTTCAACTCTGTGAGGTGAATGCAAACATCCCAAAGAAGTTTCTGAGAATGCTTCCGTTTAGCTTTTAGGTGAAGATTATCCCGTTTCCAACGAAATCTTCAAAGAGGTCCAAATATCCCCTTGCGGATCCCACAGAAAGAGTGTTTCGAAACTGCTGTTTCAAAAGGAATCTTCAACTCTGTGAGTTGAATGCAATCATCACAAAGAAGTTTCTGACAATGCTTCTCTCTCGTCTTTCTGTGAAGATAAAGGAAAAGGCTTTCAGGCCTTTTCCACCACAGGCCTGAAAACGCTCTAAATGTCCACTTGCAGATTCTGCCAAAAGAATATTTCAAAAGTGCTCTATGAAAAGCAATGTTAAACTCTGCGGCTCGAACACCAACATCACAAAGCAGTTTCTGAGAATGCTTCAGTTTAGTTTTTCTGTGGAAATATTCCCGTTTCCAAAGAAATCTTCCAAGAGGTCCACGAATCCACTTACAGATTCTACAAAAAGACAGTTTCAAAACTGCTCAATCAAAAGGCGGGTTCAACTGTGTGACTTGAATGCAATCATCACTCAGAAGTTTCTGAGAATGCTTCTCTTTAGTTTTTACGTGAACATATACCCGTTTCGAACGAAGGCCAGCCAGTGGTCCAAATATCCACTTGCAGATTCTACAGAAAGAGTGTTTCGAACCTGAACTCTCAAAGGCAAGTTCATCTCTGCGAGTTAAATGCATTCATCATGAAGAACTTTCTCAGAGTGTTTGTGTTTAGTTATGGGAAATTATTGCCGTTCCCAACGAAATCCTCAGAGAGGTCCAAATATCCACCTGCAGATTCTACCAAAAGTGTATTTGGAAACTGCTCCATCAAAAGGCATGTTCAGCTCTGTGAGTGAAACTCCATCATCACAAAGAATATTCTGAGAATGCTTCCGTTTGCCTTTTATATGAAGTTCCTTCCTATACGACCGTAGGCCTCAAGCAGTCCAAATCTCCATTTGCAGATTCTACAAAAAGAGTGATTCCAATCTGCTCTATCAATAGGATTGTTCAACTCCATGAGTTGAATGCCATCCTCACAAAGTCGTTTCTGAGAATGCTTCTATCTAGTTTTTATGTGAAGATATTTCCTTTTCCACCACAGGCCTCAAAGCCCTCCAAACGTCCACTTGCAGATTCTCGAAAAAGAGTGTTTCATAGCTGCTCTTTCAAAAGGAAAGTTCAACTCTGGGAGTTGAATACAAACATCACAAAGTAGTTTCCGAGAATGCTTCTGTTTAGTTTTTATGTGAAGATGATCCCGTTTCCAGTGAAATCTTCAAAGAGGTCCACATATCCCCTTGCAGATTCCAAAGAAAGAGGGTTTCAAAACTGCTCCATCAGAAGGATTGTTCAACTCTGTGAGTTGAATGCAGTCATCGCAGAAAACTTTCTGAGAATGCTTCTGTCTAGGTTTGATGTGAAGATATAGACGTTTCAAACGAAGGCTACAAAGTGGTCAAAATATACACTTGCAGATTCTACTACAAGGGTGTTGCAAACCTGAACTATCAAAGGAAGGTTCAACTCTGTGAGTTGAATACAAACATCACAAAGAATGTTCTGAGTTTGCTTCCGTTCAGTTATGGGAAGTTGATCCCGTTTCCAACGAAATCCTCAGAGAGGTCCAAATATCCCCTTGCAGATTCTACAAAACGTGTGTTTGGAAACTGCTCCATCATAACGAATGTTCAGCTCCCTGAGTTAAACTCCATCGTCACAAAGAATTTTCTGAGAGTGCTACCGTCTGGTTTTTATATGAAGCTCTTTCCTTCACTACCACAGACCTCAAAGCGGTCCAAATCTCCACTTGCAGATTCTACAAAAAGAGTGTTTGCAAACTGCTCTATCAAAAGGAATGTTCAACTCTGGGAGTTGAATGCAATCATCACAGAGCAGTTTCTGAGAATGCTTCTATGTCGTTTTTAGGAGAAGATATTTCCTTTTCCAACACAGTCCTCCAAGCCCGCTAAATAGCCACTTGCACATTGTAGAAAAAGTGTGTCAAAGCTGCGCTATCAAAGGGAAAGTTCAACTCTGTGAGGTGAATGCAAACATCCCAAAGAAGTTTCTGAGAATGCTTCCATTTAGCTTTTAGGTGAAGATTATCCCGTTTCCAACGAAACCTTCAAAGAGGTCCAAATATCCCCTTGCGGATCCCACAGAAAGAGTGTTTCGAAACTGCTGTTTCAAAAGGAATCTTCAACTCTGAGTTGAATGCAATCATCACAGAGAAGTTTCTGACAATGCTTCTCTCTCGTCTTTCTGTGAAGATAAAGGAAAAGGCTTTCAGGCCTTTTCCACCACAGGCCTGAAAGCGCTCCAAATGTCCACTTGCAGATTCTGCGAAAAGAATATTTCAAAACTGCTCTATGAAAAGCAATGTTAAACTCTGTGGCTCGAACACAAACATCACAAAGCGGTTTCTGAGAATGCTTCAGTTTAGTTTTTCTGTGGAAATATTCCCGTTTCCAAAGAAATCTTCAAAGAGGTCCACGTATCCACTTACAGATTCTACAAAAAGACAGTTTCAAAACTGCTCCATCAAAAGGAGGGTTCAACTGTGTGACTTGAATGCAATCATCACTCAGAAGTTTCTGAGAATGCTTCTCTTTAGTTTTTACGTGAACATATACCCGTTTAGAACGAAGGCCACACAGTGGTCCAAATATCCACTTGCAGATTCTACAGAAAGAGTGTTTCGAACCTGAACTCTCAAAGGCAGGTTCATCTCTGCGAGTTAAATGCATTCATCATGAAGAACTTTCTCAGAGTGTTTGTGCTTAGTTATGGGAAATTATTCCCGTTTCCAACGAAATCCTCAGAGTGGTCCAAATATCCACCTGCAGATTCTACCAAAAGTGTATTTGGAAACTGCTCCATCAAAAGGCATGTTCAGCTCTGTGAGTGAAACTCCATCATCACAAAGAATATTCTGAGAATGCTTCCGTTTGCCTTTTATCTGAAGTTCCTTCCTATACGACCGTAGGCCTCAAAGCAGTCCAAATCTCCATTTGCAGATTCTACAAAAAGAGTGATTCCAATCTGCTCTATCAATAGGATTGTTCAACTCCATGAGTTGAATGCCATCCTCACAAAGTCGTTTCTGAGAATGCTTCTATCTAGTTTTTATGTGAAGATATTTCCTTTTCCACCACAGGCCTCAAAGCCCTCCAAACGTCCACTTGCAGATTCTCGAAAAAGAGTGTTTCATAGCTGCTCTTTCAAAAGGAAAGTTCAACTCTGGCAGTTGAATACAAACATCACAAAGTAGTTTCCGAGAATGCTTCTGTTTAGTTTTTATGTGAAGATGATCCCGTTTCCAGTGAAATCTTCAAAGAGGTCCACATATCCCCTTGCAGATTCCAAAGAAAGAGGGTTTCAAAACTGCTCCATCAGAAGGATTGTTCAACTCTGTGAGTTGAATGCAGTCATCGCAGAAAACTTTCTGAGAATGCTTCTGTCTAGGTTTGATGTGAAGATATAGACGTTTCAAATGAAGGCTACAAAGTGGTCAAAATATACACTTGCAGATTGTACTACAAGGGTGTTGCAAACCTGAACTATCAAAGGAAGGTTCAACTCTGTGAGTTGAATACAAACATCACAAAGAATGTTCTGAGTTTGCTTCCGTTCAGTTATGGGAAGTTGATCCCGTTTCCAACGAAATCCTCAGAGAGGTCCAAATATCCCCTTGCAGATTCTACAAAACGTGTGTTTGGAAACTGCTCCATCATAACGAATGTTCAGCTCCCTGAGTTAAACTCCATCGTCACAAAGAATTTTCTGAGAGTGCTACCGTCTGGTTTTTATATGAAGTTCTTTCCTTTACTACCACAGGCCTCAAAGCGGTCCAAATCTCCACTGGCAGATTCTACAAAAAGAGTGTTTGCAAACTGCTCTATCAAAAGGAATGTTCAACTCTGGGAGTTTAATGCAATCATCACAGAGCAGTTTCTGAGAATGCTTCTATGTCGTTTTTAGGAGAAGATATTTCCTTTTCCAACACAGTCCTCCAAGCCCGCTAAATATCCACTTGCACATTGTAGAAAAAGTGTGTCGAAGCTGCGCTATCAAAGGGAAAGTTCAACTCTGTGAGGTGAATGCAAACATCCCAAAGAAGTTTCTGAGAATGCTTCCGTTTAGCTTTTAGGTGAAGATTATCCCGTTTCCAACGAAATCTTCAAAGAGGTCCAAATATCCCCTTGCGGATCCCACAGAAAGAGTGTTTCGAAACTGCTGTTTCAAAAGGAATCTTCAACTCTGTGAGTTGAATGCAATCATCACAAAGAAGTTTCTGACAATGCTTCTCTCTCGTCTTTCTGTGAAGATAAAGGAAAAGGCTTTCAGGCCTTTTCCACCACAGGCCTGAAAGCGCTCCAAATGTCCACTTGCAGATTCTGCCAAAAGAATATTTCAAAACTGCTCTATGAAAAGCAATGTTAAACTCTGTGGCTCGAACACAAACATCACAAAGCGGTTTCTGAGAATGCTTCAGTTTAGTTTTTCTGTGGAAATATTCCCGTTTCGAAAGAAATCTTCAAAGAGGTCCACGTATCCACTTACAGATTCTACAAAAAGACAGTTTCAAAACTGCTCCATCAAAAGGAGGGTTCAACTGTGTGACTTGAATGCAATCATCACTCAGAAGTTTCTGAGAACGCTTCTGTTTAGTTTTTACGTGAACATATAGCCGTTTCGAACGAAGGCCACCCAGTGGTCCAAATATCCACTTGCAGATTCTACAGAAAGAGTGTTTCGAACCTGAACTCTCAAAGGCAGGTTCATCTCTGCGAGTTCAATGCATTCATCATGAAGAACTTTCTCAGCGTGTTTGTGTTTAGTTATGGGAAATTATTCCCGTTTCCAACGAAATCCTCAGAGAGCTCCAAATATCCACCTGCAGATTCTACCAAAAGTGTATTTGGAAACTGCTCCATGAAAAGGCATGTTCAGCTCTGTGAGTGAAACTCCGTCATCACAAAGAATATTCTGAGAATGCTTCCCGTTTGCCTTTTATATGAAGTTCCTTCCTGTACTACCGTAGGCCTCAAAGCAGTCCAAATCTCCATTTGCAGATTCTATAAAAAGAGTGATTCCAATCTGCTCTATCAATAGGATTGTTCAACTCCATGAGTTGAATGCCATCCTCACAAAGTAGTTTCTGAGAATGCTTCTATCTGGTTTTTGTGTGAAGATATTTCCTTTTCCACCACAGGCCTCAAAGCCCTCCAAACGTCCACTTGCAGATTCTCGAAAAAGAGTGTTTCATAGCTGCTCTTTCAAAAGGAAAGTTCAACTCTGGGAGTTGAATACAAACATCACAAAACAGTTTCCGAGAATGCTTCTGTTTAGTTTTTATGTGAAGATGATCCCGTTTCCAGTGAAATCTTCAAAGAGGTCCACATATCCCCTTGCAGATTCCAAAGAAAGAGGGTTTCAAAACTGCTCCATCAGAAGGATTGTTCAACTCTGTGAGTTGAATGCAGTCATCGCAGAAAACTTTCTGAGAATGCTTCTGTCTAGGTTTGATGTGAAGATATAGACGTTTCAAACGAAGGCTACAAAGTGGTCAAAATATACACTTGCAGATTCTACTACAAGGGTGTTGCAAACCTGAACTATCAAAGGAAGGTTCAACTCTGTGAGTTGAATACAAACATCACAAAGAATGTTCTGAGTTTGCTTCCGTTCAGTTATGGGAAGTTGATCCCGTTTCCAACGAAATCCTCAGAGAGGTCCAAATATCCCCTTGCAGATACTACAAAACGTGTGTTTGGAAACTGCTCCATCATAACGAATGTTCAGCTCCCTGAGTTAAACTCCATCGTCACAAAGAATTTTCTGAGAGTGCTACCGTCTGGTTTTTATATGAAGCTCTTTCCTTCACTACCACAGGCCTCAAAGCGGTCCAAATCTCCACTTGCAGATTCTACAAAAAGAGTGTTTGCAAACTGCTCTATCAAAAGGAATGTTCAACCCTGGGAGTTGAATGCAATCATCACAGAGCAGTTTCTGAGAATGCTTCTATGTCGTTTTTAGGAGAAGATATTTCCTTTTCCAACACAGTCCTCCAAGCCCGCTAAATATCCACTTGCACATTGTAGAAAAAGTGTGTCAAAGCTGCGCTATCAAAGGGAAAGTTCAACTCTGTGAGGAGAGTGAAAACATCCCAAAGAAGTTTCTGAGAATGCTTCCGTTTAGCTTTTAGGTGAAGATTATCCCGTTTCCAACGAAACCTTCAAAGAGGTCCAAATATCCCCTTGCGGATCCCACAGAAAGAGTGTTTCGAAACTGCTGTTTCAAAAGGAATCTTCAACTCTGTGAGTTGAATGCAATCATCAAAAAGAAGTTTCTGACAATGCTTCTCTCTCGTCTTTCTGTGAAGATAAAGGAAAAGGCTTTCAGGCCTTTTCCACCACAGGCCTGAAAGCGCTCCAAATGTCCACTTGCAGATTCTGCCAAAAGAATATTTCAAAACTGCTCTATGAAAAGCAATGTTAAACTCTGCGGCTCGAACACAAACATCACAAAGCAGTTTCTGAGAATGCTTCAGTTTAGTTTTTCTGTGGAAATATTCCCGTTTCCAAAGAAATCTTCAAAGAGGTCCACGTATCCACTTACAGATTCTACAAAAAGACAGTTTCAAAACTGGTCAATCAAAAGGAGGGTTCAACTGTGTGACTTGAATGCAATCATCACTCAGAAGTTTCTGAGAACGCTTCTCTTTAGTTTTTACGTGAACATATACCCGTTTCGAACGAAGGCCAGCCAGTGGTCCAAATATCCACTTGCAGATTCTACAGAAAGAGTGTTTCGAATCTGAACTCTCAAAGGCAGGTTCATCTCTGCGAGTTCAATGCATTCATCATGAAGAACTTTCTCAGCGTGTTTGTGTTTAGTTATGGGAAATTATTCCCGTTTCCAACGAAATCCTCAGAGAGCTCCAAATATCCACCTGCAGATTCTACCAAAAGTGTATTTGGAAACTGCTCCATCAAAAGGCATGTTCAGCTCTGTGAGTGAAACTCCATCATCACACAAAATATTCTGAGAATGCTTCCGTTTGCCTTTTATATGAAGTTCCTTCCTATACTACCGTAGGCCTCAAAGCAGTCCAAATCTCCATTTGCAGATTCTACAAAAAGAGTGATTCCAATCTCCTCTATCAATAGGACTGTTCAACTCCATGAGTTGAATGCCATCCTCACAAAGTCGTTTCTGAGAATGCTTCTATCTAGTTTTTATGTGAAGATATTTCCTTTTCCACCACAGGCCTCAAAGCCCTCCAAACGTCCACTTTCAGATTCTCGAAAAAGAGTGTTTCATAGCTGCTCTTTCAAAAGGAAAGTTCAACTCTGGGAGTTGAATACAAACATCACAAAGTAGTTTCCGAGAATGCTTTCTGTTTAGTTCTTATGTGAAGATGATCCCGTTTCCAGTGAAATCTTCAAAGAGGTCCACATATCCCCTTGCAGATTCCAAAGAAAGAGGGTTTCAAAACTGCTCCATCAAAAGGATTGTTCAACTCTGTGAGTTGAATGCAGTCATCGCAGAAAACTTTCTGAGAATGCTTCTGTCTAGGTTTGAGGTGAAGATATAGACGTTTCAAACGAAGGCTACAAAGTGGTCAAAATATACACTTGCAGATTCTACTACAAGGGTGTTGCAAACCTCAACTATCAAAGGAAGGTTCAACTCTGTGAGTTGAATACAAACATCACAAAGAATGTTCTCAGTTTGCTTCTGTTCAGTTATGGGAAGTTGATCCCGTTTCCAACGAAATCCTCAGAGAGGTCCAAATATCCCCTTGCAGATTCTACAAAACGTGTGTTTGGAAACTGCTCCATCATAACGAATGTTCAGCTCTCTGAGTTAAACTCCATCGTCACAAAGAATTTTCTGAGAGTGCTACCGTCTGCTTTTTATATGAAGTTCTTTCCTTTACTACCACAGGCCTCAAAGCGGTCCAAATCTCCACTTGCAGATTCTACAAAAAGAGTGTTTGCAAACTGCTCTATCAAAAGGAATGTTCAACTCTGGGAGTTGAATGCAATCATCACAGAGCAGTTTCTGAGAATGCTTCTATGTCGTTTTTAGGAGAAGATATTTCCTTTTCCAACACAGTCCTCCAAGCCCGCTAAATATCCACTTGCACATTGTAGAAAAAGTGTGTCGAAGCTGCGCTATCAAAGGGAAAGTTCAACTCTGTGAGGTGAATGCAAACATCCCAAAGAAGTTTCTGAGAATGCTTCCGTTTAGCTTTTAGGTGAAGATTATCCCGTTTCCAACGAAATCTTCAAAGAGGTCCAAATATCCCCTTGCGGATCCCACAGAAAGAGTGTTTCGAAACTGCTGTTTCAAAAGGAATCTTCAACTCTGTGAGTTGAATGCAATCATCACAAAGAAGTTTCTGACAATGCTTCTCTCTCGTCTTTCTGTGAAGATAAAGGAAAAGGCTTTCAGGCCTTTTCCACCACAGGCCTGAAAGCGCTCCAAATGTCCACTTGCAGATTCTGCCAAAAGAATATTTCAAAACTGCTCTATGAAAAGCAATGTTAAACTCTGTGGCTCGAACACAAACATCACAAAGCAGTTTCTGAGAATGCTTCAGTTTAGTTTTTCTGTGGAAATATTCCCGTTTCCAAAGAAATCTTCAAAGAGGTCCACGCATCCACTTACAGATTCTACAAAAACACAGTTTCAAAACTGCTCAATCAAAACGAGGGTTCAACTGTGTGACTTGAATGCAATCATCACTCAGAAGTTTCTGAGAATGCTTCTCTTTAGTTTTTACGTGAACATATACCCGTTTCGAACGAAGGCCACCCAGTGGTCCAAATATCCACTTGCAGATTCTACAGAAAGAGTGTTTCGAACCTGAACTCTCAAAGGCAGGTTCATCTCTGCGAGTTAAATGCATTCATCATGAAGAACATTCTCAGCGTGTTTGTGTTTAGTTATGGGAAATTATTCCCTTATCCAACGAAATCCTCAGAGAGCTCCAAATATCCACCTGCAGATTCTACCAGAAGTGTATTTGGAAACTGCTCCATCAAAAGGCATGTTCAGCTCTGTGAGTGAAACTCCATCATCACAAAGAATATTCTGAGAATGCGTCCGTTTGCCTTTTATATGAAGTTCCTTCCTATACTACCGTAGGCCTCAAAGCAGTCCAAATCTCCCTTTGCAGATTCTACAAAAAGAGTGATTCCAATCTGCTCTATCAATAGGATTGTTCAACTCCATGAGTTGAATGCCATCCTCACAAAGTCGTTTCTGAGAATGCTTCTATCTAGTTTTTATGTGAAGATATTTCCTTTTCCACCACAGGCCTCAAAGCCCTCCAAACGTCCACTTGCAGATTCTCGAAAAAGAGTGTTTCATAGCTGCTCTTTCAAAAGGAAAGTTCAACTCTGGGAGTTGAATACAAACATCACAAAGTAGTTTCCGAGAATGCTTCTGTTTAGTTCTTATGTGAAGATGATCCCGTTTCCAGTGAAATCTTGAAAGAGGTCCACATATCCCCTTGCAGATTCCAAAGAAAGAGGGTTTCAAAACTGCTCCATCAAAAGGATTACTCAACTCTATGAGTTGTATGCAGTCATCGCAGAAAACTTTCTGAGAATGCTTCTTTCTAGGTTTGATGTGAAGATATAGACGTTTCAAACGAAGGCTACAAAGTGGTCAAAATATACACTTGCAGATTCTACTACAAGGGTGTTGCAAACCTGAACTATCAAAGGAAGGTTCAACTCTGTGAGTTGAATACAAACATCACAAAGAATGTTCTGAGTTTGCTTCCGTTCAGTTATGGGAAGTTGATCCCGTTTCCAACGAAATCCTCAGAGAGGTCCAAATATCCCCTTGCAGATTCTACAAAACGTGTGTTTGTAAACTGCTCCATCATAACGAATGTTCAGCTCCCTGAGTTAAACTCCATCGTCACAAAGAATTTTCTGAGAGTGCTACCGTCTGGTTTTTATATGAAGTTCTTTCCTTTACTACCATAGGCCTCAAAGCGGTCCAAATCTCCACTTGCAGATTCTACAAAAAGAGTGTTTGCAAACTGCTCTATCAAAAGGAATGTTCAACCCTGGGAGTTGAATGCAATCATCACAGAGCAGTTTCTGAGAATGCTTCTATGTCGTTTTTAGGAGAAGATATTTCCTTTTCCAACACAGTCCTCCACGCCCGCTAAATATCCACTTGCACATTGTAGAAAAAGTGTGTCAAAGCTGCGCTATCAAAGGGAAAGTTCAACTCTGTGAGGTGAATGCAAACATCCCAAAGAAGTTTCTGAGAGTGCTTCCGTTTAGCTTTTAGGTGAAGATTATCCCGTTTCCAACGAAAGCTTCAAAGAGGTCCAAATATCCCCTTGCGGATCCCACAGAAAGAGTGTTTCGAAACTGCTGTTTCAAAAGGAATCTTCAACTCTGTGAGTTGAATGCAATCATCACAAAGAAGTTTCTGACAATGCTTCTCTCTCGTCTTTCTGTGAAGATAAAGGAAAAGGCTTTCAGGCCTTTTCCACCACAGGCCTGAAAGCGCTCCAAATGTCCACTTGCAGATTCTGCCAAAAGAATATTTCAAAACTGCTCTATGAAAAGCAATGTTAAACTCTGTGGCTCGAACACAAACATCACAAAGCAGTTTCTGAGAATGCTTCAGTTTAGTTTTTCTGTGGAAATATTCCCGTTTCCAAAGAAATCTTCAAAGAGGTCCACGTATCCACTTACAGATTCTACAAAAAGACAGTTTCAAAACTGCTCCATCAAAAGGAGGGTTCAACCGTGTGACTTGAATGCAATCATCATTCAGAAGTTTCTGAGAATGCTTCTCTTTAGTTTTTACGTGAACATATACCCGTTTCGAACGAAGGCCACCCAGTGGTCCAAATATCCACTTGCAGATTCTACAGAAAGAGTGTTTCGAACCTGAACTCTCAAAGGCAGGTTCATCTCTGCGAGTTAAATGCATTCATCATGAAGAACATTCTCAGCGTGTTTGTGCTTAGTTATGGGAAATTATTCCCGTTTCCAACGAAATCCTCAGAGAGCTCCAAATATCCACCTGCAGATTCTACCAAAAGTGTATTTGGAAACTGCTCCATCAAAAGGCATGTTCAGCTCTGTGAGTGAAACTCCATCATCACAAAGAATATTCTGAGAATGCTTCCGTTTGCCTTTTATATGAAGTTCCTTCCTATACTACCGTAGGCCTCAAAGCAGTCCAAATCTCCATTTGCAGATTCTACAAAAAGAGTGATTCCAATCTGCTCTATCAATAGGATTGTTCAACTCCATGTGTTGAATGCCATCCTCACAATGTCGTTTCTGAGAATGCTTCTATCTAGTTTTTATGTGAAGATATTTCCTTTTCCACCACAGGCCTCAAAGCCCTCCAAACGTCCACTTTCAGATTCTCGAAAAAGAGTGTTTCATAGCTGCTCTTTCAAAAGGAAAGTTCAACTCTGGGAGTTGAATACAAACATCACAAAGTAGTTTCCGAGAATGCTTCTGTTTAGTTTTTATGTGAAGATGATCCCGTTTCCAGTGAAATCTTCAAAGAGGTCCACATATCCCCTTGCAGATTCCAAAGAAAGAGGGTTTCAAAACTGCTCCATCAGAAGGATTGTTCAACTCTGTGAGTTGAATGCAGTCATCGCAGAAAACTTTCTGAGAATGCTTCTGTCTAGGTTTGATGTGAAGATATAGACGTTTCAAACGAAGGCTACAAAGTGGTCAAAATATACACTTGCAGATTCTACTACAAGGGTGTTGCAAACCTGAACTATCAATGGAAGGTTCAACTCTGTGAGTTGAATACAAACATCACAAAGAATGTTCTGAGTTTGCTTCCGTTCAGTTATGGGAAGTTGATCCCGTTTCCAACCAAATCCTCAGAGAGGTCCAAATATCCCCTTGCAGATTCTACAAAACGTGTGTTTGGAAACTGCTCCATCATAACGAATGTTCAGCTCCCTGAGTTAAACTCCATCGTCACAAAGAATTTTCTGAGAGTGCTACCGTCTGGTTTTTATATGAAGCTCTTTCCTTCACTACCACAGACCTCAAAGCGGTCCAAATCTCCACCTCCAGATTCTACAAAAAGAGTGTTTGCAAACTGCTCTATCAAAAGGAATGTTCAACTCTGGGAGTTGAATGCAATCATCACAGAGCAGTTTCTGAGAATGCTTCTATGTCGTTTTTAGGAGAAGATATTTCCTTTTCCAACACAGTCCTCCAAGCCCGCTAAATAGCCACTTGCACATTGTAGAAAAAGTGTGTCGAAGCTGCGCTATCAAAGGGAAAGTTCAACTCTGTGAGGTGAATGCAAACATCCCAAAGAAGTTTCTGAGAATGCTTCCGTTTAGCTTTTAGGTGAAGATTATCCCGTTTCCAACGAAACCTTCAAAGAGGTGCAAATATCCCCTTGCGGATCCCACAGAAAGAGTGTTTCGAAACTGCTGTTTCAAAAGGAATCTTCAACTCTGTGAGTTGAATGCAATCATCACAAAGAAGTTTCTGACAATGCTTCTCTCTCGTCTTTCTGTGAAGATAAAGGAAAAGGCTTTCAGGCCTTTTCCACCACAGGCCTGAAAGCGCTCCAAATGTCCACTTGCAGATTCTGCGAAAAGAATATTTCAAAACTGCTCTATGAAAAGCAATGTTAAACTCTGTGGCTCGAACACAAACATCACAAAGCGGTTTCTGAGAATGCTTCAGTTTAGTTTTTCTGTGGAAATATTCCCGTTTCCAAAGAAATCTTCAAAGAGGTCCACGTATCCACTTACAGATTCTACAAAAAGACAGTTTCAAAACTGCTCCATCAAAAGGAGGGTTCAACCGTGTGACTTGAATGCAATCATCACTCAGAAGTTTCTGAGAATGCTTCTCTTTAGTTTTTACGTGAACATATACCCGTTTCGAACGAAGGCCACCCAGTGGTCCAAATATCCACTTGCAGATTATACAGAAAGAGTGTTTCGAACCTGAACTCTCAAAGGCAGGTTCATCTCTGCGAGTTAAATGCATTCATCATGAAGAACTTTCTCAGAGTGTTTGTGTTTAGTTATGGGAAATTATTCCCGTTTCCAACGAAATCCTCAGAGAGCTCCAAATATCCACCTACAGATTCTACCAAAAGTGTATTTGGAAACTGCTCCATCAAAAGGCATGTTCAGCTCTGTGAGTGAAACTCCATCATCACAAAGAATATTCTGAGAATGCTTCCGTTTGCGTTTTATATGAAGTTCCTTCCTGTACTACCGTAGGCCTCAAAGCAGTCCAAATCTCCATTTGCAGATTCTACAAAAAGAGTGATTCCAATCTGCTCTATCAATAGGATTGTTCAACTCCATGAGTTGAATGCCATCCTCACAAAGCAGTTTCTGAGAATGCTTCTATCTGGTTTTTGTGTGAAGATATTTCCTTTTCCACCACAGGCCTCAAAGCCCTCCAAACGTCCACTTGCAGATTCTCGAAAAAGAGTGTTTCATAGCTGCTCTTTCAAAAGGAAAGTTCAACTCTGGGAGTTGAATACAAACATCACAAAATAGTTTCCGAGAATGCTTCTGTTTAGTTTTTATGTGAAGATGATCCCGTTTCCAGTGAAATCTTCAAAGAGGTCCACATATCCCCTTGCAGATTCCAAAGAAAGAGGGTTTCAAAACTGCTCCATCAGAAGGATTGTTCAACTCTGTGAGTTGAATGCAGTCATCGCAGAAAACTTTCTGAGAATGCTTCTGTCTAGGTTTGATGTGAAGATATAGACGTTTCAAATGAAGGCTACAAAGTGGTCAAAATATACACTTGCAGATTCTACTACAAGGGTGTTGCAAACCTGAACTATCAAAGGAAGGTTCAACTCTGTGAGTTGAATACAAACATCACAAAGAATGTTCTGAGTTTGCTTCCATTCAGTTATGGGAAGTTGATCCCGTTTCCAACGAAATCCTCAGAGAGGTCCAAATATCCCCTTGCAGATTCTACAAAACGTGTGTTTGGAAACTGCTCCATCATAACGAATGTTCAGCTCCCTGAGTTAAACTCCATCGTCACAAAGAATTTTCTGAGAGTGCTACCGTCTGGTTTTTATATGAAGTTCTTTCCTTTACTACCGCAGGCCTCAAAGCGGTCCAAATCTCCACTTGCAGATTCTACAAAAAGAGTGTTTGCAAACTGCTCTATCAAAAGGAATGTTCAACTCTGGGAGTTGAATGCAATCATCACAGCGCAGTTTCTGAGAATGCTTCTATGTCGTTTTTAGGAGAAGATATTTCCTTTTCCAACACAGTCCTCCAAGCCAGCTAAATAGCCACTTGCACATTGTAGAAAAAGTGTGTCAAAGCTGCGCTATCAAAGGGAAAGTTCAACTCTGTGAGGTGAATGCAAACATCCCAAAGAAGTTTCTGAGAATGCTTCCGTTTAGCTTTTAGGTGAAGATTATCCCGTTTCCAACG
The DNA here is from genome assembly GCF_000001405.40 of Homo sapiens. Taxonomy (NCBI): domain Eukaryota; kingdom Metazoa; phylum Chordata; class Mammalia; order Primates; family Hominidae; genus Homo; species Homo sapiens. The sequence continues at coordinate 60,721,581 of NC_000023.11, read as the reverse complement.
AAACCTTCAAAGAGGTCCAAATATCCCCTTGCGGATCCCACAGAAAGAGTGTTTCGAAACTGCTGTTTCAAAAGGAATCTTCAACTCTGTGAGTTGAATGCAATCATCGCAAAGAAGTTTCTGACATGCTTCTCTCTCGTCTTTCTGTGAAGATAATGGAAAAGGCTTTCAGGCCTTTTCCACCACAGGCCTGAAAGCGCTCCAAATGTCCACTTGCAGATTCTGCCAAAAGAATATTTCAAAACTGCTCTATGAAAAGCAATGTTAAACTCTGTGGCTCGAACACAAACATCACAAAGCGGTTTCTGAGAATGCTTCAGTTTAGTTTTTCTGTGGAAATATTCCCGTTTCCAAAGAAATCTTCAAAGAGGTCCACGTATCCACTTACAGATTCTACAAAAAGACAGTTTCAAAACTGCTCCATCAAAAGGAGGGTTCAACTGTGTGACTTGAATGCAATCATCACTCAGAAGTTTCTGAGAATGCTTCTCTTTAGTTTTTACGTGAACATATACCCGTTTCGAACGAAGGCCAGCCAGTGGTCCAAATATCCACTTGCAGATTCTACAGAAAGAGTGTTTCGAACCTGAACTCTCAAAGGCAGGTTCATCTCTGCGAGTTAAATGCATTCATCATGAAGAACTTTCTCAGAGTGTTTGTGTTTAGTTATGGGAAATTATTCCCGTTTCCAACGAAATCCTCAGAGAGGTCCAAATATCCACCTGCAGATTCTACCAAAAGTGTATTTGGAAACTGCTCCATCAAAAGGCATGTTCAGCTCTGTGAGTGAAACTCCATCATCACAAAGAATATTCTGAGAATGCTTCCGTTTGCCTTTTATATGAAGTTCCTTCCTATACGACCGTAGGCCTCAAAGCAGTCCAAATCTCCATTTGCAGATTCTACAAAAAGAGTGATTCCAATCTGCTCTATCAATAGGATTGTTCAACTCCATGAGTTGAATGCCATCCTCACAAAGTCGTTTCTGAGAATGCTTCTATCTAGTTTTTATGTGAAGATATTTCCTTTTCCACCACAGGCCTCAAAGCCCTCCAAACGTCCACTTGCAGATTCTCGAAAAAGAGTGTTTCATAGCTGCTCTTTCAAAAGGAAAGTTCAACTCTGGGAGTTGAATACAAACATCACAAAGTAGTTTCCGAGAATGCTTCTGTTTAGTTTTTATGTGAAGATGATCCCGTTTCCAGTGAAATCTTCAAAGAGGTCCACATATCCCCTTGCAGATTCCAAAGAAAGAGGGTTTCAAAACTGCTCCATCAGAAGGATTGTTCAACTCTGTGAGTTGAATGCAGTCATCGCAGAAAACTTTCTGAGAATGCTTCTGTCTAGGTTTGATGTGAAGATATAGACGTTTCAAACGAAGGCTACAAAGTGGTCAAAATATACACTTGCAGATTCTACTACAAGGGTGTTGCAAACGTGAACTATCAAAGGAAGGTTCAACTCTGTGAATTGAATACAAACATCACAAAGAATGTTCTGAGTTTGCTTCCGTTCAGTTATGGGAAGTTGATCCCGTTTCCAACGAAATCCTCAGAGAGGTCCAAATATCCCCTTGCAGATTCTACAAAACGTGTGTTTGGAAACTGCTCCATCATAACGAATGTTCAGCTCCCTGAGTTAAACTCCATCGTCACAAAGAATTTTCTGAGAGTGCTACCGTCTGGTTTTTATATGAAGTTCTTTCCTTCACTACCACAGGCCTCAAAGCGGTCCAAATCTCCACTTGCAGATTCTACAAAAAGAGTGTTTGCAAACTGCTCTATCAAAAGGAATGTTCAACTCTGGGAGTTGAATGCAATCATCACAGAGCAGTTTCTGAGAATGCTTCTATGTCGTTTTTAGGAGAAGATATTTCCTTTTCCAACACAGTCCTCCTAGCCCGCTAAATAGCCACTTGCACATTGTAGAAAAAGTGTGTCAAAGCTGCGCTATCAAAGGGAAAGTTCAACTCTGTGAGGTGAATGCAAACATCCCAAAGAAGTTTCTGAGAATGCTTCCGTTTAGCTTTTAGGTGAAGATTATCCCGTTTCCAACGAAACCTTCAAAGAGGTGCAAATATCCCCTTGCGGATCCCACAGAAAGAGTGTTTCGAAACTGCTGTTTCAAAAGGAATCTTCAACTCTGTGAGTTGAATGCAATCATCACAAAGAAGTTTCTGACAATGCTTCTCTCTCGTCTTTCTGTGAAGATAAAGAAAAGGCTTTCAGGCCTTTTCCACCACAGGCCTGAAAGCGCTCCAAATGTCCACTTGCAGATTCTGCGAAAAGAATATTTCAAAACTGCTCTATGAAAAGCAATGTTAAACTCTGTGGCTCGAACACAAACATCACAAAGCAGTTTCTGAGAATGCTTCAGTTTAGTTTTTCTGTGGAAATATTCCCGTTTCCAAAGAAATCTTCAAAGAGGTCCACGTATCCACTTACAGATTCTACAAAAAGACAGTTTCAAAACTGCTCCATCAAAAGGAGGGTTCAACTGTGTGACTTGAATGCAATCATCACTCAGAAGTTTCTGAGAATGCTTCTCTTTAGTTTTTACGTGAACATATACCCGTTTCGAACGAAGGCCACCCAGTGGTCCAAATATCCACTTGCAGATTCTACAGAAAGAGTGTTTCGAACCTGAACTCTCAAAGGCAGGTTCATCTCTGCGAGTTAAATGCATTCATCATGAAGAACTTTCTCAGAGTGTTTGTGTTTAGTTATGGGAAATTATTCCCGTTTCCAACGAAATCCTCAGAGAGCTCCAAATATCCACCTGCAGATTCTACCAAAAGTGTATTTGGAAACTGCTCCATCAAAAGGCATGTTCAGCTCTGTGAGTGAAACTCCATCATCACAAAGAATATTCTGAGAATGCTTCCGTTTGCCTTTTATATGAAGTTCCTTCCTGTACTACCGTAGGCCTCAAAGCAGTCCAAATCTCCATTTGCAGATTCTATAAAAAGAGTGATTCCAATCTGCTCTATCAATAGGATTGTTCAACTCCATGAGTTGAATGCCATCCTCACAAAGTAGTTTCTGAGAATGCTTCTATCTGGTTTTTGTGTGAAGATATTTCCTTTTCCACCACAGGCCTCAAAGCCCTCCAAACGTCCACTTGCAGATTCTCGAAAAGGAGTGTTTCATAGCTGCTCTTTCAAAAGGAAAGTTCAACTCTGGGAGTTGAATACAAACATCACAAAATAGTTTCCGAGAATGCTTCTGTTTAGTTTTTATGTGAAGATGATCCCGTTTCCAGTGAAATCTTCAAAGAGGTCCACATATCCCCTTGCAGATTCCAAAGAAAGAGGGTTTCAAAACTGCTCCATCAGAGGATTGTTCAACTCTGTGAGTTGAATGCAGTCATCGTAGAAAACTTTCTGAGAATGCTTCTGTCTAGGTTTGATGTGAAGATATAGACGTTTCAAATGAAGGCTACAAAGTGGTCAAAATATACACTTGCAGATTCTACTACAAGGGTGTTGCAAACCTGAACTATCAAAGGAAGGTTCAACTCTGTGAGTTGAATACAAACATCACAAAGAATGTTCTGAGTTTGCTTCCGTTCAGTTATGGGAAGTTGATCCCGTTTCCAACGAAATCCTCAGAGAGGTCCAAATATCCCCTCGCAGATTCTACAAAACGTGTGTTTGGAAACTGCTCCATCATAACGAATGTTCAGCTCCCTGAGTTAAACTCCATCGTCACAAAGAATTTTCTGAGAGTGCTACCGTCTGGTTTTTATATGAAGTTCTTTCCTTCACTACCACAGGCCTCAAAGCGGTCCAAATCTCCACTTGCAGATTCTACAAAAAGAGTGTTTGCAAACTGCTCTATCAAAAGGAATGTTCAACTCTGGGAGTTGAATGCAATCATCACAGAGCAGTTTCTGAGAATGCTTCTATGTCGTTTTTAGGAGAAGATATTTCCTTTTCCAACACAGTCCTCCAAGCCCGCTAAATAGCCACTTGCACATTGTAGAAAAAGTGTGTCAAAGCTGCGCTATCAAAGGGAAAGTTCAACTCTGAGAGGTGAATGCAAACATCCCAAAGAAGTTTCTGAGAATGCTTCCGTTTAGCTTTTAGGTGAAGATTATCCCGTTTCCAACGAAACCTTCAAAGAGGTCCAAATATCCCCTTGCGGATCCCACAGAAAGAGTGTTTCGAAACTGCTGTTTCAAAAGGAATCTTCAACTCTGTGAGTTGAATGCAATCATCACAAAGAAGTTTCTGACAATGCTTCTCTCTCGTCTTCCTGTGAAGATAAAGGAAAAGGCTTTCAGGCCTTTTCCACCACAGGCCTGAAAGCGCTCCAAATGTCCACTTGCAGATTCTGCCAAAAGAATATTTCAAAACTGCTCTATGAAAAGCAATGTTAAACTCTGTGGCTCGAACACAAACATCACAAAGCAGTTTCTGAGAATGCTTCAGTTTAGTTTTTCTGTGGAAATATTCCCGTTTCCAAAGAAATCTTCAAAGAGGTCCACGTATCCACTTACAGATTCTACAAAAAGACAGTTTCAAAACTGCTCCATCAAAAGGAGGGTTCAACTGTGTGACTTGAATGCAATCATCACTCAGAAGTTTCTGAGAATGCTTCTCTTTAGTTTTTACGTGAACATATACCCGTTTCGAACGAAGGCCACCCAGTGGTCCAAATATCCACTTGCAGATTCTACAGAAAGAGTGTTTCGAACCTGAACTCTCAAAGGCAGGTTCATCTCTGCGAGTTAAATGCATTCATCATGAAGAACTTTCTCAGAGTGTTTGTGTTTAGTTATGGGAAATTATTCCCGTTTCCAACGAAATCCTCAGAGAGCTCCAAATATCCACCTGCAGATTCTACCAAAAGTGTATTTGGAAACTGCTCCATCAAAAGGCATGTTCAGCTCTGTGAGTGAAACTCCATCATCACAAAGAATATTCTGAGAATGCTTCCGTTTGCCTTTTATATGAAGTTCCTTCCTATACGACCGTAGGCCTCAAAGCAGTCCAAATCTCCATTTGCAGATTCTACAAAAAGAGTGATTCCAATCTGCTCTATCAATAGGACTGTTCAACTCCATGAGTTGAATGCCATCCTCACAAAGTCGTTTCTGAGAATGCTCTATCTAGTTTTTATGTGAAGATATTTCCTTTTCCACCACAGGCCTCAAAGCCCTCCAAACGTCCACTTGCAGATTCTCGAAAAAGAGTGTTTCATAGCTGCTCTTTCAAAAGGAAAGTTCAACTCTGGGAGTTGAATACAAACATCACAAAGTAGTTCCGAGAATGCTTTCTGTTTAGTTTTTATGTGAAGATGATCACGTTTCCAGTGAAATCTTCAAGGAGTTCCACATACCACTTGCAGATTCCAAAGAAAGAGGGTTTCAAAACTGCTCCATCAAAAGGATTGTTCCAATCTGTGAGTTGAATGCAGTCATCACAGAAAACTTTCTGAGAATGCTTCTGTCTAGGTTTGATGTGAAGATATAGACGTTTCAAACGAAGGCTACAAAGTGGTCAAAATATACACTTGCAGATTCTACTACAAGGGTGTTGCAAACCTGAACTATCAAAGGAAGGTTCAACTCTGTGAATTGAATACAAACATCACAAAGAATGTTCTGAGTTTGCTTCCGTCCAGTTATGGGAAGTTGATCCCGTTTCCAACGAAATCCTCAGAGAGGTCCAAATATCCCCTTGCAGATTCTACAAAACGTGTGTTGGGAAACTGCTCCATCATAACGAATGTTCAGCTCCCTGAGTTAAACTCCATCGTCACAAAGAATTTTCTGAGAGTGCTACCGTCTGGTTTTTATATGAAGTTCTTTCCTTCACTACCACAGGCCTCAAAGCGGTCCAAATCTCCACTTGCAGATTCTACAAAAAGAGTGTTTGCAAACTGCTCTATCAAAAGGAATGTTCAACACTGGGAGTTGAATGCAATCATCACAGAGCAGTTTCTGAGAATGCTTCTATGTCGTTTTTAGGAGAAGATATTTCCTTTTCCAACACAGTCCTCCAAGCCCGCTAAATAGCCACTTGCACATTGTAGAAAAAGTGTGTCAAAGCTGCGCTATCAAAGGGAAAGTTCAACTCTGTGAGGTGAATGCAAACATCCCAAAGAAGTTTCTGAGAATGCTTCCGTTTAGCTTTTAGGTGAAGATTATCCCGTTTCCAACGAAACCTTCAAAGAGGTCCAAATATCCCCTTGCGGATCCCACAGAAAGAGTGTTTCGAAACTGCTGTTTCAAAAGGAATCTTCAACTCTGTGAGTTGAATGCAATCATCACAAAGAAGTTTCTGACAATGCTTCTCTCTCGTCTTTCTGTGAAGATAAAGGAAAAGGCTTTCAGGCCTTTTCCACCACAGGCCTGAAAGCGCTCCAAATGTCCACTTGCAGATTCTGCCAAAAGAATATTTCAAAACTGCTCTATGAAAAGCAATGTTAAACTCTGTGGCTGGAACACAAACATCACAAAGCGGTTTCTGAGAATGTTTCAGTTTAGTTTTTCTGTGGAAATATTCCCGTTTCCAAAGAAATCTTCAAAGAGGTCCACGTATCCACTTACAGATTCTACAAAAAGACAGTTTCAAAACTGCTCCATCAAAAGGAGGGTTCAACTGTGTGACTTGAATGCAATCATCACTCAGAAGTTTCTGAGAATGCTTCTCTTTAGTTTTTACGTGAACATATACCCGTTTCGAACGAAGGCCACCCAGTGGTCCAAATATCCACTTGCAGATTATACAGAAAGAGTGTTTCGAACCTGAACTCTCAAAGGCAGGTTCATCTCTGCGAGTTAAATGCATTCATCATGAAGAACTTTCTCAGAGTGTTTGTGTTTAGTTATGGGAAATTATTCCCGTTTCCAACGAAATCCTCAGAGAGCTCCAAATATCCACCTGCTGATTCTACCAAAAGTGTATTTGGAAACTGCTCCATCAAAAGGCATGTTCAGCTCTGTGAGTGAAACTCCATCATCACAAAGAATATTCTGAGAATGCTTCCGTTTGCCTTTTATTTGAAGTTCCTTCCTGTACTACCGTAGGCCTCAAAGCAGTCCAAATCTCCATTTGCAGATTCTATGAAAAGAGTGATTCCAATCTGCTCTATCAATAGGATTGTTCAACTCCATGAGTTGAATGCCATCCTCACAAAGTAGTTTCTGAGAATGCTTCTATCTGGTTTTTGTGTGAAGATATTTCCTTTTCCACCACAGGCCTCAAAGCCCTCCAAACGTCCACTTGCAGATTCTCGAAAAAGAGTGTTTCATAGCTGCTCTTTCAAAAGGAAAGTTCAACTCTGGGAGTTGAATACAAACATCACAAAGTAGTTTCCGAGAATGCTTCTGTTTAGTTTTTATGTGAAGATGATCCCGTTTCCAGTGAAATCTTCAAAGAGGTCCACATATTCCCTTGCAGATTCCAAAGAAAGAGGGTTTCAAAACTGCTCCATCAGAAGGATTGTTCAACTCTGTGAGTTGAATGCAGTCATCGCAGAAAACTTTCTGAGAATGCTTCTGTCTAGGTTTGATGTGAAGATATAGACGTTTCAAACGAAGGCTACAAAGTGGTCAAAATATACACTTGCAGATTCTACTACAAGGGTGTTGCAAACCTGAACTATCAAAGGAAGGTTCAACTCTGTGAGTTGAATTCAAACATCACAAAGAATGTTCTGAGTTTGCTTCCGTTCAGTTATGGGAAGTTGATCCCGTTTCCAACGAAATCCTCAGAGAGGTCCAAATATCCCCTCGCAGATTCTACAAAACGTGTGTTTGGAAACTGCTCCATCATAACGAATGTTCAGCTCCCTGAGTTAAACTACATCGTCACAAAGAATTTTCTGAGAGTGCTACCGTCTGGTTTTTATATGAAGTTCTTTCCTTCACTACCACAGGCCTCAAAGCGGTCTAAATCTCCACTTGCAGATTCTACAAAAAGAGTGTTTGCAAACTGCTCTATCAAAAGGAATGTTCAACTCTGGGAGTTGAATGCAATCATCACAGAGCAGTTTCTGAGAATGCTTCTATGTCGTTTTTAGGAGAAGATATTTCCTTTTCCAACACAGTCCTCCAAGCCCGCTAAATAGCCACTTGCACATTGTAGAAAAAGTGTGTCAAAGCTGCGCTATCAAAGGGAAAGTTCAACTCTGTGAGGTGAATGCAAACATCCCAAAGAAGTTTCTGAGAATGCTTCCGTTTAGCTTTTAGGTGAAGATTATCCCGTTTCCAACGAAACCTTCAAAGAGGTCCAAATATCCCCTTGCGGATCCCACAGAAAGAGTGTTTCGAAACTGCTGTTTCAAAAGGAATCTTCAACTCTGTGAGTTGAATGCAATCATCACAAAGAAGTTTCTGACAATGCTTCTCTCTCGTCTTTCTGTGAAGATAAAGGAAAAGGCTTTCAGGCCTTTTCCACCACAGGCCTGAAAGCGCTCCAAATGTCCACTTGCAGATTCTGCGAAAAGAATATTTCAAAACTGCTCTATGAAAAGCAAAGTTAAACTCTGTGGCTCGAACACAAACATCACAAAGCGGTTTCTGAGAATGCTTCAGTTTAGTTTTTCTGTGGAAATATTCCCGTTTCCAAAGAAATCTTCAAAGAGGTCCACGTATCCACTTACAGATTCTACAAAAAGACAGTTTCAAAACTGCTCCATCAAAAGGAGGGTTCAACTGTGTGACTTGAATGCAATCATCACTCAGAAGTTTCTGAGAATGCTTCTCTTTAGTTTTTACGTGAACATATACCCGTTTCGAACGAAGGCCAGCCAGTGGTCCAAATATCCACTTGCAGATTCTACAGAAAGAGTGTTTCGAACCTGAACTCTCAAAGGCAGGTTCATCTCTGCGAGTTAAATGCATTCATCATGAAGAACTTTCTCAGAGTGTTTGTGTTTAGTTATGGGAAATTATTCCCGTTTCCAACGAAATCCTCAGAGAGCTCCAAATATCCACCTGCAGATTCTACCAAAAGTGTATTTGGAAACTGCTCCATCAAAAGGCATGTTCAGCTCTGTGAGTGAAACTCCATCATCACAAAGAATATTCTGAGAATGCTTCCCGTTTGCCTTTTATATGAAGTTCCTTCCTATACGACCGTAGGCCTCAAAGCAGTCCAAATCTCCATTTGCAGATTCTACAAAAAGAGTGATTCCAATCTGCTCTATCAATAGGATTGTTCAACTCCATGAGTTGAATGCCATCCTCACAAAGTCGTTTCTGAGAATGCTTCTATCTGGTTTTTGTGTGAAGATATTTCCTTTTCCACCACAGGCCTCAAAGCCCTCCAAACGTCCACTTGCAGATTCTCGAAAAAGAGTGTTTCATAGCTGCTCTTTCAAAAGGAAAGTTCAACTCTGGGAGTTGAATACAAACATCACAAAATAGTTTCCGAGAATGCTTCTGTTTAGTTCTTATGTGAAGATGATCCCGTTTCCAGTGAAATCTTCAAAGAGGTCCACATATCCTCTTGCAGATTCCAAAGAAAGAGGGTTTCAAAACTGCTCCATCAAAAGGATTGTTCAACTCTGTGAGTTGAATGCACTCATCGCAGAAAACTTTCTGAGAATGCTTCTGTCTAGGTTTGATGTGAAGATATAGACGTTTCAAACGAAGGCTACAAAGTGGTCAAAATATACACTTGCAGATTCTACTACAAGGGTGTTGCAAACCTGAACTATCAAAGGAAGGTTCAACTCTGTGAATTGAATACAAACATCACAAAGAATGTTCTGAGTTTGCTTCCGTTCAGTTATGGGAAGTTGATCCCGTTTCCAACGAAATCCTCAGAGAGGTCCAAATATCCCCTCGCAGATTCTACAAAACGTGTGTTTGGAAACTGCTCCATCATAACGAATGTTCAGCTCCCTGAGTTAAACTCCATCGTCACAAAGAATTTTCTGAGAGTGCTACCGTCTGGTTTTTATATGAAGTTCTTTCCTTCACTACCACAGGCCTCAAAGCGGTCCAAATCTCCACTTGCAGATTCTACAAAAAGAGTGTTTGCAAACTGCTCTATCAAAAGGAATGTTCAACTCTGGGAGTTGAATGCAATCATCACAGAGCAGTTTCTGAGAATGCTTCTATGTCGTTTTTAGGAGAAGATATTTCCTTTTCCAACACAGTCCTCCAAGCCCGCTAAATAGCCACTTGCACATTGTAGAAAAAGTGTGTCAAAGCTGCGCTATCAAAGGGAAATTTCAACTCTGTGAGGTGAATGCAAACATCCCAAAGAAGTTTCTGAGAATGCTTCCGTTTAGCTTTTAGGTGAAGATTATCCCGTTTCCAACGAAACCTTCAAAGAGGTCCAAATATCCCCTTGCGGATCCCACAGAAAGAGTGTTTCGAAACTGCTGTTTCAAAAGGAATCTTCAACTCTGTGAGTTGAATGCAATCATCACAAAGAAGTTTCTGACAATGCTTCTCTCTCGTCTTTCTGTGAAGATAAAGGAAAAGGCTTTCAGGCCTTTTCCACCACAGGCCTGAAAGCGCTCCAAATGTCCACTTGCAGATTCTGCCAAAAGAATATTTCAAAACTGCTCTATGAAAAGCAATGTTAAACTCTGTGGCTGGAACACAAACATCACAAAGCGGTTTCTGAGAATGTTTCAGTTTAGTTTTTCTGTGGAAATATTCCCGTTTCCAAAGAAATCTTCAAAGAGGTCCACGTATCCACTTACAGATTCTACAAAAAGACAGTTTCAAAACTGCTCCATCAAAAGGAGGGTTCAACTGTGTGACTTGAATGCAATCATCACTCAGAAGTTTCTGAGAATGCTTCTCTTTAGTTTTTACGTGAACATATACCCGTTTCGAACGAAGGCCACCCAGTGGTCCAAATATCCACTTGCAGATTCTACAGAAAGAGTGTTTCGAACCTGAACTCTCAAAGGCAGGTTCATCTCTGGCGAGTTAAATGCATTCATCATGAAGAACTTTCTCAGAGTGTTTTTGTGTTTAGTTATGGGAAATTATTCCCGTTTCCAACGAAATCCTCAGAGAGCTCCAAATATCCACCTGCAGATTCTACCAAAAGTGTATTTGGAAACTGCTCCATCAAAAGGCATGTTCAGCTCTGTGAGTGAAACTCCATCATCACAAAGAATATTCTGAGAATGCTTCCGTTTGCCTTTTATATGAAGTTCCTTCCTATACGACCGTAGGCCTCAAAGCAGTCCAAATCTCCATTTGCAGATTCTACAAAAAGAGTGATTCCAATCTGCTCTATCAATAGGATTGTTCAACTCCATGAGTTGAATGCCATCCTCACAAAGTAGTTTCTGAGAATGCTTCTATCTAGTTTTTATGTGAAGATATTTCCTTTTCCACCACAGGCCTCAAAGCCCTCCAAACGTCCACTTGCAGATTCTCGAAAAAGAGTGTTTCATAGCTGCTCTTTCAAAAGGAAAGTTCAACTCTGGGAGTTGAATACAAACATCACAAAGTAGTTTCCGAGAATGCTTCTGTTTAGTTTTTATGTGAAGATGATCCCGTTTCCAGTGAAATCTTCAAAGAGGTCCACATATCCCCTTGCAGATTCCAAAGAAAGAGGGTTTCAAAACTGCTCCATCAGAAGGATTGTTCAACTCTGTGAGTTGAATGCAGTCATCGCAGAAAACTTTCTGAGAATGCTTCTGTCTAGGTTTGATGTGAAGATATAGACGTTTCAAACGAAGGCTACAAAGTGGTCAAAATATACACTTGCAGATTCTACTACAAGGGTGTTGCAAACCTGAACTATCAAAGGAAGGTTCAACTCTGTGAGTTGAATACAAACATCACAAAGAATGTTCTGAGTTTGCTTCCGTTCAGTTATGGGAAGTTGATCCCGTTTCCAGCGAAATCCTCAGAGAGGTCCAAATATCCCCTTGCAGATTCTACAAAACGTGTGTTTGGAAACTGCTCCATCATAACGAATGTTCAGCTCCCTGAGTTAAACTCCATCGTCACAAAGAATTTTCTGAGAGTGCTACCGTCTGGTTTTTATATGAAGCTCTTTCCTTTACTACCCCAGTCCTCAAAGCGGTCCAAATCTCCACTTGCAGATTCTACAAAAAGAGTGTTTGCAAACTGCTCTATCAAAAGGAATGTTCAACTCTGGGAGTTGAATGCAATCATCACAGAGCAGTTTCTGAGAATGCTTCTATGTCGTTTTTAGGAGAAGATATTTCCTTTTCCAACACAGTCCTCCAAGCCCGCTAAATAGCCACTTGCACATTGTAGAAAAAGAGTGTCGAAGCTGCGCTATCAAAGGGAAAGTTCAACTCTGTGAGGTGAATACAAACATCCCAACGAAGTTTCTGAGAATGCTTCCGTTTAGCTTTTAGGTGAAGATTATCCCGTTTCCAACGAAATCTTCAAAGAAGTCCAAATATCCCCTTGCGGATCCCACAGAAAGAGTGTTTCGAAACTGCTGTTTCAAAAGGAATCTTCAACTCTGTGAGTTGAATGCAATCATCACAAAGAAGTTTCTGACAATGCTTCTCTCTCGTCTTTCTATGAAGATAAAGGAAAATGCTTTCAGGCCTTTTCCACCACAGGCCTGAAAGCGCTCCAAATGTCCACTTGCAGATTCTGCCAAAAGAATATTTCAAAACTGCTCTATGAAAAGCAATGTTAAACTCTGCGGCTCGAACACAAACATCACAAAGCAGTTTCAGAGAATGCTTCAGTTTACTTTTTCTGTGGAAATATTCCCGTTTCCAAAGAAATCTTCAAAGAGGTCCACGCATCCACTTACAGATTCTACAAAAAGACAGTTTCAAAACTGCTCAATCAAAAGGAGGGTTCAACTGTGTGACTTGAATGCAATCATCACTCAGAAGTTTCTGGGAACGCTTCTCTTTAGTTTTTACGTGAACATATACCCGTTTCGAACGAAGGCCAGCCAGTGGTCCAAATATCCACTTGCAGATTCTACAGAAAGAGTGTTTCGAACCTGAACTCTCAAAGGCAGGTTCATCTCTGCGAGTTAAATGCATTCATCATGAAGAACTTTCTCAGCGTGTTTGTGTTTAGTTATGGGAAATTATTCCCGTTTCCAAAGAAATCCTCAGAGAGATCCAAATATCCACCTGCAGATTCTACCAAAAGTGTATTTGGAAACTGCTCCATCAAAAGGCATGTTCAGCTCTGTGAGTGAAACTCCATCATCACAAAGAATATTCTGAGAATGCTTCCGTTTGCCTTTTATATGAAGTTCCTTCCTATACGACCGTAGGCCTCAAAGCAGTCCAAATCTCCATTTGCAGATTCTACAAAAAGAGTGATTCCAATCTGCTCTATCAATAGGACTGTTCAACTCCATGAGTTGAATGCCATCCTCACAAAGTCGTTTCTGAGAATGCTTCTATCTAGTTTTTATGTGAAGATATTTCCTTTTCCACCACAGGCCTCAAAGCCCTCCAAACGTCCACTTGCAGATTCTCGAAAAAGAGTGTTTCATAGCTGCTCTTTCAAAAGGAAAGTTCAACTCTGGGAGGTGAATACAAACATCACAAAGTAGTTTCCGAGAATGCTTCTGTTTAGTTCTTATGTGAAGATGATCCCGTTTCCAGTGAAATCTTCAAAGAGGTCCACATATCCCCTTGCAGATTCCAAAGAAAGAGGGTTTCAAAACTGCTCCATCAAAAGGATTGTTCAACTCTGTGAGTTGAATGCAGTCATCGCAGAAAACTTTCTGAGAATGCTTCTGTCTGGGTTTGATGTGAAGATATAGACGTTTCAAACGAAGGCTACAAAGTGGTCAAAATATAAACTTGCAGATTCTACTACAAGGGTGTTGCAAACCTGAACTATCAAAGGAAGGTTCAACTCTGTGAGTTGAATACAAACATCACAAAGAATGTTCTGAGTTTGCTTCCGTTCAGTTATGGGAAGTTGATCCCGTTTCCAACGAAATCCTCAGAGAGGTCCAAATATCCCCTTGCAGATTCTACAAAACGTGTGTTTGGAAACTGCTCCATCATAACGAATATTCAGCTCTCTGAGTTAAACTCCATCGTCACAAAGAATTTTCTGAGAGTGCTTCTATGTCGTTTTTAGGAGAAGATATTTCCTTTTCCAACACAGTCCTCCAAGCCCGCTAAATATCCACTTGCACATTGTAGAAAACGTGTGTCGACGCTGCGCTATCAAAGGGAAAGTTCAACTCTGTGAGGTGAATGCAAACATCCCAAAGAAGTTTCTGACAATGCTTCCGTTGAGCTTTTAGGTGAAGATTATCCCGTTTCCAACGAAACCTTCAAAGAGGTCCAAATATCCCCTTGCGGATCCCACAGAAAGAGTGTTTCGAAACTGCTGTTTCAAAAGGAATCTTCAACTCTGTGAGTTGAATGCAATCATCACAAAGAAGTTTCTGACAATGCTTCTCTCTCGTCTTTCTGTGAAGATAAAGGAAAAGGCTTTCAGGCCTTTTCCACCACAGGCCTGAAAGCGCTCCAAATGTCCACTTGCAGATTCTGCCAAAAGAATATTTCAAAACTGCTCTATGAAAAGCAATGTTAAACTCTGTGGCTCGAACACAAACATCACAAAGCAGTTTCTGAGAATGCTTCAGTTTAGTTTTTCTGTGGAAATATTCCCGTTTCCAAAGAAATCTTCAAAGAGGTCCACGTATCCACTTACAGATTCTACAAAAAGACAGTTTCAAAACTGCTCCATCAAAAGGAGGGTTCAACTGTGTGACTTGAATGCAATCATCACTCAGAAGTTTCTGAGAATGCTTCTCTTTAGTTTTTACGTGAACATATACCCGTTTCGAACGAAGGCCACCCAGTGGTCCAAATATCCACTTGCAGATTCTACAGAAAGAGTGTTTCGAACCTGAACTCTCAAAGGCAGGTTCATCTCTGCGAGTTAAATGCATTCATCATGAAGAACTTTCTCAGAGTGTTTGTGTTTAGTTATGGGAAATTATTCCCGTTTCCAACGAAATCCTCAGAGAGCTCCAAATATCCACCTGCAGATTCTACCAAAAGTGTATTTGGAAACTGCTCCATCAAAAGGCATGTTCAGCTCTGTGAGTGAAACTCCATCATCACAAAGAATATTCTGAGAATGCTTCCGTTTGCTTTTTATATGAAGTTCCTTCCTATACTACCGTAGGCCTCAAAGCAGTCCAAATCTCCATTTGCAGATTCTACAAAAAGAGTGATTCCAATCTGCTCTATCAATAGGATTGTTCAACTCCATGAGTTGAATGCCATCCTCACAAAGTAGTTTCTGAGAATGCTTCTATCTAGTTTTTATGTGAAGATATTTCCTTTTCCACCACAGGCCTCAAAGCCCTCCAAACGTCCACTTGCAGATTCTCGAAAAAGAGTGTTTCATAGCTGCTCTTTCAAAAGGAAAGTTCAACTCTGGGAGTTGAATACAAACATCACAAAGTAGTTTCCGAGAATGCTTCTGTTTAGTTTTTATGTGAAGATGATCCCGTTTCCAGTGAAATCTTCAAAGAGGTCCACATATCCCCTTGCAGATTCCAAAGAAAGAGGGTTTCAAAACTGCTCCATCAGAAGGATTTTTCAACTCTGTGAGTTGAATGCAGTCATCGCAGAAAACTTTCTGAGAATGCTTCTGTCTAGGTTTGATGTGAAGATATAGACGTTTCAAACGAAGGCTACAAAGTGGTCAAAATATACACTTGCAGATTCTACTACAAGGGTGTTGCAAACCTGAACTATCAAAGGAAGGTTCAACTCTGTGAGTTGAATACAAACGTCACAAAGAATGTTCTGAGTTTGCTTCCGTTCAGTTATGGGAAGTTGATCCCGTTTCCAACGAAATCCTCAGAGAGGTCCAAATATCCCCTCGCAGATTCTACAAAACGTGTGTTTGGAAACTGCTCCATCATAACGAATGTTCAGCTCCCTGAGTTAAACTCCATCGTCACAAAGAATTTTCTGAGAGTGCTACCGTCTGGTTTTTATATGAAGTTCTTTCCTTCACTACCACAGGCCTCAAAGCGGTCCAAATCTCCACTTGCAGATTCTACAAAAAGAGTGTTTGCAAACTGCTCTATCAAAAGGAATGTTCAACTCTGGGAGTTGAATGCAATCATCACAGAGCAGTTTCTGAGAATGCTTCTATGTCGTTTTTAGGAGAAGATATTTCCTTTTCCAACACAGTCCTCCAAGCCCGCTAAATATCCACTTGCACATTGTAGAAAAAGTGTGTCGACGCTGCGCTATCAAAGGGAAAGTTCAACTCTGTGAGGTGAATGCAAACATCCCAAAGAAGTTTCTGAGAATGCTTCCGTTTAGCTTTTAGGTGAAGATTATCCCGTTTCCAACGAAACCTTCAAAGAGGTCCAAATATCCCCTTGCGGATCCCACAGAAAGAGTGTTTCGAAACTGCTGTTTCAAAAGGAATCTTCAACTCTGTGAGTTGAATGCAATCATCAAAAAGAAGTTTCTGACAATGCTTCTCTCTCGTCTTTCTGTGAAGATAAAGGAAAAGGCTTTCAGGCCTTTTCCACCACAGGCCTGAAAGCGCTCCAAATGTCCACTTGCAGATTCTGCCAAAAGAATATTTCAAAACTGCTCTATGAAAAGCAATGTTAAACTCTGTGGCTGGAACACAAACATCACAAAGCGGTTTCTGAGAATGTTTCAGTTTAGTTTTTCTGTGGAAATATTCCCGTTTCCAAAGAAATCTTCAAAGAGGTCCACGTATCCACTTACAGATTCTACAAAAAGACAGTTTCAAAACTGCTCCATCAAAAGGAGGGTTCAACTGTGTGACTTGAATGCAATCATCACTCAGAAGTTTCTGAGAATGCTTCTCTTTAGTTTTTACGTGAACATATACCCGTTTCGAACGAAGGCCACCCAGTGGTCCAAATATCCACTTGCAGATTATACAGAAAGAGTGTTTCGAACCTGAACTCTCAAAGGCAGGTTCATCTCTGCGAGTTAAATGCATTCATCATGAAGAACTTTCTCAGAGTGTTTGTGTTTAGTTATGGGAAATTATTCCCTTTTCCAACGAAATCCTCAGAGAGCTCCAAATATCCACCTGCAGATTCTACCAAAAGTGTATTTGGAAACTGCTCCATCAAAAGGCATGTTCAGCTCTGTGAGTGAAACTCCATCATCACAAAGAATATTCTGAGAATGCTTCCGTTTGCCTTTTATATGAAGTTCCTTCCTATACTACCGTAGGCCTCAAAGCAGTCCAAATCTCCATTTGCAGATTCTACAAAAAGAGTGATTCCAATCTGCTCTATCAATAGGATTGTTCAACTCCATGAGTTGAATGCCATCCTCACAAAGTAGTTTCTGAGAATGCTTCTATCTAGTTTTTATGTGAAGATATTTCCTTTTCCACCACAGGCCTCAAAGCCCTCCAAACGTCCACTTGCAGATTCTCGAAAAAGAGTGTTTCATAGCTGCTCTTTCAAAAGGAAATTTCAACTCTGGGAGTTGAATACAAACATCACAAAGAATGTTCTGAGTTTGCTTCCGTTCAGTTATGGGAAGTTGATCCCGTTTCCAATGAAATCCTCAGAGAGGTCCAAATATCCCCTTGCAGATTCTACAAAACGTGTGTTCGGAAACTGCTCCATCATAACGAATGTTCAGCTCCCTGAGTTAAACTCCATCGTCACAAAGAATTTTCTGAGAGTGCTACCGTCTGGTTTTTATATGAAGTTCTTTCCTTCACTACCACAGGCCTCAAAGCGGTCCAAATCTCCACTTGCAGATTCTACAAAAAGAGTGTTTGCAAACTGCTCTATCAAAAGGAATGTTCAACTCTGGGAGTTGAATGCAATCATCACAGAGCAGTTTCTGAGAATGCTTCTATGTCGTTTTTAGGAGAAGATATTTCCTTTTCCAACACAGTCCTCCAAGCCCGCTAAATAGCCACTTGCACATTGTAGAAAAAGTGTGTCAAAGCTGCGCTATCAAAGGGAAAGTTCAACTCTGTGAGGTGAATGCAAACATCCCAAAGAAGTTTCAGAGAATGCTTCCGTTTAGCTTTTAGGTGAAGATTATCCCGTTTCCAACGAAACCTTCAAAGAGGTCCAAATATCCCCTTGCGGATCCCACAGAAAGAGTGTTTCGAAACTGCTGTTTCAAAAGGAATCTTCAACTCTGTGAGTTGAATGCAATCATCACAAAGAAGTTTCTGACAATGCTTCTCTCTCGTCTTTCTGTGAAGATAAAGGAAAAGGCTTTCAGGCCTCTTCCACCACAGGCCTGAAAGCGCTCCAAATGTCCACTTGCAGATTCTGCGAAAAGAATATTTCAAAACTGCTCTATGAAAAGCAATGGTAAACTCTGTGGCTCGAACACAAACATCACAAAGCGGTTTCTGAGAATGCTTCAGTTTAGTTTTTCTGTGGAAATATTCCCGTTTCCAAAGAAATCTTCAAAGAGGTCCACGTATCCACTTACAGATTCTACAAAAAGACAGTTTCAAAACTGCTCCATCAAAAGGAGGGTTCAACTGTGTGACTTGAATGCAATCATCACTCAGAAGTTTCTGAGAATGCTTCTCTTTAGTTTTTACGTGAACATATACCCGTTTCGAACGAAGGCCACCCAGTGGTCCAAATATCCACTTGCAGATTCTACAGAAAGAGTGTTTCGAACCTGAACTCTCAAAGGCAGGTTCATCTCTGCGAGTTAAATGCATTCATCATGAAGAACTTTCTCAGAGTGTTTGTGTTTAGTTATGGGAAATTATTCCCGTTTCCAACGAAATCCTCAGAGTGGACCAAATATCCACCTGCAGATTCTACCAAAAGTGTACTTGGAATCTGCTCCATCAAAAGGCATGTTCAGCTCTGTGAGTGAAACTCCATCATCACAAAGAATATTCTGAGAATGCTTCCGTTCGCCTTTTATATGAAGTTCCTTCCTGTACTACCGTAGGCCTCAAAGCAGTCCAAATCTCCATTTGCAGATTCTACAAAAAGAGTGATTCCAATCTGCTCTATCAATAGGATTGTTCAACTCCATGAGTTGAATGCCATCCTCACAAAGTAGTTTCTGAGAATGCTTCTATCTGGTTTTTGTGTGAAGATATTTCCTTTTCCACCACAGGCCTCAAAGCCCTCCAAACGTCCACTTGCAGATTCTCGAAAAAGAGTGTTTCATAGCTGCTCTTTCAAAAGGAAAGTTCAACTCTGGGAGTTGAATACAAACATCACAAAGAATGTTCTGAGTTTGCTTCCGTTCAGTTATGGGAAGTTGATCCCGTTTCCAACGAAATCCTCAGAGAGGTCCAAATATCCCCTTGCAGATTCTACAAAGCGTGTGTTTGGAAACTGCTCCATCATAACGAATGTTCAGCTCCCTGAGTTAAACTCCATCGTCACAAAGAATTTTCTGAGAGTGCTACCGTCTGTTTTTTATATGAAGCTCTTTCCTTTACTACCCCAGTCCTCAAAGCGGTCCAAATCTCCACTTGCAGATTCTACAAAAAGAGTGTTTGCAAACTGCTCTATCAAAAGGAATGTTCAACTCTGGGAGTTGAATGCAATCATCACAGAGCAGTTTCTGAGAATGCTTCTATGTCGTTTTTAGGAGAAGATATTTCCTTTTCCAACACAGTCCTCCAAGCCCGCTAAATAGCCACTTGCACATTGTAGAAAAAGTGTGTCAAAGCTGCGCTATCAAAGGGAAAGTTCAACTCTGTGAGGTGAATGCAAACATCCCAAAGAAGTTTCTGAGAATGCTTCCGTTTAGCTTTTAGGTGAAGATTATCCCGTTTCCAACGAAACCTTCAAAGAGGTCCAAATATCCCCTTGCGGATCCCACAGAAAGAGTGTTTCGAAACTGCTGTTTCAAAAGGAATCTTCAACTCTGTGAGTTGAATGCAATCATCACAAAGAAGTTTCTGACAATGCTTCTCTCTCGTCTTTCTGTGAAGATAAAGGAAAAGGCTTTCAGGCCTTTTCCACCACAGGCCTGAAAGCGCTCCAAATGTCCACTTGCAGATTCTGCCAAAAGAATATTTCAAAACTGCTCTATGAAAAGCAATGTTAAACTCTGCGGCTCGAACACAAACATCACAAAGCGGTTTCTGAGAATGCTTCAGTTTAGTTTTTCTGTGGAAATATTCCCGTTTCCAAAGAAATCTTCAAAGAGGTCCACGTATCCACTTACAGATTCTACAAAAAGACAGTTTCAAAACTGCTCAATCAAAAGGGAGGGTTCAACCCGTGTGACTTGAATGCAATCATCACTCAGAAGTTTCTGAGAATGCTTCTCTTTAGTTTTTACGTGAACATATAACCGTTTCGAACGAAGGCCACCCAGTGGTCCAAATATCCACTTGCAGATTCTACAGAAAGAGTGTTTCGAACCTGAACTCTCAGAGGCAGGTTCATCTCTGCGAGTTCAATGCATTCATCATGAAGAACTTTCTCAGCGTGTTTGTGTTTAGTTATGGGAAATTATTCCCGTTTCCAACGAAATCCTCAGAGAGGTCCAAATGTCCACCTGCAGATTCTACCAAAAGTGTATTTGGAAACTGCTCCATCAACAGGCATGTTCAGCTCTGTGAGTGAAACTCCATCATCACAAAGAATATTCTGAGAATGCTTCCGTTTGCCTTTTATCTGAAGTTCCTTCCTATACGACCGTAGGCCTCAAAGCAGTCCAAATCTCCATTTGCAGATTCTACAAAAAGAGTGATTCCAATCTGCTCTATCAATAGGATTGTTCAACTCCATGAGTTGAATGCCATCCTCACAAAGTCGTTTCTGAGAATGCTTCTATCTAGTTTTTATGTGAAGATATTTCCTTTTCCACCACAGGCCTCAAAGCCCTCCAAACGTCCACTTGCAGATTCTCGAAAAGGAGTGTTTCATAGCTGCTCTTTCAAAAGGAAAGTTCAACTCTGGCAGTTGAATACAAACATCACAAAGTAGTTTCCGAGAATGCTTCTGTTTAGTTTTTATGTGAAGATGATCCCGTTTCCAGTGAAATCTTCAAAGAGGTCCACATATCCCCTTGCAGATTCCAAAGAAAGAGGGTTTCAAAACTGCTCCATCAGAAGGATTGTTCAACTCTGTGAGTTGAATGCAGTCATCGCAGAAAACTTTCTGAGAATGCTTCTGTCTAGGTTTGATGTGAAGATATAGACGTTTCAAACGAAGGCTACAAAGTGGTCAAAATATACACTTGCAGATTCTACTACAAGGGTGTTGCAAACCTGAACTATCAAAGGAAGGTTCAACTCTGTGAGTTGAATACAAACATCACAAAGAATGTTCTGAGTTTGCTTCCGTTCAGTTATGGGAAGTTGATCCCGTTTCCAACGAAATCCTCAGAGAGGTCCAAATATCCCCTTGCAGATTCTACAAAACGTGTGTTTGGAAACTGCTCCATCATAACGAATGTTCAGCTCCCTGAGTTAAACTCCATCGTCACAAAGAATTTTCTGAGAGTGCTACCGTCTGGTTTTTATATGAAGTTCTTTCCTTCACTACCACAGGCCTCAAAGCGGTCCAAATCTCCACTTGCAGATTCTACAAAAAGAGTGTTTGCAAACTGCTCTATCAAAAGGAATGTTCAACTCTGGGAGTTGAATGCAATCATCACAGAGCAGTTTCTGAGAATGCTTCTATGTCGTTTTTAGGAGAAGATATTTCCTTTTCCAACACAGTCCTCCAAGTCCGCTAAATAGCCACTTGCACATTGTAGAAAAAGTGTGTCAAAGCTGCGCTATCAAAGGGAAAGTTCAACTCTGTGAGGTGAATGCAAACATCCCAAAGAAGTTTCTGAGAATGCTTCCGTTTAGCTTTTAGGTGAAGATTATCCCGTTTCCAACGAAACCTTCAAAGAGGTCCAAATATCCCCTTGCGGATCCCACAGAAAGAGTGTTTCGAAACTGCTGTTTCAAAAGGAATCTTCAACTCTGTGAGTTGAATGCAATCATCACAAAGAAGTTTCTGACAATGCTTCTCTCTCGTCTTTCTGTGAAGATAAAGGAAAAGGCTTTCAGGCCTTTGCAACCACAGGCCTGAAAGCGCTCCAAATGTCCACTTGCAGATTCTGCGAAAAGAATATTTCAAAACTGCTCTATGAAAAGCAATGTTAAACTCTGTGGCTCGAACACAAACATCACCAAGCAGTTTCTGAGAATGCTTCAGTTTAGTTTTTCTGTGGAAATATTCCCGTTTCCAAAGAAATCTTCAAAGAGGTCCACGCATCCACTTACAGATTCTACAAAAAGACAGTTTCAAAACTGCTCCATCAAAAGGAGGGTTCAACTGTGTGACTTGAATGCAATCATCACTCAGAAGTTTCTGAGAATGCTTCTCTTTAGTTTTTACGTGAACATATACCCGTTTCGAACGAAGGGCCACCCAGTGGTCCAAATATCCACTTGCAGATTATACAGAAAGAGTGTTTCGAACCTGAACTCTCAAAGGCAGGTTCATCTCTGCGAGTTAAATGCATTCATCATGAAGAACTTTCTCAGAGTGTTTGTGTTTAGTTATGGGAAATTATTCCCGTTTCCAACGAAATCCTCAGAGAGCTCCAAATATCCACCTGCAGATTCTACCAAAAGTGTATTTGGAAACTGCTCCATCAAAAGGCATGTTCAGCTCTGTGAGTGAAACTCCATCATCACAAAGAATATTCTGAGAATGCTTCCGTTTGCCTTTTATATGAAGTTCCTTCCTGTACTACCGTAGGCCTCAAAGCAGTCCAAATCTCCATTTGCAGATTCTACAAAAAGAGTGATTCCAATCTGCTCTATCAATAGGATTGTTCAACTCCATGAGTTGAATGCCATCCTCACAAAGTAGTTTCTGAGAATGCTTCTATCTGGTTTTTGTGTGAAGATATTTCCTTTTCCACCACAGGCCTCAAAGCCCTCCAAACGTCCACTTGCAGATTCTAGAAAAAGAGTGTTTCATAGCTGCTCTTTCAAAAGGAAAGTTCAACTCTGGGAGTTGAATACAAACATCACAAAATAGTTTCCGAGAATGCTTCTGTTTAGTTTTTATGTGAAGATGATCCCGTTTCCAGTGAAATCTTCAAAGAGGTCCACATATCCCCTTGCAGATTCCAAAGAAAGAGGGTTTCAAAACTGCTCCATCAAAAGGATTGTTCAACTCTGTGAGTTGAATGCAGTCATCGCAGAAAACTTTCTGAGAATGCTTCTGTCTAGGTTTGATGTGAAGATATAGACGTTTCAAACGAAGGCTACAAAGTGGTCAAAATATACACTTGCAGATTCTACTACAAGGGTGTTGCAAACCTGAACTATCAAAGGAAGGTTCAACTCTGTGAGTTGAATACAAACATCACAAAGAATGTTCTGAGTTTGCTTCCGTTCAGTTATGGGAAGTTGATCCCGTTTCCAGCGAAATCCTCAGAGAGGTCCAAATATCCCCTTGCAGTTTCTACAAAACGTGTGTTTGGAAACTGCTCCATCATAACGAATGTTCAGCTCCCTGAGTTAAACTCCATCGTCACAAAGAATTTTCTGAGAGTGCTACCGTCTGGTTTTTATATGAAGTTCTTTCCTTTACTACCATAGGCCTCAAAGCGGTCCAAATCTCCACTTGCAGATTCTACAAAAAGAGTGTTTGCAAACTGCTCTATCAAAAGGAATGTTCAACCCTGGGAGTTGAATGCAATCATCACAGAGCAGTTTCTGAGAATGCTTCTATGTCGTTTTTAGGAGAAGATATTTCCTTTTCCAACACAGTCCTCTAGCCCGCTAAATAGCCACTTGCACATTGTAGAAAAAGTGTGTCAAAGCTGCGCTATCAAAGGGAAAGTTCAACTCTGTGAGGTGAATGCAAACATCCCAAAGAAGTTTCTGAGAATGCTTCCGTTTAGCTTTTAGGTGAAGATTATCCCGTTTCCAACGAAACCTTCAAAGAGGTCCAAATATCCCCTTGCGGATCCCACAGAAAGAGTGTTTCGAAACTGCTGTTTCAAAAGGAATCTTCAACTCTGTGAGTTGAATGCAATCATCACAAAGAAGTTTCTGACAATGCTTCTCTTTCTGTGAAGATAAAGGAAAAGGCTTTCAGGCCTTTTCCACCACAGGCCTGAAAGCGCTCCAAATGTCCACTTGCAGATTCTGCCAAAAGAATATTTCAAAACTGCTCTATGAAAAGCAATGTTAAACTCTGTGGCTGGAACACAAACATCACAAAGCGGTTTCTGAGAATGTTTCAGTTTAGTTTTTCTGTGGAAATATTCCCGTTTCCAAAGAAATCTTCAAAGAGGTCCACGTATCCACTTACAGATTCTACAAAAAGACAGTTTCAAAACTGCTCCATCAAAAGGAGGGTTCAACTGTGTGACTTGAATGCAATCATCACTCAGAAGTTTCTGAGAATGCTTCTCTTTAGTTTTTACGTGAACATATACCCGTTTCGAACGAAGGCCACCCAGTGGTCCAAATATCCACTTGCAGATTATACAGAAAGAGTGTTTCGAACCTGAACTCTCAAAGGCAGGTTCATCTCTGCGAGTTAAATGCATTCATCATGAAGAACTTTCTCAGAGTGTTTGTGTTTAGTTATGGGAAATTATTCCCGTTTCCAACGAAATCCTCAGAGAGCTCCAAATATCCACCTGCAGATTCTACCAAAAGTGTATTTGGAAACTGCTCCATCAAAAGGCATGTTCAGCTCTGTGAGTGAAACTCCATCATCACAAAGAATATTCTGAGAATGCTTCCGTTTGCCTTTTATATGAAGTTCCTTCCTATACGACCGTAGGCCTCAAAGCAGTCCAAATCTCCATTTGCAGATTCTACAAAAAGAGTGATTCCAATCTGCTCTATCAATAGGATTGTTCAACTCCATGAGTTGAATGCCATCCTCACCAAGTCGTTTCTGAGAATGCTTCTATCTAGTTTTTATGTGAAGATATTTCCTTTTCCACCACAGGCCTCAAAGCCCTCCAAACGTCCACTTGCAGATTCTCGAAAAAGAGTGTTTCATAGCTGCTCTTTCAAAAGGAAAGTTCAACTCTGGGAGTTGAATACAAACATCACAAAGTAGTTTCCGAGAATGCTTCTGTTTAGTTTTTATGTGAAGATGATCCCGTTTCCAGTGAAATCTTCAAAGAGGTCCACATATCCCCTTGCAGATTCCAAAGAAAGAGGGTTTCAAAACTGCTCCATCAGAAGGATTGTTCAACTCTGTGAGTTGAATGCAGTCATCGCAGAAAACTTTCTGAGAATGCTTCTGTCTAGGTTTGATGTGAAGATATAGACGTTTCAAACGAAGGCTACAAAGTGGTCAAAATATACACTTGCAGATTCTACTACAAGGGTGTTGCAAACCTGAACTATCAAAGGAAGGTTCAACTCTGTGAGTTGAATACAAACATCACAAAGAATGTTCTGAGTTTGCTTCCGTTCAGTTATGGGAAGTTGATCCCGTTTCCAACGAAATCCTCAGAGAGGTCCAAATATCCCCTTGCAGATTCTACAAAACGTGTGTTTGGAAACTGCTCCATCGTAACGAATGTTCAGCTCCCTGAGTTAAACTCCATCGTCACAAAGAATTTTCTGAGAGTGCTACCGTCTGGTTTTTATATGAAGTTCTTTCCTTCACTACCACAGGCCTCAAAGCGGTCCAAATCTCCACTTGCAGATTCTACAAAAAGAGTGTTTGTAAACTGCTCTATCAAAAGGAATGTTCAACTCTGGGAGTTGAATGCAATCATCACAGAGCAGTTTCTGAGAATGCTTCTATGTCGTTTTTAGGAGAAGATATTTCCTTTTCCAACACAGTCCTCCAAGCCCGCTAAATAGCCACTTGCACATTGTAGAAAAAGTGTGTCAAAGCTGCGCTATCAAAGGGAAAGTTCAACTCTGTGAGGTGAATGCAAACATCCCAAAGAAGTTTCTGAGAATGCTTCCGTTTAGCTTTTAGGTGAAGATTATCCCGTTTCCAACGAAACCTTCAAAGAGGTCCAAATATCCCCTTGCGGATCCCACAGAAAGAGTGTTTCGAAACTGCTGTTTCAAAAGGAATCTTCAACTCTGTGAGTTGAATGCAATCATCACAAAGAAGTTTCTGACAATGCTTCTCTCTCGTCTTTCTGTGAAGATAAAGGAAAAGGCTTTCAGGCCTTTTCCACCACAGGCCTGAAAGCGCTCCAAATGTCCACTTGCAGATTCTGCCAAAAGAATATTTCAAAACTGCTCTATGAAAAGCAATGTTAAACTCTGCGGCTCGAACACAAACATCACAAAGCAGTTTCTGAGAATGCTTCGGTTAAGTTTTTCTGTGGAAATATTCCCGTTTCCAAAGAAATCTTCAAAGAGGTCCACGTATCCACTTACAGATTCTACAAAAAGACAGTTTCAAAACTGCTCAATCAAAAGGAGGGTTCAACTGTGTGACTTGAATGCAATCATCACTCAGAAGTTTCTGAGAACGCTTCTCTTTAGTTTTTACGTGAACATATACCCGTTTCGAACGAAGGCCAGCCAGTGGTCCAAATATCCACTTGCAGATTCTACAGAAAGAGTGTTTCGAACCTGAACTCTCAAAGGCACGTTCATCTCTGCGAGTTAAATGCATTCATCATGAAGAACTTTCTCAGCGTGTTTGTGTTTAGTTATGGGAAATTATTCCCGTTTCCAACGAAATCCTCAGAGAGCTCCAAATATCCACCTGCAGATTCTACCAAAAGTGTATTTGGAAACTGCTCCATCAAAAGGCATGTTCAGCTCTGTGAGTGAAACTCCATCATCACAAAGAATATTCTGAGAATGCTTCCGTTTGCCTTTTATATGAAGTTCCTTCCTATACTACCGTAGGCCTCAAAGCAGTCCAAATCTCCATTTGCAGATTCTACAAAAAGAGTGATTCCAATCTGCTCTATCAATAGGATTGTTCAACTCCATGAGTTGAATGCCATCCTCACAAAGTCGTTTCTGAGAATGTTTTCTATCTAGTTTTATGTGAAGATATTTCCTTTTCCACCACAGGCCTCAAAGCCCTCCAAACGTCCACTTGCAGATTCTCGAAAAAGAGTGTTTCATAGCTGCTCTTTCAAAAGGAAAGTTCAACTCTGGGAGTTGAATACAAACATCACAAAGTAGTTTCCGAGAATGCTTCTGTTTAGTTTTTATGTGAAGATGATCCCGTTTCCAGTGAAATCTTCAAAGAGGTCCACATATCCCCTTGCAGATTCCAAAGAAAGAGGGTTTCAAAACTGCTCCATCAGAAGGATTGTTCAACTCTGTGAGTTGAATGCAGTCATCGCAGAAAACTTTCTGAGAATGCTTCTGTCTAGGTTTGATGTGAAGATATAGACGTTTCAAACGAAGGCTACAAAGTGGTCAAAATATACACTTGCAGATTCTACTACAAGGGTGTTGCAAACCTGAACTATCAAAGGAAGGTTCAACTCTGTGAGTTGAATACAAACATCACAAAGAATGTTCTGAGTTTGCTTCCGTTCAGTTATGGGAAGTTGATCCCGTTTCCAACGAAATCCTCAGAGAGGTCCAAATATCCCCTCGCAGATTCTACAAAACGTGTGTTTGGAAACTGCTCCATCATAACGAATGTTCAGCTCCCTGAGTTAAACTCCATCGTCACAAAGAATTTTCTGAGAGTGCTACCGTCTGGTTTTTATATGAAGTTCTTTCCTTCACTACCACAGGCCTCAAAGCGGTCCAAATCTCCACTTGCAGATTCTACAAAAAGAGTGTTTGCAAACTGCTCTATCAAAAGGAATGTTCAACTCTGGGAGTTGAATGCAATCATCACAGAGCAGTTTCTGAGAATGCTTCTATGTCGTTTTTAGGAGAAGATATTTCCTTTTCCAACACAGTCCTCCAAGCCCGCTAAATAGCCACTTGCACATTGTAGAAAAAGTGTGTCAAAGCTGCGCTATCAAAGGGAAAGTTCAACTCTGTGAGGTGAATGCAAACATCCCAAAGAAGTTTCTGAGAATGCTTCCGTTTAGCTTTTAGGTGAAGATTATCCCGTTTCCAACGAAACCTTCAAAGAGGTCCAAATATCCCCTTGCGGATCCCACAGAAAGAGTGTTTCGAAACTGCTGTTTCAAAAGGAATCTTCAACTCTGTGAGTTGAATGCAATCATCACAAAGAAGTTTCTGACAATGCTTCTCTCTCGTCTTTCTGTGAAGGTAAAGGAAAAGGCTTTCAGGCCTTTTCCACCACAGGCCTGAAAGCGCTCCAAATGTCCACTTGCAGATTCTGCCAAAAGAATATTTCAAAACTGCTCTATGAAAAGCAATGTTAAACTCTGTGGCTCGAACACAAACATCACAAAGCGGTTTCTGAGAATGCTTCAGTTTAGTTTTTCTGTGGAAATATTCCCGTTTCCAAAGAAATCTTCAAAGAGGTCCACGTATCCACTTACAGATTCTACAAAAAGACAGTTTCAAAACTGCTCCATCAAAAGGAGGGTTCAACTGTGTGACTTGAATGCAATCATCACTCAGAAGTTTCTGAGAATGCTTCTCTTTAGTTTTTACGTGAACATATACCCGTTTCGAACGAAGGCCAGCCAGTGGTCCAAATATCCACTTGCAGATTCTACAGAAAGAGTGTTTCGAACCTGAACTCTCAAAGGCAGGTTCATCTCTGCGAGTTAAATGCATTCATCATGAAGAACTTTCTCAGAGTGTTTGTGTTTAGTTATGGGAAATTATTCCCGTTTCCAACGAAATCCTCAGAGAGCTCCAAATATCCACCTGCAGATTCTACCAAAAGTGTATTTGGAAACTGCTCCATCAAAAGGCATGTTCAGCTCTGTGAGTGAAACTCCATCATCACAAAGAATATTCTGAGAATGCTTCCGTTTGCCTTTTATATGAAGTTCCTTCCTATACGACCGTAGGCCTCAAAGCAGTCCAAATCTCCATTTGCAGATTCTACAAAAAGAGTGATTCCAATCTGCTCTATCAATAGGATTGTTCAACTCCCATGAGTTGAATGCCATCCTCACAAAGTAGTTTCTGAGAATGCTTCTATCTGGTTTTTGTGTGAAGATATTTCCTTTTCCACCACAGGCCTCAAAGCCCTCCAAACGTCCACTTGCAGATTCTCGAAAAAGAGTGTTTCATAGCTGCTCTTTCAAAAGGAAAGTTCAACTCTGGGAGTTGAATACAAACATCACAAAATAGCTTCCGAGATTGCTTCTGTTTAGTTTTTATGTGAAGATGATCCCGTTTCCAGTGAAATCTTCAAAGAGGTCCACATATCCCCTTGCAGATTCCAAAGAAAGAGGGTTTCAAAACTGCTCCATCAAAAGGATTGTTCAACTCTGTGAGTTGAATGCAGTCATCGCAGAAAACTTTCTGAGAATGCTTCTTTCTAGGTTTGATGTGAAGATATAGACGTTTCAAACGAAGGCTACAAAGTGGTCAAAATATACACTTGCAGATTCTACTACAAGGGTGTTGCAAACCTGAACTATCAAAGGAAGGTTCAACTCTGTGAGTTGAATACAAACATCACAAAGAATGTTCTGAGTTTGCTTCCGTTCAGTTATGGGAAGTTGATCCCGTTCCCAACGAAATCCTCAGAGAGGTCCAAATATCCCCTTGCAGATTCTACAAAACGTGTGTTTGGAAACTGCTCCATCATAACGAATGTTCAGCTCTCTGAGTTAAACTCCATCGTCACAAAGAATTTTCTGAGAGTGCTACCGTCTAGTTTTTATATGAAGTTCTTTCCTTTACTACCACAGGCCTCAAAGCTGTCCAAATCTCCACTTGCAGATTCTACAAAAAGAGTGTTTGCAAACTGCTCTATCAAAAGGAATGTTCAACTCTGGGAGTTGAATGCAATCATCACAGAGCAGTTTCTGAGAATGCTTCTATGTCGTTTTTAGGAGAAGATATTTCCTTTTCCAACACAGTCCTCCAAGCCCGCTAAATATCCACTTGCACATTGTAGAAAAAGTGTGTCGAAGCTGTGCTATCAAAGGGAAAGTTCAACTCTGTGAGGTGAATGCAAACATCCCAAAGAAGTTTCTGAGAATGCTTCCGTTTAGCTTTTAGGTGAAGATTATCCCGTTTCCAACGAAATCTTCAAAGAGGTCCAAATATCCCCTTGCGGATCCCACAGAAAGAGTGTTTCGAAACTGCTGTTTCAAAAGGAATCTTCAACTCTGTGAGTTGAATGCAATCATCACAAAGAAGTTTCTGACAATGCTTCTCTCTCGTCTTTCTGTGAAGATAAAGGAAAAGGCTTTCAGGCCTTTTCCACCACAGGCCTGAAAGCGCTCCAAATGTCCACTTGCAGATTCTGCCAAAAGAATATTTCAAAACTGCTCTATGAAAAGCAATGTTAAACTCTGCGGCTCGAACACAAACATCACAAAGCAGTTTCTGAGAATGCTTCGGTTAAGTTTTTCTGTGGAAATATTCCCGTTTCCAAAGAAATCTTCAAAGAGGTCCACGTATCCACTTACAGATTCTACAAAAAGACAGTTTCAAAACTGCTCAATCAAAAGGAGGGTTCAACTGTGTGACTTGAATGCAATCATCACTCAGAAGTTTCTGAGAATGCTTCTCTTTAGTTTTTACGTGAACATATACCCGTTTCGAACGAAGGCCAGCCAGTGGTCCAAATATCCACTTGCAGATTCTACAGAAAGAGTGTTTCGAACCTGAACTCTCAAAGGCACGTTCATCTCTGCGAGTTAAATGCATTCATCATGAAGAACTTTCTCAGAGTGTTTGTGTTTAGTTATGGGAAATTATTCCCGTTTCCAACGAAATCCTCAGAGAGCTCCAAATATCCACCTGCAGATTCTACCAAAAGTGTATTTGGAAACTGCTCCATCAAAAGGCATGTTCAGCTCTGTGAGTGAAACTCCATCATCACAAAGAATATTCTGAGAATGCTTCCGTTTGCCTTTTATATGAAGTTCCTTCCTATACTACCGTAGGCCTCAAAGCAGTCCAAATCTCCATTTGCAGATTCTACAAAAAGAGTGATTCCAATCTGCTCTATCAATAGGATTGTTCAACTCCATGAGTTGAATGCCATCCTCACAATGTCGTTTCTGAGAATGCTTCTATCTAGTTTTTATGTGAAGATATTTCCTTTTCCACCACAGGCCTCAAAGCCCTCCAAACGTCCACTTTCAGATTCTCGAAAAAGAGTGTTTCATAGCTGCTCTTTCAAAAGGAAAGTTCAACTCTGGGAGTTGAATACAAACATCACAAAGTAGTTTCTGAGAATGCTTCTGTTTAGTTTTTATGTGAAGATGATCCCGTTTCCAGTGAAATCTTCAAAGAGGTCCACATATCCCCTTGCAGATTCCAAAGAAAGAGGGTTTCAAAACTGCTCCATCAGAAGGATTGTTCAACTCTGTGAGTTGAATGCAGTCATCGCAGAAAACTTTCTGAGAATGCTTCTGTCTAGGTTTGATGTGAAGATATAGACGTTTCAAATGAAGGCTACAAAGTGGTCAAAATATACACTTGCAGATTCTACTACAAGGGTGTTGCAAACCTGAACTATCAAAGGAAGGTTCAACTCTGTGAGTTGAATACAAACATCACAAAGAATGTTCTGAGTTTGCTTCCGTTCAGTTATGGGAAGTTGATCCCGTTTCCAACGAAATCCTCAGAGAGGTCTAAATATCCCCTTGCAGATTCTACAAAACGTGTGTTTGGAAACTGCTCCATCATAACGAATGTTCAGCTCCCTGAGTTAAACTCCATCGTCACAAAGAATTTTCTGAGAGTGCTACCGTCTGGTTTTTATATGAAGTTCTTTCCTTCACTACCACAGACCTCAAAGCGGTCCAAATCTCCACTTGCAGATTCTACAAAAAGAGTGTTTGCAAACTGCTCTATCAAAAGGAATGTTCAACTCTGGGAGTTGAATGCAATCATCACAGAGCAGTTTCTGAGAATGCTTCTATGTCGTTTTTAGGAGAAGATATTTCCTTTTCCAACACAGTCCTCCAAGCCCGCTAAATAGCCACTTGCACATTGTAGAAAAAGTGTGTCAAAGCTGCGCTATCAAAGGGAAAGTTCAACTCTGTGAGGTGAATGCAAACATCCCAAAGAAGTTTCTGAGAATGCTTCCGTTTAGCTTTTAGGTGAAGATTATCCAGTTTCCAACGAAACCTTCAAATAGATCCAAATATCCCCTTGCGGTTCCCACAGAAAGAGTGTTTCGAAACTGCTGTTTCAAAAGGAATCTTCAACTCTGTGAGTTGAATGCAATCATCACAAAGAAGTTTCTGACAATGCTTCTCTCTCGTCTTTCTGTGAAGATAAAGGAAAAGGCTTTCAGGCCTTTTCCACCACAGGCCTGAAAGCGCTCCAAATGTCCACTTGCAGATTCTGCCAAAAGAATATTTCAAAACTGCTCTATGAAAAGCAATGTTAAACTCTGCGGCTCGAACACAAACATCACAAAGCAGTTTCTGAGAATGCTTCAGTTTAGTTTTTCTGTGGAAATATTCCCGTTTCCAAAGAAATCTTCAAAGAGGTCCACTGTATCCACTTACAGATTCTACAAAAAGACAGTTTCAAAACTGCTCCATCAAAAGGAGGGTTCAACTGTGTGACTTGAATGCAATCATCACTCAGAAGTTTCTGAGAATGCTTCTCTTTAGTTTTTACGTGAACATATACCCGTTTCGAACGAAGGCCACCCAGTGGTCCAAATATCCACTTGCAGATTCTACAGAAAGAGTGTTTCGAACCTGAACTCTCAAAGGCAGGTTCATCTCTGCGAGTTAAATGCATTCATCATGAAGAACTTTCTCAGAGTGTTTGTGTTTAGTTATGGGAAATTATTCCCGTTTCCAACGAAATCCTCAGAGAGCTCCAAATATCCACCTGCAGATTCTACCAAAAGTGTATTTGGAAACTGCTCCATCAAAAGGCATGTTCAGCTCTGTGAGTGAAACTCCATCATCACAAAGAATATTCTGAGAATGCTTCCGTTTGCCTTTTATATGAAGTTCCTTCCTGTACTACCGTAGGCCTCAAAGCAGTCCAAATCTCCATTTGCAGATTCTATAAAAAGAGTGATTCCAATCTGCTCTATCAATAGGATTGTTCAACTCCATGAGTTGAATGCCATCCTCACAAAGTAGTTTCTGAGAATGCTTCTATCTGGTTTTTGTGTGAAGATATTTCCTTTTCCACCACAGGCCTCAAAGCCCTCCAAACGTCCACTTGCAGATTCTCGAAAAAGAGTGTTTCATAGCTGCTCTTTCAAAAGGAAAGTTCAACTCTGGGAGTTGAATACAAACATCACAAAATAGTTTCCGAGAATGCTTCTGTTTAGTTTTTATGTGAAGATGATCCCGTTTCCAGTGAAATCTTCAAAGAGGTCCACATATCCCCTTGCAGATTCCAAAGAAAGAGGGTTTCAAAACTGCTCCATCAGAGGATTGTTCAACTCTGTGAGTTGAATGCAGTCATCGCAGAAAACTTTCTGAGAATGCTTCTGTCTAGGTTTGATGTGAAGATATAGACGTTTCAAACGAAGGCTACAAAGTGGTCAAAATATACACTTGCAGATGCTACTACAAGGGTGTTGCAAACCTGAACTATCAAAGGAAGGTTCAACTCTGTGAGTTGAATACAAACATCACAAAGAATGTTCTGAGTTTGCTTCCGTTCAGTTATGGGAAGTTGATCCCGTTTCCAACGAAATCCTCAGAGAGGTCCAAATATCCCCTTGCAGATTCTACAAAACGTGTGTTTGGAAACTGCTCCATCATAACGAATGTTCAGCTCCCTGAGTTAAACTCCATCGTCACAAAGAATTTTCTGAGAGTGCTACCGTCTGGTTTTTATATGAAGCTCTTTCCTTCACTACCACAGGCCTCAAAGCGGTCCAAATCTCCACTTGCAGATTCTACAAAAAGAGTGTTTGCAAACTGCTCTATCAAAAGGAATGTTCAACTCTGGGAGTTGAATGCAATCATCACAGAGCAGTTTCTGAGAATGCTTCTATGTCGTTTTTAGGAGAAGATATTTCCTTTTCCAACACAGTCCTCCAAGCCCGCTAAATAGCCACTTGCACATTGTAGAAAAAGTGTGTCAAAGCTGCGCTATCAAAGGGAAAGTTCAACTCTGTGAGGTGAATGCAAACATCCCAAAGAAGTTTCTGAGAATGCTTCCGTTTAGCTTTTAGGTGAAGATTATCCCGTTTCCAACGAAACCTTCAAAGAGGTCCAAATATCCCCTTGCGGATCCCACAGAAAGAGTGTTTCGAAACTGCTGTTTCAAAAGGAATCTTCAACTCTGTGAGTTGAATGCAATCATCACAAAGAAGTTTCTGACAATGCTTCTCTCTCGTCTTTCTGTGAAGATAAAGGAAAAGGCTTTCAGGCCTTTTCCACCACAGGCCTGAAAGCGCTCCAAATGTCCACTTGCAGATTCTGCCAAAAGAATATTTCAAAACTGCTCTATGAAAAGCAATGTTAAACTCTGTGGCTCGAACACAAACATCACAAAGCAGTTTCTGAGAATGCTTCAGTTTAGTTTTTCTGTGGAAATATTCCCGTTTCCAAAGAAATCTTCAAAGAGGTCCAAGTATCCACTTACAGATTCTACAAAAAGACAGTTTCAAAACTGCTCCATCAAAAGGAAGGTTCAACTGTGTGACTTGAATGCAATCATCACTCAGAAGTTTCTGAGAATGCTTCTCTTTAGTTTTTACGTGAACATATACCCGTTTCGAACGAAGGCCAGCCAGTGGTCCAAATATCCACTTGCAGATTCTACAGAAAGAGTGTTTCGAACATGAACTCTCAAAGGCAGGTTCATCTCTGCGAGTTAAATGCATTCATCATGAAGAACTTTCTCAGAGTGTTTGTGTTTAGTTATGGGAAATTATTCCCGTTTCCAACGAAATCCTCAGAGAGCTCCAAATATCCACCTGCAGATTCTACCAAAAGTGTATTTGGAAACTGCTCCATCAAAAGGCATGTTCAGCTCTGTGAGTGAAACTCCATCATCACAAAGAATATTCTGAGAATGCTTCCGTTTGCCTTTTATATGAAGTTCCTTCCTATACGACCGTAGGCCTCAAAGCAGTCCAAATCTCCATTTGCAGATTCTACAAAAAGAGTGATTCCAATCTGCTCTATCAATAGGATTGTTCAACTCCATGAGTTGAATGCCATCCTCACAAAGTCGTTTCTGAGAATGCTTCTATCTAGTTTTTATGTGAAGATATTTCCTTTTCCACCACAGGCCTCAAAGCCCTCCAAACGTCCACTTGCACATTCTCGAAAAAGACTGTTTCATAGCTGCTCTTTCAAAAGGAAAGTTCAACTCTGGGAGTTGAATACAAACATCACAAAGTAGTTTCCGAGAATGCTTCTGTTTAGTTCTTATGTGAAGATGATCCCGTTTCCAGTGAAATCTTCAAAGAGGTCCACATATCCTCTTGCAGATTCCAAAGAAAGAGGGTTTCAAAACTGCTCCATCAAAAGGATTGTTCAACTCTGTGAGTTGAATGCACTCATCGCAGAAAACTTTCTGAGAATGCTTCTGTCTAGGTTTGATGTGAAGATATAGACGTTTCAAACGAAGGCTACAAAGTGGTCAAAATATACACTTGCAGATTCTACTACAAGGGTGTTGCAAACCTGAACTATCAAAGGAAGGTTCAACTCTGTGAATTGAATACAAACATCACAAAGAATGTTCTGAGTTTGCTTCCGTTCAGTTATGGGAAGTTGATCCCGTTTCCAACGAAATCCTCAGAGAGGTCCAAATATCCCCTTGCAGATTCTACAAAACGTGTGTTTGGAAACTGCTCCATCATAACGAATGTTCAGCTCCCTGAGTTAAACTCCATCGTCACAAAGAATTTTCTGAGAGTGTTACCGTCTGGTTTTTATATGAAGTTCTTTCCTTCACTACCACAGGCCTCAAAGCGGTCCAAATCTCCACTTGCAGATTCTACAAAAAGAGTGTTTGCAAACTGCTCTATCAAAAGGAATGTTCAACTCTGGGAGTTGAATGCAATCATCACAGAGCAGTTTCTGAGAATGCTTCTATGTCGTTTTTAGAAGATATTTCCTTTTCCAACACAGTCCTCCAAGCCCGCTAAATATCCACTTGCACATTGTAGAAAAAGTGTGTCAAAGCTGCGCTATCAAAGGGAAAGTTCAACTCTGTGAGGTGAATGCAAACATCCCAAAGAAGTTTCTGAGAATGCTTCCGTTTAGCTTTTAGGTGAAGATTATCCCGTTTCCAACGAAACCTTCAAAGAGGTCCAAATATCCCCTTGCGGATCCCACAGAAAGAGTGTTTCGAAACTGCTGTTTCAAAAGGAATCTTCAACTCTGTGAGTTGAATGCAATCATCACAAAGAAGTTTCTGACAATGCTTCTCTCTCGTCTTTCTGTGAAGATAAAGGAAAAGGCTTTCAGGCCTTTTCCACCACAGGCCTGAAAGCGCTCCAAATGTCCACTTGCAGATTCTGCCAAAAGAATATTTCAAAACTGCTCTATGAAAAGCAATGTTAAACTGTGTGGCTCGAACACAAACATCACAAAGCGGTTTCTGAGAATGCTTCAGTTTAGTTTTTCTGTGGAAATATTCCCGTTTCCAAAGAAATCTTCAAAGAGGTCCACGTATCCACTTACAGATTCTACAAAAAGACAGTTTCAAAACTGCTCCATCAAAAGGAGGGTTCAACTGTGTGACTTGAATGCAATCATCACTCACAAGTTTCTGAG
Organism: Homo sapiens; assembly: GCF_000001405.40. Taxonomy (NCBI): domain Eukaryota; kingdom Metazoa; phylum Chordata; class Mammalia; order Primates; family Hominidae; genus Homo; species Homo sapiens. The sequence continues at coordinate 60,684,934 of NC_000023.11, read as the reverse complement.
AATGCTTCTCTTTAGTTTTTACGTGAACATATACCCGTTTCGAACGAAGGCCAGCCAGTGGTCCAAATATCCACTTGCAGATTCTACAGAAAGAGTGTTTCGAACCTGAACTCTCAAAGGCAGGTTCATCTCTGCGAGTTAAATGCATTCATCATGAAGAACTTTCACAGAGTGTTTGTGTTTAGTTATGGGAAATTATTCCCGTTTCCAACGAAATCCTCAGAGAGCTCCAAATATCCACCTGCAGATTCTACCAAAAGTGTATTTGGAAACTGCTCCATCAAAAGGCATGTTCAGCTCTGTGAGTGAAACTCCATCATCACAAAGAATATTCTGAGAATGCTTCCGTTTGCCTTTTATATGAAGTTCCTTCCTATACGACCGTAGGCCTCAAAGCAGTCCAAATCTCCATTTGCAGATTCTACAAAAAGAGTGATTCCAATCTGCTCTATCAATAGGATTGTTCAACTCCATGAGTTGAATGCCATCCTCACAAAGTCGTTTCTGAGAATGCTTCTATCTAGTTTTTATGTGAAGATATTTCCTTTTCCACCACAGGCCTCAAAGCCCTCCAAACGTCCACTTGCAGATTCTCGAAAAAGAGTGTTTCATAGCTGCTCTTTCAAAAGGAAAGTTCAACTCTGGGAGTTGAATACAAACATCACAAAGTAGTTTCCGAGAATGCTTCTGTTTAGTTTTTATGTGAAGATGATCCCGTTTCCAGTGAAATCTTCAAAGAGGTCCACATATCCCCTTGCAGATTCCAAAGAAAGAGGGTTTCAAAACTGCTCCATCAGAAGGATTGTTCAACTCTGTGAGTTGAATGCAGTCATCGCAGAAAACTTTCTGAGAATGCTTCTGTCTAGGTTTGATGTGAAGATATAGACGTTTCAAACGAAGGCTACAAAGTGGTCAAAATATACACTTGCAGATTCTACTACAAGGGTGTTGCAAACCTGAACTATCAAAGGAAGGTTCAACTCTGTGAGTTGAATACAAACATCACAAAGAATGTTCTGAGTTTGCTTCCGTTCAGTTATGGGAAGTTGATCCCGTTTCCAAAGAAATCCTCAGAGAGGTCCAAATATCCCCTTGCAGATTCTACAAAACGTGTGTTTGGAAACTGCTCCATCATAACGAATGTTCAGCTCCCTGAGTTAAACTCCATCGTCACAAAGAATTTTCTGAGAGTGCTACCGTCTGGTTTTTATATGAAGTTCTTTCCTTCACTACCACAGGCCTCAAAGCGGTCCAAATCTCCACTTGCAGATTCTACAAAAAGAGTGTTTGCAAACTGCTCTATCAAAAGGAATGTTCAACTCTGGGAGTTGAATGCAATCATCACAGAGCAGTTTCTGAGAATGCTTCTATGTCGTTTTTAGGAGAAGATATTTCCTTTTCCAACACAGTCCTCCAAGCCCGCTAAATAGCCACTTGCACATTGTAGAAAAAGTGTGTCAAAGCTGCGCTATCAAAGGGAAAGTTCAACTCTGTGAGGTGAATGCAAACATCCCAAAGAAGTTTCTGAGAATGCTTCCGTTTAGCTTTTAGGTGAAGATTATCCCGTTTCCAACGAAACCTTCAAAGAGGTCCAAATATCCCCTTGCGGATCCCACAGAAAGAGTGTTTCGAAACTGCTGTTTCAAAAGGAATCTTCAACTACTGTGAGTTGAATGCAATCATCACAAAGAAGTTTCTGACAATGCTTTCTCTCTCGTCTTTCTGTGAAGATAAAGGAAAAGGCTTTCAGGCCTTTGCCACCACAGGCCTGAAAGCGCTCCAAATGTCCACTTGCAGATTCTGCCAAAAGAATATTTCAAAACTGCTCTATGAAAAGCAATGTTAAACTCTGCGGCTCGAACACAAACATCACAAAGCGGTTTCTGAGAATGCTTCAGTTTAGTTTTTCTGTGGAAATATTCCCGTTTCCAAAGAAATCTTCAAAGAGGTCCACGTGTCCTCTAACAGATTCTACAAAAAGACAGTTTCAAAACTGCTCAATCAAAAGGAGGGTTCAACCGTGTGACTTGAATGCAATCATCACTCAGAAGTTTCTGAGAATGCTTCTCTTTAGTTTTTACGTGAACATATACCCGTTTCGAACGAAGGCCAGCCAGTGGTCCAAATATCCACTTGCAGATTCTACAGAAAGAGTGTTTCGAACCTGAACTCTCAAAGGCAGGTTCATCTCTGCGAGTTAAATGCATTCATCATGAAGAACTTTCTCAGAGTGTTTGTGTTTAGTTATGGGAAATTATTCCCGTTTCCAACGAAATCCTCAGAGAGCTCTAAATTTCCACCTGCAGATTCTACCAAAAGTGTATTTGGAAACTGCTCCATCAAAAGGCATGTTCAGCTCTGTGAGTGAAACTCCATCATCACAAAGAATATTCTGAGAATGCTTCCGTTTGCTTTTATATGAAGTTCCTTCCTATACGACCGTAGGCCTCAAAGCAGTCCAAATCTCCATTTGCAGATTCTACAAAAAGAGTGATTCCAATCTGCTCTATCAATAGGATTGTTCAACTCCATGTGTTGAATGCCATCCTCACAAAGTCGTTTCTGAGAATGCTTCTATCTAGTTTTTATGTGAAGATATTTTCTTTTCCACCACAGGACTCAAAGCCTTCCAAACGTCCACTTGCAGATTCTCGAAAAAGAGTGTTTCATAGCTGCTCTTTCAAAAGGAAAGTTCAACTCTGGGAGTTGAATACAAACATCACAAAGTAGTTTCCGAGAATGCTTCTGTTTAGTTTTTATGTGAAGATGATCCCGTTTCCAGTGAAATCTTCAAAGAGGTCCACATATCCCCTTGCAGATTCCAAAGAAAGAGGGTTTCAAAACTGCTCCATCAGAAGGATTGTTCAACTCTGTGAGTTGAATGCAGTCATCGCAGAAAACTTTCTGAGAATGCTTCTGTCTAGGTTTGATGTGAAGATATAGACGTTTCAAACGAAGGCTACAAAGTGGTCAAAATATACACTTGCAGATTCTACTACAAGGGTGTTGCAAACCTGAACTATCAAAGGAAGGTTCAACTCTGTGAGTTGAATACAAACATCACAAAGAATGTTCTGAGTTTGCTTCCGTTCAGTTATGGGAAGTTGATCCCGTTTCCAACCAAATCCTCAGAGAGGTCCAAATATCCCCTTGCAGATTCTACAAAACGTGTGTTTGGAAACTGCTCCATCATAACGAATGTTCAGGTCCCTGAGTTAAACTCCATCGTCACAAAGAATTTTCTGAGAGTGCTACCGTCTGGTTTTTATATGAAGCTCTTTCCTTCACTACCCCAGGCCTCAAAGCGGTCCAAATCTCCACTTCCAGATTCTACAAAAAGAGTGTTTGCAAACTGCTCTATCAAAAGGAATGTTCAACTCTGGGAGTTGAATGCAATCATCACAGAGCAGTTTCTGAGAATGCTTCTATGTCGTTTTTAGAAGATATTTCCTTTTCCAACACAGTCCTCCAAGCCCGCTAAATAGCCACTTGCACATTGTAGAAAAAGTGTGTCAAAGCTGCGCTATCAAAGGGAAAGTTCAACTCTGTGAGGTGAATGCAAACATCCCAAAGAAGTTTCTGAGAATGCTTCCGTTTAGCTTTTAGGTGAAGATTATCCCGTTTCCAACGAAACCTTCAAAGAGGTCCAAATATCCCCTTGCGGATCCCACAGAAAGAGTGTTTCGAAACTGCTGTTTCAAAAGGAATCTTCAACTCTGTGAGTTGAATGCAATCATCACAAAGAAGTTTCTGACAATGCTTCTCTCTCGTCTTTCTGTGAAGATAAAGGAAAAGGCTTTCAGGCCTTTGCCACCACAGGCCTGAAAGCGCTCCAAATGTCCACTTGCAGATTCTGCCAAAAGAATATTTCAAAACTGCTCTATGAAAAGCAATGTTAAACTCTGCGGCTCGAACACAAACATCACAAAGCGGTTTCTGAGAATGCTTCAGTTTAGTTTTTCTGTGGAAATATTCCCGTTTCCAAAGAAATCTTCAAAGAGGTCCACGTATCCACTTACAGATTCTACAAAAAGACAGTTTCAAAACTGCTCCATCAAAAGGAGGGTTCAACTGTGTGACTTGAATGCAATCATCACTCAGAAGTTTCTGAGAATGCTTCTCTTTAGTTTTTACGTGAACATATACCCGTTTCGAACGAAGGCCACCCAGTGGTCCAAATATCCACTTGCAGACTCTACAGAAAGAGTGTTTCGAACCTGAACTCTCAAAGGCAGGTTCATCTCTGCGAGTTAAATGCATTCATCATGAAGAACTTTCTCAGCGTGTTTGTGTTTAGTTATTGGAAATTATTCCCGTTTCCAACGAAATCCTCAGAGAGGTCCAAATATCCACCTGTAGATTCTACCAAAAGTGTATTTGGAAACTGCTCCATCAAAAGGAATGTTCAGCTCTGTGAGTGAAACTCCATCATCACAAAGAATATTCTGAGAATGCTTCCATTTGCCTTTTATATGAAGTTCCTTCCTATACTACCGTAGGCCTCAAAGCAGTCCAAATCTCCATTTGCAGATTCTACAAAAATAGTGATTCCAATCTGCTCTATCAATAGGACTGTTCAACTCCATGAGTTGAATGCCATCCTCACAAAGTAGTTTCTGAGAATGTTTCTATCTAGTTTTTATGTGAAGATATTTCCTTTTCCACCACAGGCCTCAAAGCCCTCCAAACGTCCACTTGCAGATTCTCGAAAAAGAGTGTTTCATAGCTGCTCTTTCAAAAGGAAAGTTCAACTCTGGGAGCTGAATACAAACATCACAAAGTAGTTTCCGAGAATGCTTCTGTTTAGTTCTTATGTGAAGATGATCCCGTTTCCAGTGAAATCTTCAAAGAGGTCCACATATCCCCTTGCAGATTCCAAAGAAAGAGGGTTTCAAAACTGCTCCATCAAAAGGATTGTTCAACTCTGTGAGTTGAATGCAGTCATCGCAGAAAACTTTCTGAGAATGCTTCTGTCTAGGTTTGATGTGAAGATATAGACGTTTCAAACGAAGGCTACAAAGTGGTCAAAATATACACTTGCAGATTCTACTACAAGGGTGATGCAAACCTCAACTATCAAAGGAAGGTTCAACTCTGTGAGATGAATGCAACCATCACAAAAAATGTTCTGAGTTTGCTTCCGTTCAGTTATGGGAAATTGATACCGTTTCCAACGAAATCCTCAGAGAGGTCCAAATATCCCCTTGCAGATTCTACAAAACGTGTGTTTGGAAACTGCTCCATCATAACGAATGTTCAGCTCTCTGAGTTAAACTCCATCGTCACAAAGAATTTTCTGAGAGTGCTACCGTCTAGTTTTTATATGAAGTTCTTTCCTTTACTACCACAGGCCTCAAAGCGGTCCAAATCTCCACTTGCAGATTCTACAAAAAGAGTGTTTGCAAACTGCTCTATCAAAAGGAATGTTCAACTCTGGGAGTTGAAAGCAATCATCACAGAGCAGTTTCTGAGAATGCTTCTATGTCGTTTTTAGGAGAAGATATTTCCTTTTCCAACACAGTCCTCCAAGCCCGCTAAATATCCACTTGCACATTGTAGAAAAAGTGTGTCGAAGCTGCGCTATCAAAGGGAAAGTTCAACTCTGTGAGGTGAATGCAAACATCCCAAAGAAGTTTCTGAGAATACTTCCGTTTAGCTTTTAGGTGAAGATTATCCCGTTTCCAACGAAATCTTCAAAGAGGTCCAAATATCCCCCTGCGGATCCCACAGAAAGAGTGTTTCGAAACTGCTGTTTCAAAAGGAATCTTCAACTCTGTGAGTTGAATGCAATCATCACAAAGAAGTTTCTGACAATGCTTCTCTCTCGTCTTTCTGTGAAGATAAAGGAAAAGGCTTTCAGGCCTTTTCCACCACAGGCCTGAACGTGCTCCAAATGTCCACTTGCAGATTCTGCCAAAAGAATATTTCAAAACTGCTCTACGAAAAGCAATGTTAAACTCTGTGGCTCGAACACAAACATCACAAAGCCGTTTCTGAGAATGCTTCAGTTTAGTTTTTCTGTGGAAATATTCCCGTTTCCAAAGAAATCTTCAAAGAGGTCCACGCATCCACTTACAGATTCTACAAAAAGACAGTTTCAAAACTGCTCAATCAAAAGGAGGGTTCAACTGTGTGACTTGAATGCAATCATCACTCAGAAGTTTCTGAGAACGCTTCTCTTTAGTTTTTACGTGAACATATACCCGTTTCGAACGAAGGCCAGCCAGTGGTCCAAATATCCACTTGCAGATTCTACAGAAAGAGTGTTTCGAACCTGAACTCTCAAAGGCAGGTTCATCTCTGCGAGTTCAATGCATTCATCATGAAGAACTTTCTCAGCGTGTTTGTGTTTAGTTATGGGAAATTATTCCCGTTTCCAACGAAATCCTCAGAGAGCTCCAAATATCCACCTGCAGATTCTACCAAAAGTGTATTTGGAAACTGCTCCATCAAAAGGCATGTTCAGCTCTGTGAGTGAAACTCCATCATCACAAAGAATATTCTGAGAATGCTTCCGTTTGCCTTTTATATGAAGTTCCTTCCTATACTACCGTAGGCCTCAAAGCAGTCCAAATCTCCATTTGCAGATTCTACAAAAAGAGTGATTCCAATCTGCTCTATCAACAGGACTGTTCAACTCCATGAGTTGAATGCCATCCTCACAAAGTCGTGTCTGAGAATGCTTCTATCTAGTTTTTATGTGAAGATATTTCCTTTTCCACCACAGGCCTCAAAGCCCTCCAAACGTCCACTTGCAGATTCTCGAAAAAGTGTGTTTCATAGCTGCTCTTTCAAAAGGAAAGTTCAACTCTGGGAGTTGAATACAAACATCACAAAGTAGTTTCCGAGAATGCTTCTGTTTAGTTCTTATGTGAAGATGATCCCGTTTCCAGTGAAACCTTCAAAGAGGTCCACATATCCCCTTGCAGATTCCAAAGAAAGAGGGTTTCAAAACTGCTCCATCAAAAGGACTGTTCAAGTCTGTGAATTGAATGCAGTCATTGCAGAAAACTTTCTGAGAATGCTTCTGTCTAGGTTTGATGTGAAGATATAGACGTTTCAAACGAAGGCTACAAAGTGGTCAAAATATACACTTGCAGATTCTACTACAAGGGTGATGCAAACCTGAACTATCAAAGGAAGGTTCAACTCTGTGAGTTGAATACAAACATCACAAAGAATGTTCTGAGTTTGCTTCCGTTCATTTATGGGAAGTTGATCCCTTTTCCAACGAAATCCTCAGAGAGGTCCAAATATCCCCTCGCAGATTCTACAAAACGTGTGTTTGGAAACTGCTCCATCATAACGAATGTTCAGCTCCCTGAGTTAAACTCCATCGTCACAAAGAATTTTCTGAGAGTGCTACCGTCTGGTTTTTATATGAAGTTCTTTCCTTCACTACCACAGGCCTCAAAGCGGTCCAAATCTCCACTTGCAGATTCTACAAAAAGAGTGTTTGCAAACTGCTCTATCAAAAGGAATGTTCAACTCTGGGAGTTGAATGCAATCATCACAGAGCAGTTTCTGAGAATGCTTCTATGTCGTTTTTAGGAGAAGATATTTCCTTTTCCAACACAGTCCTCCAAGCCCGCTAAATATCCACTTGCACATTGGAGAAAAAGTGTGTCGAAGCTGCGCTATCAAAGGGAAAGTTCAACTCTGTGAGGTGAATGCAAACATCCCAAAGAAGTTTCTGAGAATGCTTCCGTTTAGCTTTTAGGTGAAGATTATCCCGTTTCCAACGAAATCTTCAAAGAGGTCCAAATATCCCCTTGCGGATCCCACAGAAAGAGTGTTTTGAAACTGCTGTTTCAAAAGGAATCTTCAACTCTGTGGGTTGAATGCAATCATCACAAAGAAGTTTCTGACAATGCTTCTCTCTCGTCTTTCTGTGAAGATAAAGGAAAAGGCTTTCAGGCCTTTTCCACCACAGGCCTGAAAGCGCTCCAAATGTCCACTTGCAGATTCTGCCAAAAGAATATTTCAAAACTGCTCTATGAAAAGCAATGTTAAACTCTGTGGCTTGAACACAAACATCACAAAGCAGTCTCTGAGAATGCTTCAGTTTAGTTTTTCTGTGGAAATATTCCCGTTTCGAAAGAAATCTTCAAAGAGGTCCACGCATCCAATTACAGATTCTACAAAAAGACAGTTTCAAAACTGCTCAATCAAAAGGAGGGTTCAACCGTGTGACATGAATGCAATCATCACTCAGAAGTTTCTGAGAACGCTTCTCTTTAGTTTTTACGTGAACATATACCTGTTTCGAAAGAAGGCCACCCAGTGGTCCAAATATCCACTTGCAGATTCTACAGAAAGAGTGTTTCGAACCTGAACTCTCAAAGGAAGGTTCATCTCTGTGAGTTAAATGCATTCATCATGAAGAACGTTCTCAGCGTGTTTGTGTTTAGTTATGGGAAATTATTCCCGTTTCCAACGAAATCCTCAGAGAGCTCCAAATATCCACCTGCAGATTCTACCAAAAGTGTATTTGGAAACTGCTCCATCAAAAGGCATGTTCAGCTCTGTGAGTGAAACTCCATCATCACAAAGAATATTCTGAGAATGCTTCCGTTTGCCTTTTATATGAAGTTCCTTCCTATACTACCGTAGGCCTCAAAGCAGTCCAAATCTCCATTTGCAGATTCTACAAAAAGAGTGATTCCAATCTGCTCTATCAATAGGATTGTTCAACTCCATGAGTTGAATGCCATCCTCACAAAGTAGTTTCTGAGAATGCTTCTATCTAGTTTTTATGTGAAGATATTTCCTTTTCCACCACAGGCCTCAAAGCCCTCCAAACGTCCACTTGCAGATTCTCGAAAAAGAGTGTTTCATAGCTGCTCTTTCAAAAGGAAAGTTCAACTCTGGGAGTTGAATACAAACATCACAAAGTAGTTTCCGAGAATGCTTCTGTTTAGTTCTTATGTGAAGATGATCCCGTTTCCAGTGAAATCTTCAAAGAGGTCCACATATCCCCTTGCAGATTCCAAAGAAAGAGGGTTTCAAAACTGCTCCATCAAAAGGATTGTTCAACTCTGTGAGTTGAATGCAGTCATCGCAGAAAACTTTCTGAGAATGCTTCTGTCTAGGTTTGATGTGAAGATATAGACGTTTCAAACGAAGGCTACATAGTGGTCAACATATACACTTGCAGATTCTACTACAAGGGTGATGCAAACCTCAACTATCAAAGGAAGGTTCAACTCTGTGAGTTGAATACAAACATCACAAAGAATGTTCTGAGTTTGCTTCCGTTCAGTTATGGGAAGTTGATCCCGTTTCCAACGAAATCCTCAGAGAGGTCCAAATATCCCCTTGCAGATTCTACAAAACGTGTGTTTGGAAACTGCTCCATCATAACGAATGTTCAGCTCCCTGAGTTAAACTCCATCGTCACAAAGAATTTTCTGAGAGTGCTACCGTCTGGTTTTTATATGAAGTTCTTTCCTTCACTACCACTGGCCTCAAAGCGGTCCAAATCTCCACTTGCAGATTCTACAAAAAGAGTGTTTGCAAACTGCTCTATCAAAAGGAATGTTCAACTCTGGGAGTTGAATGCAATCATCACAGAGCAGTTTCTGAGAATGCTTCTATGTCGTTTTTAGGAGAAGATATTTCCTTTTCCAACACAGTCCTCCAAGTCCGCTAAATAGCCACTTGCACATTGTAGAAAAAGTGTGTCAAAGCTGCGCTATCAAAGGGAAAGTTCAACTCTGAGAGGTGAATGCAAACATCCCAAAGAAGTTTCTGAGAGTGCTTCCGTTTAGCTTTTAGGTGAAGATTATCCCGTTTCCAACGAAACCTTCAAAGAAGTCCAAATATCCCCTTGCGGATCCCACAGAAAGAGTGTTTCGAAACTGCTGTTTCAAAAGGAATCTTCAACTCTGTGAGTTGAATGCAATCATCACAAAGAAGTTTCTGACAATGCTTCTCTCTCGTCTTTCTGTGAAGATAAATAAATGCTTTCAGGCCTTTGCCACCACAGGCCTGAAAGCGCTCCAAATGTCCACTTGCAGATTCTGCGAAAAGAATATTTCAAAACTGCTTTGTGAAAAGCAATGTTAAACTCTGTGGCTCGAACAAACACATCACAAAGCGGTTTCTGAGAATGCTTCAGTTTAGTTTTTCTGTGGAAATATTCCCGTTTTCAAAGAAATCTTCAAAGAGGTCCACGTATCCACTTACAGATTCTACAAAAAGACAGTTTCAAAACTGCTCCATCAAAAGGAGGGTTCAACTGTGTGACTTGAATGCAATCATCACTCAGAAGTTTCTGAGAATGCTTCTCTTTAGTTTTTACGTGAACATATACCCGTTTCGAACGAAGGCCAGCCAGTGGTCGAAATATCCACTTGCAGATTCTACAGAAAGAGTGTTTCGAACATGAACTCTCAAAGGCAGGTTCATCTCTGCGAGTTAAATGCATTCATCATGAAGAACTTTCTCAGAGTGTTTGTATTTAGTTATGGGAAATTATTCCCGTTTCCAACGAAATCCTCAGAGAGGTCCAAATATCCACCTGCAGATTCTACCAAAAGTGTATTTGGAAACTGCTCCATCAAAAGGCATGTTCAGCTCTGTGAGTGAAACTCCATCATCACAAAGAATATTCTGAGAATGCTTCCGTTTGCCTTTTATATGAAGTTCCTTCCTATACGACCGTAGGCCTCAAAGCAGTCCAAATCTCCATTTGCAGATTCTACAAAAAGAGTGATTCCAATCTGCTCTATCAATAGGATTGTTCAACTCCATGAGTTGAATGCCATCCTCACAAAGTCGTTTCTGAGAATGCTTCTATCTAGTTTTTATGTGAAGATATTTCCTTTTCCACCACAGGCCTCAAAGCCCTCCAAACGTCCACTTGCAGATTCTCGAAAAAGAGTGTTTCATAGCTGCTCTTTCAAAAGGAAAGTTCAACTCTGGGAGTTGAATACAAACATCACAAAGTAGTTTCCGAGAATGCTTCTGTTTAGTTTTTATGTGAAGATGATCCCGTTTCCAGTGAAATCTTCAAAGAGGTCCACATATCCCCTTGCAGATTCCAAAGAAAGAGGGTTTCAAAACTGCTCCATCAGAAGGATTGTTCAACTCTGTGAGTTGAATGCAGTCATCGCAGAAAACTTTCTGAGAATGCTTCTTTCTAGGTTTGATGTGAAGATATAGACGTTTCAAACGAAGGCTACAAAGTGGTCAAAATATACACTTGCAGATTCTACTACAAGGGTGTTGCAAACCTGAACTATCAAAGGAAGGTTCAACTCTGTGAGTTGAATACAAACATCACAAAGAATGTTCTGAGTTTGCTTCCGTTCAGTTATGGGATGTTGATCCCGTTTCCAACGAAATCCTCAGAGAGGTCCAAATATCCCCTTGCAGATTCTACAAAACGTGTGTTTGGAAACTGCTCCATCATAACGAATGTTCAGCTCCCTGAGTTAAACTCCATCGTCACAAAGAATTTTCTGAGAGTGCTACCGTGTGGTTTTTATATGAAGCTCTTTCCTTCACTACCACAGGCCTCAAAGCGGTCCAAATCTCCACTTCCAGATTCTACAAAAAGAGTGTTTGCAAACTGCTCTATCAAAAGGAATGTTCAACTCTGGGAGTTGAATGCAATCATCACAGAGCAGTTTCTGAGAATGCTTCTATGTCGTTTTTAGGAGAAGATATTTCCTTTTCCAACACAGTCCTCCAAGCCCGCTAAATAGCCACTTGCACATTGTAGAAAAAGTGTGTCAAAGCTGCGCTATCAAAGGGAAAGTTCAACTCTGTGAGGTGAATGCAAACATCCCAAAGAAGTTTCTGAGAATGCTTCCGTTTAGCTTTTAGGTGAAGATTATCCCGTTTCCAACGAAACCTTCAAAAGGTCCAAATATCCCCTTGCGGATCCCACAGAAAGAGTGTTTCGAAACTGCTGTTTCAAAAGGAATCTTCAAGTCTGTGAGTTGAATGCAATCATCACAAAGAAGTTTCTGACAATGCTTCTCTCTCGTCTTTCTGTGAAGATAAAGGAAAAGGCTTTCAGGCCTTTTCCACCACAGGCCTGAAAGCGCTCCAAATGTCCACTTGCAGATTCTGCCAAAAGAATATTTCAAAACTGCTCTATGAAAAGCAATGTTAAACTCTGTGGCTCGAACACAAACATCACAAAGCAGTTTCTGAGAATGCTTCAGTTTAGTTTTTCTGTGGAAATATTCCCGTTTCCAAAGAAATCTTCAAAGAGGTCCACGTATCCACTTACAGATTCTACAAAAAGACAGTTTCAAAACTGCTCCATCAAAAGGAGGGTTCAACTGTGTGACTTGAATGCAATCATCACTCACAAGTTTCTGAGAATGCTTCTCTTTAGTTTTTACGTGAACATATACCCGTTTCGAACGAAGGCCAGCCAGTGGTCCAAATATCCACTTGCAGATTCTACAGAAAGAGTGTTTCGAACCTGAACTCTCAAAGGCAGGTTCATCTCTGCGAGTTAAATGCATTCATCATGAAGAACTTTCTCAGAGTGTTTGTGTTTAGTTATGGGAAATTATTCCCGTTTCCAACGAAATCCTCAGAGAGCTCCAAATATCCACCTGCAGATTCTACCAAAAGTGTATTTGGAAACTGCTCCATCAAAAGGCATGTTCAGCTCTGTCAGTGAAACTCCATCATCACAAAGAATATTCTGAGAATGCTTCCGTTTGCCTTTTATCTGAAGTTCCTTCCTATACGACCGTAGGCCTCAAAGCAGTCCAAATCTCCATTTGCAGATTCCACAAAAAGAGTGATTCCAATCTGCTCTATCAATAGGATTGTTCAACTCCATGAGTTGAATGCCATCCTCACAAAGTCGTTTCTGAGAATGCTTCTATCTAGTTTTTATGTGAAGATATTTCCTTTTCCACCACAGGCCTCAAAGCCCTCCAAACGTCCACTTGCAGATTCTCGAAAAAGAGTGTTTCATAGCTGCTCTTTCAAAAGGAAAGTTCAACTCTGGCAGTTGAATACAAACATCACAAAGTAGTTTCCGAGAATGCTTCTGTTTAGTTTTTATGTGAAGATGATCCCGTTTCCAGTGAAATCTTCAAAGAGGTCCACATATCCCCTTGCAGATTCCAAAGAAAGAGGGTTTCAAAACTGCTCCATCAGAAGGATTGTTCAACTCTGTGAGTTGAATGCAGTCATCGCAGAAAACTTTCTGAGAATGCTTCTTTCTAGGTTTGATGTGAAGATATAGACGTTTCAAACGAAGGCTACAAAGTGGTCAAAATATACACTTGCAGATTCTACTACAAGGGTGTTGCAAACCTGAACTATCAAAGGAAGGTTCAACTCTGTGAGTTGAATACAAACATCACAAAGAATGTTCTGAGTTTGCTTCCGTTCAGTTATGGGAAGTTGATCCCTTTTCCAACGAAATCCTCAGAGAGGTCCAAATATCCCCTCGCAGATTCTACAAAACGTGTGTTTGGAAACTGCTCCATCATAACGAATGTTCAGCTCCCTGAGTTAAACTCCATCGTCACAAAGAATTTTCTGAGAGTGCTACCGTCTGGTTTTTATATGAAGTTCTTTCCTTTACTACCACAGGCCTCAAAGCGATCCAAGTCTCCACTTGCAGATTCTACAAAAACAGTGTTTGCAAACTGCTCTATCAAAAGGAATGTTCAACTCTGGGAGTTGAATGCAATCATCACAGAGCAGTTTCTGAGAATGCTTCTATGTCGTTTTTAGGAGAAGATATTTCCTTTTCCAACACAGTCCTCCAAGCCCGCTAAATATCCACTTGCACATTGTAGAAAAAGTGTGTCGAAGCTGCGCTATCAAAGGGAAAGTTCAACTCTGTGAGGTGAATGCAAACATCCCAAAGAAGTTTCTGAGAATGCTTCCGTTTAGCTTTTAGGTGAAGATTATCCCGTTTGCAACGAAATCTTCAAAGAGGTCCAAATATCCCCTTGCGGATCCCACAGAAAGAATGTTTCGAAACTGCTGTTTCAAAAGGAATCTTCAACTCTGTGAGTTGAATGCAATCATCACAAAGAAGTTTCTGACAATGCTTCTCTCTCGTCTTTCAGTGAAGATAAAGGAAAAGGCTTTCATGCGTTTTCCACCACAGGCCAGAAAGCGCTCCAAATGTCCACTTGCAGATTCTGCCAAAAGAATATTTCAAAACTGCTCTGTGAAAAGCAATGTTAAACTCTGTGGCTCGAACACAAACATCACAAAGCAGTTTCTGAGAATGCTTCAGTTTAGTTTTTCTGTGGAAATATTCCCGTTTCCAAAGAAATCTTCAAAGAGGTCCACGCATCCACTTACAGATTCTACAAAAATACAGTTTCAAAACTGCTCAATCAAAAGGAGGGTTCAACTGTGTGACTTGAATGCAGTCATCACTCAGAAGTTTCTGAGAATGCTTCTCTTTAGTTTTTACGTGAAACATATACCCGTTTCGAACGAAGGGCCACCCAGTGGTCCAAATATCCACTTGCAGATTCTACAGAAAGAGTGTTTCGAACCTGAACTCTCAAAGGCAGGTTCATCTCTGCGAGTTAAATGCATTCATCATGAAGAACTTTCTCAGAGTGTTTGTGTTTAGTTATGGGAAATTATTCCCGTTTCCAACGAAATCCTCAGAGAGCTCCAAATATCCACCTGCAGATTCTACCAAAAGTGTATTTGGAAACTGCTCCATCAAAAGGCATGTTCAGCTCTGTGAGTGAAACTCCATCATCACAAAGAATATTCTGAGAATGCTTCCGTTTACCTTTTATATGAAGTTCCTTCCTATACGACCGTAGGCCTCAAAGCAGTCCAAATCTCCATTTGCAGATTCTACAAAAAGAGTGATTCCAATCTGCTCTATCAATAGGATTGTTCAACTCCATGAGTTGAATGCCATCCTCACAAAGTAGTTTCTGAGAATGCTTCTATCTAGTTTTTATGTGAAGATATTTCCTTTTCCACCACAGGCCTCAAAGCCTTCCAAACGTCCACTTGCAGATTCTCGAAAAAGAGTGTTTCATAGCTGCTCTTTCAAAAGGAAAGTTCAACTCTGGGAGTTGAATACAAACATCACAAAGTAGTTTCCGAGAATGCTTCTGTTTAGTTCTTATGTGAAGATGATCCCGTTTCCAGTGAAATCTTCAAAGAGGTCCACATATCCCCTTGCAGATTCCAAAGAAAGAGGGTTTCAAAACTGCTCCATCAAAAGGATTGTTCAACTCTGTGAGTTGAATGCAGTCATCGCAGAAATCTTTCTGAGAATGCTTCTGTCTAGGTTTGATGTGAAGATATAGACGTTTCAAACGAAGGCTACAAACTGGTCAAAATATACACTTGCAGATTCTACTACAAGGGTGTTGCAAACCTGAACTATCAAAGGAAGGTTCAACACTGTGAGTTGAATACAAACATCACAAAGAATGTTCTGAGTTTGCTTCCGTTCAGTTATGGGAAGTTGATCCCGTTTCCAACGAAATCCTCAGAGAGGTCCAAATATCCCCTTGCAGATTCTACAAAACGTGTGTTTGGAAACTGCTCCATCATAACGAATGTTCAGCTCCCTGAGTTAAACTCAATCGTCACAAAGAATTTTCTGAGAGTGCTACCGTCTAGTTTTTATATGAAGTTCTTTCCTTTACTACCACAGGCCTCAAAGCGGTCCAAATCTCCACTTGCAGATTCTACAAAAAGAGTGTTTGCAAACTGCTCTATCAAAAGGAATGTTCAACTCTGGGAGTTGAATGCAATCATCACAGAGCAGTTTCTGAGAATGCTTCTATGTCGTTTTTAGGAGAAGATATTTCCTTTTCCAACACAGTCCTCCAAGCCCGCTAAATATCCACTTGCACATTGTAGAAAAAGTGTGTCAAAGCTGCGCTATCAAAGGGAAAGTTCAACTCTGTGAGGTGAATGCAAACATCCCAAAGAAGTTTCTGAGAATGCTTCCGTTTAGCTTTTAGGTGAAGATTATCCCGTTTCCAACGAAATCTTCAAAGAGGTCCAAATATCCCCTTGCGGATCCCACAGAAAGAGTGTTTCGAAACTGCTGTTTCAAAAGGAATCTTCAACTCTGTGAGTTGAATGCAATCATCACAAAGAAGTTTCTGACAATGCTTCTCTCTCGTCTTTCTGTGAAGATAAAGGAAAAGGCTTTCAGGCCTTTTCCACCACAGGCCTGAAAGCACTCCAAATGTCCACTTGCAGATTCTGCCAAAAGAATATTTCAAAACTGCTCTATGAAAAGCAATGTTAAACTCTGCGGCTCGAACACAAACATCACAAAGCCGTTTCTGAGAATGCTTCAGTTTAGTTTTTCTGTGGAAATATTCCCGTTTCCAAAGAAATCTTCAAAGAGGTCCACGTATCCACTTACAGATTCTACAAAAAGACAGTTTCAAAACTGCTCAATCAAAAGGAGGGTTCAACTGTGTGACTTGAATGCAATCATCACTCAGAAGTTTCTGAGAATGCTTCTCTTTAGTTTTTACGTGAACATATACCCGTTTCGAACGAAGGCCACCCAGTGGTCCAAATATCCACTTGCAGATTCTACAGAAAGAGTGTTTCGAACCTGAACTCTCAAAGGCAGGTTCATCTCTGCGAGTTAAATGCATTCATCATGAAGAACTTTCTCAGCGTGTTTGTGTTTAGTTATGGGAAATTATTCCCGTTTCCAACGAAATCCTCAAAGAGCTCCAAATATCCACCTGCAGATTCTACCAAAAGTGTATTTGGAAACTGCTCCATCAAAAGGCATGTTCAGCTCTGTGAGTGAAACTCCATCATCACAAAGAATATTCCGAGAATGCTTCCGTTTGCCTTTTATATGAAGTTCCTTCCTATACTACCGTAGGCCTCAAAGCAGTCCAAATCTCCATTTGCAGATTCTACAAAAAGAGTGATTCCAATCTGCTCTATCAATAGGATTGTTCAGCTCCATGAGTTGAATGCCATCCTCACAAAGTCGTTTCTGAGAATGCTTCTATCTAGTTTTTATGTGAAGATATTTCCTTTTCCACCACAGGCCTCAAAGCCCTCCAAATGTCCACTTGCAGATTCTCGAAAAAGAGTGTTTCATAGCTGCTCTTTCAAAAGGAAAGTTCAACTCTGGGAGTTGAATACAAACATCACAAAGTAGTTTCCGAGAATCTTCTGTTTAGTTTTTATGTGAAGATGATCCCGTTTCCAGTGAATTCTTCAAAGAGGTCCACATATCCCCTTGCAGATTCCAAAGAAAGATGGTTTCAAAACTGCTCCATCAAAAGGATTGTTCAACTCTGTGAGTTGAATGCAGTCATCACAGCAAACTTTCTGAGAATGCTTCTTTCTAGGTTTGATGTGAAGATATAGACGTTTCAAACGAAGGCTACAAAGTGGTCAAAATATACACTTGCAGATTCTACTACAAGGGTGTTGCAAACCTGAACTATCAAAGGAAGGTTCAACTCTGTGAGTTGAATACAAACATCACAAAGAATGTTCTGAGTTTGCTTCCGTTCAGTTATGGGAAGTTGATCCCGTTTCCAACGAAATCCTCAGAGAGGTCCAAATATCCCCTCGCAGATTCTACAAAACGTGTGTTTGGAAACTGCTCCATCATAAAGAATGTTCAGCTCCCTGAGTTAAACTCCATCGTCACAAAGAATTTTCTGAGAGTGCTACCGTCTGGTTTTTATATGAAGTTCTTTCCTTCACTACCACAGGCCTCAAAGCGGTCCAAATCTCCACTTGCAGATTCTACAAAAAGAGTGTTTGCAAACTGCTCTATCAAAAGGAATGTTCAACTCTGGGAGTTGAATGCAATCATCACAGAGCAGTTTCTGAGAATGCTTCTATGTCGTTTTTAGGAGAAGATATTTCCTTTTCCAACACAGTCCTCCAAGCCCGCTAAATAGCCACTTGCACATTGTAGAAAAAGTGTGTCAAAGCTGCGCTATCAAAGGGAAAGTTCAACTCTGTGAGGTGAATGCAAACATCCCAAAGAAGTTTCTGAGAATGCTTCCGTTTAGCTTTTAGGTGAAGATTATCCAGTTTCCAACGAAACCTTCAAATAGATCCAAATATCCCCTTGCGGTTCCCACAGAAAGAGTGTTTCGAAACTGCTGTTTCAAAAGGAATCTTCAACTCTGTGAGTTGAATGCAATCATCACAAAGAAGTTTCTGACAATGCTTCTCTCTCGTCTTTCTGTGAAGATAAAGGAAAAGGCTTTCAGGCCTTTTCCACCACAGGCCTGAAAGCGCTCCAAATGTCCACTTGCAGATTCTGCCAAAAGAATATTTCAAAACTGCTCTATGAAAAGCAATGTTAAACTCTGCGGCTCGAACACAAACATCACAAAGCAGTTTCTGAGAATGCTTCAGTTTAGTTTTTCTGTGGAAATATTCCCGTTTCCAAAGAAATCTTCAAAGAGGTCCACGCATCCACTTACAGATTCTACAAAAACACAGTTTCAAAACTGCTCAATCAAAAGGAGGGTTCAACTGTGTGACTTGAATGCAATCATCACTCAGAAGTTTCTGAGAATGCTTCTCTTTAGTTTTTACGTGAACATATACCCGTTTCGAACGAAGGCCACCCAGTGGTCCAAATATCCACTTGCAGATTCTACAGAAAGAGTGTTTCGAATCTGAACTCTCAAAGGCAGGTTCATCTCTGCGAGTTAAATGCATTCATCATGAAGAACTTTCTCAGCGTGTTTGTGTTTAGGTATGGGAAATTATTCCCGTTTCCAACGAAATCCTCAGAGAGGTCCAAATATCCACCTGCAGATTCTACCAAAAGTGTATTTGGAAACTGCTCCATCAAAAGGCATGTTCAGCTCTGTGAGTCAAACTCCATCATCACAAAGAATATTCTGAGAATGCTTCCGTTTGCCTTTTATATGAAGTTCCTTCCTATACTACCGTAGGCCTCAAAGCAGTCCAAATCTCCATTTGCAGATTCTACCAAAAGAGTGATTCCAATCTGCACTATCAATAGGATTGTTCAACTCCATGAGTTGAATGCCATCCTCACAAAGTCGTTTCTGAGAATGCTTCTATCTAGTTTTTATGTGAAGATATTTCCTTTTCCACCACAGGCCTCAAGGCCCTCCAAACGTCCACTTGCAGATTCTCGAAAAAGAGTGTTTCATAGCCGCTCTTTCAAAAGGAAAGTTCAACTCTGGGAGTTGAATACAAACATCACAAAGTAGTTTCCGAGAATGCTTCTGTTTAGTTCTTATGTGAAGATGATCCCGTTTCCAGTGAAATCTTCAAAGAGGTCCACATATCCCCTTGCAGATTCCAAAGAAAGAGGGTTTCAAAACTGCTCCATCAAAAGGATTGTTCAACTCTGTGAGTTGAATGCAGTCATCGCAGAAAACTTTCTGAGAATGCTTCTGTCTAGGTTTGAGGTGAAGATATAGACGTTTCAAACGAAGGCTACAAAGTGGTCAAAATATACACTTGCAGATTCTACTACAAGGGTGTTGCAAACCTGAACTATCAAAGGAAGGTTCAACTCTGTGAGTTGAATACAAACATCACAAAGAATGTTCTGAGTTTGCTTCCGTTCAGTTATGTGAAGTTGATCCCGTTTCCAACGAAATCCTCAGAGAGGTCCAAATATCCCCTTGCAGATTCTACAAAACGTGTGTTTGGAAACTGCTCCATCATAACGAATGTTCAGCTCTCTGAGTTAAACTCCATCGTCACAAAGAATTTTCTGAGAGTGCTACCGTCTGGTTTTTATATGAAGTTCTTTCCTTTATTACCACAGGCCTCAAAGCGGTCCAAATCTCCACTTGCAGATTCTACAAAAAGAGTGTTTGCAAACTGCTCTATCAAAAGGAATGTTCAACTCTGGGAGTTGAATGCAATCATCACAGAGCAGTTTCTGAGAATGCTTCTATGTCGTTTTTAGGAGAAGATATTTCCTTTTCCAACACAGTCCTCCAAGCCCGCTAAATATCCACTTGCACATTGTAGAAAAAGTGTGTCGAAGCTGCGCTATCAAAGGGAAAGTTCAACTCTGTGAGGTGAATGCAAACATCCCAAAGAAGTTTCTGAGAATGCTTCCGTTTAGCTTTTAGGTGAAGATTATCCCGTTTCCAACGAAAACTTCAAAGAGGTCCAAATATCCCCTTGCGGATCCCACAGAAAGAGTGTTTCGAAACTGCTGTTTCAAAAGGAATCTTCAACTCTGTGAGTTGAATGCAATCATCACAAAGAAGTTTCTGACAATGCTTCTCTCTCGTCTTTCTGTGAAGATAAAGGAAAAGGCTTTCAGGCCTTTTCCACCACAGGCCTGAAAGCGCTCCAAATGTCCACTTGCAGATTCTGCCAAAAGAATATTTCAAAACTGCTCTATGAAAAGCAATGTTAAACTCTGCGGCTCGAACACAAACATCACAAAGCAGTTTCTGAGAATGCTTCGGTTAAGTTTTTCTGTGGAAATATTCCCGTTTCCAAAGAAATCTTCAAAGAGGTCCACGTATCCACTTACAGATTCTACAAAAAGACAGTTTCAAAACTGCTCAATCAAAAGGAGGGTTCAACTGTGTGACTTGAATGCAATCATCACTCAGAAGTTTCTGAGAACGCTTCTCTTTAGTTTTTAGGTGAACATATACCCGTTTCGAACGAAGGCCACCCAGTGGTCCAAATATCCACTTGCAGATTCTACAGAAAGAGTGTTTCGAACCTGAACTCTCAAAGGCAGGTTCATCTCTGCGAGTTAAATGCATTCATCATGAAGAACTTTCTCAGAGTGTTTGTGTTTAGTTATGGGAAATTATTCCCGTTTCCAACGAAATCCTCAGAGAGCTCCAAATATCCACCTGCAGATTCTACCAAAAGTGTATTTGGAAACTGCTCCATCAAAAGGCATGTTCAGCTCTGTGAGTGAAACTCCATCATCACAAAGAATATTCTGAGAATGCTTCCGTTTGCCTTTTATATGAAGTTCCTTCCTGTACTACCGTAGGCCTCAAAGCAGTCCAAATCTCCATTTGCAGATTCTATAAAAAGAGTGATTCCAATCTGCTCTATCAATAGGATTGTTCAACTCCATGAGTTGAATGCCATCCTCACAAAGTAGTTTCTGAGAATGCTTCTATCTGGTTTTTGTGTGAAGATATTTCCTTTTCCACCACAGGCCTCAAAGCCCTCCAAACGTCCACTTGCAGATTCTCGAAAAAGAGTGTTTCATAGCTGCTCTTTCCAAAGGAAAGTTCAACTCTGGGAGTTGAATACAAACATCACAAAGTAGTTTCCGAGAATGCTTCTGTTTAGTTTTTATGTGAAGATGATCCCGTTTCCAGTGAAATCTTCAAAGAGGTCCACATATCCCCTTGCAGATTCCAAAGAAAGAGGGTTTCAAAACTGCTCCATCAGAAGGATTGTTCAACTCTGTGAGTTGAATGCAGTCATCGCAGAAAACTTTCTGAGAATGCTTCTGTCTAGGTTTGATGTGAAGATATAGACGTTTCAAACGAAGGCTACAAAGTGGTCAAAATATACACTTGCAGATTCTACTACAAGGGTGTTGCAAACCTGAACTATCAAAGGAAGGTTCAACTCTGTGAGTTGAATACAAACATCACAAAGAATGTTCTGAGTTTGCTTCCGTTCAGTTATGGGAAGTTGATCCCGTTTCCAACGAAATCCTCAGAGAGGTCCAAATATCCCCTCACAGATTCTACAAAACGTGTGTTTGGAAACTGCTCCATCATAACGAATGTTCAGCTCCCTGAGTTAAACTCCATCGTCACAAAGAATTTTCTGAGAGTGCTACCGTCTGGTTTTTATATGAAGTTCTTTCCTTCACTACCACAGGCCTCAAAGCGGTCCAAATCTCCACTTGCAGATTCTACAAAAAGAGTGTTTGCAAACTGCTCTATCAAAAGGAATGTTCAACTCTGGGAGTTGAATGCAATCATCACAGAGCAGTTTCTGAGAATGCTTCTATGTCGTTTTTAGGAGAAGATATTTCCTTTTCCAACACAGTCCTCCAAGCCCGCTAAATAGCCACTTGCACATTGTAGAAAAAGTGTGTCAAAGCTGCGCTATCAAAGGGAAAGTTCAACTCTGTGAGGTGAATGCAAACATCCCAAAGAAGTTTCTGAGAATGCTTCCGTTTAGCTTTTAGGTGAAGATTATCCCGTTTCCAACGAAATCTTCAAAGAGGTCCAAATATCCCCTTGCGGATCCCACAGAAAGAGTGTTTTGAAACTGCTGTTTCAAAAGGAATCTTCAACTCTGTGGGTTGAATGCAATCATCACAAAGAAGTTTCTGACAATGCTTCTCTCTCGTCTTTCTGTCAAGATAAAGGAAAAGGCTTTCAGGCCTTTTCCACCACAGGCCTGAAAGCGCTCCAAATGTCCACTTGCAGATTCTGCGAAAAGAATATTTCAAAACTGCTCTATGAAAAGCAATGTTAAACTCTGTGGCTGGAACACAAACATCACAAAGCGGTTTCTGAGAATGTTTCAGTTTAGTTTTTCTGTGGAAATATTCCCGTTTCCAAAGAAATCTTCAAAGAGGTCCACGTATCCACTTACAGATTCTACAAAAAGACAGTTTCAAAACTGCTCCATCAAAAGGAGGGTTCAACTGTGTGACTTGAATGCAATCATCACTCAGAAGTTTCTGAGAATGCTTCTCTTTAGTTTTTACGTGAACATATACCCGTTTCGAACGAAGGCCACCCAGTGGTCCAAATATCCACTTGCAGATTCTACAGAAAGAGTGTTTCGAACCTGAACTCTCAAAGGCAGGTTCATCTCTGCAAGTTAAATGCATTCATCATGAAGAACTTTCTCAGAGTGTTTGTGTTTAGTTATGGGAAATTATTCCCGTTTCCAACGAAATCCTCAGAGAGCTCCAAATATCCACCTGCTGATTCTACCAAAAGTGTATTTGGAAACTGCTCCATCAAAAGGCATGTTCAGCTCTGTGAGTGAAACTCCATCATCACAAAGAATATTCTGAGAATGCTTCCGTTTGCCTTTTATATGAAGTTCCTTCCTATACGACCGTAGGCCTCAAAGCAGTCCAAATCTCCATTTGCAGATTCCACAAAAAGAGTGATTCCAATCTGCTCTATCAATAGGATTGTTCAACTCCATGAGTTGAATGCCATCCTCACAAAGTAGTTTCTGAGAATGCTTCTATCTAGTTTTATGTGAAGATATTTCCTTTTCCACCACAGGCCTCAAAGCCCTCCAAACGTCCACTTGCAGATTCTCGAAAAAGAGTGTTTCATAGCTGCTCTTTCAAAAGGAAAGTTCAACTCTGGGAGTTGAATACAAACATCACAAAGTAGTTTCCGAGAATGCTTCTGTTTAGTTTTTATGTGAAGATGATCCCGTTTCCAGTGAAATCTTCAAAGAGGTCCACATATCCCCTTGCAGATTCCAAAGAAAGAGGGTTTCAAAACTGCTCCATCAGAAGGATTGTTCAACTCTGTGAGTTGAATGCAGTCATCGCAGAAAACTTTCTGAGAATGCTTCTGTCTAGGTTTGATGTGAAGATATAGACGTTTCAAATGAAGGCTACAAAGTGGTCAAAATATACACTTGCAGATTCTACTACAAGGGTGTTGCAAACCTGAACTATCAAAGGAAGGTTCAACTCTGTGAGTTGAATACAAACATCACAAAGAATGTTCTGAGTTTGCTTCCGTTCAGTTATGGGAAGTTGATCCCGTTTCCAACGAAATCCTCAGAGAGGTCCAAATATCCCCTTGCAGATTCTACAAAACGTGTGTTTGGAAACTGCTCCATCATAACGAATGTTCAGCTCCCTGAGTTAAACTCCATCGTCACAAAGAATTTTCTGAGAGTGCTACCGTCTGGTTTTTATATGAAGCTCTTTCCTTTACTACCCCAGGCCTCAAAGCGGTCCAAATCTCCACTTGCAGATTCTACAAAAAGAGTGTTTGCAAACTGCTCTATCAAAAGGAATGTTCAACTCTGGGAGTTGAATGCAATCATCACAGAGCAGTTTCTGAGAATGCTTCTATGTCGTTTTTAGGAGAAGATATTTCCTTTTCCAACACAGTCCTCCAAGCCCGCTAAATAGCCACTTGCACATTGTAGAAAAAGTGTGTCAGAGCTGCGCTATCAAAGGGAAAGTTCAACTCTGAGAGGTGAATGCAAACATCCCAAAGAAGTTTCTGAGAGTGCTTCCGTTTAGCTTTTAGGTGAAGATTATCCCGTTTCCAACGAAACCTTCAAAGAAGTCCAAATATCCCCTTGCGGATCCCACAGAAAGAGTGTTTTGAAACTGCTGTTTCAAAAGGAATCTTCAACTCTGTGAGTTGAATGCAATCATCACAAAGAAGTTTCTGACAATGCTTCTCTCTCGTCTTTCTGTGAAGATAAAGGAAAAGGCTTTCAGGCCTTTTCCACCCACAGGCCTGAAAGCGCTCCAAATGTCCACTTGCAGATTCTGCCAAAAGAATATTTCAAAACTGCTCTATGAAAAGCAATGTTAAACTCTGCGGCTCGAACACAAACATCACAAAGCAGTTTCTGAGAATGCTTCAGTTTAGTTTTTCTGTGGAAATATTCCCGTTTCCAAAGAAATCTTCAAAGAGGTCCACGCATCCACTTACAGATTCTACAAAAAGACAGTTTCAAAACTGCTCAATCAAAAGGAGGGTTCAACTGTGTGACTTGAATGCAATCATCACTCAGAAGTTTCTGAGAACGCTTCTCTTTAGTTTTTACGTGAACGTATACCCGTTTCGAACGAAGTCCAGCCAGTGGTACAAATATCCACTTACAGATTCTACAGAAAGAGTGTTTCGAACCTGAACTCTCAAAGGCAGGTTCATCTCTGCGAGTTAAATGCATTCATCATGAAGAACTTTCTCAGCGTGTTTGTGTTTAGTTATGGGAAATTATTCCCGTTTCCAACGAAATCCTCAGAGAGCTCCAAATATCCACCTGCAGATTCTACCAAAAGTGTATTTGGAAACTGCTCCATCAAAAGGCATGTTCAGCTCTGTGAGTGAAACTCCATCATCACAAAGAATATTCTGAGAATGCTTCCGTTCGCCTTTTATATGAAGTTCCTTCCTATACTACCGTAGGCCTCAAAGCAGTCCAAATCTCCATTTGCAGATTCTACAAAAAGAGTGATTCCAATCTGCTCTATCAATAGGACTGTTCAACTCCATGAGTTGAATGCCATCCTCACAAAGTCGTTTCTGAGAATGCTTCTATCTACTTTTTATGTGAAGATATTTCCTTTTCCACCACAGGCCTCAAAGCCCTCCAAACGTCCACTTGCAGATTCTCGAAAAAGAGTGTTTCATAGCTGCTCTTTCAAAAGGAAAGTTCAACTCTGGGAGTTGAATACAAACATCACAAAGTAGTTTCCGAGAATGCTTCTGTTTAGTTCTTATGTGAAGATGATCCCCTTTCCAGTGAAATCTTCAAAGAGGTCCACATATCCCCTTGCAGATTCCAAAGAAAGAGGGTTTCAAAACTGCTCCATCAAAAGGATTGTTCAACTCTGTGAGTTGAATGCAGTCATCGCAGAAAACTTTCTGAGAATGCTTCTGTCTAGGTTTGATGTGAAGATATAGACGTTTCAAACGAAGGCTACAAAGTGGTCAAAATATACACTTGCAGATTCTACTACAAGGGTGTTGCAAACCTGAACTATCAAAGGAAGGTTCAACTCTGTGAGTTGAATACAAACATCACAAAGAATGTTCTGAGTTTGCTTCCGTTCAGTTATGGGAAGTTGATCCCGTTTCCAACAAAATCCTCAGAGAGGTCCAAATATCCCCTTGCAGATTCTACAAAACGTGTGTTTGGAAACTGCTCCATCATAACGAATGTTCAGCTCTCTGAGTTAAACTCCATCGTCACAAAGAATTTTCTGAGAGTGCTACCGTCTGGTTTTTATATGAAGTTCTTTCCTTCACTACCACAGGCCTCAAAGCGGTCCAAATCTCCACTTGCAGATTCTACAAAAAGAGTGTTTGCAAACTGCTCTATCAAAAGGAATGTTCAACTCTGGGAGTTGAATGCAATCATCACAGAGCAGTTTCTGAGAATGCTTCTATGTCGTTTTTAGGAGAAGATATTTCCTTTTCCAACACAGTCCCCCAAGCCCGCTAAATAGCCACTTGCACATTGTAGAAAAAGTGTGTCAAAGCTGCGCTATCAAAGGGAAAGTTCAACTCTGTGAGGTGAATGCAAACATCCCAAAGAAGTTTCTGAGAATGCTTCCGTTTAGCTTTTAGGTGAAGATTATCCCGTTTCCAACGAAACCTTCAAAGAGGTCCAAATATCCCCTTGCGGATCCCACAGAAAGAGTGTTTCGAAACTGCTGTTTCAAAAGGAATCTTCAACTCTGTGAGTTGAATGCAATCATCACAAAGAAGTTTCTGACAATGCTTCTCTCTCGTCTTTCTGTGAAGATAAAGGAAAAGGCTTTCAGGCCTTTTCCACCACAGGCCTGAAAGCGCTCCAAATGTCCACTTGCAGATTCTGCGAAAAGAATATTTCAAAACTGCTCTATGAAAAGCAATGTTAAACTCTGTGGCTCGAACACAAACATCACAAAGCGGTTTCTGAGAATGCTTCAGTTTAGTTTTTCTGTGGAAATATTCCCGTTACCAAAGAAATCTTCAAAGAGGTCCACGTATCCACTTACAGATTCTACAAAAAGACAGTTTCAAAACTGCTCCATCAAAAGGAGGGTTCAACTGTGTGACTTGAATGCAATCATCACTCAGAAGTTTCTGAGAATGCTTCTCTTTAGTTTTTACGTGAACATAT
Source organism: Homo sapiens (assembly GCF_000001405.40). Classification (NCBI taxonomy): domain Eukaryota; kingdom Metazoa; phylum Chordata; class Mammalia; order Primates; family Hominidae; genus Homo; species Homo sapiens. The sequence continues at coordinate 60,658,165 of NC_000023.11, read as the reverse complement.
ACCCGTTTCGAACGAAGGCCACCCAGTGGTCCAAATATCCACTTGCAGATTCTACAGAAAGAGTGTTTCGAACCTGAACTCTCAAAGGCAGGTTCATCTCTGCGAGTTAAATGCATTCATCATGAAGAACTTTCTCAGAGTGTTTGTGTTTAGTTATGGGAAATTATTCCCGTTTCCAACGAAATCCTCAGAGAGCTCCAAATATCCACCTGCAGATTCTACCAAAAGTGTATTTGGAAACTGCTCCATCAAAAGGCATGTTCAGCTCTGTGAGTGAAACTCCATCATCACAAAGAATATTCTGAGAATGCTTCCGTTTGCCTTTTATATGAAGTTCCTTCCTGTACTACTGTAGGCCTCAAAGCAGTCCAAATCTCCATTTGCAGATTCTACAAAAAGAGTGATTCCAATCTGCTCTATCAATAGGATTGTTCAACTCCATGAGTTGAATGCCATCCTCACAAAGTAGTTTCTGAGAATGCTTCTATCTAGTTTTTATGTGAAGATATTTCCTTTTCCACCACAGGCCTCAAAGCCCTCCAAACGTCCACTTGCAGATTCTCGAAAAAGAGTGTTTCATAGCTGCTCTTTCAAAAGGAAAGTTCAACTCTGGGAGTTGAATACAAACATCACAAAGTAGTTTCCGAGAATGCTTCTGTTTAGTTGTTATGTGAAGATGATCCCGTTTCCAGTGAAATCTTCAAAGAGGTCCATATATCCCCTTGCAGATTCCAAAGAAAGAGGGTTTCAAAACTGCTCCATCAAAAGGATTGTGCAACTCTGTGAGTTGAATGCAGTCATCACAGAAAACTTTCTGAGAATGCTTCTGTCTAGGTTTGATGTGAAGATATAGACGTTTCAAACGAAGGCTACAAAGTGGTCAAAATATACACTTGCAGATTCTACTACAAGGGTGATGCAAACCTCAACTATCAAAGGAAGGTTCAACTCTGTGAGTTGAATACAAACATCACAAAGAATGTTCTGAGTTTGCTTCCGTTCAGTTATGGGAAGTTGATCCCGTTTCCAACGAAATCCTCAGAGAGGTCCAAATATCCCCTTGCAGATTCTACAAAACGTGTGTTTGGAAACTGCTCCATCATAACGGATGTTCAGCTCTCTGAGTTAAACTCCATCGTCACAAAGAATTTTCTGAGAGTGCTACCGTCTGGTTTTTATATGAAGTTGTTTCCTTTACTACCACAGGCCTCAAAGCGGTCCAAATCTCCACTTGCAGATTCTACAAAAAGAGTGTTTGCAAACTGCTCTATCAAAAGGAATGTTCAACTCTGGGAGTTGAATGCAATCATCACAGAGCAGTTTCTGAGAATGCTTCTATGTCGTTTTTAGGAGAAGATATTTCCTTTTCCAACACAGTCCTCCAAGCCCGCTAAATATCCACTTGCACATTGTAGAAAAAGTGTGTCGAAGCTGCGCTATCAAAGGGAAAATTCAACTCTGTGAGGTGAATGCAAACATCCAAAAGAAGTTTCTGAGAATGCTTCCGTTTAGCTTTTAGGTGACGATTATCCAGTTTCCAACGAAACCTTCAAATAGATCCAAATATCCCCTTGCGGTTCCCACAGAAAGAGTGTTTCGAAACTGCTGTTTCAAAAGGAATCTTCAACTCTGTGAGTTGAATGCAATCATCACAAAGAAGTTTCTGACAATGCTTCTCTCTCGTCTTTCTGTGAAGATAAAGGAAAAGGCTTTCAGGCCTTTTCCACCACAGGCCTGAAAGCGCTCCAAATGTCCACTTGCAGATTCTGCCAAAAGAATAGTTCAAAACTGCTCTATGAAAAGCAATGTTAAACTCTGTGGCTTGAACACAAACATCACAAAGCAGTTTCTGAGAATGCTTCAGTTTAGTTTTTCTGTGGAAATATTCCCGTTTCCAAAGAAATCTTCAAAGAGGTCCACGTATCCACTTACAGATTCTATAAAAAGACAGTTTCAAAACTGCTCCATCAAAAGGAGGGTTCAACTGTGTGACTTGAATGCAATCATCACTCAGAAGTTTCTGAGAATGCTTCTCTTTAGTTTTTACGTGAACATATACCCGTTTCGAACGAAGGCCACCCAGTGGTCCAAATATCCACTTGCAGATTCTACAGAAAGAGTGTTTCGAACCTGAACTCTCAAAGGCAGGTTCATCTCTGCGAGTTAAATGCATTCATCATGAAGAACTTTCTCAGAGTGTTTGTGTTTAGTTATGGGAAATTATTCCCGTTTCCAACGAAATCCTCAGAGAGCTCCAAATATCCACCTGCAGATTCTACCAAAAGTGTATTTGGAAACTGCTCCATCAAAAGGCATGTTCAGCTCTGTGAGTGAAACTCCATCATCACAAAGAATATTCTGAGAATGCTTCCGTTTGCCTTTTATATGAAGTTCCTTCCTGTACTACTGTAGGCCTCAAAGCAGTCCAAATCTCCATTTGCAGATTCTACAAAAAGAGTGATTCCAATCTGCTCTATCAATAGGATTGTTCAACTCCATGAGTTGAATGCCATCCTCACAAAGTAGTTTCTGAGAATGCTTCTATCTGGTTTTTGTGTGAAGATATTTCCTTTTCCACCACAGGCCTCAAAGCCCTCCAAACGTCCACTTGCAGATTCTCGAAAAAGAGTGTTTCATAGCTGCTCTTTCAAAAGGAAAGTTCAACTCTGGGAGTTGAATACAAACATCACAAAGTAGTTTCCGAGAATGCTTATATTTAGTTTTTATGTGAAGATGATCCCGTTTCCAGTGAAATCTTCAAAGAGGTCCACATATCCCCTTGCAGATTCCAAAGAAAGAGGGTTTCAAAACTGCTCCATCAGAAGGATTGTTCAACTCTGTGAGTTGAATGCAGTCATCGCAGAAAACTTTCTAAGAATGCTTCTTTCTAGGTTTGATGTGAAGATATAGACGTTTCAAACGAAGGCTACAAAGTGGTCAAAATATACACTTGCAGATTCTACTACAAGGGTGTTGCAAACCTGAACTATCAAAGGAAGGTTCAACTCTGTGAGTTGAATACAAACATCACAAAGAATGTTCTGAGTTTGCTTCCGTTCAGTTATGGGAAGTTGATCCCGTTTCCTACGAAATCCTCAGAGAGGTCCAAATATCCCCTTGCAGATTCTACAAAACGTGTGTTTGGAAACTGCTCCATCATAACGAATGTTCAGCTCTCTGAGTTGAACTCCATCGTCACAAAGAATTTTCTGAGAGTGCTACCGTCTAGTTTTTATATGAAGTTCTTTCCTTTACTACCACAGGCCTCAAAGCGGTCCAAATCTCCACTTGCAGATTCTACAAAAAGAGTGTTTGCAAACTGCTCTATCAAAAGGAATGTTCAACTCTGGGAGTTGAATGCAATCATCACAGAGCAGTTTCTGAGAATGCTTCTATGTCGTTTTTAGGAGAAGATATTTCCTTTTCCAACACAGTCCTCCAAGCCCGCTAAATATCCACTTGCACATTGTAGAAAAAGTGTGTCGAAGCTGCGCTATCAAAGGGAAAGTTCAACTCTGTGAGGTGAATGCAAACATCCCAAAGAAGTTTCTGAGAATGCTTCCGTTTAGCTTTTAGGTGAAGATTATCCCGTTTGCAACGAAATCTTCAAAGAGGTCCAAATATCCCCTTGCGGATCCCACAGAAAGAGTGTTTCGAAACTGCTGTTTCAAAAGGAATCTTCAACTCTGTGAGTTGAATGCAATCATCACAAAGAAGTTTCTGACAATGCTTCTCTCTCATCTTTCTGTGAAGATAAAGGAAAAGGCTTTCAGGCCTTTTCCACCACAGGCCTGAAAGCGCTCCAAATGTCCACTTGCAGATTCTGCCAAAAGAATATTTCAAAACTGCTCTATGAATAGCAATGTTAAATTCTGCGGCTCGAACACAAACATAACAAAGCAGTTTCTGAGAATGCTTCAGTTTAGTTTTTCTGTGGAAATATTCCCGTTTCCAAAGAAATCTTCAAAGAGGTCCACGCATCCACTTACAGATTCTACAAAAAGACAGTTTCAAAACTGCTCAATCAAAAGGAGGGTTCAACTGTGTGACTTGAATGCAATCATCACTCAGAAGTTTCTGAGAATGCATCTCTTTAGTTTTTACGTGAACATATACTCGTTTCGAACGAAGGCCAGCCAGTGGTCCAAATATCCACTTGCAGATTCTACAGAAAGAGTGTTTCGAACATGAACTCTCAAAGGCAGGTTCATCTCTGCGAGTTAAATGCATTCATCATGAAGAACTTTCTCAGAGTGTTTGTGTTCAGTTATGGGAAATTATTCCCGTTTCCAACGAAATCCTCAGAGAGGTCCAAATATCCACCTGCAGATTCTACCAAAAGTGTATTTGGAAACTGCTCCATGAAAAGGCATGTTCAGCTCTGTGAGTGAAACTCCATCATCACAAAGAATATTCTGAGAATGCTTCCGTTTGCCTTTTATATGAAGTTCCTTCCTATACTACCGTAGGCCTCAAAGCAGTCCAAATCTCCATTTGCAGATTCTACAAAAAGAGTGATTCCAATCTGCTCTATCAATAGGATTGTTCAACTCCATGAGTTGAATGCCATCCTCACAAAGTAGTTTCTGAGAATGCTTCTATCTACTTTTTATGTGAAGATATTTCCTTTTCCACCACAGGCCTCAAAGCCCTCCAAACGTCCACTTGCAGATTCTAGAGAAAGAGTGTTTCATAGCTGCTCTTTCAAAAGGAAAGTTCAACTCTGGGAGGTGAATACAAACATCACAAAGTAGTTTCCGAAAATGCTTCTGTTTAGTTCTTATGTGAAGATGATCCCGTTTCCAGTGAAATCTTCAAAGAGGTCCACATATCCCCTTGCAGATTCCAAAGAAAGAGGGTTTCAAAACTGCTCCATCAAAAGGATTGTTCAACTCTGTGAGTTGAATGCAGTCATCGCAGAAAACTTTCTGAGAATGCTTCTGTCTAGGTTTGAGGTGAAGATATAGACGTTTCAAACGAAGGCTACAAAGTGGTCAAAATATACACTTGCAGATTCTACTACAAGGGTGTTGCAAACCTGAACTATCAAAGGAAGGTTCAACTCTGTGAGTTGAATACAAACATCACAAAGTATGTTCTGAGTTTGCTTCCGTTCAGTTATGGGAAGTTGATCCCGTTTCCAACGAAATGCTCAGAGAGGTCCAAATATCCCCTTGCAGATTCTACAAAACGTGTGTTTGGAAACTGCTCCATCATAACGAATGTTCAGCTCTCTGAGTTAAACTCCATCGTCACAAAGAATTTTCTGAGAGTGCTACCGTCTAGTTTTTATATGAAGTTCTTTCCTTTACTACCACAGGCCTCAAAGCGGTCCAAATCTCCACTTGCAGATTCTACAAAAAGAGTGTTTGCAAACTGCTCTATCAAAAGGAATGTTCAACTCTGGGAGTTGAATGCAATCATCACAGAGCAGTTTCTGAGAATGCTTCTATGTCGTTTTTAGGAGAAGATATTTCCTTTTCCAACACAGTCCTCCAAGCCCGCTAAATATCCACTTGCACATTGTAGAAAAAGTGTGTCAAAGCTGCGCTATCAAAGAGAAAGTTCAACTCTGTGAGGTGAATGCAAACATCCCAAAGAAGTTTCTGAGAATGCTTCCGTTTAGCTTTTAGGTGAAGATTATCCCGTTTCCAACGAAATCTTCAAAGAGGTCCAAATATCCCCTTGCGGATCCCACAGAAAGAGTGTTTCGAAACTGCTGTTTCAAAAGGAATCTTCAACTCTGTGAGTTGAATGCAATCATCACAAAGAAGTTTCTGACAATGCTTCTCTCTCGTCTTTCTGTGAAGATAAAGGAAAAGGCTTTCAGGCCTTTTCCACCACAGGCCTGAAAGCGCTCCAAATGTCCACTTGCAGATTCTGCCAAAAGAATATTTCAAAACTGCTCTATGAAAAGCAATGTTAAACTCTGCGGCTCGAACACAAACATGACAAAGCAGTTTCTGAGAATGCTTCAGTTTAGTTTTTCTGTGGAAATATTCCCGTTTCCAAAGAAATCTTCAAAGAGGTCCACGCATCCACTTACAGATTCTACAAAAAGACAGTTTCAAAACTGCTCAATCAAAAGGAGGGTTCAACTGTGTGACTTGAATGCAATCATCACTCAGAAGTTTCTGAGAACGCTTCTCTTTAGTTTTTACGTGAACATATACCCGTTTCGAACGAAGGCCAGCCAGCGGTCCAAATATCCACTTGCAGATTCTACAGAAAGAGTGTTTCGAACCTGAACTCTCAAAGGCAGGTTCATCTCTGCGAGTTAAATGCATTCATCATGAAGAACTTTCTCAGCGTGTTTGTGTTTAGTTATGGGAAATTATTCCCGTTTCCAACGAAATCCTCAGAGAGGTCCAAATATCCACCTGCAGATTCTACCAAAAGTGTATTTGGAAACTGCTCCATCAAAAGGCATGTTCAGCTCTGTGAGTGAAACTCCATCATCACAAAGAATATTCTGAGAATGCTTCCGTTTGCCTTTTATATGAAGTTCCTTCCTATACGACCGGAGGCCTCAAAGCAGTCCAAATCTCCATTTGCAGATTCTACAAAAAGAGTGATTCCAATCTGCTCTATCAATAGGATTGTTCAACTCCATGAGTTGAATGCCATCCTCACAAAGTCGTTTCTGAGAATGCTTCTATCTAGTTTTTATGTGAAGATATTTCCTTTTCCACCACAGGCCTCAAAGCCCTCCAAACGTCCACTTGCAGATTCTCGAAAAAGAGTGTTTCATAGCTGCTCTTTCAAAAGGAAAGTTCAACTCTGGGAGTTGAATACAAACATCACAAAGTAGTTTCCGAGAATGCTTCTGTTTAGTTTTTATGTGAAGATGATCCCGTTTCCAGTGAAATCTTCAAAGAGGTCCACATATCCCCTTGCAGATTCCAAAGAAAGAGGGTTTCAAAACTGCTCCATCAGAAGGATTGTTCAACTCTGTGAGTTGAATGCAGTCATCGCAGAAAACTTTCTGAGAATGCTTCTGTCTAGGTTTGATGTGAAGATATAGACGTTTCAAACGAAGGCTACAAAGTGGTCAAAATATACACTTGCAGATTCTACTACAAGGGTGTTGCAAACCTGAACTATCAAAGGAAGGTTCAACTCTGTGAGTTGAATACAAACATCACAAAGAATGTTCTGAGTTTGCTTCCGTCCAGTTATGGGAAGTTGATCCCGTTTCCAACGAAATCCTCAGAGAGGTCCAAATATCCCCTTGCAGATTCTACAAAACGTGTGTTGGGAAACTGCTCCATCATAACGAATGTTCAGCTCCCTGAGTTAAACTCCATCGTCACAAAGAATTTTCTGAGAGTGCTACCGTCTGGTTTTTATATGAAGTTCTTTCCTTCACTACCACAGGCCTCAAAGCGGTCCAAATCTCCACTTGCAGATTCTACAAAAAGAGTGTTTGCAAACTGCTCTATCAAAAGGAATGTTCAACTCTGGGAGTTGAATGCAATCATCACAGAGCAGTTTCTGAGAATGCTTCTATGTCGTTTTTAGGAGAAGATATTTCCTTTTCCAACACAGTCCTCCAAGCCCGCTAAATAGCCACTTGCACATTGTAGAAAAAGTGTGTCAAAGCTGCGCTATCAAAGGGAAAGTTCAACTCTGTGAGGTGAATGCAAACATCCCAAAGAAGTTTCTGAGAATGCTTCCGTTTAGCTTTTAGGTGAAGATTATCCCGTTTCCAACGAAACCTTCAAAGAGGTCCAAATATCCCCTTGCGGATCCCACAGAAAGAGTGTTTCGAAACTGCTGTTTCAAAAGGAATCTTCAACTCTGTGAGTTGAATGCAATCATCACAAAGAAGTTTCTGACAATGCTTCTCTCTCGTCTTTCTGTGAAGATAAAGGAAAAGGCTTTCAGGCCTTTTCCACCACAGGCCTGAAAGCGCTCCAAATGTCCACTTGCAGATTCTGCGAAAAGAATATTTCAAAACTGCTCTATGAAAAGCAATGTTAAACTCTGTGGCTCGAACACAAACATCACAAAGCGGTTTCTGAGAATGTTTCAGTTTAGTTTTTCTGTGGAAATATTCCCGTTTCCAAAGAAATCTTCAAAGAGGTCCACGTATCCACTTACAGATTCTACAAAAAGACAGTTTCAAAACTGCTCCATCAAAAGGAGGGTTCAACTGTGTGACTTGAATGCAATCATCACTCAGAAGTTTCTGAGAATGCTTCTCTTTAGTTTTTACGTGAACATATACCCGTTTCGAACGAAGGCCACCCAGTGGTCCAAATATCCACTTGCAGATTATACAGAAAGAGTGTTTCGAACCTGAACTCTCAAAGGCAGGTTCATCTCTGCGAGTTAAATGCATTCATCATGAAGAACTTTCTCAGAGTGTTTGTGTTTAGTTATGGGAAATTATTCCCCGTTTCCAACGAAATCCTCAGAGAGCTCCAAATATCCACCTGCAGATTCTACCAAAAGTGTATTTGGAAACTGCTCCATCAAAAGGCATGTTCAGCTCTGTGAGTGAAACTCCATCATCACAAAGAATATTCTGAGAATGCTTCCGTTTGCCTTTTATATGAAGTTCCTTCCTATACGACCGTAGGCCTCAAAGCAGTCCAAATCTCCATTTGCAGATTCTACAAAAAGAGTGATTCCAATCTGCTCTATCAATAGGATTGTTCAACTCCATGAGTTGAATGCCATCCTCACAAAGTCGTTTCTGAGAATGCTTCTATCTAGTTTTTATGTGAAGATATTTCCTTTTCCACCACAGGCCTCAAAGCCCTCCAAACGTCCACTTGCAGATTCTCGAAAAAGAGTGTTTCATAGCTGCTCTTTCAAAAGGAAAGTTCAACTCTGGGAGTTGAATACAAACATCACAAAGTAGTTTCCGAGAATGCTTCTGTTTAGTTTTTATGTGAAGATGATCCCGTTTCCAGTGAAATCTTCAAAGAGGTCCACATATCCCCTTGCAGATTCCAAAGAAAGAGGGTTTCAAAACTGCTCCATCAGAAGGATTGTTCAACTCTGTGAGTTGAATGCAGTCATCGCAGAAAACTTTCTGAGAATGCTTCTGTCTAGGTTTGATGTGAAGATATAGATGTTTCAAACGAAGGCTACAAAGTGGTCAAAATATACACTTGCAGATTCTACTACAAGGGTGTTGCAAACCTGAACTATCAAAGGAAGGTTCAACTCTGTGAGTTGAATACAAACATCACAAAGAATGTTCTGAGTTTGCTTCCGTTCAGTTATGGGAAGTTGATCCCGTTTCCAACGAAATCCTCAGAGAGGTCCAAATATCCCCTTGCAGATTCTACAAAACGTGTGTTTGGAAACTGCTCCATCATAACGAATGTTCAGCTCCCTGAGTTAAACTCCATCGTCACAAAGAATTTTCTGAGAGTGCTACCGTCTGGTTTTTATATGAAGTTCTTTCCTTCACTACCACAGGCCTCAAAGCGGTCCAAATCTCCACTTGCAGATTCTACAAAAAGAGTGTTTGCAAACTGCTCTATCAAAAGGAATGTTCAACTCTGGGAGTTGAATGCAATCATCACAGAGCAGTTTCTGAGAATGCTTCTATGTCGTTTTTAGGAGAAGATATTTCCTTTTCCAACACAGTCCTCCAAGCCCGCTAAATAGCCACTTGCACATTGTAGAAAAAGTGTGTCAAAGCTGCGCTATCAAAGGGAAAGTTCAACTCTGTCAGGTGAATGCAAACATCCCAAAGAAGTTTCTGAGAATGCTTCCGTTTAGCTTTTAGGTGAAGATTATCCCGTTTCCAACGAAACCTTCAAAGAAGTCCAAATATCCCCTTGCGGATCCCACAGAAAGAGTGTTTCGAAACTGCTGTTTCAAAAGGAATCTTCAACTCTGTGAGTTGAATGCAATCATCACAAAGAAGTTTCTGACAATGCTTCTTCTCTCTCGTCTTTCTGTGAAGATAAAGGAAAAGGCTTTCAGGCCTTTGCCACCACAGGCCTGAAAACGCTCCAAATGTCCACTTGCAAATTCTGCGAAAAGAATATTTCAAAACTGCTCTATGAAAAGCAATGTTAAACTCTGTGGCTCGAACACAAACATCACAAAGCAGTTTCTGAGAATGCTTCAGTTTAGTTTTTCTGTGGAAATATTCCCGTTTCCAAAGAAATCTTCAAAGAGGTCCACGCATCCACTTACAGATTCTACAAAAAGACAGTTTCAAAACTGCTCCATCAAAAGGAGGGTTCAACTGTGTGACTTGAATGCAATCATCACTCAGAAGTTTCTGAGAATGCTTCTCTTTAGTTTTTACGTGAACATATACCCGTTTCGAACGAAGGCCACCCAGTGGTCCAAATATCCACTTGCAGATTCTACAGAAAGAGTGTTTCGAACCTGAACTCTCAAAGGCAGGTTCATCTCTGCGAGTTAAATGCATTCATCATGAAGAACTTTCTCAGAGTGTTTGTGTTTAGTTATGGGAAATTATTCCCGTTTCCAACGAAATCCTCAGAGAGCTCCAAATATCCACCTGCAGATTCTACCAAAAGTGTATTTGGAAACTGCTCCATCAAAAGGCATGTTCAGCTCTGTGAGTGAAACTCCATCATCACAAAGAATATTCTGAGAATGCTTCCGTTTGCCTTTTATATGAAGTTCCTTCCTATACGACCGTAGGCCTCAAAGCAGTCCAAATCTCCATTTGCAGATTCTACAAAAAGAGTGATTCCAATCTGCTCTATCAATAGGATTGTTCAACTCCATGAGTTGAATGCCATCCTCACAAAGTAGTTTCTGAGAATGCTTCTATCTAGTTTTTATGTGAAGATATTTCCTTTTCCACCACAGGCCTCAAAGCCCTCCAAACGTCCACTTGCAGATTCTCGAAAAAGAGTGTTTCATAGCTGCTCTTTCAAAAGGAAAGTTCAACTCTGGGAGTTGAATACAAACATCACAAAGTAGTTTCCGAGAATGCTTCTGTTTAGTTTTTATGTGAAGATGATCCCGTTTCCAGTGAAATCTTCAAAGAGGTCCACATATCCCCTTGCAGATTCCAAAGAAAGAGGGTTTCAAAACTGCTCCATCAGAAGGATTGTTCAACTCTGTGAGTTGAATGCAGTCATCGCAGAAAACTTTCTGAGAATGCTTCTGTCTAGGTTTGATGTGAAGATATAGACGTTTCAAACGAAGGCTACAAAGTGGTCAAAATATACACTTGCAGATTCTACTACAAGGGTGTTGCAAACCTGAACTATCAAAGGAAGGTTCAACTCTGTGAGTTGAATACAAACATCACAAAGAATGTTCTGAGTTTGCTTCCGTTCAGTTATGGGAAGTTGATCCCGTTTCCAACGAAATCCTCAGAGAGGTCCAAATATCCCCTTGCAGATTCTACAAAACGTGTGTTTGGAAACTGCTCCATCATAACGAATGTTCAGCTCCCTGAGTTAAACTCCATCGTCACAAAGAATTTTCTGAGAGTGCTACCGTCTGGTTTTTATATGAAGCTCTTTCCTTCACTACCACAGGCCTCAAAGCGGTCCAAATCTCCACTTGCAGATTCTACAAAAAGAGTGTTTGCAAACTGCTCTATCAAAAGGAATGTTCAACTCTGGGAGTTGAATGCAATCATCACAGAGCAGTTTCTGAGAATGCTTCTATGTCGTTTTTAGAAGATATTTCCTTTTCCAACACAGTCCTCCAAGCCCGCTAAATATCCACTTGCACATTGTAGAAAAAGTGTGTCAAAGCTGCGCTATCAAAGGGAAAGTTCAACTCTGTGAGGTGAATGCAAACATCCCAAAGAAGTTTCTGAGAATGCTTCCGTTTAGCTTTTAGGTGAAGATTATCCCGTTTCCAACGAAACCTTCAAAGAGGTCCAAATATCCCCTTGCGGATCCCACAGAAAGAGTGTTTCGAAACTGCTGTTTCAAAAGGAATCTTCAACTCTGTGAGTTGAATGCAATCATCACAAAGAAGTTTCTGACAATGCTTCTCTCTCGTCTTTCTGTGAAGATAAAGGAAAAGGCTTTCAGGCCTTTTCCACCACAGGCCTGAAAGCGCTCCAAATGTCCACTTGCAGATTCTGCGAAAAGAATATTTCAAAACTGCTCTATGAAAAGCAATGTTAAACTCTGTGGCTCGAACACAAACATCACAAAGCGGTTTCTGAGAATGCTTCAGTTTAGTTTTTCTGTGGAAATATTCCCGTTTCCAAAGAAATCTTCAAAGAGGTCCACGTATCCACTTACAGATTCTACAAAAAGACAGTTTCAAAACTGCTCCATCAAAAGGAGGGTTCAACTGTGTGACTTGAATGCAATCATCACTCAGAAGTTTCTGAGAATGCTTCTCTTTAGTTTTTACGGGAACATATACCCGTTTCAAACGAAGGCCAGCCAGTGGTCCAAATATCCACTTGCAGATTCTACAGAAAGAGTGTTTTGAACCTGAACTCTCAAAGGCAGGTTCATCTCTGAGAGTTCAATGCATTCATCATGAAGAACTTTCTCAGAGTGTTTGTGTTTAGTTATGGGAAATTATTCCCGTTTCCAACGAAATCCTCAGAGAGCTCCAAATATCCACCTGCAGATTCTACCAAAAGTGTATTTGGAAACTGCTCCATCAAAAGGCATGTTCAGCTCTGTGAGTGAAACTCCATCATCACAAAGAATATTCTGAGAATGCTTCCGTTTGCCTTTTATATGAAGTTCCTTCCTATACGACCGTAGGCCTCAAAGCAGTCCAAATCTCCATTTGCAGATTCTACAAAAAGAGTGATTCCAATCTGCTCTATCAATAGGATTGTTCAACTCCATGAGTTGAATGCCATCCTCACAAAGTCGTTTCTGAGAATGCTTCTATCTAGTTTTTATGTGAAGATATTTCCTTTTCCACCACAGGCCTCAAAGCCCTCCAAACGTCCACTTGCAGATTCTCGAGAAAGAGTGTTTCATAGCTGCTCTTTCAAAAGGAAAGTTCAACTCTGGGAGTTGAATACAAACATCACAAAGTAGTTTCCGAGAATGCTTCTGTTTAGTTTTTATGTGAAGATGATCCCGTTTCCAGTGAAATCTTCAAAGAGGTCCACATATCCCCTTGCAGATTCCAAAGAAAGAGGGTTTCAAAACTGCTCCATCAGAAGGATTGTTCAACTCTGTGAGTTGAATGCAGTCATCGCAGAAAACTTTCTGAGAATGCTTCTGTCTAGGTTTGATGTGAAGATATAGACGTTTCAAACGAAGGCTACAAAGTGGTCAAAATATACACTTGCAGATTCTACTACAAGGGTGTTGCAAACCTGAACTATCAAAGGAAGGTTCAACTCTGTGAATTGAATACAAACATCACAAAGAATGTTCTGAGTTTGCTTCCGTTCAGTTATGGGAAGTTGATCCCGTTTCCAACGAAATCCTCAGAGAGGTCCAAATATCCCCTTGCAGATTCTACAAAACGTGTGTTTGGTAACTGCTCCATCATAACGAATGTTCAGCTCCCTGAGTTAAACTCCATCGTCACAAAGAATTTTCTGAGAGTGCTACCGTCTGGTTTTTGTATGAAGCTCTTTCCTTCACTACCACAGACCTCAAAGCGGTCCAAATCTCCACTTGCAGATTCTACAAAAAGAGTGTTTGCAAACTGCTCTATCAAAAGGAATGTTCAACTCTGGGAGTTGAATGCAATCATCACAGAGCAGTTTCTGAGAATGCTTCTATGTCGTTTTTAGGAGAAGATATTTCCTTTTCCAACACAGTCCTCCAAGCCCGCTAAATAGCCACTTGCACATTGTAGAAAAAGTGTGTCAAAGCTGCGCTATCAAAGGGAAAGTTCAACTCTGTGAGGTGAATGCAAACATCCCAAAGAAGTTTCTGAGAATGCTTCCGTTTAGCTTTTAGGTGAAGATTATCCCGTTTCCAACGAAACCTTCAAAGAGGTCCAAATATCCCCTTGCGGATCCCACAGAAAGAGTGTTTCGAAACTGCTGTTTCAAAAGGAATCTTCAACTCTGTGAGTTGAATGCAATCATCACAAAGAAGTTTCTGACAATGCTTCTCTCTCGTCTTTCTGTGAAGATAAAGGAAAAGGCTTTCAGGCCTTTTCCACCACAGGCCTGAAAGCGCTCCAAATGTCCACTTGCAGATTCTGCGAAAAGAATATTTCAAAACTGCTCTATGAAAAGCAATGTTAAACTCTGTGGCTCGAACACAAACATCACAAAGCAGTTTCTGAGAATGCTTCAGTTTAGTTTTTCTGTGGAAATATTCCCGTTTCCAAAGAAATCTTCAAAGAGGTCCACGTATCCACTTACAGATTCTACAAAAAGACAGTTTCAAAACTGCTCCATCAAAAGGAGGGTTCAACCGTGTGACTTGAATGCAATCATCACTCAGAAGTTTCTGAGAATGCTTCTCTTTAGTTTTTACGTGAACATATACCCGTTTCGAACGAAGGCCACCCAGTGGTCCAAATATCCACTTGCAGATTCTACAGAAAGAGTGTTTCGAACCTGAACTCTCAAAGGCAGGTTCATCTCTGCGAGTTCAATGCATTCATCATGAAGAACTTTCTCAGAGTGTTTGTGTTTAGGTATGGGAAATTATTCCCGTTTCCAACGAAATCTTCAGAGAGGTCCAAATATCCACCTGCAGATTCTACCAAAAGTGTATTTGGAAACTGCTCCATCAAAAGGCATGTTCAGCTCTGTGAGTGAAACTCCATCATCACAAAGAATATTCTGAGAATGCTTCCGTTTGCCTTTTATATGAAGTTCCTTCCTATACTACCGTAGGCCTCAAAGCAGTCCAAATCTCCATTTGCAGATTCTACAAAAAGAGTGATTCCAATCTGCTCTATCAATAGGATTGTTCAACTCCATGAGTTGAATGCCATCCTCACAAAGTCGTTTCTGAGAATGCTTCTATCTAGTTTTTATGTGAAGATATTTCCTTTTCCACCACAGGCCTCAAAGCCTTCCAAACGTCCACTTGCAGATTCTCGAAAAAGAGTGTTTCATAGCTGCTCTTTCAAAAGGAAAGTTCAACTCTGGGAGTTGAATACAAACATCACAAAGTAGTTTCCGAGAATGCTTCTGTTTAGTTCTTATGTGAAGATGATCCCGTTTCCAGTGAAATCTTCAAAGAGGTCCACATATCCCCTTGCAGATTCCAAAGAAAGAGGGTTTCAAAACTGCTCCATCAAAAGGATTGTTCAACTCTGTGAGTTGAATGCAGTCATCGCAGAAAACTTTCTGAGAATGCTTCTGTCTAGGTTTGATGTGAAGATATAGACGTTTCAAACGAAGGCTACAAAGTGGTCAAAATATACACTTGCAGATTCTACTACAAGGGTTTTGCAAACCTGAACTATCAAAGGAAGGTTCAACTCTGTGAGTTGAATACAAACATAACAAAGAATGTTCTGAGTTTGCTTCCGTTCAGTTATGGGAAGTTGATCCCGTTTCCAACGAAATCCTCAGAGAGGTCCAAATATCCCCTCGCAGATTCTACAAAACGTGTGTTTGGAAACTGCTCCATCATAACGAATGTTCAGCTCCCTGAGTTAAACTCCATCGTCACAAAGAATTTTCTGAGAGTGCTACCGTCTGGTTTTTATATGAAGTTCTTTCCTTCACTACCACAGGCCTCAAAGCGGTCCAAATCTCCACTTGCAGATTCTACAAAAAGAGTGTTTGCAAACTGCTCTATCAAAAGGAATGTTCAACTCTGGGAGTTGAATGCAATCATCACAGAGCAGTTTCTGAGAATGCTTCTATGTCGTTTTTAGGAGAAGATATTTCCTTTTCCAACACAGTCCTCCAAGCCCGCTAAATAGCCACTTGCACATTGTAGAAAAAGTGTGTCGAAGCTGCGCTATCAAAGGGAAAGTTCAACTCTGTGAGGTGAATGCAAACATCCCAAAGAAGTTTCTGAGAATGCTTCCGTTTAGCTTTTAGGTGAAGATTATCCCGTTTCCAACGAAACCTTCAAAGAGGTCCAAATATCCCCTTGCGGATCCCACAGAAAGAGTGTTTCGAAACTGCTGTTTCAAAAGGAATCTTCAACTCTGTGAGTTGAATGCAATCATCACAAAGAAGTTTCTGACAATGCTTCTCTCTCGTCTTTCTGTGAAGATAAAGGAAAAGGCTTTCAGGCCTTTTCCACCACAGGCCTGAAAGCGCTCCAAATGTCCACTTGCAGATTCTGCGAAAAGAATATTTCAAAACTGCTCTATGAAAAGCAATGTTAAACTCTGTGGCTGGAACACAAACATCACAAAGCGGTTTCTGAGAATGTTTCAGTTTAGTTTTTCTGTGGAAATATTCCCGTTTCCAAAGAAATCTTCAAAGAGGTCCACGTATCCACTTACAGATTCTACAAAAAGACAGTTTCAAAACTGCTCCATCAAAAGGAGGGTTCAACTGTGTGACTTGAATGCAATCATCACTCAGAAGTTTCTGAGAATGCTTCTCTTTAGTTTTTACGTGAACATATACCCGTTTCGAACGAAGGCCACCCAGTGGTCCAAATATCCACTTGCAGATTCTACAGAAAGAGTGTTTCGAACCTGAACTCTCAAAGGCAGGTTCATCTCTGCGAGTTAAATGCATTCATCATGAAGAACTTTCTCAGAGTGTTTGTGTTTAGTTATGGGAAATTATTCCCGTTTCCAACGAAATCCTCAGAGAGCTCCAAATATCCACCTGCAGATTCTACCAAAAGTGTATTTGGAAACTGCTCCATCAAAAGGCATGTTCAGCTCTGTGAGTGAAACTCCATCATCACAAAGAATATTCTGAGAATGCTTCCGTTTGCCTTTTATATGAAGTTCCTTCCTATACTACCGTAGGCCTCAAAGCAGTCCAAATCTCCATTTGCAGATTCTACAAAAAGAGTGATTCCAATCTGCTCTATCAATAGGATTGTTCAACTCCATGAGTTGAATGCCATCCTCACAAAGTAGTTTCTGAGAATGCTTCTATCTAGTTTTTATGTGAAGATATTTCCTTTTCCACCACAGGCCTCAAAGCCCTCAAAACGTCCACTTGCAGATTCTCGAAAAAGAGTGTTTCATAGCTGCTCTTTCAAAAGGAAAGTTCAACTCTGGGAGTTGAATACAAACATCACAAAGTAGTTTCCGAGAATGCTTCTGTTTAGTTTTTATGTGAAGATGATCCCGTTTCCAGTGAAATCTTCAAAGAGGTCCACATATCCCCTTGCAGATTCCAAAGAAAGAGGGTTTCAAAACTGCTCCATCAGAAGGATTGTTCAACTCTGTGAGTTGAATGCAGTCATCGCAGAAAACTTTCTGAGAATGCTTCTGTCTAGGTTTGATGTGAAGATATAGACGTTTCAAACGAAGGCTACAAAGTGGTCAAAATATACACTTGCAGATTCTACTACAAGGGTGTTGCAAACCTGAACTATCAAAGGAAGGTTCAACTCTGTGAGTTGAATACAAACATCACAAAGAATGTTCTGAGTTTGCTTCCGTTCAGTTATGGGAAGTTGATCCCGTTTCCAACGAAATCCTCAGAGAGGTCCAAATATCCCCTTGCAGATTCTACAAAACGTGTGTTTGGAAACTGCTCCATCATAACGAATGTTCAGCTCCCTGAGTTAAACTCCATCGTCACAAAGAATTTTCTGAGAGTGCTACCGTCTGGTTTTTATATGAAGTTCTTTCCTTCACTACCACAGGCCTCAAAGCGGTCCAAATCTCCACTTGCAGATTCTACAAAAAGAGTGTTTGCAAACTGCTCTATCAAAAGGAATGTTCAACTCTGGGAGTTGAATGCAATCATCACAGAGCAGTTTCTGAGAATGCTTCTATGTCGTTTTTAGGAGAAGATATTACCTTTTCCAACACAGTCCTCCTAGCCCGCTAAATAGCCACTTGCACATTGTAGAAAAAGTGTGTCAAAGCTGCGCTATCAAAGGGAAAGTTCAACTCTGTGAGGTGAATGCAAACATCCCAAAGAAGTTTCTGAGAATGCTTCCGTTTAGCTTTTAGGTGAAGATTATCCCGTTTCCAACGAAACCTTCAAAGAGGTCCAAATATCCCCTTGCGGATCCCACAGAAAGAGTGTTTCGAAACTGCTGTTTCAAAAGGAATCTTCAACTCTGTGAGTTGAATGCAATCATCACAAAGAAGTTTCTGACAATGCTTCTCTCTCGTCTTTCTGTGAAGATAAATAAATGCTTTCAGGCCTTTGCCACCACAGGCCTGAAAGCGCTCCAAATGTCCACTTGCAGATTCTGCCAAAAGAATATTTCAAAACTGCTTTGTGAAAAGCAATGTTAAACTCTGTGGCTCGAACACAAACATCACAAAGCGGTTTCTGAGAATGCTTCAGTTTAGTTTTTCTGTGGAAATATTCCCGTTTCCAAAGAAATCTTCAAAGAGGTCCACGTATCCACTTACAGATTCTACAAAAAGACAGTTTCAAAACTGCTCCTTCAAAAGGAGGGTTCAACTGTGTGACTTGAATGCAATCATCACTCAGAAGTTTCTGAGAATGCTTCTCTTTAGTTTTTACGTGAACATATACCCGTTTCGAACGAAGGCCACCCAGTGGTCCAAATATCCACTTGCAGATTATACAGAAAGAGTGTTTCGAACCTGAACTCTCAAAGGCAGGTTCATCTCTGCGAGTTAAATGCATTCATCATGAAGAACTTTCTCAGAGTGTTTGTGTTTAGTTATGGGAAATTATTCCCGTTTCCAACGAAATCCTCAGAGAGCTCCAAATATCCACCTGCAGATTCTACCAAAAGTGTATTTGGAAACTGCTCCATCAAAAGGCATGTTCAGCTCTGTGAGTGAAACTCCATCATCACAAAGAATATTCTGAGAATGCTTCCGTTTGCCTTTTATATGAAGTTCCTTCCTGTACTACCGTAGGCCTCAAAGCAGTCCAAATCTCCATTTGCAGATTCTACAAAAAGAGTGATTCCAATCTGCTCTATCAATAGGATTGTTCAACTCCATGAGTTGAATGCCATCCTCACAAAGTCGTTTCTGAGAATGCTTCTATCTGGTTTTTGTGTGAAGATATTTCCTTTTCCACCACAGGCCTCAAAGCCCTCCAAACGTCCACTTGCAGATTCTCGAAAAAGAGTGTTTCATAGCTACTCTTTCAAAAGGAAAGTTCAACTCTGGGAGTTGAATACAAACATCACAAAATAGTTTCCGAGAATGCTTCTGTTTAGTTTTTATGTGAAGATGATCCCGTTTCCAGTGAAATCTTCAAAGAGGTCCACATATCCCCTTGCAGATTCCAAAGAAAGAGGGTTTCAAAACTGCTCCATCAGAAGGATTGTTCAACTCTGTGAGTTGAATGCAGTCATCGCAGAAAACTTTCTGAGAATGCTTCTGTCTAGGTTTGATGTGAAGATATAGACGTTTCAAACGAAGGCTACAAAGTGGTCAAAATATACACTTGCAGATTCTACTACAAGGGTGTTGCAAACCTGAACTATCAAAGGAAGGTTCAACTCTGTGAATTGAATACAAACATCACAAAGAATGTTCTGAGTTTGCTTCCGTTCAGTTATGGGAAGTTGATCCCGTTTCCAACGAAATCCTCAGAGAGGTCCAAATATCCCCTCGCAGATTCTACAAAACGTGTGTTTGGAAACTGCTCCATCATAACGAATGTTCAGCTCCCTGAGTTAAACTCCATCGTCACAAAGAATTTTCTGAGAGTGCTACCGTCTGGTTTTTATATGAAGTTCTTTCCTTCACTACCACAGGCCTCAAAGCGGTCCAAATCTCCACTTGCAGATTCTACAAAAAGAGTGTTTGCAAACTGCTCTATCCAAAGGAATGTTCAACTCTGGGAGTTGAATGCAATCATCACAGAGCAGTTTCTGAGAATGCTTCTATGTCGTTTTTAGGAGAAGATATTTCCTTTTCCAACACAGTCCTCCAAGCCCGCTAAATAGCCACTTGCACATTGTAGAAAAAGTGTGTCAAAGCTGCGCTATCAAAGGGAAAGTTCAACTCTGTGAGGTGAATGCAAACATCCCAAAGAAGTTTCTGAGAATGCTTCCGTTTAGCTTTTAGGTGAAGATTATCCCGTTTCCAACGAAACCTTCAAAGAGGTCCAAATATCCCCTTGCGGATCCCACAGAAAGAGTGTTTCGAAACTGCTGTTTCAAAAGGAATCTTCAACTCTGTGAGTTGAATGCAATCATCACAAAGAAGTTTCTGACAATGCTTCTCTCTCGTCTTTCTGTGAAGATAAAGGAAAAGGCTTTCAGGCCTTTTCCACCACAGGCCTGAAAGCGCTCCAAATGTCCACTTGCAGATTCTGCGAAAAGAATATTTCAAAACTGCTCTATGAAAAGCAATGTTAAACTCTGTGGCTCGAACACAAACATCACAAAGCGGTTTCTGAGAATGCTTCAGTTTAGTTTTTCTGTGGAAATATTCCCGTTTCCAAAGAAATCTTCAAAGAGGTCCACGTATCCACTTACAGATTCTACAAAAAGACAGTTTCAAAACTGCTCCATCAAAAGGAGGGTTCAACTGTGTGACTTGAATGCAATCATCACTCAGAAGTTTCTGAGAATGCTTCTCTTTAGTTTTTACGTGAACATATACCCGTTTCGAAAGAAGGCCACCCAGTGGTCCAAATATCCACTTGCAGATTCTACAGAAAGAGTGTTTCGAACCTGAACTCTCAAAGGCAGGTTCATCTCTGCGAGTTAAATGCATTCATCATGAAGAACTTTCTCAGAGTGTTTGTGTTTAGTTATGGGAAATTATTCCCGTTTCCAACGAAATCCTCAGAGAGCTCTAAATTTCCACCTGCAGATTCTACCAAAAGTGTATTTGGAAACTGCTCCATCAAAAGGCATGTTCAGCTCTGTGAGTGAAACTCCATCATCACAAAGAATATTCTGAGAATGCTTCCGTTTGCTTTTATATGAAGTTCCTTCCTATACGACCGTAGGCCTCAAAGCAGTCCAAATCTCCATTTGCAGATTCTACAAAAAGAGTGATTCCAATCTGCTCTATCAATAGGATTGTTCAACTCCATGTGTTGAATGCCATCCTCACAAAGTAGTTTCTGAGAATGCTTCTATCTAGTTTTTATGTGAAGATATTTTCTTTTCCACCACAGGACTCAAAGCCTTCCAAACGTCCACTTGCAGATTCTCGAAAAAGAGTGTTTCATAGCTGCTCTTTCAAAAGGAAAGTTCAACTCTGGGAGTTGAATACAAACATCACAAAGTAGTTTCCGAGAATGCTTCTGTTTAGTTTTTATGTGAAGATGATCCCGTTTCCAGTGAAATCTTCAAAGAGGTCCACATATCCCCTTGCAGATTCCAAAGAAAGAGGGTTTCAAAACTGCTCCATCAGAAGGATTGTTCAACTCTGTGAGTTGAATGCAGTCATCGCAGAAAACTTTCTGAGAATGCTTCTGTCTAGGTTTGATGTGAAGATATAGACGTTTCAAACGAAGGCTACAATGTGGTCAAAATATACACTTGCAGATTCTACTACAAGGGTGTTGCAAACCTGAACTATCAAAGGAAGGTTCAACTCTGTGAGTTGAATACAAACATCACAAAGAATGTTCTGAGTTTGCTTCCGTTCAGTTATGGGAAGTTGATCCCGTTTCCAACGAAATCCTTAGAGAGGTCCAAATATCCCCTTGCAGATTCTACAAAACGTGTGTTTGGAAACTGCTCCATCATAACGAATGTTCAGCTCCCTGAGTTAAACTCCATCGTCACAAAGAATTTTCTGAGAGTGCTACCGTCTGGTTTTTATATGAAGCTCTTTCCTTCACTACCACAGGCCTCAAAGCGGTCCAAATCTCCACTTGCAGATTCTACAAAAAGAGTGTTTGCAAACTGCTCTATCAAAAGGAATGTTCAACTCTGGGAGTTGAATGCAATCATCACAGAGCAGTTTCTGAGAATGCTTCTATGTCGTTTTTAGAAGATATTTCCTTTTCCAACACAGTCCTCCAAGCCCGCTAAATAGCCACTTGCACATTGTAGAAAAAGTGTGTCAAAGCTGCGCTATCAAAGGGAAAGTTCAACTCTGTGAGGTGAATGCAAACATCCCAAAGAAGTTTCTGAGAATGCTTCCGTTTAGCTTTTAGGTGAAGATTATCCCGTTTCCAACGAAACCTTCAAAGAGGTCCAAATATCCCCTTGCGGATCCCACAGAAAGAGTGTTTCGAAACTGCTGTTTCAAAAGGAATCTTCAACTCTGTGAGTTGAATGCAATCATCACAAAGAAGTTTCTGACAATGCTTCTCTCTCGTCTTTCTGTGAAGATAAAGGAAAAGGCTTTCAGGCCTTTGCCACCACAGGCCTGAAAGCGCTCCAAATGTCCACTTGCAGATTCTGCGAAAAGAATATTTCAAAACTGCTCTATGAAAAGCAATGTTAAACTCTGTGGCTCGAACACAAACATCACAAAGCGGTTTCTGAGAATGCTTCAGTTTAGTTTTTCTGTGGAAATATTCCCGTTTCCAAAGAAATCTTCAAAGAGGTCCACGTATCCACTTACAGATTCTACAAAAAGACAGTTTCAAAACTGCTCCATCAAAAGGAGGGTTCAACTGTGTGACTTGAATGCAATCATCACTCAGAAGTTTCTGAGAATGCTTCTCTTTAGTTTTTACGTGAACATATACGCGTTTCGAACGAAGGCCACCCAGTGGTCCAAATATCCACTTGCAGATTCTACAGAAAGAGTGTTTCGAACCTGAACTCTCAAAGGCAGGTTCATCTCTGCGAGTTAAATGCATTCATCATGAAGAACTTTCTCAGAGTGTTTGTGTTTAGTTATGGGAAATTATTCCCGTTTCCAACGAAATCCTCAGGGAGCTCCAAATATCCACCTGCAGATTCTACCAAAAGTGTATTTGGAAACTGCTCCATCAAAAGGCATGTTCAGCTCTGTGAGTGAAACTCCATCATCACAAAGAATATTCTGAGAATGCTTCCGTTTGCCTTTTATATGAACTTCCTTCCTGTACTACCGTAGGCCTCAAAGCAGTCCAAATCTCCATTTGCAGATTCTACAAAAAGAGTGATTCCAATCTGCTCTATCAATAGGATTGTTCAACTCCATGAGTTGAATGCCATCCTCACAAAGTAGTTTCTGAGAATGCTTCTATCTGGTTTTTGTGTGAAGATATTTCCTTTTCCACCACAGGCCTCAAAGCCCTCCAAACGTCCACTTGCAGATTCTCGAAAAAGAGTGTTTCATAGCTGCTCTTTCAAAAGGAAAGTTCAACTCTGGGAGTTGAATACAAACATCACAAAATAGTTTCCGAGAATGCTTCAGTTTAGTTTTTATGTGAAGATGATCCCGTTTCCAGTGAAATCTTCAAAGAGGTCCACATATCCCCTTGCAGATTCCAAAGAAAGAGGGTTTCAAAACTGCTCCATCAGAAGGATTGTTCAACTCTGTGAGTTGAATGCAGTCATCGCAGAAAACTTTCTGAGAATGCTTCTGTCTAGGTTTGATGTGAAGATATAGATGTTTCAACCGAAGGCTACAAAGTGGTCAAAATATACACTTGCAGATTCTACTACAAGGGTGTTGCAAACCTGAACTATCAAAGGAAGGTTCAACTCTGTGAGTTGAATACAAACATCACAAAGAATGTTCTGAGTTTGCTTCCGTTCAGTTATGGGAAGTTGATCCCGTTTCCAACGAAATCCTCAGAGAGGTCCAAATATCCCCTTGCAGATTCTACAAAACGTGTGTTTGGTAACTGCTCCATCATAACGAATGTTCAGCTCCCTGAGTTAAACTCCATCGTCACAAAGAATTTTCTGAGAGTGCTACCGTCTGGTTTTTGTATGAAGCTCTTTCCTTCACTACCACAGACCTCAAAGCGGTCCAAATCTCCACTTGCAGATTCTACAAAAAGAGTGTTTGCAAACTGCTCTATCAAAAGGAATGTTCAACTCTGGGAGTTGAATGCAATCATCACAGAGCAGTTTCTGAGAATGCTTCTATGTCGTTTTTAGGAGAAGATATTTCCTTTTCCAACACAGTCCTCCAAGCCCGCTAAATAGCCACTTGCACATTGTAGAAAAAGTGTGTCAAAGCTGCGCTATCAAAGGGAAAGTTCAACTCTGTGAGGTGAATGCAAACATCCCAAAGAAGTTTCTGAGAATGCTTCCGTTTAGCTTTTAGGTGAAGATTATCCCGTTTCCAACGAAACCTTCAAAGAGGTCCAAATATCCCCTTGCGGATCCCACAGAAAGAGTGTTTCGAAACTGCTGTTTCAAAAGGAATCTTCAACTCTGTGAGTTGAATGCAATCATCACAAAGAAGTTTCTGACAATGCTTCTCTCTCGTCTTTCTGTGAAGATAAAGGAAAAGGCTTTCAGGCCTTTTCCACCACAGGCCTGAAAGCGCTCCAAATGTCCACTTGCAGATTCTGCCAAAAGAATATTTCAAAACTGCTCTACGAAAAGCAATGTTAAACTCTGTGGCTCGAACACAAACATCACAAAGCAGTTTCTGAGAATGCTTCAGTTTAGATTTTCTGTGGAAATACTCCCGTTTCCAAAGAAATCTTCAAAGAGGTCCACGTATCCACTTACAGATTCTACAAAAAGACAGTTTCAAAACTGCTCCATCAAAAGGAGGGTTCAACTGTGTGACTTGAATGCAATCATCACTCAGAAGTTTTCTGAGAATGCTTCTCTTTAGTTTTTACGTGAACATATACCCGTTTCGAACGAAGGCCACCCAGTGGTCCAAATATCCACTTGCAGATTCTACAGAAAGAGTGTTTCGAACCTGAACTCTCAAAGGCAGGTTCATCTCTGCGAGTTAAATGCATTCATCATGAAGAACTTTCTCAGAGTGTCTGTGTTTAGTTATGGGAAATTATTCCCGTTTCCAACGAAATCCTCAGAGAGCTCCAAATATCCACCTGCAGATTCTACCAAAAGTGTATTTGGAAACTGCTCCATCAAAAGGCATGTTCAGCTCTGTGAGTGAAACTCCATCATCACAAAGAATATTCTGAGAATGCTTCCGTTTGCCTTTTATCTGAAGTTCCTTCCTATACGACCGTAGGCCTCAAAGCAGTCCAAATCTCCATTTGCAGATTTTACAAAAAGAGTGATTCCAATCTGCTCTATCAATAGGATTGTTCAACTCCATGAGTTGAATGCCATCCTCACAAAGTCGTTTCTGAGAATGCTTCTATCTAGTTTTTATGTGAAGATATTTCCTTTTCCACCACAGGCCTCAAAGCCCTCCAAACGTCCACTTGCAGATTCTCGAAAAAGAGTGTTTCATAGCTGCTCTTTCAAAAGGAAAGTTCAACTCTGGGAGTTGAATACAAACATCACAAAGTAGTTTCCGAGAATGCTTCTGTTTAGTTTTTATGTGAAGATGATCCCGTTTCCAGTGAAATCTTCAAAGAGGTCCACATATCCCCTTGCAGATTCCAAAGAAAGAGGGTTTCAAAACTGCTCCATCAGAAGGATTGTTCAACTCTGTGAGTTGAATGCAGTCATCGCAGAAAACTTTCTGAGAATGCTTCTGTCTAGGTTTGATGTGAAGATATAGACGTTTCAAACGAAGGCTACAAAGTGGTCAAAATATACACTTGCAGATTCTACTACAAGGGTGTTGCAAACCTGAACTATCAAAGGAAGGTTCAACTCTGTGAGTTGAATACAAACATCACAAAGAATGTTCTGAGTTTGCTTCCGTTCAGTTATGGGAAGTTGATCCCGTTTCCAAAGAAATCCTCAGAGAGGTCCAAATATCCCCTTGCAGATTCTACAAAACGTGTGTTTGGAAACTGCTCCATCATAACGAATGTTCAGCTCCCTGAGTTAAACTCCATCGTCACAAAGAATTTTCTGAGAGTGCTACCGTCTGGTTTTTATATGAAGTTCTTTCCTTCACTACCACAGGCCTCAAAGCGGTCCAAATCTCCACTTGCAGATTCTACAAAAAGAGTGTTTGCAAACTGCTCTATCAAAAGGAATGTTCAACTCTGGGAGTTGAATGCAATCATCACAGAGCAGTTTCTGAGAATGCTTCTATGTCGTTTTTAGGAGAAGATATTTCCTTTTCCAACACAGTCCTCCAAGCCCGCTAAATAGCCACTTGCACATTGTAGAAAAAGTGTGTCAAAGCTGCGCTATCAAAGGGAAAGTTCAACTCTGTGAGGTGAATGCAAACATCCCAAAGAAGTTTCTGAGAATGCTTCCGTTTAGCTTTTAGGTGAAGATTATCCCGTTTCCAACGAAACCTTCAAAGAGGTCCAAATATCCCCTTGCGGATCCCACAGAAAGAGTGTTTCGAAACTGCTGTTTCAAAAGGAATCTTCAACTCTGTGAGTTGAATGCAATCATCACAAAGAAGTTTCTGACAATGCTTCTCTCTCGTCTTTCTGTGAAGATAAAGGAAAAGGCTTTCAGGCCTTTTCCACCACAGGCCTGAAAGCGCTCCAAATGTCCACTTGCAGATTCTGCCAAAAGAATATTTCAAAACTGCTCTATGAAAAGCAATGTTAAACTCTGTGGCTCGAACACAAACATCACAAAGCGGTTTCTGAGAATGCTTCAGTTTAGTTTTTCTGTGGAAATATTCCCGTTTCCAAAGAAATCTTCAAAGAGGTCCACGTATCCACTTACAGATTCTACAAAAAGACAGTTTCAAAACTGCTCCATCAAAAGGAGGGTTCAACTGTGTGACTTGAATGCAATCATCACTCAGAAGTTTCTGAGAATGCTTCTCTTTAGTTTTTACGTGAACATATACCCGTTTCGAACGAAGGCCAGCCAGTGGTCCAAATATCCACTTGCAGATTCTACAGAAAGAGTGTTTCGAACCTGAACTCTCAAAGGCAGGTTCATCTCTGCGAGTTAAATGCATTCATCATGAAGAACTTTCTCAGAGTGTTTGTGTTTAGTTATGGGAAATTATTCCCGTTTCCAAAGAAATCCTCAGAGAGCTCCAAATATCCACCTGCAGATTCTACCAAAAGTGTATTTGGAAACTGCTCCATCAAAAGGCATGTTCAGCTCTGTGAGTGAAACTCCATCATCACAAAGAATATTCTGAGAATGCTTCCGTTTGCCTTTTATCTGAAGTTCCTTCCTATACGACCGTAGGCCTCAAAGCAGTCCAAATCTCCATTTGCAGATTCTACAAAAAGAGTGATTCCAATCTGCTCTATCAATAGGATTGTTCAACTCCATGAGTTGAATGCCATCCTCACAAAGTAGTTTCTGAGAATGCTTCTATCTAGTTTTATGTGAAGATATTTCCTTTTCCACCACAGGCCTCAAAGCCCTCCAAACGTCCACTTGCAGATTCTCGAAAAAGAGTGTTTCATAGCTGCTCTTTCAAAAGGAAAGTTCAACTCTGGCAGTTGAATACAAACATCACAAAGTAGTTTCCGAGAATGCTTCTGTTTAGTTTTTATGTGAAGATGATCCCGTTTCCAGTGAAATCTTCAAAGAGGTCCACATATCCCCTTGCAGATTCCAAAGAAAGAGGGTTTCAAAACTGCTCCATCAGAAGGATTGTTCAACTCTGTGAGTTGAATGCAGTCATCGCAGAAAACTTTCTGAGAATGCTTCTGTCTAGGTTTGATGTGAAGATATAGACGTTTCAAACGAAGGCTACAAAGTGGTCAAAATATACACTTGCAGATTCTACTACAAGGGTGTTGCAAACCTGAACTATCAAAGGAAGGTTCAACTCTGTGAGTTGAATACAAACATCACAAAGAATGTTCTGAGTTTGCTTCCGTTCAGTTATGGGAAGTTGATCCCGTTTCCAACGAAATCCTCAGAGAGGTCCAAATATCCCCTTGCAGATTCTACAAAACGTGTGTTTGGAAACTGCTCCATCATAACGAATGTTCAGCTCCCTGAGTTAAACTCCATCGTCACAAAGAATTTTCTGAGAGTGCTACCGTCTGGTTTTTATATGAAGTTCTTTCCTTCACTACCACAGGCCTCAAAGCGGTCCAAATCTCCACTTGCAGATTCTACAAAAAGAGTGTTTGCAAACTGCTCTATCAAAAGGAATGTTCAACTCTGGGAGTTGAATGCAATCATCACAGAGCAGTTTCTGAGAATGCTTCTATGTCGTTTTTAGAAGATATTTCCTTTTCCAACACAGTCCTCCAAGCCCGCTAAATAGCCACTTGCACATTGTAGAAAAAGTGTGTCAAAGCTGCGCTATCAAAGGGAAAGTTCAACTCTGTGAGGTGAATGCAAACATCCCAAAGAAGTTTCTGAGAATGCTTCCGTTTAGCTTTTAGGTGAAGATTATCCCGTTTCCAACGAAACCTTCAAAGAGGTCCAAATATCCCCTTGCGGATCCCACAGAAAGAGTGTTTCGAAACTGCTGTTTCAAAAGGAATCTTCAACTCTGTGAGTTGAATGCAATCATCACAAAGAAGTTTCTGACAAAGCTTCTCTCTCGTCTTTCTGTGAAGATAAAGGAAAAGGCTTTCAGGCCTTTGCCACCACAGGCCTGAAAGCGCTCCAAATGTCCACTTGCAGATTCTGCGAAAAGAATATTTCAAAACTGCTCTATGAAAAGCAATGTTAAACTCTGTGGCTCGAACACAAACATCACAAAGCGGTTTCTGAGAATGCTTCAGTTTAGTTTTTCTGTGGAAATATTCCCGTTTCCAAAGAAATCTTCAAAGAGGTCCACGTATCCACTTACAGATTCTACAAAAAGACAGTTTCAAAACTGCTCCATCAAAAGGAGGGTTCAACCGTGTGACTTGAATGCAATCATCACTCAGAAGTTTCTGAGAATGCTTCTCTTTAGTTTTTACGTGAACATATACCCGTTTCGAACGAAGGCCACCCAGTGGTCCAAATATCCACTTGCAGATTATACAGAAAGAGTGTTTCGAACCTGAACTCTCAAAGGCAGGTTCATCTCTGCGAGTTAAATGCATTCATCATGAAGAACTTTCTCAGAGTGTTTGTGTTTAGTTATGGGAAATTATTCCCGTTTCCAACGAAATCCTCAGAGAGCTCCAAATATCCACCTGCAGATTCTACCAAAAGTGTATTTGGAAACTGCTCCATCAAAAGGCATGTTCAGCTCTGTGAGTGAAACTCCATCATCACAAAGAATATTCTGAGAATGCTTCCGTTTGCCTTTTATATGAAGTTCCTTCCTGTACTACCGTAGGCCTCAAAGCAGTCCAAATCTCCATTTGCAGATTCTACAAAAAGAGTGATTCCAATCTGCTCTATCAATAGGATTGTTCAACTCCATGAGTTGAATGCCATCCTCACAAAGTAGTTTCTGAGAATGCTTCTATCTGGTTTTTGTGTGAAGATATTTCCTTTTCCACCACAGGCCTCAAAGCCCTCCAAACGTCCACTTGCAGATTCTCGAAAAAGAGTGTTTCATAGCTGCTCTTTCAAAAGGAAAGTTCAACTCTGGGAGTTGAATACAAACATCACAAAATAGTTTCCGAGAATGCTTCTATTTAGTTTTTATGTGAAGATGATCCCGTTTCCAGTGAAATCTTCAAAGAGGTCCACATATCCCCTTGCAGATTCCAAAGAAAGAGGGTTTCAAAACTGCTCCATCAAAAGGATTGTTCAACTCTGTGAGTTGAATGCAGTCATCGCAGAAAACTTTCTGAGAATGCTTCTGTCTAGGTTTGATGTGAAGATATAGACGTTTCAAACGAAGGCTACAAAGTGGTCAAAATATACACTTGCAGATTCTACTACAAGGGTGTTGCAAACCTGAACTATCAAAGGAAGGTTCAACTCTGTGAGTTGAATACAAACATCACAAAGAATGTTCTGAGTTGGCTTCCGTTCAGTTATGGGCAGTTGATCCCGTTTCCAGCGAAATCCTCAGAGAGGTCCATATATCCCCTTGCAGATTCTACAAAACGTGTGTTTGGAAACTGTTCCATCATAACGAATGTTCAGCTCCCTGAGTTAAACTCCATCGTCACAAAGAATTTTCTGAGAGTGCTACCGTCTGGTTTTTATATGAAGTTCTTTCCTTTACTACCATAGGCCTCAAAGCGGTCCAAATCTCCACTTGCAGATTCTACAAAAAGAGTGTTTGCAAACTGCTCTATCAAAAGGAATGTTCAACTCTGGGAGTTGAATGCAATCATCACAGAGCAGTTTCTGAGAATGCTTCTATGTCGTTTTTAGGAGAAGATATTTCCTTTTCCAACACAGTCCTCCAAGCCCGCTAAATAGCCACTTGCACATTGTAGAAAAAGTGTGTCAAAGCTGCGCTATCAAAGGGAAAGTTCAACTCTGAGAGGTGAATGCAAACATCCCAAAGAAGTTTCTGAGAGTGCTTCCGTTTAGCTTTTAGGTGAAGATTATCCCGTTTCCAACGAAACCTTCAAAGAGGTCCAAATATCCCCTTGTGGATCCCACAGAAAGAGTGTTTCGAAACTGCTGTTTCAAAAGGAATCTTCAACTCTGTGAGTTGAATGCAATCATCACAAAGAAGTTTCTGACAATGCTTCTCTCTCGTCTTCCTGTGAAGATAAAGGAAAAGGCTTTCAGGCCTTTTCCACCACAGGCCTGAAAGCGCTCCAAATGTCCACTTGCAGATTCTGCCAAAAGAATATTTCAAAACTGCTCTATGAAAAGCAATGTTAAACTCTGTGGCTCGAACACAAACATCACAAAGCAGTTTCTGAGAATGCTTCAGTTTAGTTTTTCTGTGGAAATATTCCCGTTTCCAAAGAAATCTTCAAAGAGGTCCACGCATCCACTTACAGATTCTACAAAAAGACAGTTTCAAAACTGCTCCATCAAAAGGAGGGTTCAACTGTGTGACTTGAATGCAATCATCACTCAGAAGTTTCTGAGAATGCTTCTCTTTAGTTTTTACGTGAACATATACCCGTTTCGAACGAAGGCCACCCAGTGGTCCAAATATCCACTTGCAGATTCTACAGAAAGAGTGTTTCGAACCTGAACTCTCAAAGGCAGGTTCATCTCTGCGAGTTAAATGCATTCATCATGAAGAACTTTCTCAGAGTGTTTGTGTTTAGTTATGGGAAATTATTCCCGTTTCCAACGAAATCCTCAAAGAGCTCCAAATATCCACCTGCAGATTCTACCAAAAGTGTATTTGGAAACTGCTCCATCAAAAGGCATGTTCAGCTCTGTGAGTGAAACTCCATCATCACAAAGAATATTCTGAGAATGCTTCCGTTTGCCTTTTATATGAAGTTCCTTCCTATACGACCGTAGGCCTCAAAGCAGTCCAAATCTCCATTTGCAGATTCTACAAAAAGAGTGATTCCAATCTGCTCTATCAATAGGATTGTTCAACTCCATGAGTTGAATGCCATCCTCACAAAGTAGTTTCTGAGAATGCTTCTATCTAGTTTTTATGTGAAGATATTTCCTTTTCCACCACAGGCCTCAAAGCCCTCCAAACGTCCACTTGCAGATTCTCGAAAAAGAGTGTTTCATAGCTGCTCTTTCAAAAGGAAAGTTCAACTCTGGCAGTTGAATACAAACATCACAAAGTAGTTTCCGAGAATGCTTCTGTTTAGTTTTTATGTGAAGATGATCCCGTTTCCAGTGAAATCTTCAAAGAGGTCCACATATCCCCTTGCAGATTCCAAAGAAAGAGGGTTTCAAAACTGCTCCATCAGAAGGATTGTTCAACTGTGTGAGTTGAATGCAGTCATCGCAGAAAACTTTCTGAGAATGCTTCTGTCTAGGTTTGATGTGAAGATATAGACGTTTCAAACGAAGGCTACAAAGTGGTCAAAATATACACTTGCAGATTCTACTACAAGGGTGTTGCAAACCTGAACTATCAAAGGAAGGTTCAACTCTGTGAATTGAATACAAACATCACAAAGAATGTTCTGAGTTTGCTTCCGTTCAGTTATGGGAAGTTGATCCCGTTTCCAACGAAATCCTCAGAGAGGTCCAAATATCCCCTTGCAGATTCTACAAAACGTGTGTTTGGAAACTGCTCCATCATAACGAATGTTCAGCTCCCTGAGTTAAACTCCATCGTCACAAAGAATTTTCTGAGAGTGCTACCGTCTGGTTTTTATATGAAGTTCTTTCCTTCACTACCACAGGCCTCAAAGCGGTCCAAATCTCCACTTGCAGATTCTACAAAAAGAGTGTTTGCAAACTGCTCTATCAAAAGGAATGTTCAACTCTGGGAGTTGAATGCAATCATCACAGAGCAGTTTCTGAGAATGCTTCTATGTCGTTTTTAGGAGAAGATATTTCCTTTTCCAACACAGTCCTCCAAGCCCGCTAAATATCCACTTGCACATTGTAGAAAAAGTGTGTCAAAGCTGCGCTATCAAAGGGAAAGTTCAACTCTGTGAGGTGAATGCAAACATCCCAAAGAAGTTTCTGAGAATGCTTCCGTTTAGCTTTTAGGTGAAGATTATCCCGTTTCCAACGAAACCTTCAAAGAGGTCCAAATATCCCCTTGCGGATCCCACAGAAAGAGTGTTTCGAAACTGCTGTTTCAAAAGGAATCTTCAACTCTGTGAGTTGAATGCAATCATCACAAAGAAGTTTCTGACAATGCTTCTCTCTCTCGTCTTTCTGTGAACATAAAGGAAAAGGCTTTCAGGCCTTTTCCACCACAGGCCTGAAAGCGCTCCAAATGTCCACTTGCAGATTCTGCCAAAAGAATATTTCAAAACTGCTCTATGAAAAGCAATGTTAAACTCTGTGGCTCGAACACAAACATCACAAAGCAGTTTCTGAGAATGCTTCAGTTTAGTTTTTCTGTGGAAATATTCCCGTTTCCAAAGAAATCTTCAAAGAGGTCCACGTATCCACTTACAGATTCTACAAAAAGACAGTTTCAAAACTGCTCCATCAAAAGGAGGGTTCAACTGTGTGACTTGAATGCAATCATCACTCAGAAGTTTCTGAGAATGCTTCTCTTTAGTTTTTACGTGAACATATACCCGTTTCGAACGAAGGCCAGCCAGTGGTCCAAATATCCACTTGCAGATTCTACAGAAAGAGTGTTTCGAACCTGAACTCTCAAAGGCAGGTTCATCTCTGCGAGTTAAATGCATTCATCATGAAGAACTTTCTCAGAGTGTTTGTGTTTAGTTATGGGAAATTATTCCCGTTTCCAACGAAATCCTCAGAGAGCTCCAAATATCCACCTGCAGATTCTACCAAAAGTGTATTTGGAAACTGCTCCAACAAAAGGCATGTTAAGCTCTGTGAGTGAAACTCCATCATCACAAAGAATATTCTGAGAATGCTTCCGTTTGCCTTTTATATGAAGTTCCTTCCTATACTACCGTAGGCCTCAAAGCAGTCCAAATCTCCATTTGCAGATTCTACAAAAAGAGTGATTCCAATCTGCTCTATCAATAGGATTGTTCAACTCCATGAGTTGAATGCCATCCTCACAAAGTAGTTTCTGAGAATGCTTCTATCTAGTTTTTATGTGAAGATATTTCCTTTTCCACCACAGGCCTCAAAGCCCTCCAAACGTCCACTTGCAGATTTTCGAAAAAGAGTGTTTCATAGCTGCTCTTTCAAAAGGAAAGTTCAACTCTGGGAGTTGAATACAAACATCACAAAGTAGTTTCCGAGAATGCTTCTGTTTAGTTCTTATGTAAAGATGATCCCGTTTCCAGTGAAATCTTCAAAGAGGTCCACATATCCCCTTGCAGATTCCAAAGAAAGAGGGTTTCAAAACTGCTCCATCAAAAGGACTGTTCAACTCTGTGAGTTGAATGCAGTCATCGCAGAAAACTTTCTGAGAATGCTTCTGTCTAGGTTTGATGTGAAGATATAGACGTTTCAAATGAAGGCTACAAAGTGGTCAAAATATACACTTGCAGATTCTACTACAAGGGTGATGCAAACCTGAACTATCAAAGGAAGGTTCAACTCTGTGAGTTGAATACAAACATCACAAAGAATGTTCTGAGTTTGCTTCCGTTCAGTTATGGGAAGTTGATCCCATTTCCAACGAAATCCTCAGAGAGGTCCAAATATCCCTTTGCAGATTCTACAAAATGTGTGTTTGGAAACTGCTCCATCATAACGAATGTTCAGCTCTCTGAGTTAAACTCTATCGTCACAAAGAATTTTACTGAGAGTGCTACCGTCTAGTTTTTATATGAAGTTCTTTCCTTTACTACCACAGGCCTCAAAGCGGTCCAAATCTCCACTTGCAGATTCTACAAAAAGAGTGTCTGCAAACTGCTCTATCAAAAGGAATGTTCAACTCTGGGAATTGAATGCAATCATCACAGAGCAGTTTCTGAGAATGCTTCTATGTCGTTTTTAGGAGAAGATATTTCCTTTTCCAACACAGTCTTCCAAGCCCGCTTAATAGCCACTTGCACATTGTAGAAAAAGTGTGTCGAAGCTGCGCTATCAAAGGGAAAGTTCAACTCTGTGAGGTGAATGCAAACATCCCAAAGAAGTTTCTGAGAATGCTTCCGTTTAGCTTTTAGGTGAAGATTATCCCGTTTCCAACGAAACCTTCAAAGAGGTCCAAATATCCCCTTGCGGATCCCACAGAAAGAGTGTTTCGAAACTGCTGTTTCAAAAGGAATCTTCAACTCTGTGAGTTGAATGCAATCATCAC
Organism: Homo sapiens; assembly: GCF_000001405.40. Classification (NCBI taxonomy): domain Eukaryota; kingdom Metazoa; phylum Chordata; class Mammalia; order Primates; family Hominidae; genus Homo; species Homo sapiens. Next base: position 60,623,605 of record NC_000023.11, on the reverse strand, counting down.
AAAGAAGTTTCTGACAATGCTTCTCTCTCGTCTTTCTGTGAAGATAAAGGAAAAGGCTTTCAGGCCTTTTCCACCACAGGCCTGAAAGCGCTCCAAATGTCCACTTGCAGATTCTGCGAAAAGAATATTTCAAAACTGCTCTATGAAAAGCAATGTTAAACTCTGTGGCTCGAACACAAACATCAAAAAGCGGTTTCTGAGAATGCTTCAGTTTAGTTTTTCTGTGGAAATATTCCCGTTTCCAAAGAAATCTTCAAAGAGGTCCACGTATCCACTTACAGATTCTACAAAAAGACAGTTTCAAAACTGCTCCATCAAAAGGAGGGTTCAACTGTGTGACTTGAATGCAATCATCACTCACAAGTTTCTGAGAATGCTTCTCTTTAGTTTTTACGTGAACATATACCCGTTTCGAACGAAGGCCAGCCAGTGGTCCAAATATCCACTTGCAGATTCTACAGAAAGAGTGTTTCGAACCTGAACTCTCAAAGGCAGGTTCATCTCTGCGAGTTAAATGCATTCATCATGAAGAACTTTCTCAGAGTGTTTGTGTTTAGTTATGGGAAATTATTCCCGTTTCCAACGAAATCCTCAGAGAGCTCCAAATATCCACCTGCAGATTCTACCAAAAGTGTATTTGGAAACTGCTCCATCAAAAGGCATGTTCAGCTCTGTGAGTGAAACTCCATCATCACAAAGAATATTCTGAGAATGCTTCCGTTTGCCTTTTATATGAAGTTCCTTCCTATACGACCGTAGGCCTCAAAGCAGTCCAAATCTCCATTTGCAGATTCTACAAAAAGAGTGATTCCAATCTGCTCTATCAATAGGATTGTTCAACTCCATGAGTTGAATGCCATCCTCACAAAGTCGTTTCTGAGAATGCTTCTATCTAGTTTTTATGTGAAGATATTTCCTTTTCCACCACAGGCCTCAAAGCCCTCCAAACGTCCACTTGCAGATTCTCGAAAAAGAGTGTTTCATAGCTGCTCTTTCAAAAGGAAAGTTCAACTCTGGGAGTTGAATACAAACATCACAAAGTAGTTTCCGAGAATGCTTCTGTTTAGTTTTTATGTGAAGATGATCCCGTTTCCAGTGAAATCTTCAAAGAGGTCCACATATCCCCTTGCAGATTCCAAAGAAAGAGGGTTTCAAAACTGCTCCATCAGAAGGATTGTTCAACTCTGTGAGTTGAATGCAGTCATCGCAGAAAACTTTCTGAGAATGCTTCTGTCTAGGTTTGATGTGAAGATATAGACGTTTCAAACGAAGGCTACAAAGTGGTCAAAATATACACTTGCAGATTCTACTACAAGGGTGTTGCAAACCTGAACTATCAAAGGAAGGTTCAACTCTGTGAATTGAATACAAACATCACAAAGAATGTTCTGAGTTTGCTTCCGTTCAGTTATGGGAAGTTGATCCCGTTTCCAACGAAATCCTCAGAGAGGTCCAAATATCCCCTCGCAGATTCTACAAAACGTGTGTTTGGAAACTGCTCCATCATAACGAATGTTCAGCTCCCTGAGTTAAACTCCATCGTCACAAAGAATTTTCTGAGAGTGCTACCGTCTGGTTTTTATATGAAGTTCTTTCCTTCACTACCACAGGCCTCAAAGCAGTCCAAATCTCCACTTGCAGATTCTACAAAAAGAGTGTTTGCAAACTGCTCTATCAAAAGGAATGTTCAACTCTGGGAGTTGAATGCAATCATCACAGAGCAGTTTCTGAGAATGCTTCTATGTCGTTTTTAGGAGAAGATATTTCCTTTTCCAACACAGTCCTCCAAGCCCGCTAAATAGCCACTTGCACATTGTAGAAAAAGTGTGTCAAAGCTGCGCTATCAAAGGGAAAGTTCAACTCTGTGAGGTGAATGCAAACATCCCAAAGAAGTTTCTGAGAATGCTTCCGTTTAGCTTTTAGGTGAAGATTATCCCGTTTCCAACGAAACCTTCAAAGAGGTCCAAATATCCCCTTGCGGATCCCACAGAAAGAGTGTTTCGAAACTGCTGTTTCAAAAGGAATCTTCAACTCTGTGAGTTGAATGCAATCATCACAAAGAAGTTTCTGACAATGCTTCTCTCTCGTCTTTCTGTGAAGATAAAGGAAAAGGCTTTCAGGCCTTTTCCACCACAGGCCTGAAAGCGCTCCAAATGTCCACTTGCAGATTCTGCCAAAAGAATATTTCAAAACTGCTCTATGAAAAGCAATGTTAAACTCTGTGGCTGGAACACAAACATCACAAAGCGGTTTCTGAGAATGTTTCAGTTTAGTTTTTCTGTGGAAATATTCCCGTTTCCAAAGAAATCTTCAAAGAGGTCCACGTATCCACTTACAGATTCTACAAAAAGACAGTTTCAAAACTGCTCCATCAAAAGGAGGGTTCAACTGTGTGACTTGAATGCAATCATCACTCAGAAGTTTCTGAGAATGCTTCTCTTTAGTTTTTACGTGAACATATACCCGTTTCGAACGAAGGCCACCCAGTGGTCCAAATATCCACTTGCAGATTCTACAGAAAGAGTGTTTCGAACCTGAACTCTCAAAGGCAGGTTCATCTCTGCGAGTTAAATGCATTCATCATGAAGAACTTTCTCAGAGTGTTTGTGTTTAGTTATGGGAAATTATTCCCGTTTCCAACGAAATCCTCAGAGAGCTCCAAATATCCACCTGCAGATTCTACCAAAAGTGTATTTGGAAACTGCTCCATCAAAAGGCATGTTCAGCTCTGTGAGTGAAACTCCATCATCACAAAGAATATTCTGAGAATGCTTCCGTTTGCCTTTTATATGAAGTTCCTTCCTATACGACCGTAGGCCTCAAAGCAGTCCAAATCTCCATTTGCAGATTCTACAAAAAGAGTGATTCCAATCTGCTCTATCAATAGGATTGTTCAACTCCATGAGTTGAATGCCATCCTCACAAAGTAGTTTCTGAGAATGCTTCTATCTAGTTTTTATGTGAAGATATTTCCTTTTCCACCACAGGCCTCAAAGCCCTCCAAACGTCCACTTGCAGATTCTCGAAAAAGAGTGTTTCATAGCTGCTCTTTCAAAAGGAAAGTTCAACTCTGGGAGTTGAATACAAACATCACAAAGTAGTTTCCGAGAATGCTTCTGTTTAGTTTTTATGTGAAGATGATCCCGTTTCCAGTGAAATCTTCAAAGAGGTCCACATATCCCCTTGCAGATTCCAAAGAAAGAGGGTTTCAAAACTGCTCCATCAGAAGGATTGTTCAACTCTGTGAGTTGAATGCAGTCATCGCAGAAAACTTTCTGAGAATGCTTCTGTCTAGGTTTGATGTGAAGATATAGACGTTTCAAACGAAGGCTACAAAGTGGTCAAAATATACACTTGCAGATTCTACTACAAGGGTGTTGCAAACCTGAACTATCAAAGGAAGGTTCAACTCTGTGAGTTGAATACAAACATCACAAAGAATGTTCTGAGTTTGCTTCCGTTCAGTTATGGGAAGTTGATCCCGTTTCCAACGAAATCCTCAGAGAGGTCCAAATATCCCCTCGCAGATTCTACAAAACGTGTGTTTGGAAACTGCTCCATCATAACGAATGTTCAGCTCCCTGAGTTAAACTCCATCGTCACAAAGAATTTTCTGAGAGTGCTACCGTCTGGTTTTTATATGAAGTTCTTTCCTTCACTACCACAGGCCTCAAAGCGGTCCAAATCTCCACTTGCAGATTCTACAAAAAGAGTGTTTGCAAACTGCTCTATCAAAAGGAATGTTCAACTCTGGGAGTTGAATGCAATCATCACAGAGCAGTTTCTGAGAATGCTTCTATGTCGTTTTTAGGAGAAGATATTTCCTTTTCCAACACAGTCCTCCAAGCCCGCTAAATAGCCACTTGCACATTGTAGAAAAAGTGTGTCAAAGCTGCGCTATCAAAGGGAAAGTTCAACTCTGTGAGGTGAATGCAAACATCCCAAAGAAGTTTCTGAGAATGCTTCCGTTTAGCTTTTAGGTGAAGATTATCCCGTTTCCAACGAAACCTTCAAAGAGGTCCAAATATCCCCTTGCGGATCCCACAGAAAGAGTGTTTCGAAACTGCTGTTTCAAAAGGAATCTTCAACTCTGTGAGTTGAATGCAATCATCACAAAGAAGTTTCTGACAATGCTTCTCTCTCGTCTTTCTGTGAAGGTAAAGGAAAAGGCTTTCAGGCCTTTTCCACCACAGGCCTGAAAGCGCTCCAAATGTCCACTTGCAGATTCTGCCAAAAGAATATTTCAAAACTGCTCTATGAAAAGCAATGTTAAACTCTGTGGCTCGAACACAAACATCACAAAGCGGTTTCTGAGAATGCTTCAGTTTAGTTTTTCTGTGGAAATATTCCCGTTTCCAAAGAAATCTTCAAAGAGGTCCACGCATCCACTTACAGATTCTACAAAAAGACAGTTTCAAAACTGCTCAATCAAAAGGAGGGTTCAACTGTGTGACTGGAATGCAATCATCACTCAGAAGTTTCTGAGAACGCTTCTCTTTAGTTTTTACGTGAACATATACCCGTTTCGAACGAAGGCCAGCCAGTGGTCCAAATATCCACTTGCAGATTCTACAGAAAGAGTGTTTCGAACCTGAACTCTCAAAGGCAGGTTCATCTCTGCGAGTTAAATGCATTCATCATGAAGAACTTTCTCAGCGTGTTTGTGTTTAGTTATGGGAAATTATTCCCGTTTCCAACGAAATCCTCAGAGAGGTCCAAATATCCACCTGCAGATTCTACCAAAAGTGTATTTGGAAACTGCTCCATCAAAAGGCATGTTCAGCTCTGTGAGTGAAACTCCATCATCACAAAGAATATTCTGAGAATGCTTCCGTTTGCCTTTTATATGAAGTTCCTTCCTATACTACCGTAGGCCTCAAAGCAGTCCAAATCTCCATTTGCAGATTCTACAAAAAGAGTGATTCCAATCTGCTCTATCAATAGGATTGTTCAACTCCATGAGTTGAATGCCATCCTCACAAAGTCGTTTCTGAGAATGCTTCTATCTAGTTTTTATGTGAAGATATTTCCTTTTCCACCACAGGCCTCAAAGCCTTCCAAACGTCCACTTGCAGATTCTCGAAAAAGAGTGTTTCATAGCTGCTCTTTCAAAAGGAAAGTTCAACTCTGGGAGTTGAATACAAACATCACAAAGTAGTTTCCGAGAATGCTTCTGTTTAGTTTTTATGTGAAGATGATCCCGTTTCCAGTGAAATCTTCAAAGAGGTCCACATATCCCCTTGCAGATTCCAAAGAAAGAGGGTTTCAAAACTGCTCCATCAGAAGGATTGTTCAACTCTGTGAGTTGAATGCAGTCATCGCAGAAAACTTTCTGAGAATGCTTCTGTCTAGGTTTGATGTGAAGATATAGACGTTTCAAACGAAGGCTACAAAGTGTTCAAAATATACACTTGCAGATTCTACTACAAGGGTGTTGCAAACCTGAACTATCAAAGGAAGGTTCAACTCTGTGAGTTGAATACAAACATCACAAAGAATGTTCTGAGTTTGCTTCCGTTCAGTTATGGGAAGTTGATCCCGTTTCCAACGAAATCCTCAGAGAGGTCCAAATATCCCCTTGCAGATTCTACAAAACGTGTGTTTGGAAACTGCTCCATCATAACGAATGTTCAGCTCCCTGAGTTAAACTCCATCGTCACAAAGAATTTTCTGAGAGTGCTACCGTCTGGTTTTTATATGAAGCTCTTTCCTTCACTACCACAGACCTCAAAGCGGTCCAAATCTCCACTTGCAGATTCTACAAAAAGAGTGTTTGCAAACTGCTCTATCAAAAGGAATGTTCAACTCTGGGAGTTGAATGCAATCATCACACAGCAGTTTCTGAGAATGCTTCTATGTCGTTTTTAGGAGAAGATATTTCCTTTTCCAACACAGTCCTCCAAGCCCGCTAAATAGCCACTTGCACATTGTAGAAAAAGTGTGTCAAAGCTGCGCTATCAAAGGGAAAGTTCAACTCTGTGAGGTGAATGCAAACATCCCAAAGAAGTTTCTGAGAATGCTTCCGTTTAGCTTTTAGGTGAAGATTATCCCGTTTCCAATGAAACCTTCAAAGAGGTCCAAATATCACCTTGCGGATCCCACAGAAAGAGTGTTTCGAAACTGCTGTTTCAAAAGGAATCTTCAACTCTGTGAGTTGAATGCAATCATCACAAAGAAGTTTCTGACAATGCTTCTCTCTCGTCTTTCTGTGAAGATAAAGGAAAAGGCTTTCAGGCCTTTTCCACCACAGGCCTGAAAGCGCTCCAAATGTCCACTTGCAGATTCTGCCAAAAGAATATTTCAAAACTGCTCTATGAAAAGCAATGTTAAACTCTGTGGCTCGAACACAAACATCACAAAGCGGTTTCTGAGAATGCTTCAGTTTAGTTTTTCTGTGGAAATATTCCCGTTTCCAAAGAAATCTTCAAAGAGGTCCACGTATCCACTTACAGATTCTACAAAAAGACAGTTTCAAAACTGCTCCATCAAAAGGAGGGTTCAACTGTGTGACTTGAATGCAATCATCACTCAGAAGTTTCTGAGAATGCTTCTCTTTAGTTTTTACGTGAACATATACCCGTTTCGAACGAAGGCCAGCCAGTGGTCCAAATATCCACTTGCAGATTCTACAGAAAGAGTGTTTCGAACCTGAACTCTCAAAGGCAGGTTCATCTCTGCGAGTTAAATGCATTCATCATGAAGAACTTTCTCAGAGTGTTTGTGTTTAGTTATGGGAAATTATTCCCGTTTCCAACGAAAGCCTCAGAGAGCTCCAAATATCCACCTGCAGATTCTACCAAAAGTGTATTTGGAAACTGCTCCATCAAAAGGCATGTTCAGCTCTGTGAGTGAAACTCCATCATCACAAAGAATATTCTGAGAATGCTTCCGTTTGCCTTTTATATGAAGTTCCTTCCTATACTACCGTAGGCCTCAAAGCAGTCCAAATCTCCATTTGCAGATTCTACAAAAAGAGTGATTCCAATCTGCTCTATCAACAGGATTGTTCAACTCCATGAGTTGAACGCCATCCTCACAAAGTCGTTTCTGAGAATGCTTCTATCTAGTTTTTATGTGAAGATATTTCCTTTTCCACCACAGGCCTCAAAGCCCTCCAAACGTCCACTTGCAGATTCTCGAAAAAGTGTGTTTCATAGCTGCTCTTTCAAAAGGAAAGTTCAACTCTGGGAGTTGAATACAAACATCACAAAGTAGTTTCCGAGAATGCTTCTGTTTAGTTCTTATGTGAAGATGATCCTGTTTCCAGTGAAACCTTCAAAGAGGTCCACATATCCCCTTGCAGATTCCAAAGAAAGAGGGTTTCAAAACTGCTCCATCAAAAGGATTGTTCAACTCTGTGAGTGGAATGCAGTCATCGCAGAAAACTTTCTGAGAATGCTTCTGTCTAGGTTTGAGGTGAAGATATAGACGTTTCAAACGAAGGCTACAAAGTGTTCAAAATATACACTTGCAGATTCTACTACAAGGGTGATGCAAACCTGAACTATCAAAGGAAGGTTCAACTCTGTGTGTTGAATACAAACATCACAAAGAATGTTCTGAGTTTGCTTCCGTTCAGTTATGGGAAGTTGATCCCGTTTCCAACGAAATCCTCAGAGAGGTCCAAATATCCCCTTGCAGATTCTACAAAACTTGTGTTTGGAAACTGCTCCATCATAACGAACGTTCAGCTCTCTGAGTTAAACTCCATCGTCACAAAGAATTTTCTGAGAGTGCTACCGTCTAGTTTTTATATGAAGTTCTTTCCTTTACTACCACAGGCCTCAAAGCGGTCCAAATCTCCACTTGCAGATTCTACAAAAAGAGTGTTTGCAAACTGCTCTATCAAAAGGAATGTTCAACTCTGGGAGTTGAATGCAATCATCACAGAGCAGTTTCTGAGAATGCTTCTATGTCGTTTTTAGGAGAAGATATTTCCTTTTCCAACACAGTCCTCCAAGCCCGCTAAATATCCACTTGCACATTGTAGAAAAAGTGTGTCGAAGCTGCGCTATCAAAGGGAAAGTTCAAGTCTGTGAGGTGAATGCAAACATCCCAAAGAAGTTTCTGAGAATGCTTCCGTTTAGCTTTTAGGTGAAGATTATCCCGTTTCCAACGAAATCTTCAAAGAGGTCCAAATATCCCCTTGCGGATCCCACAGAAAGAGTGTTTTGAAACTGCTGTTTCAAAAGGAATCTTCAACTCTGTGAGTTGAATGCAATCATCACAAAGAAGTTTCTGACAATGCTTCTCTCTCGTCTTTCTGTGAAGATAAAGGAAAAGGCTTTCAGGCCTTTTCCACCCACAGGCCTGAAAGCGCTCCAAATGTCCACTTGCAGATTCTGCCAAAAGAATATTTCAAAACTGCTCTATGAAAAGCAATGTTAAACTCTGCGGCTCGAACACAAACATCACAAAGCAGTTTCTGAGAATGCTTCAGTTTAGTTTTTCTGTGGAAATATTCCCGTTTCCAAAGAAATCTTCAAAGAGGTCCACGTATCCACTTACAGATTTTACAAAAAGACAGTTTCAAAACTGCTCAATCAAAAGGAGGGTTCAACTGTGTGACTTGAATGCAATCATCACTCAGAAGTTTCTGAGAATGCTTCTCTTTAGTTTTTACGTGAACATATACCCGTTTCGAACGAAGGCCAGCCAGTGGTCCAAATATCCACTTGCAGATTCTACAGAAAGAGTGTTTCGAACCTGAACTCTGAAAGGCAGGTTCATCTCTGCGAGTTAAATGCATTCATCATGAAGAACTTTCTCAGAGTGTTTGTGTTTAGTTATGGGAAATTATTCCCGTTTCCAACGATCTCCTCAGAGAGGTCCAAATATCCACCTGCAGATTCTACCAAAAGTGTATTTGGAAACTGCTCCATCAAAAGGCATGTTCAGCTCTGTGAGTGAAACTCCATCATCACAAAGAATATTCTGAGAATGCTTCCGTTTGCCTTTTATATGAAGTTCCTTCCTATACTACCATAGGCCACAAAGCAGTCCAAATCTCCATTTGCAGATTCTACAAAAAGACTGATTCCAATCTGCTCTATCAATAGGATTGTTCAACTCCATGAGTTGAATGCCATCCTCACAAAGTCGTTTCTGAGAATGCTTCTATCTAGTTTTAATGTGAAGATATTTCCTTTTCCACCACAGGCCTCAAAGCCCTCCAAACGTCCGCTTGCAGATTCTCAAAAAAGAGTGTTTCATAGCTGCTCTTTCAAAAGGAAAGTTCAACTCTGGGAGTTGAATACAAACATCACAAAGTAGTTTCCGAGAATGCTTCTGTTTAGTTCTTATGTGAAGATGATCCCGTTTCCAGTGAAATCTTCAAAGAGGTCCACATATCCCCTTGCAGATTCCAAAGAAAGAGGGTTTCAAAACTGCTCCATCAAAAGGATTGTTCAACTCTGTGAGTTGAATGCAGTCATCGCAGAAAACTTTCTGAGAATGCTTCTGTCTAGGTTTGATGTGAAGATATAGACGTTTCAAACGAAGGCTACAAAGTGGTCAAAATATACACTTGCAGATTCTACTACAAGGGTGTTGCAAACCTGGACTATCAAAGGAAGGTTCAACTCTGTGAGTTGAATACAAACATCACAAAGAATGTTCTGAGTTTGCTTCCGTTCAGTTATGGGAAGTTGATCCCTTTCCCAAAGAAATCCTTAGAGAGGTCCAAATATCCCCTTGCAGAATCTACAAAACGTGTGATTGGAAACTGCTCCATCATAACGAATGTTCAGCTCTCTGAGTTAAACTCCATCGTCACAAAGAATTTTCTGAGAGTGCTACCGTCTAGTTTTAATATGAAGTTCGTTCCTTTACTACCACAGGCCTCAAAGTGGTCCAAATCTCCACTTGCAGATTCTACAAAAAGAGTGTTTGCAAACTGCTCTATCAAAAGGAATGTTCAACTCTGGGAGTTGAATGCAATCATCACAGAGCAGTTTCTGAGAATGCTTCTATGACGTTTTTAGGAGAAGATATTTCCTTTTCCAACACAGTCCTCCAAGCCCGCTAAATATCCACTTGCACATTGTAGAAAAAGTGTGTCGAAGCTGCGCTATCAAAGGGAAAGTTCAACTCTGTGAGGTGAATGCAAACATCCCAAAGAAGTTTCTGAGAATGCTTCCGTTTAGCTTTTAGGTGAAGATTATCCCGTTTCCAACGAAATCTTCAAAGAGGTCCAAATATCCCCTTGCGGATCCCACAGAAAGAGTGTTTCGAAACTGCTGTTTCAAAAGGAATCTTCAACTCTGTGAGTTGAATGCAATCATCACAAAGAAGTTTCTGACAATGCTTCTCTCTCGTCTTTCTGTGAAGATAAAGGAAAAGGCTTTCAGGCCTTTTCCACCACAGGCCTGAAAGCGCTCCAAATGTCCACTTGCAGATTCTACCAAAAGAATATTTCAAAACTGCTCTATGAAAAGCAATGTTAAACTCTGTGGCTCGAACACAAACATCACAAAGCAGTTTCTGAGAATGCTTCAGTTTAGTTTTTCTGTGGAAATATTCCCGTTTCGAAAGAAATCTTCAAAGAGGTCCACGCATCCACTTACAGATTCTACAAAAAGACAGTTTCAAAACTGCTCAATCAAAAGGAGGGTTCAACCGTGTGACTTGAATGCAATCATCACTCAGAAGTTTCTGAGAATGCTTCTCTTTAGTTTTTACGTGAACATATACCCGTTTCGAACGAAGGCCACCCAGTGGTCCAAATATCCACTTGCAGATTCTACAGAAAGAGTGTTTCGAACCTGAACTCTCAAAGGCAGGTTCATCTCTGCGAGTTCAATGCATTCAACATGAAGAACTTTCTCAGCGTGTTTGTGTTTAGTTATGGGAAATTATTCCCGTTTCCAACGAAATCCTCAGAGAGGTCCAAATATCCACCTGCAGATTCTACCAAAAGTGTATTTGGAAACTGCTCCATCAAAAGGCATGTTCAGCTCTGTGAGTGAAACTCCATCATCACAAAGAATATTCTGAGAATGCTTCCGTTTGCCTTTTATATGAAGTTCCTTCCTATACTACCGTAGGCCTCAAAGCAGTCCAAATCTCCATTTGCAGATTCTACAAAAAGAGTGATTCCAATCTGCTCTATCAATAGGATTGTTCAACTCCATGAGTTGAATGCCATCCTCACAAAGTCGTTTGTGAGAATGCTTCTATCTAGTTTTTATGTGAAGATATTTCCTTTTCCACCACAGGCCTCAAAGCCCTCCAAACGTCCACTTGCAGATTCTCGAAAAAGAGTGTTTCATAGCTGCTCTTTCAAAAGGAAAGTTCAACTCTGGGAGGTGAATACAAACATCACAAAGTAGTTTCCGAGAATGCTTCTGTTTAGTTCTTATGTGAAGATGATCCCGTTTCCAGTGAAATCTTCAAAGAGGTCCACATATCCCCTTGCAGATTCCAAAGAAAGAGGGTTTCAAAACTGCTCCATCAAAAGGATTGTTCAACTCTGTGAGTTGAATGCAGTCATCGCAGAAAACTTTCTGAGAATGCTTCTGTCTAGGTTTGAGGTGAAGATATAGACGTTTCAAACGAAGGCTACAAAGTGGTCAAAATATACACTTGCAGATTCTACTACAAGGGTGTTGCAAACTTCAACTATCAAAGGAAGGTTCAACTCTGTGAGTTGAATACAAACATCACAAAGAATGTTCTGAGTTTGCTTCCGTTCAGTTATGGGAAGTTGATCCCGTTTCCAACGAAATCCTCAGAGAGGTCCAAATATCCCCTTGCAGATTCTACGAAACGTGTGTTTGGAAACTGCTCCATCATAACGAATGTTCAGCTCTCTGAGTTAAACTCCATCGTCACAAAGAATTTTCTGAGAGTGCTACCGTCTGGTTTTTATATGAAGTTCTTTCCTTTACTACCACAGGCCTCAAAGCGGTCCAAATCTCCACTTGCAGATTCTACAAAAACAGTGTTTGCAAACTGCTCTATCAAAAGGAATGTTCAACTCTGGGAGTTGAATGCAATCATCACAGAGCAGTTTCTGAGAATGCTTCTATGTCGTTTTTAGGAGAAGATATTTCCTTTTCCAACACAGTCCTCCAAGCCCGCTAAATGTCCACTTGCACACTTTAGAAAAAGTGTGTCGAAGCTGCGCTATCAAAGGGAAAGTTCAACTCTGTGAGGTGAATGCAAACATCCCAAAGAAGTTTCTGAGAATGCTTCCGTTTAGCTTTTAGGTGAAGATTATCCCGTTTCCAACGAAACCTTCAAAGAGGTCCAAATATCCCCTTGCGGATCCCACAGAAAGAGTGTTTCGAAACTGCTGTTTCAAAAGGAATCTTCAACTCTGTGAGTTGAATGCAATCATCACAAAGAAGTTTCTGACAATGCTTCTCTCTCGTCTTTCTGTGAAGATAAAGGAAAAGGCTTTCAGGCCTTTTCCACCACAGGCCTGAAAGCGCTCCAAATGTCCACTTGCAGATTCTGCGAAAAGAATATTTCAAAACTGCTCTGTGAAAAGCAATGTTAAACTCTGTGGCTCGAACACAAACATCACAAAGCGGTTTCTGAGAATGCTTCAGTTTAGTTTTTCTGTGGAAATATTCCCGTTTCCAAAGAAATCTTCAAAGAGGTCCACGTATCCACTTACAGATTCTACAAAAAGACAGTTTCAAAACTGCTCCATCAAAAGGAGGGTTCAACTGTGTGACTTGAATGCAATCATCACTCAGAAGTTTCTGAGAATGCTTCTCTTTAGTTTTTACGTGAACATATACCCGTTTCGAACGAAGGCCACCCAGTGGTCCAAATATCCACTTGCAGATTCTACAGAAAGAGTGTTTCGAACCTGAACTCTCAAAGGCAGGTTCATCTCTGCGAGTTAAATGCATTCATCATGAAGAACTTTCTCAGAGTGTTTGTGTTTAGTTATGGGAAATTATTCCCGTTTCCAACGAAATCCTCAGAGAGCTCCAAATATCCACCTGCAGATTCTACCAAAAGTGTATTTGGAAACTGCTCCATCAAAAGGCATGTTCAGCTCTGTGAGTGAAACTCCATCATCACAAAGAATATTCTGAGAATGCTTCCGTTTGCCTTTTATATGAAGTTCCTTCCTATACTACCGTAGGCCTCAAAGCAGTCCAAATCTCCATTTGCAGATTCTACAAAAAGAGTGATTCCAATCTGCTCTATCAATAGGATTGTTCAACTCCATGATTTGAATGCCATCCTCACAAAGTCGTTTGTGAGAATGCTTCTATCTAGTTTTTATGTGAAGATATTTCCTTTTCCACCACAGGCCTCAAAGCCCTCCAAACGTCCACTTGCAGATTCTCGAAAAAGAGTGTTTCATAGCTGCTCTTTCAAAAGGAAAGTTCAACTCTGGGAGTTGAATACAAACCTCACAAAGTAGTTTCCGAGAATGCTTCTGTTTAGTTCTTATGTGAAGATGATCCCGTTTCCAGTGAAATCTTCAAAGAGGTCCACATATCCCCTTGCAGATTCCAAAGAAAGAGGGTTTCAAAACTGCTCCATCAAAAGGATTGTTCAACTCTGTGAGTTGAATGCAGTCATCGCAGAAAACTTTCTGAGAATGCTTCTGTCTAGGTTTGAGGTGAAGATATAGACGTTTCAAACGAAGGCTACAAAGTGGTCAAAATATACACTTGCAGATTCTACTACAAGGGTGTTGCAAACTTCAACTATCAAAGGAAGGTTCAACTCTGTGAGTTGAATACAAACATCACAAAGAATGTTCTGAGTTTGCTTCCGTTCAGTTATGGGAAGTTGATCCCGTTTCCAACGAAATCCTCAGAGAGGTCCAAATATCCCCTTGCAGATTCTACGAAACGTGTGTTTGGAAACTGCTCCATCATAACGAATGTTCAGCTCTCTGAGTTAAACTCCATCGTCACAAAGAATTTTCTGAGAGTGCTACCGTCTGGTTTTTATATGAAGTTCTTTCCTTTACTACCACAGGCCTCAAAGCGGTCCAAATCTCCACTTGCAGATTCTACAAAAACAGTGTTTGCAAACTGCTCTATCAAAACTAATGTTCAACTCTGGGAGTTGAATGCAATCATCACAGAGCAGTTTCTGAGAATGCTTCTATGTCGTTTTTAGGAGAAGATATTTCCTTTTCCAACACAGTCCTCCAAGCCCGCTAAATGTCCACTTGCACACTTTAGAAAAAGTGTGTCGAAGCTGCGCTATCAAAGGGAAAGTTCAACTCTGTGAGGTGAATGCAAACATCCCAAAGAAGTTTCTGAGAATGCTTCCGTTTAGCTTTTAGGTGAAGATTATCCCGTTTCCAACGAAACCTTCAAAGAGGTCCAAATATCCCCTTGCGGATCCCACAGAAAGAGTGTTTCGAAACTGCTGTTTCAAAAGGAATCTTCAACTCTGTGAGTTGAATGCAATCATCACAAAGAAGTTTCTGACAATGCTTCTCTCTCGTCTTTCTGTGAAGATAAAGGAAAAGGCTTTCAGGCCTTTTCCACCACAGGCCTGAAAGCGCTCCAAATGTCCACTTGCAGATTCTGCCAAAAGAATATTTCAAAACTGCTCTATGAAAAGCAATGTTAAACTCTGTGGCTCGAACACAAACATCACAAAGCGGTTTCTGAGAATGCTTCAGTTTAGTTTTTCTGTGGAAATATTCCCGTTTCCAAAGAAATCTTCAAAGAGGTCCACGTATCCACTTACAGATTCTACAAAAAGACAGTTTCAAAACTGCTCCATCAAAAGGAGGGTTCAACTGTGTGACTTCAATGCAATCATCACTCAGAAGTTTCTGAGAATGCTTCTCTTTAGTTTTTACGTGAACATATACCCGTTTCGAACGAAGGCCACCCAGTGGTCCAAATATCCACTTGCAGATTCTACAGAAAGAGTGTTTCGAACCTGAACTCTCAAAGGCAGGTTCATCTCTGCGAGTTAAATGCATTCATCATGAAGAACTTTCTCAGCGTGTTTGTGTTTAGGTATAGGAAATTATTCCCGTTTCCAACGAAATCCTCAAAGAGCTCCAAATATCCACCTGCAGATTCTACCAAAAGTGTATTTGGAAACTGCTCCATCAAAAGGCATGTTCAGCTCTGTGAGTGAAACTCCATCATCACAAAGAATATTCTGAGAATGCTTCCGTTTGCCTTTTATATGAAGTTCCTTCCTGTACTACCGTAGGCCTCAAAGCAGTCCAAATCTCCATTTGCAGATTCTACAAAAAGAGTGATTCCAATCTGCTCTATCAATAGGATTGTTCAACTCCATGAGTTGAATGCCATCCTCACAAAGTCGTTTCTGAGAATGCTTCTATCTGGTTTTTGTGTGAAGATATTTCCTTTTCCACCACAGGCCTCAAAGCCCTCCAAACGTCCACTTGCAGATTCTCGAAAAAGAGTGTTTCATAGCTGCTCTTTCAAAAGGAAAGTTCAACTCTGGGAGTTGAATACAAACATCACAAAATAGTTTCCGAGAATGCTTCTGTTTAGTTTTTATGTGAAGATGATCCCGTTTCCAGTGAAATCTTCAAAGAGGTCCACATATCCCCTTGCAGATTCCAAAGAAAGAGGGTTTCAAAACTGCTCCATCAGAAGGATTGTTCAACTCTGTGAGTTGAATGCAGTCATCGCAGAAAACTTTCTGAGAATGCTTCTGTCTAGGTTTGATGTGAAGATATAGACGTTTCAAACGAAGGCTACAAAGTGGTCAAAATATACACTTGCAGATTCTACTACAAGGGTGTTGCAAACCTGAACTATCAAAGGAAGGTTCAACTCTGTGAGTTGAATACAAACATCACAAAGAATGTTCTGAGTTTGCTTCCGTTCAGTTATGGGAAGTTGATCCCGTTTCCAACGAAATCCTCAGAGAGGTCCAAATATCCCCTTGCAGATTCTACAAAACGTGTGTTTGGAAACTGCTCCATCATAACGAATGTTCAGCTCCCTGA
This sequence comes from Homo sapiens, assembly GCF_000001405.40. NCBI lineage: Eukaryota > Metazoa > Chordata > Mammalia > Primates > Hominidae > Homo > Homo sapiens. The sequence goes on along the minus strand of NC_000023.11, from coordinate 60,607,677 downwards.
GTTAAACTCCATCGTCACAAAGAATTTTCTGAGAGTGCTACCGTCTGGTTTTTATATGAAGTTCTTTCCTTCACTACCACAGGCCTCAAAGCGGTCCAAATCTCCACTTGCAGATTCTACAAAAAGAGTGTTTGCAAACTGCTCTATCAAAAGGAATGTTCAACTCTGGGAGTTGAATGCAATCATCACAGAGCAGTTTCTGAGAATGCTTCTATGTCGTTTTTAGGAGAAGATATTTCCTTTTCCAACACAGTCCTCCAAGCCCGCTAAATAGCCACTTGCACATTGTAGAAAAAGTGTGTCAAAGCTGCGCTATCAAAGGGAAAGTTCAACTCTGTGAGGTGAATGCAAACATCCCAAAGAAGTTTCTGAGAATGCTTCCGTTTAGCTTTTAGGTGAAGATTATCCCGTTTCCAACGAAACCTTCAAAGAGGTCCAAATATCCCCTTGCGGATCCCACAGAAAGAGTGTTTCGAAACTGCTGTTTCAAAAGGAATCTTCAACTCTGTGAGTTGAATGCAATCATCACAAAGAAGTTTCTGACAATGCTTCTCTCTCGTCTTTCTGTGAAAATAAAGGAAAAGGCTTTCAGGCCTTTTCCACCACAGGCCTGAAAGCGCTCCAAATGTCCACTTGCAGATTCTGCCAAAAGAATATTTCAAAACTGCTCTATGAAAAGCAATGTTAAACTCTGTGGCTCGAACACAAACATCACAAAGCAGTTTCTGAGAATGCTTCAGTTTAGTTTTTCTGTGGAAATATTCCCGTTTCCAAAGAAATCTTCAAAGAGGTCCACGTATCCACTTACAGATTCTACAAAAAGACAGTTTCAAAACTGCTCCATCAAAAGGAGGGTTCAACTGTGTGACTTGAATGCAATCATCACTCAGAAGTTTCTGAGAATGCTTCTCTTTAGTTTTTACGTGAACATATACCCGTTTCGAACGAAGGCCACCCAGTGGTCCAAATATCCACTTGCAGATTATACAGAAAGAGTGTTTCGAACCTGAACTCTCAAAGGCAGGTTCATCTCTGCGAGTTAAATGCATTCATCATGAAGAACTTTCTCAGAGTGTTTGTGTTTAGTTATGGGAAATTATTCCCGTTTCCAACGAAATCCTCAGAGAGCTCCAAATATCCACCTGCAGATTCTACCAAAAGTGTATTTGGAAACTGCTCCATCAAAAGGCATGTTCAGCTCTGTGAGTGAAACTCCATCATCACAAAGAATATTCTGAGAATGCTTCCGTTTGCCTTTTATATGAAGTTCCTTCCTATACGACCGTAGGCCTCAAAGCAGTCCAAATCTCCATTTGCAGATTCTACAAAAAGAGTGATTCCAATCTGCTCTATCAATAGGATTGTTCAACTCCATGAGTTGAATGCCATCCTCACAAAGTAGTTTCTGAGAATGCTTCTATCTAGTTTTTATGTGAAGATATTTCCTTTTCCACCACAGGCCTCAAAGCCCTCCAAACGTCCACTTGCAGATTCTCGAAAAAGAGTGTTTCATAGCTGCTCTTTCAAAAGGAAAGTTCAACTCTGGGAGTTGAATACAAACATCACAAAGTAGTTTCCGAGAATGCTTCTGTTTAGTTTTTATGTGAAGATGATCGATCCCGTTTCCAGTGAAATCTTCAAAGAGGTCCACATATCCCCTTGCAGATTCCAAAGAAAGAGGGTTTCAAAACTGCTCCATCAGAAGGATTGTTCAACTCTGTGAGTTGAATGCAGTCATCGCAGAAAACTTTCTGAGAATGCTTCTGTCTAGGTTTGATGTGAAGATATAGACGTTTCAAACGAAGGCTACAAAGTGGTCAAAATATACACTTGCAGATTCTACTACAAGGGTGTTGCAAACCTGAACTATCAAAGGAAGGTTCAACTCTGTGAGTTGAATACAAACATCACAAAGAATGTTCTGAGTTTGCTTCCGTTCAGTTATGGGAAGTTGATCCCGTTTCCAACGAAATCCTCAGAGAGGTCCAAATATCCCCTCGCAGATTCTACAATACGTGTGTTTGGAAACTGCTCCATCATAACGAATGTTCAGCTCCCTGAGTTAAACTCCATCGTCACAAAGAATTTTCTGAGAGTGCTACCGTCTGGTTTTTATATGAAGTTCTTTCCTTCACTACCACAGGCCTCAAAGCGGTCCAAATCTCCACTTGCAGATTCTACAAAAAGAGTGTTTGCAAACTGCTCTATCAAAAGGAATGTTCAACTCTGGGAGTTGAATGCAATCATCACAGAGCAGTTTCTGAGAATGCTTCTATGTCGTTTTTAGAAGATATTTCCTTTTCCAACACAGTCCTCCAAGCCCGCTAAATAGCCACTTGCACATTGTAGAAAAAGTGTGTCAAAGCTGCGCTATCAAAGGGAAAGTTCAACTCTGTGAGGTGAATGCAAACATCCCAAAGAAGTTTCTGAGAATGCTTCCGTTTAGCTTTTAGGTGAAGATTATCCCGTTTCCAACGAAACCTTCAAAGAGGTCCAAATATCCCCTTGCGGATCCCACAGAAAGAGTGTTTCGAAACTGCTGTTTCAAAAGGAATCTTCAACTCTGTGAGTTGAATGCAATCATCACAAAGAAGTTTCTGACAATGCTTCTCTCTCGTCTTTCTGTGAAGATAAAGGAAAAGGCTTTCAGGCCTTTTCCACCACAGGCCTGAAAGCGCTCCAAATGTCCACTTGCAGATTCTGCCAAAAGAATATTTCAAAACTGCTCTATGAAAAGCAATGTTAAACTCTGCGGCTCGAACACAAACATCACAAAGCGGTTTCTGAGAATGCTTCAGTTTAGTTTTTCTGTGGAAATATTCCCGTTTCCAAAGAAATCTTCAAAGAGGTCCACGTATCCACTTACAGATTCTACAAAAAGACAGTTTCAAAACTGCTCCATCAAAAGGAGGGTTCAACCGTGTGACTTGAATGCAATCATCACTCAGAAGTTTCTGAGAATGCTTCTCTTTAGTTTTTACGTGAACATATACCCGTTTCGAACGAAGGCCACCCAGTGGTCCAAATATCCACTTGCAGATTATACAGAAAGAGTGTTTCGAACCTGAACTCTCAAAGGCAGGTTCATCTCTGCGAGTTAAATGCATTCATCATGAAGAACTTTCTCAGAGTGTTTGTGTTTAGTTATGGGAAATTATTCCCGTTTCCAACGAAATCCTCAGAGAGCTCCAAATATCCACCTGCAGATTCTACCAAAAGTGTATTTGGAAACTGCTCCATCAAAAGGCATGTTCAGCTCTGTGAGTGAAACTCCATCATCACAAAGAATATTCTGAGAATGCTTCCGTTTGCCTTTTATATGAAGTTCCTTCCTGTACTACCGTAGGCCTCAAAGCAGTCCAAATCTCCATTTGCAGATTCTACAAAAAGAGTGATTCCAATCTGCTCTATCAATAGGATTGTTCAACTCCATGAGTTGAATGCCATCCTCACAAAGTAGTTTCTGAGAATGCTTCTATCTAGTTTTTATGTGAAGATATTTCCTTTTCCACCACAGGCCTCAAAGCCTTCCAAACGTCCACTTGCAGATTCTCGAAAAAGAGTGTTTCATAGCTGCTCTTTCAAAAGGAAAGTTCAACTCTGGGAGTTGAATACAAACATCACAAAGTAGTTTCCGAGAATGCTTCTGTTTAGTTCTTATGTGAAGATGATCCCGTTTCCAGTGAAATCTTCAAAGAGGTCCACATATCCCCTTGCAGATTCCAAAGAAAGAGGGTTTCAAAACTGCTCCATCAAAAGGATTGTTCAACTCTGTGAGTTGAATGCAGTCATCGCAGAAAACTTTCTGAGAATGCTTCTGTCTAGGTTTGAGGTGAAGATATAGACGTTTCAAACGAAGGCTACAAAGTGGTCAAAATATACACTTGCAGATTCTACTACAAGGGTGTTGCAAACCTGAACTATCAAAGGAAGGTTCAACTCTGTGAGTTGAATACAAACATCACAAAGAATGTTCTGAGTTTGCTTCCGTTCAGTTATGGGAAGTTGATCCCGTTTCCAACGAAATCCTCAGAGAGGTCCAAATATCCCCTTGCAGATTCTACAAAACGTGTGTTTGGAAACTGCTCCATCATAACGAATGTTCAGCTCTCTGAGTTAAACTCCATCGTCACAAAAAATTTTCTGAGAGTGCTACCGTCTGGTTTTTATATGAAGTTCTTTCCTTTACTACCACAGGCCTCAAAGCGGTCCAAATCTCCACTTGCAGATTCTACAAAAAGAGTGTTTGCAAACTGCTCTATCAAAAGGAATGTTCAACTCTGGGAGTTGAATGCAATCATCACAGAGCAGTTTCTGAGAATGCTTCTATGTCGTTTTTAGGAGAAGATATTTCCTTTTCCAACACAGTCCTCCAAGCCCGCTAAATATCCACTTGCACATTGTAGAAAAAGGGTGTCGAAGCTGCGCTATCAAAGGGAAAGTTCAACTCTGTGAGGTGAATGCAAACATCCCAAAGAAGTTTCTGAGAATGCTTCCGTTTAGCTTTTAGGTGAAGATTATCCCGTTTCCAACGAAATCTTCAAAGAGGTCCAAATATCCCCTTGCGGATCCCACAGAAAAAGTGTTTCGAAACTGCTGTTTCAAAAGGAATCTTCAACTCTGTGAGTTGAATGCAATCATCACAAAGAAGTTTCTGACAATGCTTCTCTCTCGTCTTTCTGTGAAGATAAAGGAAAAGGCTTTCAGGCCTTTTCCACCACAGGCCTGAAAGCGCTCCAAATGTCCACTTGCAGATTCTGCCAAAAGAATATTTCAAAACTGCTCTATGAAAAGCAATGTTAAACTCTGCGGCTCGAACACAAACATCACAAAGCAGTTTCTGAGAATGCTTCAGTTTAGTTTTTCTGTGGAAATATTCCCGTTTCCAAAGAAATCTTCAAAGAGGTCCACGCATCCACTTACAGATTCTACAAAAAGACAGTTTCAAAACTGCTCAATCAAAAGGAGGGTTCAACTGTGTGACTTGAATGCAATCATCACTCAGAAGTTTCTGAGAACGCTTCTCTTTAGTTTTTACGTGAACATATACCCGTTTCGAACGAAGGCCAGCCAGTGGTCCAAATATCCACTTGCAGATTCTACAGAAAGAGTGTTTCAAACCTGAACTCTCAAAGGCAGGTTCATCTCTGCGAGTTAAATGCATTCATCATGAAGAACTTTCTCAGCGTGTTTGTGTTTAGTTATGGGAAATTATTCCCGTTTCCAACGAAATCCTCAGAGAGCTCCAAATATCCACCTGCAGATTCTACCAAAAGTGTATTTGGAAACTGCTCCATCAAAAGGCATGTTCAGCTCTGTGAGTGAAACTCCATCATCACAAAGAATATTCTGAGAATGCTTCCGTTTGCCTTTTATATGAAGCTCCTTCCTATACTACCGTAGGCCTCAAAGCAGTCCAAATCTTCATTTGCAGATTCTACAAAAAGAGTGATTCCAATCTGCTCTATCAATAGGATTGTTCAACTCCATGAGTTGAATGCCATCCTCACAAAGTCGTTTCTGAGAATGCTTCTATCTAGTTTCTATGTGAAGATATTTCCTTTTCCACCACAGGCCTCAAAGCCCTCCAAACGTCCACTTGCAGATTCTCGAAAAAGAGGGTTTCATAGCTGCTCTTTCAAAAGGAAAGTTCAACTCTGGGAGTTGAATACAAACATCACAAAGTAGTTTCCGAGAATGCTTCTGTTTAGTTCTTATGTAAAGATGATCCCGTTTCCAGTGAAATCTTCAAAGAGGTCCACATATCCCCTTGCAGATTCCAAAGAAAGAGGGTTTCAAAACTGCTCCATCAAAAGGACTGTTCAACTCTGTGAGTTGAATGCAGTCATCGCAGAAAACTTTCTGAGAATGCTTCTGTCTAGGTTTGATGTGAAGATATAGACGTTTCAAATGAAGGCTACAAAGTGGTCAAAATATACACTTGCAGATTCTACTACAAGGGTGTTGCAAACCTGAACTATCAAAGGAAGGTTCAACTCTGTGAGTTGAATACAAACATCACAAAGAATGTTCTGAGTTTGCTTCCGTTCAGTTATGGGCAGTTGATCCCGTTTCCAGCGAAATCCTCAGAGAGGTCCAAATATCCCCTTGCAGATTCTACAAAACGTGTGTTTGGAAACTGCTCCATCATAACGAATGTTCAGCTCCCTGAGTTAAACTCCATCGTCACAAAGAATTTTCTGAGAGTGCTACCGTCTGGTTTTTATATGAAGTTCTTTCCTTTACTACCATAGGCCTCAAAGCGGTCCAAATCTCCACTTGCAGATTCTACAAAAAGAGTGTTTGCAAACTGCTCTATCAAAAGGAATGTTCAACCCTGGGAGTTGAATGCAATCATCACAGAGCAGTTTCTGAGAATGCTTCTATGTCGTTTTTAGGAGAAGATATTTCCTTTTCCAACACAGTCCTCCACGCCCGCTAAATATCCACTTGCACATTGTAGAAAAAAAGTGTGTCAAAGCTGCGCTATCAAAGGGAAAGTTCAACTCTGTGAGGTGAATGCAAACATCCCAAAGAAGTTTCTGAGAGTGCTTCCGTTTAGCTTTTAGGTGAAGATTATCCCGTTTCCAACGAAAGCTTCAAAGAGGTCCAAATATCCCCTTGCGGATCCCACAGAAAGAGTGTTTCGAAACTGCTGTTTCAAAAGGAATCTTCAACTCTGTGAGTTGAATGCAATCATCACAAAGAAGTTTCTGACAATGCTTCTCTCTCGTCTTTCTGTGAAGATAAAGGAAAAGGCTTTCAGGCCTTTTCAACCACAGGCCTGAAAGCGCTCCAAATGTCCACTTGCAGATTCTGCCAAAAGAATATTTCAAAACTGCTCTATGAAAAGCAATGTTAAACTCTGTGGCTCGAACACAAACATCACAAAGCAGTTTCTGAGAATGCTTCAGTTTAGTTTTTCTGTGGAAATATTCCCGTTTCCAAAGAAATCTTCAAAGAGGTCCACGTATCCACTTACAGATTCTACAAAAAGACAGTTTCAAAACTGCTCCATCAAAAGGAGGGTTCAACTGTGTGACTTGAATGCAATCATCACTCAGAAGTTTCTGAGAATGCTTCTCTTTAGTTTTTACGTGAACATATACCCGTTTCGAACGAAGGCCAGCCAGTGGTCCAAATATCCACTTGCAGATTCTACAGAAAGAGTGTTTCGAACCTGAACTCTCAAAGGCAGGTTCATCTCTGCGAGTTAAATGCATTCATCATGAAGAACTTTCTCAGAGTGTTTGTGTTTAGTTATGGGAAATTATTCCCGTTTCCAACGAAATCCTCAGAGAGCTCCAAATATCCACCTGCAGATTCTACCAAAAGTGTATTTGGAAACTGCTCCATCAAAAGGCATGTTCAGCTCTGTGAGTGAAACTCCATCATCACAAAGAATATTCTGAGAATGCTTCCGTTTGCCTTTTATATGAAGTTCCTTCCTATACTACCGTAGGCCTCAAAGCAGTCCAAATCTCCATTTGCAGATTCTACAAAAAGAGTGATTCCAATCTGCTCTATCAATAGGATTGTTCAACTCCATGAGTTGAATGCCATCCTCACAAAGTCGTTTCTGAGAATGCTTCTATCTGGTTTTTGTGTGAAGATATTTCCTTTTCCACCACAGGCCTCAAAGCCCTCCAAACGTCCACTTGCAGATTCTCGAAAAAGAGTGTTTCATAGCTGCTCTTTCAAAAGGAAAGTTCAACTACTGGGAGTTGAATACAAACATCACAAAGTAGTTTCCGAGAATGCTTCTGTTTAGTTTTTATGTGAAGATGATCCCGTTTCCAGTGAAATCTTCAAAGAGGTCCACATATCCCCTTGCAGATTCCAAAGAAAGAGGGTTTCAAAACTGCTCCATCAGAAGGATTGTTCAACTCTGTGAGTGGAATGCAGTCATCGCAGAAAACTTTCTGAGAATGCTTCTGTCTAGGTTTGATGTGAAGATATAGACGTTTCAAACGAAGGCTACAAAGTGGTCAAAATATACACTTGCAGATTCTACTACAAGGGTGTTGCAAACCTGAACTATCAAAGGAAGGTTCAACTCTGTGAGTTGAATACAAACATCACAAAGAATGTTCTGAGTTTGCTTCCGTTCAGTTATGGGAAGTTGATCCCGTTTCCAACGAAATCCTCAGAGAGGTCCAAATATCCCCTTGCAGATTCTACAAAACGTGTGTTTGGAAACTGCTCCATCATAACGAATGTTCAGCTCCCTGAGTTAAACTCCATCGTCACAAAGAATTTTCTGAGAGTGCTACCGTCTGGTTTTTATATGAAGCTCTTTCCTTCACTACCACAGGCCTCAAAGCGGTCCAAATCTCCACTTGCAGATTCTACAAAAAGAGTGTTTGCAAACTGCTCTATCAAAAGGAATGTTCAACTCTGGGAGTTGAATGCAATCATCACAGAGCAGTTTCTGAGAATGCTTCTATGTCGTTTTTAGAAGATATTTCCTTTTCCAACACAGTCCTCCAAGCCCGCTAAATATCCACTTGCACATTGTAGAAAAAGTGTGTCAAAGCTGCGCTATCAAAGGGAAAGTTCAACTCTGTGAGGTGAATGCAAACATCCCAAAGAAGTTTCTGAGAATGCTTCCGTTTAGCTTTTAGGTGAAGATTATCCCGTTTCCAACGAAACCTTCAAAGAGGTCCAAATATCCCCTTGCGGATCCCACAGAAAGAGTGTTTCGAAACTGCTGTTTCAAAAGGAATCTTCAACTCTGTGAGTTGAATGCAATCATCACAAAGAAGTTTCTGACAATGCTTCTCTCTCGTCTTTCTGTGAAGATAAAGGAAAAGGCTTTCAGGCCTTTGCCACCACAGGCCTGAAAGCGCTCCAAATGTCCACTTGCAGATTCTGCGAAAAGAATATTTCAAAACTGCTCTATGAAAAGCAATGTTAAACTCTGTGGCTCGAACACAAACATCACAAAGCGGTTTCTGAGAATGCTTCAGTTTAGTTTTTCTGTGGAAATATTCCCGTTTCCAAAGAAATCTTCAAAGAGGTCCACGTATCCACTTACAGATTCTACAAAAAGACAGTTTCAAAACTGCTCCATCAAAAGGAGTGTTCAACCGTGTGACTTGAATGCAATCATCACTCAGAAGTATCTGAGAATGCTTCTCTTTAGTTTTTACGTGAACATATACCCGTTTCGAACGAAGGCCACCCAGTGGTCCAAATATCCACTTGCAGATTATACAGAAAGAGTGTTTCGAACCTGAACTCTCAAAGGCAGGTTCATCTCTGCGAGTTAAATGCATTCATCATGAAGAACTTTCTCAGAGTGTTTGTGTTTAGTTATGGGAAATTATTCCCGTTTCCAACGAAATCCTCAGAGAGCTCCAAATATCCACCTGCAGATTCTACCAAAAGTGTATTTGGAAACTGCTCCATCAAAAGGCATGTTCAGCTCTGTGAGTGAAACTCCATCATCACAAAGAATATTCTGAGAATGCTTCCGTTTGCCTTTTATATGAAGTTCCTTCCTATACTACCGTAGGCCTCAAAGCAGTCCAAATCTCCATTTGCAGATTCTACAAAAAGAGTGATTCCAATCTGCTCTATCAATAGGATTGTTCAACTCCATGAGTTGAATGCCATCCTCACAAAGTCGTTTCTGAGAATGCTTCTATCTAGTTTTTATGTGAAGATATTTCCTTTTCCACCACAGGCCTCAAAGCCCTCCAAACGTCCACTTGCAGATTCTCGAAAAAGTGTGTTTCATAGCTGCTCTTTCAAAAGGAAAGTTCAACTCTGGGAGTTGAATACAAACATCACAAAGTAGTTTCCGAGAATGCTTCTGTTTAGTTCTTATGTGAAGATGATCCTGTTTCCAGTGAAACCTTCAAAGAGGTCCACATATCCCCTTGCAGATTCCAAAGAAAGAGGGTTTCAAAACTGCTCCAACAAAAGGATTGTTCAACTCTGTGAGTTGAATGCAGTCATCGCAGAAAACTTTCTGAGAATGCTTCTGTCTAGGTTTGAGGTGAAGATATAGACGTTTCAAACGAAGGCTACAAAGTGTTCAAAATATACACTTGCAGATTCTACTACAAGGGTGATGCAAACCTGAACTATCAAAGGAAGGTTCAACTCTGTGAGTTGAATACAAACATCACAAAGAATGTTCTGAGTTTGCTTCCGTTCAGTTATGGGAAGTTGATCCCGTTTCCAACGAAATCCTCAGAGAGGTCCAAATATCCCCTTGCAGATTCTACAAAACGTGTGTTTGGAAACTGCTCCATCATAACGAATGTTCAGCTCTCTGAGTTAAACTCCATCGTCACAAAGAATTTTCTGAGGGTGCTACCTTCTAGTTTTTATATGAAGTTCTTTCCTTTACTACCACAGGCCTCAAAGCGGTCCAAATCTCCACTTGCAGATTCTACAAAAAGAGTGTTTGCAAACTGCTCTATCAAAAGGAATGTTCAACTCTGGGAGTTGAATGCAATCATCACAGAGCAGTTTCTGAGAATGCTTCTATGTCGTTTTTAGGAGAAGATATTTCCTTTTCCAACACAGTCCTCCAAGCCCGCTAAATATCCACTTGCACATTGTAGAAAAAGTGTGTCGAAGCTGCGCTATCAAAGGGAAAGTTCAACTCTGTGAGGTGAATGCAAACATCCCAAAGAAGTTTCTGAGAATGCTTCCGTTTAGCTTTTAGGTGAAGATTATCCCGTTTCCAACGAAATCTTCAAAGAGGTCCAAATATCCCCTTGCGGATCCCACAGAAAGAGTGTTTCGAAACTGCTGTTTCAAAAGGAATCTTCAACTCTGTGAGTTGAATGCAATCATCACAAAGAAGTTTCTGACAATGCTTCTCTCTCGTCTTTCTGTGAAGATAAAGGAAAAGGCTTTCAGGCCTTTTCCACCACAGGCCTGAAAGCGCTCCAAATGTCCACTTGCAGATTCTGCCAAAAGAATATTTCAAAACTGCTCTATGAAAAGCAATGTTAAAATCTGTGGCTCGAACACAAACATCACAAAGCAGTTTCTGAGAGTGCTTCAGTTTAGTTTTTCTGTGGAAATATTCCCGTTTCCAAAGAAATCTTCAAAGAGGTCCACGTATCCACTTACAGATTCTACAAAAAGACAGTTTCAAAACTGCTCAATCAAAAGGAGGGTTCAACCGTGTGACTTGAAAGCAATCATCACTCAGAAGTTTCTGAGAATGCTTCTCTTTAGTTTTTACGTGAACATATACCCGTTTCGAACGAAGGCCAGCCAGTGGTCCAAATATCCACTTGCAGATTCTACAGAAAGAGTGTTTCGAACCTGAACTCTCAAAGGCAGGTTCATCTCTGCGAGTTCAATGCATTCATCATGAAGAACTTTCTCAGTGTGTTTGTGTTTAGTTATGGGAAATTATTCCCGTTTCCAACGAAATCCTCAGAGAGGTCCAAATATCCACCTGCAGATTCTACCAAAAGTGTATTTGGAAACTGCTCCATCAAAAGGCATGTTCAGCTCTGTGAGTGAAACTCCATCATCACAAAGAATATTCTGAGAATGCTTCCGTTTGCCTTTTATATGAAGTTCCTTCCTATACTACCGTAGGCCTCAAAGCAGTCCAAATCTCCGTTTGCAGATTCTACAAAAAGAGTGATTCCAATCTGCTCTATCAATAGGATTGTTCAACTCCATGAGTTGAATGCCATCCTCACAAAGTAGTTTCTGAGAATGCTTCTATCTAGTTTTTATGTGAAGATATTTCCTTTTCCACCACAGGCCTCAAAGCCTTCCAAACGTCCACTTGCAGATTCTCGAAAAAGAGTGTTTCATAGCTGCTCTTTCAAAAGGAAAGTTCAACTCTGGGAGTTGAATACAAACATCACAAAGTAGTTTCCGAGAATGCTTCTGTTTAGTTTTTATGTGAAGATGATCCCGTTTCCAGTGAAATCTTCAAAGAGGTCCACATATCCCCTTGCAGATTCCAAAGAAAGAGGGTTTCAAAACTGCTCCATCAGAAGGATTGTTCAACTCTGTGAGTTGAATGCAGTCATCGCAGAAAACTTTCTGAGAATGCTTCTGTCTAGGTTTGATGTGAAGATATAGACGTTTCAAATGAAGGCTACAAAGTGGTCAAAATATACACTTGCAGATTCTACTACAAGGGTGTTGCAAACCTGAACTATCAAAGGAAGGTTCAACTCTGTGAGTTGAATACAAACATCACAAAGAATGTTCTGAGTTTGCTTCCGTTCAGTTATGGGAAGTTGATCCCGTTTCCAACGAAATCCTCAGAGAGGTCCAAATATCCCCTTGCAGATTCTACAAAACGTGTGTTTGGAAACTGCTCCATCATAACGAATGTTCAGCTCCCTGAGTTAAACTCCATCGTCACAAAGAATTTTCTGAGAGTGCTACCGTCTGGTTTTTATATGAAGTTCTTTCCTTCACTACCACAGGCCTCAAAGCGGTCCAAATCTCCACTTGCAGATTCTACAAAAAGAGTGTTTGCAAACTGCTCTATCAAAAGGAATGTTCAACTCTGGGAGTTGAATGCAATCATCACAGAGCAGTTTCTGAGAATGCTTCTATGTCGTTTTTAGGAGAAGATATTTCCTTTTCCAACACAGTCCTCCAAGCCCGCTAAATAGCCACTTGCACATTGTAGAAAAAGTGTGTCAAAGCTGCGCTATCAAAGGGAAAGTTCAACTCTGTGAGGTGAATGCAAACATCCCAAAGAAGTTTCTGAGAATGCTTCCGTTTAGCTTTTAGGTGACGATTATCCAGTTTCCAACGAAACCTTCAAAGAGATCCAAATATCCCCTTGCGGATCCCACAGAAAGAGTGTTTCGAAACTGCTGTTTCAAAAGGAATCTTCAACTCTGTGAGTTGAATGCAATCATCACAAAGAAGTTTCTGACAATGCTTCTCTCTCGTCTTTCTGTGAAGATAAAGGAAAAGGCTTTCAGGCCTTTTCCACCACAGGCCTGAAAGCGCTCCAAATGTCCACTTGCAGATTCTGCCAAAAGAATATTTCAAAACTGCTCTATGAAAAGCAATGTTAAACTCTGCGGCTCGAACACAAACATCACAAAGCAGTTTCTGAGAATGCTTCAGTTTAGTTTTTCTGTGGAAATATTCCCGTTTCCAAAGAAATCTTCAAAGAGGTCCACGTATCCACTTACAGATTCTACAAAAAGACAGTTTCAAAACTGCTCCATCAAAAGGAGGGTTCAACTGTGTGACTTGAATGCAATCATCACTCAGAAGTTTCTGAGAATGCTTCTCTTTAGTTTTTACGTGAACATATACCCGTTTCGAACGAAGGCCAGCCAGTGGTACAAATATCCACTTGCAGATTCTACAGAAAGAGTGTTTCGAACCTGAACTCTCAAAGGCAGGTTCATCTCTGCGAGTTAAATGCATTCATCATGAAGAACTTTCTCAGAGTGTTTTGTGTTTAGTTATGGGAAATTATTCCCGTTTCCAACGAAATCCTCAGAGAGCTCCAAATATCCACCTGCTGATTCTACCAAAAGTGTATTTGGAAACTGCTCCATCAAAAGGCATGTTCAGGTCTGTGAGTGAAACTCCATCATCACAAAGAATATTCTGAGAATGCTTCCGTTTGCCTTTTATCTGAAGTTCCTTCCTATACGACCGTAGGCCTCAAAGCAGTCCAAATCTCCATTTGCAGATTCTACAAAAAGAGTGATTCCAATCTGCTCTATCAATAGGATTGTTCAACTCCATGAGTTGAATGCCATCCTCACAAAGTCGTTTCTGAGAATGCTTCTATCTAGTTTTTATGTGAAGATATTTCCTTTTCCACCACAGGCCTCAAAGCCCTCCAAACGTCCACTTGCAGATTCTCGAAAAAGAGTGTTTCATAGCTGCTCTTTCAAAAGGAAAGTTCAACTCTGGCAGTTGAATACAAACATCACAAAGTAGTTTCCGAGAATGCTTCTGTTTAGTTTTTATGTGAAGATGATCCCGTTTCCAGTGAAATCTTCAAAGAGGTCCACATATCCCCTTGCAGATTCCAAAGAAAGAGGGTTTCAAAACTGCTCCATCAGAAGGATTGTTCAACTCTGTGAGTTGAATGCAGTAATCGCAGAAAACTTTCTGAGAATGCTTCTGTCTAGGTTTGATGTGAAGATATAGACGTTTCAAACGAAGGCTACAAAGTGGTCAAAATATACACTTGCAGATTCTACTACAAGGGTGTTGCAAACCTGAACTATCAAAGGAAGGTTCAACTCTGTGAGTTGAATACAAACATCACAAAGAATGTTCTGAGTTTGCTTCCGTTCAGTTATGGGAAGTTGATCCCGTTTCCAACGAAATCCTCAGAGAGGTCCAAATATCCCCTTGCAGATTCTACAAAACGTGTGTTTGGAAACTGCTCCATCATAACGAATGTTCAGCTCCCTGAGTTAAACTCCATCGTCACAAAGAATTTTCTGAGAGTGCTACCGTCTGGTTTTTATATGAAGTTCTTTCCTTCACTACCACAGGCCTCAAAGCGGTCCAAATCTCCACTTGCAGATTCTACAAAAAGAGTGTTTGCAAACTGCTCTATCAAAAGGAATGTTCAACTCTGGGAGTTGAATGCAATCATCACAGAGCAGTTTCTGAGAATGCTTCTATGTCGTTTTTAGGAGAAGATATTTCCTTTTCCAACACAGTCCTCCAAGCCCGCTAAATAGCCACTTGCACATTGTAGAAAAAGTGTGTCAAAGCTGCGCTATCAAAGGGAAAGTTCAACTCTGTGAGGTGAATGCAAACATCCCAAAGAAGTTTCTGAGAATGCTTCCGTTTAGCTTTTAGGTGAAGATTATCCCGTTTCCAACGAAACCTTCAAAGAGGTCCAAATATCCCCTTGTGGATCCCACAGAAAGAGTGTTTCGAAACTGCTGTTTCAAAAGGAATCTTCAACTCTGTGAGTTGAATGCAATCATCACAAAGAAGTTTCTGACAATGCTTCTCTCTCGTCTTTCTGTGAAGATAAAGGAAAAGGCTTTCAGGCCTTTTCCACCCACAGGCCTGAAAGCGCTCCAAATGTCCACTTGCAGATTCTGCGAAAAGAATATTTCAAAACTGCTCTATGAAAAGCAATGTTAAACTCTGCGGCTCGAACACAAACATCACAAAGCGGTTTCTGAGAATGCTTCAGTTTAGTTTTTCTGTGGAAATATTCCCGTTTCCAAAGAAATCTTCAAAGAGGTCCACGTATCCACTTACAGATTCTACAAAAAGACAGTTTCAAAACTGCTCCATCAAAAGGAGGGTTCAACCGTGTGACTTGAATGCAATCATCACTCAGAAGTTTCTGAGAATGCTTCTCTTTAGTTTTTACGTGAACATATACCCGTTTCGAACGAAGGCCACCCAGTGGTCCAAATATCCACTTGCAGATTATACAGAAAGAGTGTTTCGAACCTGAACTCTCAAAGGCAGGTTCATCTCTGCGAGTTAAATGCATTCATCATGAAGAACTTTCTCAGAGTGTTTGTGTTTAGTTATGGGAAATTATTCCCGTTTCCAACGAAATCTCAGAGAGCTCCAAATATCCACCTGCAGATTCTACCAAAAGTGTATTTGGAAACTGCTCCATCAAAAGGCATGTTCAGCTCTGTGAGTGAAACTCCATCATCACAAAGAATATTCTGAGAATGCTTCCGTTTGCCTTTTATATGAAGTTCCTTCCTATACTACCGTAGGCCTCAAAGCAGTCCAAATCTCCATTTGCAGATTCTACAAAAAGAGTGATTCCAATCTGCTCTATCAATAGGATTGTTCAACTCCATGAGTTGAATGCCATCCTCACAAAGTCGTTTCTGAGAATGCTTCTATCTAGTTTTTATGTGAAGATATTTCCTTTTCCACCACAGGCCTCAAAGCCCTCCAAACGTCCACTTGCAGATTCTCGAAAAAGAGTGTTTCATAGCTGCTCTTTCAAAAGGAAAGTTCAACTCTGGGAGTTGAATACAAACATCACAAAGTAGTTTCCGAGAATGCTTCTGTTTAGTTTTTATGTGAAGATGATCCCGTTTCCAGTGAAATCTTCAAAGAGGTCCACATATCCCCTTGCAGATTCCAAAGAAAGAGGGTTTCAAAACTGCTCCATCAGAAGGATTGTTCATCTCTGTGAGTTGAATGCAGTCATCGCAGAAAACTTTCTGAGAATGCTTCTGTCTAGGTTTGATGTGAAGATATAGACGTTTCAAACGAAGGCTACAAAGTGGTCAAAATATACACTTGCAGATTCTACTACAAGGGTGTTGCAAACCTGAACTATCAAAGGAAGGTTCAACTCTGTGAGTTGAATACAAACATCACAAAGAATGTTCTGAGTTTGCTTCCGTTCAGTTATGGGAAGTTGATCCCGTTTCCAACGAAATCCTCAGGAGAGGTCCAAATATCCCCTTGCAGATTCTACAAAACGTGTGTTTGGAAACTGCTCCATCATAACGAATGTTCAGCTCCCTGAGTTAAACTCCATCGTCACAAAGAATTTTCTGAGAGTGCTACCGTCTGGTTTTTATATGAAGTTCTTTCCTTCACTACCACAGGCCTCAAAGCGGTCCAAATCTCCACTTGCAGATTCTACAAAAAGAGTGTTTGCAAACTGCTCTATCAAAAGGAATGTTCAACTCTGGGAGTTGAATGCAATCATCACAGAGCAGTTTCTGAGAATGCTTCTATGTGGTTTTTAGGAGAAGATATTTCCTTTTCCAACACAGTCCTGCAAGCCCGCTAAATATCCACTTGCACATTTTAGAAAAAGTGTGTCGAAGCTGCGCTATCAAAGGGAAAGTTCAACTCTGTGAGGTGAATGCGAACATCCCAAAGAAGTTTCTGAGAATGCTTCCGTTTAGCTTTTAGGTGAAGATTATCCCGTTTCCAACGAAATCTTCAAAGAGGTCCAAATATCCCCTTGCGGATCCCACAGAAAGAGTGTTTCGAAACTGCTGTTTCAAAAGGAATCTTCAACTCTGTGAGTTGAATGCAATCATCACAAAGAAGTTTCTGACAATGCTTCTCTCTCGTCTTTCTGTGAAGATAAAGGAAAAGGCTTTCAGGCCTTTTCCACCACAGGCCTGAAAGCGCTCCAAATGTCCACTTGCAGATTCTGCCAAAAGAATATTTCAAAACTGCTCTATGAAAAGCAATGTTAAACTCTGTGGCTCGAACACAAACATCACAAAGCAGTTTCTGAGAATGCTTCAGTTTAGTTTTTCTGTGGAAATATTCCCGTTTCCAAAGAAATCTTCAAAGAGGTCCACGCATCCACTTACAGATTCTACAAAAAGACAGTTTCAAAACTGCTCAATCAAAAGGAGGGTTCAACTGTGTGACTTGAATGCAATCATCACTCAGAAGTTTCTGAGAACGCTTCTCTTTAGTTTTTACGTGAACATATACCCGTTTCGAACGAAGGCCACCCAGTGGTCCAAATATCCACTTGCAGATTCTACAGAAAGAGTGTTTCGAACCTGAACTCTCAAAGGCAGGTTCATCTCTGCGAGTTAAATGCATTCATCATGAAGAACTTTCTCAGCGTGTTTGTGTTTAGTTATGGGAAATTATTCCCGTTTCCAACGAAATCCTAAGAGAGGTCCAAATATCCACCTGCAGATTCTACCAAAAGTGTATTTGGAAACTGCTCCATCAAAAGGCATGTTCAGCTCTGTGAGTGAAACTCCATCATCACAAAGAATATTCTGAGAATGCTTCCATTTGCCTTTTATATGAAGTTCCTTCCTATACTACCGTAGGCCTCAAAGCATTCCAAATCTCCATTTGCAGATTCTACAAAAAGAGTGATTCCAATCTGCTCTATCAATAGGACTGTTCAACTCCATGAGTTGAATGCCGTCCTCACAAAGTAGTTTCTGAGAATGCTTCTATCTAGTTTTTATGTGAAGATATTTCCTTTTCCACCACAGGCCTCAAAGCCCTCCAAACGTCCACTTGCAGATTCTCGAAAAAGAGTGTTTCATAGCTGCTCTTTCAAAAGGAAAGTTCAACTCTGGGAGCTGAATACAAACATCACAAAGTAGTTTCCGAGAATGCTTCTGTTTAGTTCTTATGTGAAGATGATCCCGTTTCCAGTGAAATCTTCAAAGAGGTCCACATATCCCCTTGCAGATTCCAAAGAAAGAGGGTTTCAAAACTGCTCCATCAAAAGGATTGTTCAACTCTGTGAGTTGAATGCAGTCATCGCAGAAAACTTTCTGAGAATGCTTCTGTCTAGGTTAGATGGGAAGATATAGACGTTTCAAACGAAGGCTACAAAGTGGTCAAAATATACACTTGCAGATTCTACTACAAGGGTGATGCAAACCTGAACTATCAAAGGAAGGTTCAACTCTGTGAGTTGAATACAAACATCACAAAGAATGTTCTGAGTTTGCTTCCGTTCAGTTATGGGAAGTTGATCCCGTTTCCAACGAAATCCTCAGAGAGGTCCAAATATCCCCTTGCAGATTCTACAAAACGTGTGTTTGGAAACTGCTCCATCATAACGAATGTTCAGCTCTCTGAGTTAAACTCCATCGTCACAAAGAATTTTCTGAGAGTGCTACCGTCTAGTTTTATATGAAGTTCTTTCCTTTACTACCACCGGCCTCAAAGCGGTCCAAATCTCCACTTGCAGATTCTACAAAAAGAGTGTTTGCAAACTGCTCTATCAAAAGGAATGTTCAACTCTGGGAGTTGAATGCAATCATCACAGAGCAGTTTCTGAGAATGCTTCTATGTCGTTTTTAGGAGAAGATATTTCCTTTTCCAACACAGTCCTCCAAGCCCGCTAAATATCCACTTGCACATTGTAGAAAAAGTGTGTCGAAGCTGCGCTATCAAAGGGAAAGTTCAACTCTGTGAGGTGAATGCAAACATCCCAAAGAAGTTTCTGAGAATGCTTCCGTTTAGCTTTTAGGTGAAGATTATCCCGTTTCCAACGAAATCTTCAAAGAGGTCCAAATATCCCCTTGCGGATCCCACAGAAAGAGTGTTTCGAAACTGCTGTTTCAAAAGGAATCTTCAACTCTGTGAGTTGAATGCAATCATCACAAAGAAGTTTCTGACAATGCTTCTCTCTCGTCTTTCTGTGAAGATAAAGGAAAAGGCTTTCAGGCCTTTTCCACCACAGGCCTGAAAGCGCTCCAAATGTCCACTTGCAGATTCTGCCAAAAGAATATTTCAAAACTGCTCTATGAAAAGCAATGTTAAACTCTGTGGCTCGAACACAAACATCACAAAGCAGTTTCTGAGAATGCTTCAGTTTAGTTTTTCTGTGGAAATATTCCCGTTTCCAAAGAAATCTTCAAAGAGGTCCACGCATCCACTTACAGATTCTACAAAAAGACAGTTTCAAAACTGCTCAATCAAAAGGAGGGTTCAACTGTGTGACTTGAATGCAATCATCACTCAGAAGTTTCTGAGAATGCTTCTCTTTAGTTTTTACGTGAACATATACCCGTTTCGAACGAAGGCCAGCCAGTGGTCCAAATATCCACTTGCAGATTCTACAGAAAGAGTGTTTCGAACCTGAACTCTCAAAGGCAGGTTCATCTCTGCGAGTTCAATGCATTCATCATGAAGAACTTTCTCAGCGTGTTTGTGTTTAGTTATTGGAAATTATTCCCGTTTCCAACGAAATCCTCAGAGAGGTCCAAATATCCACCTGTAGATTCTACCAAAAGTGTATTTGGAAACTGCTCCATCAAAAGGAATGTTCAGCTCTGTGAGTGAAACTCCATCATCTCAAAGAATATTCTGAGAATGCTTCCATTTGCCTTTTATATGAAGTTCCTTCCTATACTACCCTAGGCCTCAAAGCAGTCCAAATCTCCATTTGCAGATTCTACAAAAAGAGTGATTCCAATCTGCTCTATCAATAGGACTGTTCAACTCCATGAGTTGAATGCCATCCTCACAAAGTAGTTTCTGAGAATGTTTCTATCTAGTTTTTATGTGAAGATATTTCCTTTTCCACCACAGGCCTCAAAGCCCTCCAAACGTCCACTTGCAGATTCTCGAAAAAGAGTGTTTCATAGCTGCTCTTTCAAAAGGAAAGTTCAACTCTGGGAGCTGAATACAAACATCACAAAGTAGTTTCCGAGAATGCTTCTGTTTAGTTCTTATGTGAAGATGATCCCGTTTCCAGTGAAATCTTCAAAGAGGTCCACATATCCCCTTGCAGATTCCAAAGAAAGAGGGTTTCAAAACTGCTCCATCAAAAGGATTGTTCAACTCTGTGAGTTGAATGCAGTCATCGCAGAAAACTTTCTGAGAATGCTTCTGTCTAGGTTTGATGTGAAGATATAGACGTTTCAAACGAAGGCTACAAAGTGGTCAAAATATACACTTGCAGATTCTACTACAAGGGTGATGCAAACCTGAACTATCAAAGGAAGGTTCAACTCTGTGAGTTGAATACAAACATCACAAAGAATGTTCTGAGTTTGCTTCCGTTCAGTTATGGGAAGTTGATCCCGTTTCCAACGAAATCCTCAGAGGGGTCCAAATATCCCCTTGCAGATTCTACAAAACGTGTGTTTGGAAACTGCTCCATCATAACGAATGTTCAGCTCTCTGAGTTAAACTCCATCGTCACAAAGAATTTTCTGAGAGTGCTACCGTCTAGTTTTATATGAAGTTCTTTCCTTTACTACCACCGGCCTCAAAGCGGTCCAAATCTCCACTTGCAGATTCTACAAAAAGAGTGTTTGCAAACTGCTCTATCAAAAGGAATGTTCAACTCTGGGAGTTGAATGCAATCATCACAGAGCAGTTTCTGAGAATGCTTCTATGTCGTTTTTAGGAGAAGATATTTCCTTTTCCAACACAGTCCTCCAAGCCCGCTAAATAGCCACTTGCACATTGTAGAAAAAGTGTGTCGAAGCTGCGCTATCAAAGGGAAAGTTCAACTCTGTGAGGTGAATGCAAACATCCCAAAGAAGTTTCTGAGAATGCTTCCGTTTAGCTTTTAGGTGAAGATTATCCCGTTTCCAACGAAACCTTCAAAGAGGTCCAAATATCCCCTTGCGGATCCCACAGAAAGAGTGTTTCGAAACTGCTGTTTCAAAAGGAATCTTCAACTCTGTGAGTTGAATGCAACCATCACAAAGAAGTTTCTGACAATGCTTCTCTCTCGTCTTTCTGTGAAGATAAAGGAAAAGGCTTTCAGGCCTTTTCCACCACAGGCCTGAAAGCGCTCCAAGTGTCCACTTGCAGATTCTGCCAAAAGAATATTTCAAAACTGCTCTATGAAAAGCAATGTTAAACTCTGTGGCTCGAACACAAACATCACAAAGCGGTTTCTGAGAATGCTTCAGTTTAGTTTTTCTGTGGAAATATTCCCGTTTCCAAAGAAATCTTCAAAGAGGTCCACGCATCCACTTACAGATTCTACAAAAAGACAGTTTCAAAACTGCTCCATCAAAAGGAGGGTTCAACTGTGTGACTTGAATGCAATCATCACTCAGAAGTTTCTGAGAATGCTTCTCTTTAGTTTTTACGTGAACATATACCCGTTTCGAACGAAGGCCAGCCAGTGGTCCAAATATCCACTTGCAGATTCTACAGAAAGAGTGTTTCGAACCTGAACTCTCAAAGGCAGGTTCATCTCTGCGAGTTAAATGCATTCATCATGAAGAACTTTCTCAGAGTGTTTGTGTTTAGTTATGGGAAATTATTCCCGTTTCCAACGAAATCCTCAGAGAGCTCCAAATATCCACCTGCAGATTCTACCAAAAGTGTATTTGGAAACTGCTCCATCAAAAGGCATGTTCAGCTCTGTCAGTGAAACTCCATCATCACAAAGAATATTCTGAGAATGCTTCCGTTTGCCTTTTATATGAAGTTCCTTCCTGTACTACCGTAGGCCTCAAAGCAGTCCAAATCTCCATTTGCAGATTCTACAAAAAGAGTGATTCCAATCTGCTCTATCAATAGGATTGTTCAACTCCATGAGTTGAATGCCATCCTCACAAAGTAGTTTCTGAGAATGCTTCTATCTAGTTTTTATGTGAAGGTATTTCCTTTTCCACCACAGGCCTCCAAGCCCTCCAAACGTCCACTTGCAGATTCTCGAAAAAGAGTGTTTCATAGCTGCTCTTTCAAAAGGAAAGTTCAACTCTGGGAGTTGAATACAAACATCACAAAGTAGTTTCCGAGAATGCTTCTGTTTAGTTTTTATGTGAAGATGATCCCGTTTCCAGTGAAATCTTCAAAGAGGTCCACATATCCCCTTGCAGATTCCAAAGAAAGAGGGTTTCAAAACTGCTCCATCAGAAGGATTGTTCAACTCTGTGAGTTGAATGCAGTCATCGCAGAAAACTTTCTGAGAATGCTTCTGTCTAGGTTTGATGTGAAGATATAGACGTTTCAAACGAAGGCTACAAAGTGGTCAAAATATACACTTGCAGATTCTACTACAAGGGTGTTGCAAACCTGAACTATCAAAGGAAGGTTCAACTCTGTGAATTGAATACAAACATCACAAAGAATGTTCTGAGTTTGCTTCCGTTCAGTTATGGGAAGTTGATCCCGTTTCCAACGAAATCCTCAGAGAGGTCCAAATATCCCCTCGCAGATTCTACAAAACGTGTGTTTGGAAACTGCTCCATCATAACGAATGTTCAGCTCCCTGAGTTAAACTCCATCGTCACAAAGAATTTTCTGAGAGTGCTACCGTCTGGTTTTTATATGAAGTTCTTTCCTTCACTACCACAGGCCTCAAAGCGGTCCAAATCTCCACTTGCAGATTCTACAAAAAGAGTGTTTGCAAACTGCTCTATCAAAAGGAATGTTCAACTCTGGGAGTTGAATGCAATCATCACAGAGCAGATTCTGAGAATGCTTCTATGTCGTTTTTAGAAGATATTTCCTTTTCCAACACAGTCCTCCAAGCCCGCTAAATAGCCACTTGCACATTGTAGAAAAAGTGTGTCAAAGCTGCGCTATCAAAGGGAAAGTTCAACTCTGTGAGGTGAATGCAAACATCCCAAAGAAGTTTCTGAGAATGCTTCCGTTTAGCTTTTAGGTGAAGATTATCCCGTTTCCAACGAAACCTTCAAAGAGGTGCAAATATCCCCTTGCGGATCCCACAGAAAGAGTGTTTCGAAACTGCTGTTTCAAAAGGAATCTTCAACTCTGTGAGTTGAATGCAATCATCACAAAGAAGTTTCTGACAATGCTTCTCTCTCGTCTTTCTGTGAAGATAAAGGAAAAGGCTTTCAGGCCTTTTCCACCACAGGCCTGAAAGCGCTCCAAATGTCCACTTGCAGATTCTGCGAAAAGAATATTTCAAAACTGCTCTATGAAAAGCAATGTTAAACTCTGTGGCTGGAACACAAACATCACAAAGCGGTTTCTGAGAATGTTTAAGTTTAGTTTTTCTGTGGAAATATTCCCGTTTCCAAAGAAATCTTCAAAGAGGTCCACGTATCCACTTACAGATTCTACAAAAAGACAGTTTCAAAACTGCTCCATCAAAAGGAGGGTTCAACTGTGTGACTTGAATGCAATCATCACTCAGAAGTTTCTGAGAATGCTTCTCTTTAGTTTTTACTGTGAACATATACCCGTTTCGAACGAAGGCCACCCAGTGGTCCAAATATCCACTTGCAGATTCTACAGAAAGAGTGTTTCGAACCTGAACTCTCAAAGGCAGGTTCATCTCTGCGAGTTAAATGCATTCATCATGAAGAACTTTCTCAGAGTGTTTGTGTTTAGTTATGGGAAATTATTCCCGTTTCCAACGAAATCCTCAGAGAGCTCCAAATATCCACCTGCAGATTCTACCAAAAGTGTATTTGGAAACTGCTCCATCAAAAGGCATGTTCAGCTCTGTGAGTGAAACTCCATCATCACAAAGAATATTCTGAGAATGCTTCCGTTTGCCTTTTATATGAAGTTCCTTCCTATACTACCGTAGGCCTCAAAGCAGTCCAAATCTCCATTTGCAGATTTTACAAAAAGAGTGATTCCAATCTGCTCTATCAATAGGATTGTTCAACTCCATGAGTTGAATGCCATCCTCACAAACTCGTTTCTGAGAATGCTTCTATCTAGTTTTTATGTGAAGATATTTCCTTTTCCACCACAGGCCTCAAAGCCCTCCAAACGTCCACTTGCAGATTCTCGAAAAAGAGTGTTTCATAGCTGCTCTTTCAAAAGGAAAGTTCAACTCTGGGAGGTGAATACAAACATCACAAAGTAGTTTTCGAGAATGCTTCTGTTTAGTTCTTATGTGAAGATGATCCCGTTTCCAGTGAAATCTTCAAAGAGGTCCACATATCCCCTTGCAGATTCCAAAGAAAGAGGGTTTCAAAACTGCTCCATCAAAAGGATTGTTCACCTCTGTGAGTTGAATGCAGTCATCGCAGAAAACTTTCTGAGAATGGTTCTGTCTAGGTTTGATGTGAAGATATAGACGTTTCAAACGAAGGCTACAAAGTGGTCAAAATATACACTTGCAGATTCTACTACAAGGGTGTTGCAAACCTGAACTATCAAAGGAAGGTTCAACTCTGTGAGTTGAATACAAACATCACAAAGAATGTTCTGAGTTTGCTTCCGTTCAGTTATGGGAAGTTGATCCCGTTTCCAACGAAATCCTCAGAGAGGTCCAAATATCCCCTCACAGATTCTACAAAACGTGTGTTTGGAAACTGCTCCATCATAACGAATGTTCAGCTCCCTGAGTTAAACTCCATCGTCACAAAGAATTTTCTGATAGTGCTACCGTCTGGTTTTTATATGAAGTTCTTTCCTTCACTACCACAGGCCTCAAAGCGGTCCAAATCTCCACTTGCAGATTCTACAAAAAGAGTGTTTGCAAACTGCTCTATCAAAAGGAATGTTCAACTCTGGGAGTTGAATGCAATCATCACAGAGCAGTTTCTGAGAATGCTTCTATGTCGTTTTTAGGAGAAGATATTTCCTTTTCCAACACAGTCCTCCAAGCCCGCTAAATAGCCACTTGCACATTGTAGAAAAAGTGTGTCAAAGCTGCGCTATCAAAGGGAAAGTTCAACTCTGTGAGGTGAATGCAAACATCCCAAAGAAGTTTCTGAGAATGCTTCCGTTTAGCTTTTAGGTGAAGATTATCCCGTTTCCAACGAAACCTTCAAAGAGGTCCAAATATCCCCTTGCGGATCCCACAGAAAGAGTGTTTCGAAACTGCTGTTTCAAAAGGAATCTTCAACTCTGTGAGTTGAATGCAATCATCACAAAGAAGTTTCTGACAATGCTTCTCTCTCGTCTTTCTGTGAAGATAAAGGAAAAGGCTTTCAGGCCTTTGCCACCACAGGCCTGAAAGCGCTCCAAATGTCCACTTGCAGATTCTGCCAAAAGAATATTTCAAAACTGCTCTATGAAAAGCAATGTTAAACTCTGTGGCTCGAACACAAACATCACAAAGCAGTTTCTGAGAATGCTTCAGTTTAGTTTTTCTGTGGAAATATTCCCGTTTCCAAAGAAATCTTCAAAGAGGTCCACGTATCCACTTACAGATTCTACAAAAAGACAGTTTCAAAACTGCTCCATCAAAAGGAGGGTTCAACCGTGTGACTTGAATGCAATCATCACTCAGAAGTTTCTGAGAATGCTTCTCTTTAGTTTTTACGTGAACATATACCCGTTTCGAACGAAGGCCACCCAGTGGTCCAAATATCCACTTGCAGATTATACAGAAAGAGTGTTTCGAACCTGAACTCTCAAAGGCAGGTTCATCTCTGCGAGTTAAATGCATTCATCATGAAGAACTTTCTCAGAGTGTTTGTGTTTAGTTATGGGAAATTATTCCCGTTTCCAACGAAATCCTCAGAGAGCTCCAAATATCCACCTGCAGATTCTACCAAAAGTGTATTTGGAAACTGCTCCATCAAAAGGCATGTTCAGCTCTGTGAGTGAAACTCCATCATCACAAAGAATATTCTGAGAATGCTTCCGTTTGCCTTTTATATGAACTTCCTTCCTATACGACCGTAGGCCTCAAAGCAGTCCAAATCTCCATTTGCAGATTCTACAAAAAGAGTGATTCCAATCTGCTCTATCAATAGGATTGTTCAACTCCATGTGTTGAATGCCATCCTCACAAAGTCGTTTCTGAGAATGCTTCTATCTAGTTTTTATGTGAAGATATTTCCTTTTCCACCACAGGCCTCAAAGCCCTCCAAACGTCCACTTGCAGATTCTCGAAAAAGAGTGTTTCATAGCTGCTCTTTCAAAAGGAAAGTTCAACTCTGGGAGTTGAATACAAACATCACAAAGTAGTTTCCGAGAATGCTTCTGTTTAGTTTTTATGTGAAGATGATCCCGTTTCCAGTGAAATCTTCAAAGAAGTCCACATATCCCCTTGCAGATTCCAAAGAAAGAGGGTTTCAAAACTGCTCCATCAGAAGGATTGTTCAACTCTGTGAGTTGAATGCAGTCATCGCAGAAAACTTTCTGAGAATGCTTCTGTCTAGGTTTGATGTGAAGATATAGACGTTTCAAACGAAGGCTACAAAGTGGTCAAAATATACACTTGCAGATTCTACTACAAGGGTGTTGCAAACCTGAACTATCAAAGGAAGGTTCAACTCTGTGAGTTGAATACAAACATCACAAAGAATGTTCTGAGTTTGCTTCCGTTCAGTTATGGGAAGTTGATCCCGTTTCCAACGAAATCCTCAGAGAGGTCCAAATATCCCCTTGCAGATTCTACAAAACGTGTGTTTGGAAACTGCTCCATCATAACGAATGTTCAGCTCCCTGAGTTAAACTCCATCGTCACAAAGAATTTTCTGAGAGTGCTACCGTCTGGTTTTTATATGAAGTTCTTTCCTTCACTACCACAGGCCTCAAAGCGGTCCAAATCTCCACTTGCAGATTCTACAAAAAGAGTGTTTGCAAACTGCTCTATCAAAAGGAATGTTCAACTCTGGGAGTTGAATGCAATCATCACAGAGCAGTTTCTGAGAATGCTTCTATGTCGTTTTTAGGAGAAGATATTTCCTTTTCCAACACAATCCTCCAAGCCCGCTAAATAGCCACTTGCACATTGTAGAAAAAGTGTGTCAAAGCTGCGCTATCAAAGGGAAAGTTCAACTCTGTGAGGTGAATGCAAACATCCCAAAGAAGTTTCTGAGAATGCTTCCGTTTAGCTTTTAGGTGAAGATTATCCCGTTTCCAACGAAACCTTCAAAGAGGTCCAAATATCCCCTTGCGGATCCCACAGAAAGAGTGTTTCGAAACTGCTGTTTCAAAAGGAATCTTCAACTCTGTGAGTTGAATGCAATCATCACAAAGAAGTTTCTGACAATGCTTCTCTCTCGTCTTTCTGTGAAGATAAAGGAAAAGGCTTTCAGGCCTTTTCCACCACAGGCCTGAAAGCGCTCCAAATGTCCACTTGCAGATTCTGCCAAAAGAATATTTCAAAACTGCTCTATGAAAAGCAATGTTAAACTCTGTGGCTGGAACACAAACATCACAAAGCGGTTTCTGAGAATGTTTCAGTTTAGTTTTTCTGTGGAAATATTCCCGTTTCCAAAGAAATCTTCAAAGAGGTCCACGTATCCACTTACAGATTCTACAAAAAGACAGTTTCAAAACTGCTCCATCAAAAGGAGGGTTCAACTGTGTGACTTGAATGCAATCATCACTCAGAAGTTTCTGAGAATGCTTCTCTTTAGTTTTTACGTGAACATATACCCGTTTCGAACGAAGGCCACCCAGTGGTCCAAATATCCACTTGCAGATTATACAGAAAGAGTGTTTCGAACCTGAACTCTCAAAGGCAGGTTCATCCTCTGCGAGTTAAATGCATTCATCATGAAGAATTTTCTCAGAGTGTTTGTGTTTAGTTATGGGAAATTATTCCCGTTTCCAACGAAATCCTCAGAGTGGTCCAAATATCCACCTGCAGATTCTACCAAAAGTGTATTTGGAAACTGCTCCATCAAAAGGCATGTTCAGCTCTGTGAGTGAAACTCCATCATCACAAAGAATATTCTGAGAATGCTTCCGTTTGCCTTTTATCTGAAGTTCCTTCCTATACGACCGTAGGCCTCAAAGCAGTCCAAATCTCCATTTGCAGATTCTACAAAAAGAGTGATTCCAATCTGCTCTATCAATAGGATTGTTCAACTCCATGAGTTGAATGCCATCCTCCAAAGTCGTTTCTGAGAATGCTTCTATCTAGTTTTTATGTGAAGATATTTCCTTTTCCACCACAGGCCTCAAAGCCCTCCAAACGTCCACTTGCAGATTCTCGAAAAAGAGTGTTTCATAGCTGCTCTTTCAAAAGGAAAGTTCAACTCTGGCAGTTGAATACAAACATCACAAAGTAGTTTCCGAGAATGCTTCTGTTTAGTTTTTATGTGAAGATGATCCCGTTTCCAGTGAAATCTTCAAAGAGGTCCACATATCCCCTTGCAGATTCCAAAGAAAGAGGGTTTCAAAACTGCTCCATCAGAAGGATTGTTCAACTCTGTGAGTTGAATGCAGTCATCGCAGAAAACTTTCTGAGAATGCTTCTTTCTAGGTTTGATGTGAAGATATAGACGTTTCAAACGAAGGCTACAAAGTGGTCAAAATATACACTTGCAGATTCTACTACAAGGGTGTTGCAAACCTGAACTATCAAAGGAAGGTTCAACTCTGTGAGTTGAATACAAACATCACAAAGAATGTTCTGAGTTTGCTTCCGTTCAGTTATGGGAAGTTGATCCCGTTTCCAACGAAATCCTCAGAGAGGTCCAAATATCCCCTTGCAGATTCTACAAAACGTGTGTTTGGAAACTGCTCCATCATAACGAATGTTCAGCTCCCTGAGTTAAACTCCATCGTCACAAAGAATTTTCTGAGAGTGCTACCGTCTGGTTTTTATATGAAGTTCTTTCCTTCACTACCACAGGCCTCAAAGCGGTCCAAATCTCCACTTGCAGATTCTACAAAAAGAGTGTTTGCAAACTGCTCTATCAAAAGGAATGTTCAACTCTGGGAGTTGAATGCAATCATCACAGAGCAGTTTCTGAGAATGCTTCTATGTCGTTTTTAGGAGAAGATATTTCCTTTTCCAACACAGTCCTCCAAGCCCGCTAAATAGCCACTTGCACATTGTAGAAAAAGTGTGTCAAAGCTGCGCTATCAAAGGGAAAGTTCAACTCTGTGAGGTGAATGCAAACATCCTAAAGAAGTTTCTGAGAATGCTTCCGTTTAGCTTTTAGGTGAAGATTATCCCGTTTCCAACGAAACCTTCAAAGAGGTCCAAATATCCCCTTGCGGATCCCACAGAAAGAGTGTTTCGAAACTGCTGTTTCAAAAGGAATCTTCAACTCTGTGAGTTGAATGCAATCATCACAAAGAAGTTTCTGACAATGCTTCTCTCTCGTCTTTCTGTGAAGATAAAGGAAAAGGCTTTCAGGCCTTTTCCACCACAGGCCTGAAAGCGCTCCAAATGTCCACTTGCAGATTCTGCGAAAAGAATATTTCAAAACTGCTCTATGAAAAGCAATGTTAAACTCTGTGGCTCGAACACAAACATCACAAAGCGGTTTCTGAGAATGCTTCAGTTTAGTTTTTCTGTGGAAATATTCCCGTTTCCAAAGAAATCTTCAAAGAGGTCCACGTATCCACTTACAGATTCTACAAAAAGACAGTTTCAAAACTGCTCCATCAAAAGGAGGGTTCAACTGTGTGACTTGAATGCAATCATCACTCACAAGTTTCTGAGAATGCTTCTCTTTAGTTTTTACGTGAACATATACCCGTTTCGAACGAAGGCCAGCCAGTGGTCCAAATATCCACTTGCAGATTCTACAGAAAGAGTGTTTCGAACCTGAACTCTCAAAGGCAGGTTAATCTCTGCGAGTTAAATGCATTCATCATGAAGAACTTTCTCAGAGTGTTTGTGTTTAGTTATGGGAAATTATTCCCGTTTCCAACGAAATCCTCAGAGAGCTCCAAATATCCACCTGCAGATTCTACCAAAAGTGTATTTGGAAACTGCTCCATCAAAAGGCATGTTCAGCTCTGTGAGTGAAACTCCATCATCACAAAGAATATTCTGAGAATGCTTCCGTTTGCCTTTTATATGAAGTTCCTTCCTGTACTACCGTAGGCCTCAAAGCAGTCCAAATCTCCATTTGCAGATTCTACAAAAAGAGTGATTCCAATCTGCTCTATCAATAGGATTGTTCAACTCCATGAGTTGAATGCCATCCTCACAAAGTCGTTTCTGAGAATGCTTCTATCTGGTTTTTGTGTGAAGATATTTCCTTTTCCACCACAGGCCTCAAAGCCCTCCAAACGTCCACTTGCAGATTCTCGAAAAAGAGTGTTTCATAGCTGCTCTTTCAAAAGGAAAGTTCAACTCTGGGAGTTGAATACAAACATCACAAAATAGTTTCCGAGAATGCTTCTGTTTAGTTTTTATGTGAAGATGATCCCGTTTCCAGTGAAATCTTCAAAGAGGTCCACATATCCCATTGCAGATTCCAAAGAAAGAGGGTTTCAAAACTGCTCCATCAGAAGGATTGTTCAACTCTGTGAGTTGAATGCAGTCATCGCAGAAAACTTTCTGAGAATGCTTCTGTCTAGGTTTGATGTGAAGATATAGACGTTTCAAACGAAGGCTACAAAGTGGTCAAAATATACACTTGCAGATTCTACTACAAGGGTGTTGCAAACCTGAACTATCAAAGGAAGGTTCAACTCTGTGAGTTGAATACAAACATCACAAAGAATGTTCTGAGTTTGCTTCCGTTCAGTTATGGGAAGTTGATCCCGTTTCCAACGAAATCCTCAGAGAGGTCCAAATATCCCCTCGCAGATTCTACAAAACGTGTGTTTGGAAACTGCTCCATCATAACGAATGTTCAGCTCCCTGAGTTAAACTCCATCGTCACAAAGAATTTTCTGAGAGTGCTACCGTCTGGTTTTTATATGAAGTTCTTTCCTTCACTACCACAGGCCTCAAAGCGGTCCAAATCTCCACTTGCAGATTCTACAAAAAGAGTGTTTGCAAACTGCTCTATCAAAAGGAATGTTCAACTCTGGGAGTTGAATGCAATCATCACAGAGCAGTTTCTGAGAATGCTTCTATGTCGTTTTTAGGAGAAGATAATTCCTTTTCCAACACAGTCCTCCAAGCCCGCTAAATAGCTACTTGCACATTGTAGAAAAAGTGTGTCAAAGCTGCGCTATCAAAGGGAAAGTTCAACTCTGTGAGGTGAATGCAAACATCCCAAAGAAGTTTCTGAGAATGCTTCCGTTTAGCTTTTAGGTGAAGATTATCCCGTTTCCAACGAAACCTTCAAAGAGGTCCAAATATCCCCTTGCGGATCCCACAGAAAGAGTGTTTCGAAACTGCTGTTTCAAAAGGAATCTTCAACTCTGTGAGTTGAATGCAATCATCACAAAGAAGTTTCTGACAATGCTTCTCTCTCGTCTTTCTGTGAAGATAAAGGAAAAGGCTTTCAGGCCTTTTCCACCACAGGCCTGAAAGCGCTCCAAATGACCACTTGCAGATTCTGCCAAAAGAATATTTCAAAACTGCTCTATGAAAAGCAATGTTAAACTCTGTGGCTCGAACACAAACATCACAAAGCAGTTTCTGAGAATGCTTCAGTTTAGTTTTTCTGTGGAAATATTCCCGTTTCCAAAGAAATCTTCAAAGAGGTCCACGCATCCACTTACAGATTCTACAAAAAGACAGTTTCAAAACTGCTCAATCAAAAGGAGGGTTCAACTGTGTGACTTGAATGCAATCATCACTCAGAAGTTTCTGAGAACGCTTCTCTTTAGTTTTTACGTGAACATATACCCGTTTCGAACGAAGGCCAGCCAGTGGTCCAAATATCCACTTGCAGATTCTACAGAAAGAGTGTTTCGAACCTGAACTCTCAAAGGCAGGTTCATCTCTGCGAGTTAAATGCATTCATCATGAAGAACTTTCTCAGCGTGTTTGTGTTTAGTTATGGGAAATTATTCCCGTTTCCAACGAAATCCTCAGAGAGGTCCAAATATCCACCTGCAGATTCTACCAAAAGTGTATTTGGAAACTGCTCCATCAAAAGGCATGTTCAGCTCTGTGAGTGAAACTCCATCATCACAAAGAATATTCTGAGAATGCTTCCGTTTGCCTTTTATATGAAGTTCCTTCCTATACTACCGTAGGCCTCAAAGCAGTCCAAATCTCCATTTGCAGATTCTACAAAAAGAGTGATTCCAATCTGCTCTATCAATAGGATTGTTCAACTCCATGAGTTGAATGCCATCCTCACGAAGTAGTTTCTGAGAATGCTTCTATCTAGTTTTTATGTGAAGATATTTCCTTTTCCACCACAGGCCTCAAAGCCTTCCAAACGTCCACTTGCAGATTCTCGAAAAAGAGTGTTTCATAGCTGCTCTTTCAAAAGGAAAGTTCAACTCTGGGAGTTGAATACAAACATCACAAAGTAGTTTCCGAGAATGCTTCTGTTTAGTTCTTATGTGAAGATGATCCCGTTTCCAGTGAAATCTTCAAAGAGGTCCACATATCCCCTTGCAGATTCCAAAGAAAGAGGGTTTCAAAACTGCTCCATCAAAAGGATTGTTCAACTCTGTGAGTTGAATGCAGTCATCGCAGAAATCTTTCTGAGAATGCTTCTGTCTAGGTTTGATGTGAAGATATAGACGTTTCAAACGAAGGCTACAAAGTGGTCAAAATATACACTTGCAGATTCTACTACAAGGGTGTTGCAAACCTGAACTATCAAAGGAAGGTTCAACTCTGTGAGTTGAATACAAACATCACAAAGAATGTTCTGAGTTTGCTTCCGTTCAGTTATGGGAAGTTGATCCCGTTTCCAACGAAATCCTCAGAGAGGTCCAAATATCCCCTTGCAGATTCTACAAAACGTGTGTTTGGAAACTGCTCCATCATAACGAATGTTCAGCTCCCTGAGTTAAACTCCATCGTCACAAAGAATTTTCTGAGAGTGCTACCGTCTGGTTTTTATATGAAGTTCTTTCCTTCACTACCCCAGGCCTCAAAGCGGTCCAAATCTCCACTTCCAGATTCTACAAAAAGAGTGTTTGCAAACTGCTCTATCAAAAGGAATGTTCAACTCTGGGAGTTGAATGCAATCATCACAGAGCAGTTTCTGAGAATGCTTCTATGTCGTTTTTAGGAGAAGATATTTCCTTTTCCAACACAGTCCTCCAAGCCCGCTAAATAGCCACTTGCACATTGTAGAAAAAGTGTGTCAAAGCTGCGCTATCAAAGGGAAAGTTCAACTCTGTGAGGTGAATGCAAACATCCCAAAGAAGTTTCTGAGAGTGCTTCCGTTTAGCTTTTAGGTGAAGATTATCCCGTTTCCAACGAAACCTTCAAAGAGGTCCAAATATCCCCTTGCGGATCCCACAGAAAGAGTGTTTCGAAACTGCTGTTTCAAAAGGAATCTTCAACTCTGTGAGTTGAATGCAATCATCACAAAGAAGTTTCTGACAATGCTTCTCTCTCGTCTTTCTGTGAAGATAAAGGAAAAGGCTTTCAGGCCTTTTCCACCACAGGCCTGAAAGCGCTCCAAATGTCCACTTGCAGATTCTGCGAAAAGAATATTTCAAAACTGCTCTATGAAAAGCAATGTTAAACTCTGTGGCTCGAACACAAACATCACAAAGCGGTTTCTGAGAATGCTTCAGTTTAGTTTTTCTGTGGAAATATTCCCGTTTCCAAAGAAATCTTCAAAGAGGTCCACGTATCCACTTACAGATTCTACAAAAAGACAGTTTCAAAACTGCTCCATCAAAAGGAGGGTTCAACTGTGTGACTTGAATGCAATCATCACTCACCAGTTTCTGAGAATGCTTCTCTTTAGTTTTTACGTGAACATATACCCGTTTCGAACGAAGGCCAGCCAGTGGTCGAAATATCCACTTGCAGATTCTACAGAAAGAGTGTTTCGAACATGAACTCTCAAAGGCAGGTTCATCTCTGCGAGTTAAATGCATTCATCATGAAGAACTTTCTCAGAGTGTTTGTATTTAGTTATGGGAAATTATTCCCGTTTCCAACGAAATCCTCAGAGAGGTCCAAATATCCACCTGCAGATTCTACCAAAAGTGTATTTGGAAACTGCTCCATCAAAAGGCATGTTCAGCTCTGTGAGTGAAACTCCATCATCACAAAGAATATTCTGAGAATGCTTCCGTTTGCCTTTTATATGAAGTTCCTTCCTATACGACCGTAGGCCTCAAAGCAGTCCAAATCTCCATTTGCAGATTCTACAAAAAGAGTGATTCCAATCTGCTCTATCAATAGGATTGTTCAACTCCATGAGTTGAATGCCATCCTCACCAAGTCGTTTCTGAGAATGCTTCTATCTAGTTTTTATGTGAAGATATTTCCTTTTCCACCACAGGCCTCAAAGCCCTCCAAACGTCCACTTGCAGATTCTCGAAAAAGAGTGTTTCATAGCTGCTCTTTCAAAAGGAAAGTTCAACTCTGGGAGTTGAATACAAACATCACAAAGTAGTTTCCGAGAATGCTTCTGTTTAGTTTTTATGTGAAGATGACCCCGTTTCCAGTGAAATCATCAAAGAGGTCCACATATCCCCTTGCAGATTCCAAAGAAAGAGGGTTTCAAAACTGCTCCATCAGAAGGATTGTTCAACTCTGTGAGTTGAATGCAGTCATCGCAGAAAACTTTCTGAGAATGCTTCTTTCTAGGTTTGATGTGAAGATATAGACGTTTCAAACGAAGGCTACAAAGTGGTCAAAATATACACTTGCAGATTCTACTACAAGGGTGTTGCAAACCTGAACTATCAAAGGAAGGTTCAACTCTGTGAGTTGAATACAAACATCACAAAGAATGTTCTGAGTTTGCTTCCGTTCAGTTATGGGAAGTTGATCCCGTTTCCAACGAAATCCTCAGAGAGGTCCAAATATCCCCTCGCAGATTCTACAAAACGTGTGTTTGGAAACTGCTCCATCATAACGAATGTTCAGCTCCCTGAGTTAAACTCCATCGTCACAAAGAATTTTCTGAGAGTGCTACCGTCTGGTTTTTATATGAAGTTCTTTCCTTCACTACCACAGGCCTCAAAGCGGTCCAAATCTCCACTTGCAGATTCTACAAAAAGAGTGTTTGCAAACTGCTCTATCAAAAGGAATGTTCAACTCTGGGAGTTGAATGCAATCATCACAGAGCAGTTTCTGAGAATGCTTCTATGTCGTTTTTAGGAGAAGATATTTCCTTTTCCAACACAGTCCTCCAAGCCCGCTAAATAGCCACTTGCACATTGTAGAAAAAGTGTGTCAAAGCTGCGCTATCAAAGGGAAAGTTCAACTCTGTGAGGTGAATGCAAACATCCCAAAGAAGTTTCTGAGAATGCTTCCGTTTAGCTTTTAGGTGAAGATTATCCCGTTTCCAACGAAACCTTCAAAGAGGTCCAAATATCCCCTTGCGGATCCCACAGAAAGAGTGTTTCGAAACTGCTGTTTCAAAAGGAATCTTCAACTCTGTGAGTTGAATGCAATCATCACAAAGAAGTTTCTGACAATGCTTCTCTCTCGTCTTTCTGTGAAGATAAAGGAAAAGGCTTTCAGGCCTTTTCCACCACAGGCCTGAAAGCGCTCCAAATGTCCACTTGCAGATTCTGCCAAAAGAATATTTCAAAACTGCTCTATGAAAAGCAATGTTAAACTCTGTGGCTCGATCACAAACATCACAAAGCGGTTTCTGAG
This sequence comes from Homo sapiens, assembly GCF_000001405.40. Lineage (NCBI taxonomy): Eukaryota > Metazoa > Chordata > Mammalia > Primates > Hominidae > Homo > Homo sapiens. The sequence goes on along the minus strand of NC_000023.11, from coordinate 60,571,979 downwards.
AATACTTCAGTTTAGTTTTTCTGTGGAAATATTCCCGTTTCCAAAGAAATCTTCAAAGAGGTCCACGTATCCACTTACAGATTCTACAAAAAGACAGTTTCAAAACTGCTCCATCAAAAGGAGGGTTCAACTGTGTGACTTGAATGCAATCATCACTCAGAAGTTTCTGAGAATGCTTCTCTTTAGTTTTTACGTGAACATATACCCGTTTCGAACGAAGGCCAGCCAGTGGTCCAAATATCCACTTGCAGATTCTACAGAAAGAGTGTTTCGAACATGAACTCTCAAAGGCAGGTTCATCTCTGCGAGTTAAATGCATTCATCATGAAGAACTTTCTCAGAGTGTTTGTGTTTAGTTATGGGAAATTATTCCCGTTTCCAACGAAATCCTCAGAGAGGTCCAAATATCCACCTGCAGATTCTACCAAAAGTGTATTTGGAAACTGCTCCATCAAAAGGCATGTTCAGCTCTGTGAGTGAAACTCCATCATCACAAAGAATATTCTGAGAATGCTTCCGTTTGCCTTTTATATGAAGTTCCTTCCTATACTACCGTAGGCCTCAAAGCAGTCCAAATCTCCATTTGCAGATTCTACAAAAAGAGTGATTCCAATCTGCTCTATCAATAGGATTGTTCAACTCCATGAGTTGAATGCCATCCTCACAAAGTCGTTTCTGAGAATGCTTCTATCTAGTTTTTATGTGAAGATATTTCCTTTTCCACCACAGGCCTCAAAGCCCTCCAAACGTCCACTTGCAGATTCTCGAAAAAGTGTGTTTCATAGCTGCTATTTCAAAAGGAAATTTCAACTCTGGGAGGTGAATACAAACATCACAAAGTAGTTTCCGAGAATGCTTCTGTTTAGTTCTTATGTGAAGATGATCCCGTTTCCAGTGAAATCTTCAAAGAGGTCCACATATCACCTTGCAGATTCCAAAGAAAGAGGGTTTCAAAACTGCTCCATCAAAAGGATTGTTCAACTCTGTGAGTTGAATGCAGTCATCGCAGAAAACTTTCTGAGAATGCTTCTGTCTAGGTTTGATGTGAAGATATAGACGTTTCAAACGAAGGCTACAAAGTGGTCAACATATACACTTGCAGATTCTACTACAAGGGTGATGCAAACCTGAACTATCAAAGGAAGGTTCAACTCTGTGAGTTGAATACAAACATCACAAAGAATGTTCTGAGTTTGCTACCGTTCAGTTATGGGAAGTTGATCCCATTTCCAACGAAATCCTCAGAGAGGTCCAAATATCCCCTTGCAGATTCTACAAAACGTGTGTTTGGAAACTGCTCCATCATAACGAATGTTCAGCTCTCTGAGTTAAACTCCATCGTCACAAAGAATTTTCTGAGGGTGCTACCTTCTAGTTTTTATATGAAGTTCTTTCCTTTACTACCACAGGCCTCAAAGTGGTCCAAATCTCCACTTGCAGATTCTACAAAAAGAGTGTTTGCAAACTGCTCTATCAAAAGGAATGTTCAACTCTGGGAGTTGAATGCAATCATCACAGAGCAGTTTCTGAGAATGCTTCTATGTCGTTTTTAGGAGAAGATATTTCCTTTTCCAACACAGTCCTCCAAGCCCGCTAAATATCCACTTGCACATTGTAGAAAAAGTGTGTCGAAGCTGCGCTATCAAAGGGAAAGTTCAACTCTGTGAGGTGAATGCAAACATCCCAAAGAAGTTTCTGAGAATGCTTCCGTTTAGCTTTAAGTGAAGATTATCCCGTTTCCAACGAAATCTTCAAAGAGGTCCAAATATCCCCTTGCGGATCCCACAGAAAGAGTGTTTCGAAACTGCTGTTTCAAAAGGAATCTTCAACTCTGTGAGTTGAATGCAATCATCACAAAGAAGTTTCTGACAATGCTTCTCTCTCGTCTTTCTGTGAAGATAAAGGAAAAGGCTTTCAGGCCTTTTCCACCACAGGCCTGAAAGCGCTCCAAATGTCCACTTGCAGATTCTGCCAAAAGAATAGTTCAAAACTGCTCTATGAAAAGCAATGTTAAACTCTGTGGCTCGAACACAAACATCACAAAGCAGTTTCTGAGAATGCTTCAGTTTAGTTTTTCTGTGGAAATATTCCCGTTTCCAAAGAAATCTTCAAAGAGGTCCACGCATCCACTTACAGATTCTACAAAAAGACAGTTTCAAAACTGCTCAATCAAAAGGAGGATTCAACTGTGTGACTTGAATGCAATCATCACTCAGAAGTTTCTGAGAACGCTTCTCTTTAGTTTTTACGTGAACATATACCCGTTTCGAACGAAGGCCAGCCAGTGGTCCAAATATCCACTTGCAGATTCTACAGAAAGAGTGTTTCGAACCTGAACTCTCAGAGGCAGGTTCATCTCTGCGAGTTCAATGCATTCATCATGAAGAACTTTCTCAGCGTGTTTGTGTTTAGTTATGGGAAATTATTCCCGTTTCCAACGAAATCCTCAGAGAGGTCCAAATATCCACCTGCAGATTCTACCAAAAGTGTATTTGGAAACTGCTCCATCAAAAGGCATGTTCAGCTCTGTGAGTGAAACTCCATCATCACAAAGAATATTCTGAGAATGCTTCCGTTTGCCTTTTATATGAAGTTCCTTCCTATACTACCGTAGGCCTCAAAGCAGTCCAAATCTCCATTTGCAGATTCTACAAAAAGAGTGATTCCAATCTGCTCTATCAATAGGATTGTTCAACTCCATGAGTTGAATGCCATCCTCACAAAGTCGTTTCTGAGAATGCTTCTATGTAGTTTTTATGTGAAGATATTTCCTTTTCCACCACAGGCCTCAAAGCCCTCCAAACGTCCACTTGCAGATTCCCGAAAAAGAGTGTTTCATAGCTGCTCTTTCAAAAGGAAAGTTCAACTCTGGGAGTTGAATACAAACATCACAAAGTAGTTTCCGAGAATGCTTCTGTTTAGTTCTTATGTGAAGATGATCCCGTTTCCAGTGAAATCTTCAAAGAGGTCCACATATCCCCTTGCAGATTCCAAAGAAAGAGGGTTTCAAAACTGCTCCATCAAAACGATTGTTCAACTCTGTGAGTTGAATGCAGTCATCGCAGAAAACTTTCTGAGAATGCTTCTGTCTAGGTTTGATGTGAAGATATAGACGTTTCAAACGAAGGCTACAAAGTGGTCAAAATATACACTTGCAGATTCTACTACAAGGGTGTTGCAAACCTCAACTATCAAAGGAAGGTTCAACTCTGTGAGACGAATGCAAACATCACAAAGAATGTTCTGAGTTTGCTTCCGTTCAGTTATGTGAAGTTGATCCCGTTTCCAACGAAATCCTCAGAGAGGTCCAAATATCCCCTTGCAGATTCTACAAAACGTGTGTTTGGAAACTGCTCCATCATAACGAATGTTCAGCTCTCTGAGTTAAACTCCATCGTCACAAAGAATTTTCTGAGAGTGCTACCGTCTACTTTTTATATGAAGTTCTTTCCTTTACTACCACAGGCCTCAAAGCGGTCCAAATCTCCACTTGCAGATTCTACAAAAAGAGTGTTTGCAAATTGCTCTATCAAAAGGAATGTTCAACTCTGGGAGTTGAATGCAATCATCACAGAGCAGTTTCTGAGAATGCTTCTATGTCGTTTTTAGGAGAAGATATTTCCTTTTCCAACACAGTCCTCCAAGCCCGCTAAATATCCACTTGCACATTGTAGAAAAAGTGTGTCGAAGCTGCGCTATCAAAGGGAAAATTCAACTCTGTGAGGTGAATGCAAACATCCAAAAGAAGTTTCTGAGAATGCTTCCGTTTAGCTTTTAGGTGAAGATTATCCCGTTTCCAACGAAATCTTCAAAGAGGTCCAAATATCCCCTTGCGGATCCCACAGAAAGAGTGTTTCGAAACTGCTGTTTCAAAAGGAATCTTCAACTCTGTGAGTTGAATGCAATCATCACAAAGAAGTTTCTGACAATGCTTCTCTCTCGTCTTTCTGTGAAGATAAAGGAAAAGGCTTTCAGGCCTTTTCCACCACAGGCCTGAAAGCGCTCCAAATGTCCACTTGCAGATTCTGCCAAAAGAATATTTCAAAACTGCTCTATGAAAAGCAATGTTAAACTCTGCGGCTCGAACACAAACATCACAAAGCAGTTTCTGAGAATGCTTCAGTTTAGTTTTTCTGTGGAAATATTCCCGTTTCCAAAGAAATCTTCAAAGAGGTCCACGTATCCACTTACAGATTCTACAAAAAGACAGTTTCAAAACTGCTCAATCAAAAGGAGGGTTCAACTGTGTGACTTGAATGCAATCATCACTCAGAAGTTTCTGAGAATGCTTCTCTTTAGTTTTTACGTGAACATATACCCGTTTCGAACGAAGGCCACCCAGTGGTCCAAATGTCCACTTGCAGATTCTACAGAAAGAGTGTTTCGAACCTGAACTCTCAAAGGCAGGTTCATCTCTGCGAGTTAAATGCATTCATCATGAAGAACTTTCTCAGCGTGTTTGTGTTTAGTTATGGGAAATTATTCCCGTTCCCAACGAAATCCTCAGAGAGGTCCAAATGTCCACCTGCAGATTCTACCAAAAGTGTATTTGGAAACTGCTCCATCAACAGGCATGTTCAGCTCTGTGAGTGAAACTCCATCATCACAAAGAATATTCTGAGAATGCTTCCGTTTGCCTTTTATATGAAGTTCCTTCCTATACGACCGTAGGCCTCAAAGCAGTGCAAATCTCCATTTGCAGATTCTACAAAAAGAGTGATTCCAATCTGCTCTATCAATAGGATTGTTCAACTCCATGAGTTGAATGCCATCCTCACAAAGTAGTTTCTGAGAATGCTTCTATCTAGTTTTTATGTGAAGATATTTCCTTTTCCACCACAGGCCTCAAAGCCCTCCAAACGTCCACTTGCAGATTCTCGAAAAAGAGTGTTTCATAGCTGCTCTTTCAAAAGGAAAGTTCAACTCTGGGAGTTGAATACAAACATCACAAAGTAGTTTCCGAGAATGCTTCTGTTTAGTTTTTATGTGAAGATGATCCCGTTTCCAGTGAAATCTTCAAAGAGGTCCACATATCCCCTTGCAGATTCCAAAGAAAGAGGGTTTCAAAACTGCTCCATCAATAGGATTGTTCAACTCTGTGAGTTGAATGCAGTCATCGCAGAAAACTTTCTGAGAATGCTTCTGTCTAGGTTTGATGTGAAGATATAGACGTTTCAAACGAAGGCTACAAAGTGGTCAAAATATACACTTGCAGATTCTACTACAAGGGTGTTGCAAACCTGAACTATCAAAGGAAGGTTCAACTCTGTGAGTTGAATACAAACATCACAAAGAATGTTCTGAGTTTGCTTCCGTTCAGTTATGGGAAGTTGATCCCGTTTCCAACGAAATCCTCAGAGAGGTCCAAATATCCCCTTGCAGATTCTACAAAACGTGTTTTTGGAAACTGCTCCATCATAACGAATGTTCAGCTCCCTGAGTTAAACTCCATCGTCACAAAGAATTTTCTGAGAGTGCTACCGTCTGGTTTTTATATGAAGCTCTTTCCTTTACTACCCCAGGCCTCAAAGCGGTCCAAATCTCCACTTGCAGATTCTACAAAAAGAGTGTTTGCAAACTGCTCTATCAAAAGGAATGTTCAACTCTGGGAGTTGAATGCAATCATCACAGAGCAGTTTCTGAGAATGCTTCTATGTCGTTTTTAGGAGAAGATATTTCCTTTTCCAACACAGTCCTCCAAGTCCGCTAAATAGCCACTTGCACATTGTAGAAAAAGTGTGTCAAAGCTGCGCTATCAAAGGGAAAGTTCAACTCTGTGAGGTGAATGCAAACATCCCAAAGAAGTTTCTGAGAATGCTTCCGTTTAGCTTTTAGGTGAAGATTATCCCGTTTCCAACGAAACCTTCAAAGAGGTCCAAATATCCCCTTGCGGATCCCACAGAAAGAGTGTTTCGAAACTGCTGTTTCAAAAGAAATCTTCAACTCTGTGAGTTGAATGCAATCATCACAAAGAAGTTTCTGACAATGCTTCTCTCTCGTCTTTCTGTGAAGATAAAGGAAAAGGCTTTCAGGCCTTTGCAACCACAGGCCTGAAAGCGCTCCAAATGTCCACTTGCAGATTCTGCGAAAAGAATATTTCAAAACTGCTCTATGAAAAGCAATGTTAAACTCTGTGGCTCGAACACAAACATCACAAAGCAGTTTCTGAGAATGCTTCAGTTTAGTTTTTCTGTGGAAATATTCCCGTTTCCAAAGAAATCTTCAAAGAGGTCCACGTATCCACTTACAGATTCTACAAAAAGACAGTTTCAAAACTGCTCCATCAAAAGGAGGGTTCAACTGTGTGACTTGAATGCAATCATCACTCAGAAGTTTCTGAGAATGCTTCTCTTTAGTTTTTACGTGAACATATACCCGTTTCGAACGAAGGCCACCCAGTGGTCCAAATATCCACTTGCAGATTATACAGAAAGAGTGTTTCGAACCTGAACTCTCAAAGGCAGGTTCATCTCTGCGAGTTAAATGCATTCATCATGAAGAACTTTCTCAGAGTGTTTGTGTTTAGTTATGGGAAATTATTCCCGTTTCCAACGAAATCCTCAGAGAGCTCCAAATATCCACCTGCAGATTCTACCAAAAGTGTATTTGGAAACTGCTCCATCAAAAGGCATGTTCAGCTCTGTGAGTGAAACTCCATCATCACAAAGAATATTCTGAGAATGCTTCCGTTTGCCTTTTATATGAAGTTCCTTCCTATACGACCGTAGGCCTCAAAGCAGTCCAAATCTCCATTTGCAGATTCTACAAAAAGAGTGATTCCAATCTGCTCTATCAATAGGATTGTTCAACTCCATGAGTTGAATGCCATCCTCACAAAGTCGTTTCTGAGAATGCTTCTATCTAGTTTTTATGTGAAGATATTTCCTTTTCCACCACAGGCCTCAAAGCCCTCCAAACGTCCACTTGCAGATTCTCGAAAAAGAGTGTTTCATAGCTGCTCTTTCAAAAGGAAAGTTCAACTCTGGGAGTTGAATACAAACATCACAAAGTAGTTTCCGAGAATGCTTCTGTTTAGTTTTTATGTGAAGATGATCCCGTTTCCAGTGAAATCTTCAAAGAGGTCCACATATCCCCTTGCAGATTCCAAAGAAAGAGGGTTTCAAAACTGCTCCATCAGAAGGATTGTTCAACTCTGTGAGTTGAATGCAGTCATCGCAGAAAACTTTCTGAGAATGCTTCTTTCTAGGTTTGATGTGAAGATATAGACGTTTCAAACGAAGGCTACAAAGTGGTCAAAATATACACTTGCAGATTCTACTACAAGGGTGTTGCAAACCTGAACTATCAAAGGAAGGTTCAACTCTGTGAGTTGAATACAAACATCACAAAGAATGTTCTGAGTTTGCTTCCGTTCAGTTATGGGAAGTTGATCCCGTTTCCAACGAAATCCTCAGAGAGGTCCAAATATCCCCTTGCAGATTCTACAAAACGTGTGTTTGGAAACTGCTCCATCATAACGAATGTTCAGCTCCCTGAGTTAAACTCCATCGTCACAAAGAATTTTCTGAGAGTGCTACCGTCTGGTTTTTATATGATGCTCTTTCCTTCACTACCACAGGCCTCAAAGCGGTCCAAATCTCCACTTCCAGATTCTACAAAAAGAGTGTTTGCAAACTGCTCTATCAAAAGGAATGTTCAACTCTGGGAGTTGAATGCAATCATCACAGAGCAGTTTCTGAGAATGCTTCTATGTCGTTTTTAGGAGAAGATATTTCCTTTTCCAACACAGTCCTCCAAGCCCGCTAAATATCCACTTGCACATTGTAGAAAAAGTGTGTCGAAGCTGCGCTATCAAAGGGAAAATTCAACTCTGTGAGGTGAATGCAAACATCCAAAAGAAGTTTCTGAGAATGCTTCCGTTTAGCTTTTAGGTGACGATTATCCAGTTTCCAACGAAACCTTCAAATAGATCCAAATATCCCCTTGCGGTTCCCACAGAAAGAGTGTTTCGAAACTGCTGTTTCAAAAGGAATCTTCAACTCTGTGAGTTGAATGCAATCATCACAAAGAAGTTTCTGACAATGCTTCTCTCTCGTCTTTCTGTGAAGATAAAGGAAAAGGCTTTCAGGCCTTTTCCACCACAGGCCTGAAAGCGCTCCAAATGTCCACTTGCAGATTCTGCCAAAAGAATATTTCAAAACTGCTCTATGAAAAGCAATGTTAAACTCTGCGGCTCGAACACAAACATCACAAAGCAGTTTCTGAGAATGCTTCAGTTTAGTTTTTCTGTGGAAATATTCCCGTTTCCAAAGAAATCTTCAAAGAGGTCCACGTATCCACTTACAGATTCTACAAAAAGACAGTTTCAAAACTGGTCAATCAAAAGGAGGGTTCAACTGTGTGACTTGAATGCAATCATCACTCAGAAGTTTCTGAGAACGCTTCTCTTTAGTTTTTACGTGAACATATACCCGTTTCGAACGAAGGCCAGCCAGTGGTCCAAATATCCACTTGCAGATTCTACAGAAAGAGTGTTTCGAATCTGAACTCTCAAAGGCAGGTTCATCTCTGCGAGTTCAATGCATTCATCATGAAGAACTTTCTCAGCGTGTTTGTGTTTAGTTATGGGAAATTATTCCCGTTTCCAACGAAATCCTCAGAGAGCTCCAAATATCCACCTGCAGATTCTACCAAAAGTGTATTTGGAAACTGCTCCATCAAAAGGCATGTTCAGCTCTGTGAGTGAAACTCCATCATCACACAAAATATTCTGAGAATGCTTCCGTTTGCCTTTTATATGAAGTTCCTTCCTATACTACCGTAGGCCTCAAAGCAGTCCAAATCTCCATTTGCAGATTCTACAAAAAGAGTGATTCCAATCTCCTCTATCAATAGGACTGTTCAACTCCATGAGTTGAATGCCATCCTCACAAAGTCGTTTCTGAGAATGCTCTATCTAGTTTTTATGTGAAGATATTTCCTTTTCCACCACAGGCCTCAAAGCCCTCCAAACGTCCACTTGCAGATTCTCGAAAAAGAGTGTTTCATAGCTGCTCTTTCAAAAGGAAAGTTCAACTCTGGGAGTTGAATACAAACATCACAAAGTAGTTTCCGAGAATGCTTTCTGTTTAGTTCTTATGTGAAGATGATCCCGTTTCCAGTGAAATCTTCAAAGAGGTCCACATATCCCCTTGCAGATTCCAAAGAAAGAGGGTTTCAAAACTGCTCCATCAAAAGGATTGTTCAACTCTGTGAGTTGAATGCAGTCATTGCAGAAAACTTTCTGAGAATGCTTCTGTCTAGGTTTGATGTGAAGATATAGACGTTTCAAACGAAGGCTACAAAGTGGTCAAAATATACACTTGCAGATTCTACTACAAGGGTGTTGCAAACCTGAACTATCAAAGGAAGGTTCAACTCTGTGAATTGAATACAAACATCACAAAGAATGTTCTGAGTTTGCTTCCGTTCAGTTATGGGAAGTTGATCCCGTTTCCAACGAAATCCTCAGAGAGGTCCAAATATCCCCTTGCAGATTCTACAAAACGTGTGTTTGGAATCTGCTCCATCGTAACGAATGTTCAGCTCCCTGAGTTAAACTCCATCGTCACAAAGAATTTTCTGAGAGTGCTACCGTCTGGTTTTTATATGAAGTTCTTTCCTTCACTACCACAGGCCTCAAAGCGGTCCAAATCTCCACTTGCAGATTCTACAAAAAGAGTGTTTGCAAACTGCTCTATCAAAAGGAATGTTCAACTCTGGGAGTTGAATGCAATCATCACAGAGCAGTTTCTGAGAATCCTTCTATGTCGTTTTTAGGAGAAGATATTTCCTTTTCCAACACAGTCCTCCAAGCCCGCTAAATAGCCACTTGCACATTGTAGAAAAAGTGTGTCAAAGCTGCGCTATCAAAGGGAAAGTTCAACTCTGTGAGGTGAATGCAAACATCCCAAAGAAGTTTCTGAGAATGCTTCCGTTTAGCTTTTAGGTGAAGATTATCCCGTTTCCAACGAAACCTTCAAAGAGGTCCAAATATCCCCTTGCGGATCCCACAGAAAGAGTGTTTCGAAACTGCTGTTTCAAAAGGAATCTTCAACTCTGTGAGTTGAATGCAATCATCAAAAAGAAGTTTCTGACAATGCTTCTCTCTCGTCTTTCTGTGAAGATAAAGGAAAAGGCTTTCAGGCCTTTTCCACCACAGGCCTGAAAGCGCTCCAAATGTCCACTTGCAGATTCTGCGAAAAGAATATTTCAAAACTGCTCTATGAAAAGCAATGTTAAACTCTGTGGCTCGAACACAAACATCACAAAGCAGTTACTGAGAATGCTTCAGTTTAGTTTTTCTGTGGAAATATTCCCGTTTCCAAAGAAATCTTCAAAGAGGTCCACGTATCCACTTACAGATTCTACAAAAAGACAGTTTCAAAACTGCTCCATCAAAAGGAGGGTTCAACTGTGTGACTTGAATGCAATCATCACTCAGAAGTTTCTGAGAATGCTTCTCTTTAGTTTTTACGTGAACATATACCCGTTTCGAACGAAGGCCACCCAGTGGTCCAAATATCCACTTGCAGATTCTACAGAAAGAGTGTTTCGAACCTGAACTCTCAAAGGCAGGTTCATCTCTGCGAGTTAAATGCATTCATCATGAAGAACTTTCTCAGAGTGTTTGTGTTTAGGTATGGGAAATTATTCCCGTTTCCAACGAAATTCCTCAGAGAGGTCCAAATATCCACCTGCAGATTCTACCAAAAGTGTATTTGGCAACTGCTTCATCAAAAGGCATGTTCAGCTCTGTGAGTGAAACTCCATCATCACAAAGAATATTCTGAGAATGCTTCCGTTTGCCTTTTATATGAAGTTCCTTCCTGTACTACCGTAGGCCTCAAAGCAGTCCAAATCTCCATTTGCGGATTCTACAAAAAGAATGATTCCAATCTCCTCTATCAATAGGATTGTTCAACTCCATGAGTTGAATGCCATCCTCACAAAGTCGTTTCTGAGAATGCTTCTATCTAGTTTTTATGTGAAGATATTTCCTTTTCCCCACAGGCCTCAAAGCCCTCCAAACGTCCACTTGCAGATTCTCGAAAAAGAGTGTTTCATAGCTGCTCTTTCACAAGGAAAGTTCAACTCTGGGAGTTGAATACAAACATCACAAAGTAGTTTCCGAGAATGCTTCTGTTTAGTTCTTATGTGAAGATGATCCCGTTTCCAGTGAAATCTTCAAAGAGGTCCACATATCCCCTTGCAGATTCCAAAGAAAGAGGGTTTCAAAACTGCTCCATCAAAAGGATTGTTCAACTCTGTGAGTTGAATGCAGTCATCGCAGAAAACTTTCTGAGAATGCTTCTTTCTAGGTTTGATGTGAAGATATAGACGTTTCAAACGAAGGCTACAAAGTGGTCAAAATATACACTTGCAGATTCTACTACAAGGGTGTTGCAAACCTGAACTATCAAAGGAAGGTTCAACTCTGTGAGTTGAATACAAACATCACAAAGAATGTTCTGAGTTTGCTTCCGTTCAGTTATGGGAAGTTGATCCCGTTTCCAACGAAATCCTCAGAGAGGTCCAAATATCCCCTTGCAGATTCTACAAAACGTGTGTTTGGAAACTGCTCCATCATAACGGATGTTCAGCTCTCTGAGTTAAACTCCATCGTCACAAAGAATTTTCTGTGAGTGCTACCGTCTGGTTTTTATATGAAGTTGTTTCCTTTACTACCACAGGCCTCAAAGCGGTCCAAATCTCCACTTGCAGATTCTACAAAAAGAGTGTTTGCAAACTGCTCTATCAAAAGGAATGTTCAACTCTGGGAGTTGAATGCAATCATCACAGAGCAGTTTCTGAGAATGCTTCTATGTCGTTTTTAGGAGAAGATATTTCCTTTTCCAACACAGTCCTCCAAGCCCGCTAAATATCCACTTGCACATTGTAGAAAAAGTGTGTCGAAGCTGCGCTATCAAAGGGAAAATTCAACTCTATGAGGTGAATGCAAACATCCAAAAGAAGTTTCTGAGAATGCTTCCGTTTAGCTTTTAGGTGACGATTATCCAGTTTCCAACGAAACCTTCAAATAGATCCAAATATCCCCTTGCGGTTCCCACAGAAAGAGTGTTTCGAAACTGCTGTTTCAAAAGGAATCTTCAACTCTGTGAGTTGAATGCAATCATCACAAAGAAGTTTCTGACAATGCTTCTCTCTCGTCTTTCTGTGAAGATAAAGGAAAAGGCTTTCAGGCCTTTTCCACCACAGGCCTGAAAGCGCTCCAAATGTCCACTTGCAGATTCTGCCAAAAGAATATTTCAAAACTGCTCTATGAAAAGCAATGTTAAACTCTGCGGCTCGAACACAAACATCACAAAGCAGTTTCTGAGAATGCTTCAGTTTAGTTTTTCTGTGGAAATATTCCCGTTTCCAAAGAAATCTTCAAAGAGGTCCACGCATCCACTTACAGATTCTACAAAAACACAGTTTCAAAACTGCTCAATCAAAACGAGGGTTCAACTGTGTGACTTGAATGCAATCATCACTCAGAAGTTTCTGAGAATGCTTCTCTTTAGTTTTTACGTGAACATATACCCGTTTCGAACGAAGGCCACCCAGTGGTCCAAATATCCACTTGCAGATTCTACAGAAAGAGTGTTTCGAACCTGAACTCTCAAAGGCAGGTTCATCTCTGCGAGTTAAATGCATTCATCATGAAGAACTTTCTCAGCGTGTTTGTGTTTAGTTATGGGAAATTATTCCCGTTTCCAACGAAATCCTCAGAGAGGTTCAAATATCCACCTGCAGATTCTACCAAAAGTGTATTTGGAAACTGCTCCATCAAAAGGCATGTTCAGCTCTGTGTGTGAAACTCCATCATCACAAAGAATATTCTGAGAATGCCTCCGTTTGCCTTTTATATGAAGTTCCTTCCTATACTACCGTAGGCCTCAAAGCAGTCCAAATCTCCATTTGCAGATTCTACAAAAAGAGTGATTCCAATCTGCTCTATCAATAGGACTGTTCAACTCCATGAGTTGAATGCCATCCTCACAAAGTCGTTTCTGAGAATGCTTCTATCTAGTTTTTATGTGAAGATATTTCCTTTTCCACCACAGGCCTCAAAGCCCTCCAAACGTCCACTTGCAGATTCTCGAAAAAGAGTGTTTCATAGCTGCTCTTTCAAAAGGAAAGTTCAACTCTGGGAGTTGAATACAAACATCACAAAGTAGTTTCCGAGAATGCTTCTGTTTAGTTTTTATGTGAAGATGATCCCGTTTCCAGTGAAATCTTCAAAGAGGTCCACATATCCCCTTGCAGATTCCAAAGAAAGAGGGTTTCAAAACTGCTCCATCAGAAGGATTGTTCAACTCTGTGAGTTGAATGCAGTCATCGCAGAAAACTTTCTGAGAATGCTTCTGTCTAGGTTTGATGTGAAGATATAGACGTTTCAAATGAAGGCTACAAAGTGGTCAAAATATACACTTGCAGATTCTACTACAAGGGTGTTGCAAACCTGAACTATCAAAGGAAGGTTCAACTCTGTGAGTTGAATACAAACATCACAAAGAATGTTCTGAGTTTGCTTCCGTTCAGTTATGGGAAGTTGATCCCGTTTCCAACGAAATCCTCAGAGAGGTCCAAATATCCCCTCGCAGATTCTACAAAACGTGTGTTTGGAAACTGCTCCATCATAACGAATGTTCAGCTCCCTGAGTTAAACTCCATCGTCACAAAGAATTTTCTGAGAGTGCTACCGTCTGGTTTTTATATGAAGTTCTTTCCTTCACTACCACAGGCCTCAAAGCGGTCCAAATCTCCACTTGCAGATTCTACAAAAAGAGTGTTTGCAAACTGCTCTATCAAAAGGAATGTTCAACTCTGGGAGTTGAATGCAATCATCACAGAGCAGTTTCTGAGAATGCTTCTATGTCGTTTTTAGGAGAAGATATTTCCTTTTCCAACACAGTCCTCCAAGTCCGCTAAATAGCCACTTGCACATTGTAGAAAAAGTGTGTCAAAGCTGCGCTATCAAAGGGAAAGTTCAACTCTGTGAGGTGAATGCAAACATCCCAAAGAAGTTTCTGAGAATGCTTCCGTTTAGCTTTTAGGTGAAGATTATCCCGTTTCCAACGAAACCTTCAAAGAGGTCCAAATATCCCCTTGCGGATCCCACAGAAAGAGTGTTTCGAAACTGCTGTTTCAAAAGGAATCTTCAACTCTGTGAGTTGAATGCAATCATCACAAAGAAGTTTCTGACAATGCTTCTCTCTCGTCTTTCTGTGAAGATAAAGGAAAAGGCTTTCAGGCCTTTGCCACCACAGGCCTGAAAGCGCTCCAAATGTCCACTTGTAGATTCTGCCAAAAGAATATTTCAAAACTGCTCTATGAAAAGCAATGTTAAACTCTGTGGCTCGAACACAAACATCACAAAGCAGTTTCTGAGAATGCTTCAGTTTAGTTTTTCTGTGGAAATATTCCCGTTTCCAAAGAAATCTTCAAAGAGGTCCACGTATCCACTTACAGATTCTACAAAAAGACAGTTTCAAAACTGCTCCATCAAAAGGAGGGTTCAACTGTGTGACTTGAATGCAATCATCACTCAGAAGTTTCTGAGAATGCTTCTCTTTAGTTTTTACGTGAACATATACCCGTTTCGAACGAAGGCCACCCAGTGGTCCAAATATCCACTTGCAGATTCTACAGAAAGAGTGTTTCGAACCTGAACTCTCAAAGGCAGGTTCATCTCTGCGAGTTAAATGCATTCATCATGAAGAACTTTCTCAGAGTGTTTGTGTTTAGTTATGGGAAATTATTCCCGTTTCCAATGAAATCCTCAGAGAGCTCCAAATATCCACCTGCAGATTCTACCAAAAGTGTATTTGGAAACTGCTCCATCAACAGGCATGTTCAGCTCTGTGAGTGAAACTCCATCATCACAAAGAACATTCTGAGAATGCTTCCGTTTGCCTTTTATATGAAGTTCCTTCCTATACGACCGTAGGCCTCAAAGCAGTCCAAATCTCCATTTGCAGATTCTACAAAAAGAGTGATTCCAATCTGCTCTATCAATAGGATTGTTCAACTCCATGAGTTGAATGCCATCCTCACAAAGTCGTTTCTGAGAATGCTTCTATCTAGTTTTTATGTGAAGATATTTCCTTTTCCACCACAGGCCTCAAAGCCCTCCAAACGTCCACTTGCAGATTCTCGAAAAAGAGTGTTTCATAGCTGCTCTTTCAAAAGGAAAGTTCAACTCTGGGAGTTGAATACAAACATCACAAAGTAGTTTCCGAGAATGCTTCTGTTTAGTTTTTATGTGAAGATGATCGATCCCGTTTCCAGTGAAATCTTCAAAGAGGTCCACATATCCCCTTGCAGATTCCAAAGAAAGAGGGTTTCAAAACTGCTCCATCAGAAGGATTGTTCAACTCTGTGAGTTGAATGCAGTCATCGCAGAAAACTTTCTGAGAATGCTTCTGTCTAGGTTTGATGTGAAGATATAGACGTTTCAAATGAAGGCTACAAAGTGGTCAAAATATACACTTGCAGATTCTACTACAAGGGTGTTGCAAACCTGAACTATCAAAGGAAGGTTCAACTCTGTGAGTTGAATACAAACATCACAAAGAATGTTCTGAGTTTGCTTCCGTTCAGTTATGGGAAGCTGATCCCGTTTCCAACGAAATCCTCAGAGAGGTCCAAATATCCCCTTGCAGATTCTACAAAACGTGTGTTTGGAAACTGCTCCATCATAACGAATGTTCAGCTCCCTGAGTTAAACTCCATCGTCACAAAGAATTTTCTGAGAGTGCTACCGTCTGGTTTTTATATGAAGTTCTTTCCTTCACTACCACAGGCCTCAAAGCGGTCCAAATCTCCACTTGCAGATTCTACAAAAAGAGTGTTTGCAAACTGCTCTATCAAAAGG
This sequence comes from Homo sapiens, assembly GCF_000001405.40. Classification (NCBI taxonomy): domain Eukaryota; kingdom Metazoa; phylum Chordata; class Mammalia; order Primates; family Hominidae; genus Homo; species Homo sapiens. The sequence continues at coordinate 60,556,096 of NC_000023.11, read as the reverse complement.
AATGTTCAACTCTGGGAGTTGAATGCAATCATCACAGAGCAGTTTCTGAGAATGCTTCTATGTCGTTTTTAGGAGAAGATATTTCCTTTTCCAACACAGTCCTCCAAGCCCGCTAAATAGCCACTTGCACATTGTAGAAAAAGTGTGTCAAAGCTGCGCTATCAAAGGGAAAGTTCAACTCTGTGAGGTGAATGCAAACATCCCAAAGAAGTTTCTGAGAATGCTTCCGTTTAGCTTTTAGGTGAAGATTATCCCGTTTCCAACGAAACCTTCAAAGAGGTCCAAATATCCCCTTGCGGATCCCACAGAAAGAGTGTTTCGAAACTGCTGTTTCAAAAGGAATCTTCAACTCTGTGAGTTGAATGCAATCATCACAAAGAAGTTTCTGACAATGCTTCTCTCTCGTCTTTCTGTGAAGATAAAGGAAAAGGCTTTCAGGCCTTTTCCACCACAGGCCTGAAAGCGCTCCAAATGTCCACTTGCAGATTCTGCCAAAAGAATATTTCAAAACTGCTCTATGAAACGCAATGTTAAACTCTGTGGCTCGAACACAAACATCACAAAGCGGTTTCTGAGAATGCTTCAGTTTAGTTTTTCTGTGGAAATATTCCCGTTTCCAAAGAAATCTTCAAAGAGGTCCACGTATCCACTTACAGATTCTACAAAAAGACAGTTTCAAAACTGCTCCATCAAAAGGAGGGTTCAACTGTGTGACTTGAATGCAATCATCACTCAGAAGTTTCTGAGAATGCTTCTCTTTAGTTTTTACGTGAACATATACCCGTTTCGAACGAAGGCCAGCCAGTGGTCCAAATATCCACTTGCAGATTCTACAGAAAGAGTGTTTCGAACCTGAACTCTCAAAGGCAGGTTCATCTCTGCGAGTTAAATGCATTCATCATGAAGAACTTTCTCAGAGTGTTTGTGTTTAGTTATGGGAAATTATTCCCGTTTCCAACGAAATCCTCAGAGAGCTCCAAATATCCACCTGCAGATTCTACCAAAAGTGTATTTGGAAACTGCTCCATCAAAAGGCATGTTCAGCTCTGTGAGTGAAACTCCATCATCACAAAGAATATTCTGAGAATGCTTCCGTTTGCCTTTTATATGAAGTTCCTTCCTATACGACCGTAGGCCTCAAAGCAGTCCAAATCTCCATTTGCAGATTCTACAAAAAGAGTGATTCCAATCTGCTCTATCAATAGGATTGTTCAACTCCATGAGTTGAATGCCATCCTCACAAAGTCGTTTCTGAGAATGCTTCTATCTAGTTTTTATGTGAAGATATTTCCTTTTCCACCACAGGCCTCAAAGCCCTCCAAACGTCCACTTGCAGATTCTCGAAAAAGAGTGTTTCATAGCTGCTCTTTCAAAAGGAAAGTTCAACTCTGGGAGTTGAATACAAACATCACAAAGTAGTTTCCGAGAATGCTTCTGTTTAGTTTTTATGTGAAGATGATCCCGTTTCCAGTGAAATCTTCAAAGAGGTCCACATATCCCCTTGCAGATTCCAACGAAAGAGGGTTTCAAAACTGCTCCATCAGAAGGATTGTTCAACTCTGTGAGTTGAATGCAGTCATCGCAGAAAACTTTCTGAGAATGCTTCTGTCTAGGTTTGATGTGAAGATATAGACGTTTCAAACGAAGGCTACAAAGTGGTCAAAATATACACTTGCAGATTCTACTACAAGGGTGTTGCAAACCTGAACTATCAAAGGAAGGTTCAACTCTGTGAGTTGAATACAAACATCACAAAGAATGTTCTGAGTTTGCTTCCGTTCAGTTATGGGAAGTTGATCCCGTTTCCAACGAAATCCTCAGAGAGGTCCAAATATCCCCTTGCAGATTCTACAAAACGTGTGTTTGGAAACTGCTCCATCATAACGAATGTTCAGCTCTCTGAGTTAAACTCCATCGTCACAAATAATTTTCTGAGAGTGCTACCGTCTGGTTTTTATATGAAGTTCTTTCCTTCACTACCACAGGCCTCAAAGCGGTCCAAATCTCCACTTGCAGATTCTACAAAAAGAGTGTTTGCAAACTGCTCTATCAAAAGGAATGTTCAACTCTGGGAATTGAATGCAATCATCACAGAGCAGTTTCTGAGAATGCTTCTATGTCGTTTTTAGGAGAAGATATTTCCTTTTCCAACACAGTCCTCCAAGCCCGCTAAATAGCCACTTGCACATTGTAGAAAAAGTGTGTCAAAGCTGCGCTATCAAAGGGAAAGTTCAACTCTGTGAGGTGAATGCAAACATCCCAAAGAAGTTTCTGAGAATGCTTCCGTTTAGCTTTTAGGTGAGGATTATCCCGTTTCCAACGAAACCTTCAAAGAGGTCCAAATATCCCCTTGCGGATCCCACAGAAAGAGTGTTTCGAAACTGCTGTTTCAAAAGGAATCTTCAACTCTGTGAGTTGAATGCAATCATCACAAAGAAGTTTCTGACAATGCTTCTCTCTCGTCTTTCTGTGAAGATAAAGGAAAAGGCTTTCAGGCCTTTGCCACCACAGGCCTGAAAGCGCTCCAAATGTCCACTTGCAGATTCTGCCAAAAGAATATTTCAAAACTGCTCTATGAAAAGCAATGTTAAACTCTGTGGCTGGAACACAAACATCACAAAGCGGTTTCTGAGAATGTTTCAGTTTAGTTTTTCTGTGGAAATATTCCCGTTTCCAAAGAAATCTTCAAAGAGGTCCACGTATCCACTTACAGATTCTACAAAAAGACAGTTTCAAAACTGCTCCATCAAAAGGAGGGTTCAACTGTGTGACTTGAATGCAATCATCACTCAGAAGTTTCTGAGAATGCTTCTCTTTAGTTTTTACGTGAACATATACCCGTTTCGAACGAAGGCCACCCAGTGGTCCAAATATCCACTTGCAGATTATACAGAAAGAGTGTTTCGAACCTGAACTCTCAAAGGCAGGTTCATCTCTGCGAGTTAAATGCATTCATCATGAAGAACTTTCTCAGAGTGTTTGTGTTTAGTTATGGGAAATTATTCCCGTTTCCAACGAAATCCTCAGAGAGCTCCAAATATCCACCTGCAGATTCTACCAAAAGTGTATTTGGAAACTGCTCCATCAAAAGGCATGTTCAGCTCTGTGAGTGAAACTCCATCATCACAAAGAATATTCTGAGAATGCTTCCGTTTGCCTTTTATATGAAGTTCCTTCCTATACGACCGTAGGCCTCAAAGCAGTCCAAATCTCCATTTGCAGATTCTACAAAAAGAGTGATTCCAATCTGCTCTATCAATAGGATTGTTCAACTCCATGAGTTGAATGCCATCCTCACAAAGTAGTTTCTGAGAATGCTTCTATCTGGTTTTTGTGTGAAGATATTTCCTTTACCACCACAGGCCTCAAAGCCCTCCAAACGACCACTTGCAGATTCTCGAAAAAGAGTGTTTCATAGCTGCTCTTTCAAAAGGAAAGTTCAACTCTGGGAGTTGAATACAAACATCACAAAATAGTTTCCGAGAATGCTTCTGTTTAGTTTTTATGTGAAGATGATCCCGTTTCCAGTGAAATCTTCAAAGAGGTCCACATATCCCCTTGCAGATTCCAAAGAAAGAGGGTTTCAAAACTGCTCCATCAAAAGGATTGTTCAACTCTGTGAGTTGAATGCAGTCATCGCAGAAAACTTTCTGAGAATGCTTCTGTCTAGGTTTGATGTGAAGATATAGACGTTTCAAACGAAAGCTACAAAGTGGTCAAAATATACACTTGCAGATTCTACTACAAGGGTGTTGCAAACCTGAACTATCAAAGGAAGGTTCAACTCTGTGAGTTGAATACAAACATCACAAAGAATGTTCTGAGTTTGCTTCCGTTCAGTTATGGGAAGTTGATCCCGTTTCCAACGAAATCCTCAGAGAGGTCCAAATATCCCCTCGCAGATTCTACAAAACGTGTGTTTGGAAACTGCTCCATCATAACGAATGTTCAGCTCCCTGAGTTAAACTCCATCGTCACAAAGAATTTTCTGATAGTGCTACCGTCTGGTTTTTATATGAAGTTCTTTCCTTCACTACCACAGGCCTCAAAGCGGTCCAAATCTCCACTTGCAGATTCTACAAAAAGAGTGTTTGCAAACTGCTCTATCAAAAGGAATGTTCAACTCTGGGAGTTGAATGCAATCATCACAGAGCAGTTTCTGAGAATGCTTCTATGTCGTTTTTAGGAGAAGATATTTCCTTTTCCAACACAGTCCTCCAAGCCCGCTAAATAGCCACTTGCACATTGTAGAAAAAGTGTGTCGAAGCTGCGCTATCAAAGGGAAAGTTCAACTCTGTGAGGTGAATGCAAACATCCCAAAGAAGTTTCTGAGAATGCTTCCGTTTAGCTTTTAGGTGAAGATTATCCCGTTTCCAACGAAACCTTCAAAGAGGTCCAAATATCCCCTTGCGGATCCCACAGAAAGAGAGTTTCGAAACTGCTGTTTCAAAAGGAATCTTCAACTCTGTGAGTTGAATGCAATCATCACAAAGAAGTTTCTGACAATGCTTCTCTCTCGTCTTTCTGTGAAGATAAAGGAAAAGGCTTTCAGGCCTTTTCCACCACAGGCCTGAAAGCGCTCCAAATGTCCACTTGCAGATTCTGCCAAAAGAATATTTCAAAACTGCTCTATGAAAAGCAATGTTAAACTCTGCGGCTCGAACACAAACATCACAAAGCGGTTTCTGAGAATGCTTCAGTTTAGTTTTTCTGTGGAAATATTCCCGTTTCCAAAGAAATCTTCAAAGAGGTCCACGTATCCACTTACAGATTCTACAAAAAGACAGTTTCCAAACTGCTCCATCAAAAGGAGGGTTCAACCGTGTGACTTGAATGCAATCATCACTCAGAAGTTTCTGAGAATGCTTCTCTTTAGTTTTTACGTGAACATATACCCGTTTCGAACGAAGGCCACCCAGTGGTCCAAATATCCACTTGCAGATTATACAGAAAGATTGTTTCGAACCTGAACTCTCAAAGGCAGGTTCATCTCTGCGAGTTAAATGCATTCATCATGAAGAACTTTCTCAGAGTGTTTGTGTTTAGTTATGGGAAATTATTCCCGTTTCCAACGAAATCCTCAGAGAGCTCCAAATATCCACCTGCAGATTCTACCAAAAGTGTATTTGGAAACTGCTCCATCAAAAGGCATGTTCAGCTCTGTGAGTGAAACTCCATCATCACAAAGAATATTCTGAGAATGCTTCCGTTTGCCTTTTATATGAAGTTCCTTCCTGTACTACCGTAGGCCTCAAAGCAGTCCAAATCTCCATTTGCAGATTCTACAAAAAGAGTGATTCCAATCTGCTCTATCAATAGGATTGTTCAACTCCATGAGTTGAATGCCATCCTCACAAAGCAGTTTCTGAGAATGCTTCTATCTGGTTTTTGTGTGAAGATATTTCCTTTTCCACCACAGGCCTCAAAGCCCTCCAAACGTCCACTTGCAGATTCTCGAAAAAGAGTGTTTCATAGCTGCTCTTTCAAAAGGAAAGTTCAACTCTGGGAGTTGAATACAAACATCACAAAATAGTTTCCGAGAATGCTTCTGTTTAGTTTTTATGTGAAGATGATCCCGTTTCCAGTGAAATCTTCAAAGAGGTCCACATATCCCCTTGCAGATTCCAAAGAAAGAGGGTTTCAAAACTGCTCCATCAGAAGGATTGTTCAACTCTGTGAGTTGAATGCAGTCATCGCAGAAAACTTTCTGAGAATGCTTCTGTCTAGGTTTGATGTGAAGATATAGACGTTTCAAACGAAGGCTACAAAGTGGTCAAAATATACACTTGCAGATTCTACTACAAGGGTGTTGCAAACCTGAACTATCAAAGGAAGGTTCAACTCTGTGAGTTGAATACAAACATCACAAAGAATGTTCTGAGTTTGCT